>NC_000001.11:32053835-32678835 GCF_000001405.40 Homo sapiens | reverse complement strand
GACAGATCACTTGAGGTCATGAGTTTGAGACTAGCCTGACCAACAAGGCGAAACTGCATCTCTACTACAAATACAAAAATCAGCCATGTGTGGGGGTGCACCCCTGTGGTCCCAGCTACTTGGGAGGCTGAGGCATAAGAATTGATTGAACCTGGGAGGTGGTGGTTGTAGTGAGCCAAGATTGCACCACTGCACTCCAGCCTGGGTGGCAAAGCAAGACTGTGTGCCAAAAAAAAAAAAAAAAAAAAAAAAAAAAAAAAAAAAAAAAGCTGTCACATACTTTAGGATTTTATTTATATAAGGTGTCCAGGCCAGGTGTGGTGGCACACGCCTGTAATCCCAGCATTTTGGGAGGCCAAGGCAGGCGTATCACCTGAGGTCAGGAGTTCGAGACCAGCCTGGCCAACATGGTGAAACGCTGTCTCTACTAAAAATATAAAAATTAGCCAGGCGTGGTGACAGGCGCCTGTAATCCCAGCTATTTGGGAGGCTAAGGCAGGAGAATCGCTTGAACCCAGGAGGCGGAGGTTGCAGTGAGCCAAGATCACACCACTGCACTCCAGCCTGGGGGGCAAGACTTCGTCTAAAAAAAACAGGGGTCCAAAACAGGCAAATCCATAGCTTGGTGGCTGCCTAGGGCTGGGGGACTATGAGAAAAATAGGAAATGATGGCTAATGGGTACAGGGTTTCTTTTTCAGATGATGAAAATGTTCTCAAATTGACTGTGGTTGATGGTTGCACAACTGTAAATACACTGAAGACTGCTGAACTGCACACTTAAAACTTCCAAAACAATATGTTCCGAATCTCTATATATTGAAGAGAAAAACTGTTCTTGTATAGAATAAACTCTACTTCTACTGCTTGACAGAATACCTGTATCCAACGGCATAATCTTAAAATACAGGAACCACTTTCACAGGAGCAAAATTTACTGCTCTTAGCACCTACCATGCACATATCACTATGATAGGTACTGCAGAGGACAGGATAGTCTTACCTTCAAAGAGCTTGTGATCTGACCCCAGAGAAAAGAATACATACAATTGTGTGATGCTTTCTGACGTTACTTCTAACACCAAATGTGGGGTACCCTTTCTTAGGACACCAACTGGGTGTACAACTCAATCCTATTCTGACACTATCTGAAGTTAGCTTTGGAGAAGACTGTCCTTACTTCAGAAGCCAGTTGCAATTCCCTGGTCCCAGGCTACCTGCACACTTCTATCCCACTTGACTACAAATTTCAGGGTTCCCACTACTGCCTCCTCAGGTCTGATAATTTGATGGAATGACTCACAGAACCCAAGAAAGCTTTTTACTATTACTGTTTTTTGTTTGTTTTTTGTTTTGTTTTTTTTTTTAAATAAAGGATACAACTGAGGAACCACATGGAAGAGATGCATACGGCAAGGTGGGGAGGGGCTGCAGAGTTTCCATCAAGTCTCTGGGCATGCTACCCACCCAGTATGTCGAGTTGTTCACCAATCCAGAAGCACATCAAATTAGGAGTTTTTATAGAGTTCAATCTCTGGCCCTGCAACCCCAAGGTTGGCAAGTGGGCCGACAAGTTTTAACCCTCAAATCAAGTGATTGGCCTTTCTGACTAAACCAACTATGAGGCTATCTAGGGGCCCCACCAAAATCACCTCACAGTAGAACAAACTCAGGTGTGGTCCAAAGTGGATCACTAGGAACGACAAAGACACTCCTAGCACTCTGCAAACTCCGAGTGTTTTTGGAGAGCTCTGTGCCAAGAACTGGGACAAAGACCAAATATTTACTTACTCTATTACAATGCTAAAAACACCAAATAAAGTAACAACTTGGAATGGAGGTGATGGCCTTGCAGGGATCTAGTTTAACCTTGAATTCTTCAGTATTTTTTTTTTGAGACAGGGTCTCGCTCTGTCACCCAGGCTGGAGTGCAGTGGCGCCATCTTAGCTCACTGCAACCTCTGCCTCCTGGGATCACGCTAGCCTCCCACTTCAGCCTCCCAAGGAACTGGGACTACAGGTACGTGCCATCACGCCCAGCTATTAAGTTTCTGTATTAATATTGAAGGGATTTATTACAAAGAGAGTGAGGTGAATTTTCTGTTTTCAAGTTACACATCTTTTTTGTAAAAAAATTATAATACAGAAAGGTCTAAAGAAACCAAGAACTAGGTACCAAGCACATTTTAGCAAACAGCTTTTCTTTTTCTTTTTTTTTTTTTTTTGAGATGGAGTTTTGCTCTTGTTGCCCATGTTCGAGTGCAATGGTGCGATCTTGGCTCACCGCAACTCCTCCGCCTCCTGGGTTCAAACAAGTCTCCTGCCTCAGCCTCCCAAGTAGCTGGGATTACAGGCGCCCGTCACCATGCCTGGCTAATTTTTGTATTTATTTTTTAGTAGAGATGGGGTTTCACTATGTTGACCAGGCTGGTCTCAAACTACTGACCTCAGGTGATCTGCCCACCTCGGCCTCCCAAAGTGTTGGAATTACAGGCGTGAGCCACCACACCTGGCCAGTAATCAGCTTTCTAAATATAGACTAGATACACAAAATTTTAATATGAGGAATACCATTATGCTATTCTTCAGTCTGCGCTTCCCCTTTAACAGCATGTCATGAATATCTTATAACCCTAACCGTACTTCTTTCTTTTCTTCCTTTAGAGACAGGGTCTCGCTATGTCATCTAGGCTGGAGTGCAGTGGTGTGATCACAGCCCACTGTAGCCTCAAACTCCTGGCCTCAAGGGATCCTTCTGTCACGGCCTCCCAAAGAGCAGGGACTAAAGGCACATGCCACCATGTCTCACAGCAGCCTCTACCCGCTGGATTCAAGGTATCCTCCTGCCTCGGCCTCCCAAGTAGCTGGGATCACAGGCACGTACCACCAAGCCTGGCTAATTTTTTTTTGGTAGAGACACGGTCTCACTTTATTGCCCAGGCTAGTCTAGAACTTCTGGGCTCAAGTGATCCTCCGGCTTTGGCCTCCCAAAGTATTTGGATTACAGGTGTGAGCCACTGAGCACAGCCCCTAATCATACTTTTTAAATTTATTTTTATTATTTTTTTTGAGACAGAGTCTCGCCCTGTCACCCAGGCTAGAGTGCAGTGGCACGATCTCGGCTCACTGCAAGTCCTGCCTCCCGGGTTCACGCCATTCTCCTGCCTCAGCCTCCCGAGTAGCTGGGACTACAGGCGCCCGCCACCACGCCCGGCTAATTTTTTGTATTTTTAGTAGAGTCGGGGTTTCACCATGTTAGCCAGGATGGTCTCAATCTCCTGATCTTGTGATCCACCCGCCTCGGCCTCCCAAAGTGCTGGGAGTACAGGCGTGAGCCACCGCACCTGGCCCATCCTTCTTTTTGATAAGTAATGTTACAAAGTATGAATGTTGTGATGGTATTTGGAGGTAAAAGAAAAAAAAAGTATGGATGTAGTACAATCTGTTAGTCTGGCAGGTCACAAACTTATTTTATTTCTGTCTTCAATTAATAGTGCTATTACGCCAGGCGCGGTGGCTCACGCCTGTAATTCCAGCACTTTGGGAGGCCGAGGCAGGCAGATCACCTGAGGTCAGGAGTTCGAGGCCAGCCTGACCAACATGGAGAAACCCAGTCTCTACTAAAAAAAATTACAAAAATTTAGCCAGGCGTGGTGGCGCATGCCTGTAATCTCAGCTACTCGGGAGGCTGAGGCAGGAGAATCGCTTGAACCCAGGAGGCGGAGGTTGCAGAGAGCCAAGATCGCACCATTGCACTCCAGGCTGGAAAATAAGAACAAAACTCCGTCTCAAAAATAAAAATGCCGGGCACGGTGGCTCACGTCTGTAATTCCAGTACTTTGGGAGGCCAAAGAGGGCGGATCATGAGGTCAGGAGATCGAGACCACCCTGACCAACATGGTGAAACCCCGTCTCTACTAAATAAAAAACAACAACAAAAAAACTAGCCGGGCATGGTGGTGCATGCCTGTAATCCTAGCTAATCAGCAGGCTGAGGCAGGAGAATTGCTTGAACCTGGGAGGCAGAGGTTGCAGTGAGCTGAGATTGCTCTACTGAACTCCAGCCTGGGTGAGGCAGTGAGACTCTGTCTCAGAAAAAAAAAAAATTAAAAAAAAAATAAAGAAATAAAAAGTAAGAAAGTACTGATGAAAACATCCTCCCTCTCCTCATGATGAGTCAAAAACTATTCCCTGGAACTTAATTCCTGGTACTAGATCTACTCTGAGAGACACCAAGTTTCTTCTGAATTCTTTTCCTTTACCAGACAACCACCAAGTTACGCACTTCTTTAAAAACAAAAAAAAGTGGGGGGCGGGTGGGCAGCCTCACACATGTACTCCCAGCACTCTGGGAGGTGGGCAAATCGCTTGAGCTCACAAGTTCAAGACCAGACTGGCCAACATGGCAAACCCCATCTCTACAAAAAATTTTAAAAATTAACCAGGGCTGGTGATGCACACCTGTGGTCCCAGTTACTAGGGAGGCTGAGGTAGGAGGATGTCTTGAGCCCGGGAATTGGAGGCTGCAGTGAGCTGTAATCGCACCACTGCACTGTAGCCTGAACAACAGAGCAAGAAACTGTCTTCCACCTCCAAATTGTCGCAAACTCCATACAACATAAAATTTATCAGCTTAGCCATTTTAAGTGTACAGTTCAGTGGCATTAAGTACACTCACACTGCATTAACCATAACCACCACCTATCTCCGGAATATATACATATATATATTTTAATTGAGACGGAGTCTCGCTCTGTCGCCCAGGCCAGAGTGCAGTGACGCAATCTTGGCTCAATGCAAGCTCCGCCTCCCGTGTTCACGCCATTTTCCTGCCTCAGCCTCCTGAGGAGCTGGGACTACAGGCGCCCGCCACCACGCCCGGCTAATTTTTTTTTGTATTTTTAGTACAGATGGGGTTTCACTGTGTTAGCCAGGATGGTCTCGATCTCCTGACCTCGTGATCCACCCGCCTCGGCCTCCCAGAGTACTGGGATTACAGGCGTGAGCCAACGTGCTCGGCCGAATATAACTATTTTAAAAATATTAATGTATGAGACACCACAGTTATTTTTATTAAATTGAAGTGCTTTGAAAATTTAAGAGGCCAGGCGCGGTGGCTCATGCCTGCAATCCCAGCACTCCGGGAGGTCGAGGTGGGCGGATCACAAGGTCAGGAGTTTGAGACCAGCCTGGCCAACATAGTGAAACCGTCTCTACTGAAAATACAAAAAAATTAGCCAGGCATGGTGGTACGCACCTATAGTCCCAGCTACTCAGAAGGCTGAGGCAGGAGAATCGATCGAACCTGGGAGGTGGAAGTTGCAGTGAGCCGAGATTGCACCATTGCACTCCAGCCTGGGTGAAAAAGTGAGAGACCATCTCAAAAAAAAAAAAAGAGAAAATTTAAGGAGGGTGTTCACATTCTTTGAGATAGAGATAGGGAACATTTTTGAAATCTAGACAGCTTTCATGGAGAAATAGTAGTATTTGATGCTGTGATATGATATACCTCCTTTGGGTATGTAAATTTGTACTTGTAAGATGATAAGATGGGAGAAACACCGCAGATAGATGGTATGAAATCTGGAAGTGAACTAGAACTAGAAGTAAACAGACATGGAAAATTCTTGAGTTTTCAAGTCTGGTTAGCTAGGAAAATGTTGGAGTCATACAAAAAGAAAGAAAGAAGGAGGAGAGGGAAAAGGAGAAGTGGGAGAGAGGGTCAGTTTTGTTTAGCAGAGTTTAAAATACCAGTGGTATGACCAAATACAGTCAAGAGCAGGCAGCTGAAAATGATAATGTATAGACAAGTCTTAAAATCACACCTGGGAGTAAAATGAACAGAGATGGTAGCTGTAATCATAAAATATACAAATGTAAATTGATTCTATGTCTCACTTATTTCACCTCCCCAAAATAAATTACTAAACCCTTACCATTTGCCACACTTGCATGATATTGTCTTCTGATACAGAACAAATCACCCAAGGTTCATTGGGATTCCAGGAGAAATCAGATATCTTGGCAGTATGACCACCATGAATAAACTGAAAGAGGGAAGAAAACAAAGAGGTGAAATGCAGATAGAGGACATTAAATTACAGACTATTTCAGTACTGTCCAATGCTTTTAACATACCAACAACTCTGGTGGCCCGTCTTCTGCATCTTCTGGGGATTGTTCCTCTCCAATTTTACTAGTACAAAAGCATAATTTTAAAAGTTAAAACAGATTTACCCTTAGTAACTACCTTTGCAAAGTGTAAATAAAGGAAATAATTATGTAGAGAGAGGAATGAATACAAGAATTACCTTAAATCCCAGACATTCAGTCTGCGATCAGTACCACTGGAAGCTAAAATAGTCTCATTGTGAGGTGACCACTGAACCTACACATAGGAATGAAGAAAAGAGCAAAGCCATGAATTAGAAAATAAAGGGAAAAAATTCACAAAATATTTAACAATTTAAAAATTTTGTAAATAAAAGGGAAGAGGAAGTCAAGGTATTATACACGTTACAGTTAAAATTAAGAGCTAAAGAATTTATTTTATGGGCAGGCGCGGTTGGCTCACACCTGTAATCCCAGCACTTTGGGAGGCGGGTGGATCACATGAGGTCAGGAGTTCAAGATCAGCCTAACCAACATGGTGAAACACTGTCTCTACTAAAAATACAAAAATTAGCTGGGTGTGGTGGCAGGCGCCTGTAATCCCAGCTACTCGGGAGGCTGAGGCAGGAGGATTGCTTGAACCCAGGAAGCAGAGGTTGGAGCTGAGATCGTGCCACTGCACTCCAGCCTGGGTGACAGACTCTCTCAAAAACAAACAAAAAGAAAAACAAAAAAAAAATGTTTACAAAAACAACCCATTACTAGACATTTCTAGACCCAGGATATAAGCTTTTGTTCCATTCCCACAGCACCCCTTTGGCACACTTTTTCTTGAGACGGAAGTCTTGCTCTGTCACCCAGGCTGGAGTACAATGGCAGGATCTCAGCTCACTGAAACCTCCACCTCCCAGGTTCAAGCGACTCTCCCACCTTAGCCTCCCAGGTAGCTGGGATTACAGGTGTCCGCCACCACGGCCAGCTAATTTTTGTATTTGTGTAGAGATGGGGTTAGGCTGGTATCAAAAAAAAAAAGAGATGAGGCCTCGCTATATTGCTTCTAGGCTGGACTTGAACTCTTGGGCTCAAGGGATCTCGCTGCCTCAACCTCCTGCGTAGCTGGAGGTGTGTGCCATGTGCCCAGCATCATTTTATCTTTGGAAACATCACATCTTGTCTGTTCTTGTGGGGTGATCTCAGTTCACTGCAATCTCCTCCTCCCATGTTCAAGCGATTCTCCTGCCTCAGCCTCTTAAGTAGCTGGGATTACAGGCGTGCACCACCATGCCTGGCTAATTTTTGTATTTTTATTAGAGACGAGGTTTCACCATGTTGGTCAGGGTGGTCTCAAACTCCTGACCTCATGATCCACCCGCCTCGGCCTCCCAAAGCGCTGAGATTACAGGCATGGGCCATCGTGCCCGGCCTACATCTTGTCTATTCTTATTTGCTAATTCTGGCCTCTACCCAAATGCAATCCAATTCTGACCTAAGAACTAAAGTACAGATGACATATACAATAACTATGTCCCCAAGTATTTACTATGAGTTCTGTATTACATATAAGTCTGATTAAAAATGACTCCATGCAATAATTTTATTAAAGAGTCAGACAAAAAATTTACTACTATATATCCAACAATCAGAGTTTGCTACCAAATATGGTAAAAGTGCTACCTAGCCTTAAGGTACAGAAAAAGAGGGCATTAGTGACCAGCAATTAAGGAAGAATTTGGATTCTGTCCAGGCAAGAATACCGTCACAAGCAAAGCAAAGAGATAGGGTAAGGATAAAATGTTCACCAAGGTGGGCTGAAAAGTAGAAAATAAGAGACTAAGTATGTAGGAGTATGGCTCACCTAAAGCCCAGTTCAGACGCCACCTTCACACACCAGAATTAATCTTTACCACCCTCAGGTTCATAACACTTGACAAAATCTTTTATTATAGTAATTTCTAAACAAGCCCTCCCTCACTATAAAATTTTGGGCTCGGCTGGGCGTGGTGGCTTACGCCTGTAATCCCAGCACTTTGGGAGGCTGAGGCAGGAGAATCCCTTTAGCCTGGGAAGTGGAGGTTGCAGTGAGCCGAGATTGCACCATTGCACTCCAGCCTGGCCAACAAGAGCAAAATGCCGTCTCAAAAAAATTAATTAAAAAAAAATAAAAAAATTGGGGGCTCCTTGATAGCAAAGGCTACATAACGTAATCTTTCATAGTGCCGTAGCAACAAGCTTTGAACATAGTGCAGTGATTATTTCTTTTTTTAATTTTTGCAATCAGACCTGGGCGATAACCTTGAGCAGGATATAAACTCCCACATGCTTAGCGTTCCAATAATGGAACACTAGGCATAAATGGGTTTAAACTGATGAGGTAGAAAATATGGAGCCAGAGGTTGAGGCTTGGGTTGAGAAATCAACACATGTGGCAAGTAATGAAGGATGAAGAATATATTGGAAGAAGGGAAGAGATCACTAAGTGTCAGAAACAAGGCTGAAAAAATAATCAGGCACTAGTTTTCCTTTCTTTGTAAATTTTTATTAAAAAATAGACAGGGTTGGCCAGGCTGGTCTCAAACTCCTGGCCTCAAGCAATCCACCCATCTCAGCCTCCTAAAGTGCTGGGATTACAGGCATAAGCTACCATACCTGGCCTAGTTTTCTTAATATCTGAAGAATGTAAGTGGTCAATAACCAGTTTGAGAAAGTATAGAAATAACAAAGAAAAAACAATTCCCACAGAAAGTAGCATAGGCATATAGATTTCTATTTTTAGCAACGGCATAAAGCACATGTGTGCCCACTCATACATCCAGGTTTTTCTTTTTTCTTTTTTTTTGAGACGGACTCTCGTTCTGTCGCCCAGGCTAGAGTGCAGTGGCACAATCTCGGCTCACTGCAACCTCTGCCTCCCGGGTTTCATGCCATTCTCCTGCCTCAGCCTCCCGAGTAGCTGGGACTACGGGCATCCGCCACCATGCCCGGCTAATTTTTTATATTTTTAGTAGAGACAGGGTTTCACCGTGTTAGCCAGGATGGTCTCGATCTCCTGACCTTGTGATCCGCCCGCTTCAGCCTCCCAAAGTGCTGGGATTACAGGCGTGAGCGACCGCGCCCAGCAGGTTTTTCTTAAAACAAACAAAATAGTAGCATTAGTTTCTCTTACCTGGAATATTTCATCCTTATGTGACTCAAAGGAATGCAACTTAAGTTTCAGATTTCTCAGATCCCACAAGGCAACAGTCTATGTACAAAAAGAAAAGCAAGAGTAATCAATTTTTTAAGAAAAAAAAAATACTGTAAGTAAAATATCTCTGCAATTCAAAAAAACCTAGAGAAATTATGTTTTCTATTAAAATAAACGAAACTGACCTTGTCAGCTGATCCTGTGGCAAGAATGAACTCACTATAAGGATTGAAAGAAAGGCAGTTCACTTCAGCAGTGTGAGCATCAACTGAGTGGCTTGGTTTGGAAGTATTGTTTGAACGAGTATCCCAACTTCAGTGAAAAAAAAACAAAGGAAAAAAACCTTGAAATGGTGACTAAACATAAAACTTAGACAAGATATTTAGAAACTCTGAATGGATTCTACTCACATCATAAGTTTCTGATCATCAGCAACTGACCCAAACAGAGACTCATGGAGTAGATGCCAGGAAACATCTTCTACTACTGCCGTATGCCCTGTAAAGATGGTCTTCGCATCTACCACTTTTCCCTCCTTTGGAACGGCACTGATGTCCCACAGGCAGATGGTCTTAAATGTAAAATTAACCATTATATAAAAGGAAGATTCTCACCTCCCCACACACCCCAAAAAAGAAACCAACTGGTAACTAGCCCAGATTTGCTTCAAAATGGGAAGGATACACACATGGTCATCTGAAGCACTAAGTAAGTGCCCACTGAGATTTGGGTTCCAAGAAAGCCCATAGCCTTCCTTCTGATGTCCACGGAGACGCAAGTCTGGGTTGCACTCTCCAGAAGGATCTGCAAAGTGACAGACACATCAAGACTACCCAGTCCACTGGCTCTCTGGGCCTACTGAGCATAATGGAATTTTGGTCAAGATGTCTAAAGCTCTTAACATTTATAAATGATATAGGAACCGTTATGATCAAATAGATAATGCTTAAACAGCACCAGTATTTTGTTCTATGTAAAAAAGCATTATTTTTTCATGGAGGCAAAATGAAGAAAAATATACACATATCAATACAAATCACAAGATGTTAAATTACACAGAGTAACATGCAATTAAACTCACAGTGAGTGGAACCATGTATTTCTATAGTGACTCATTTGTATTTGAATAGAAAAGGGCACATACCTGGTTTAGAAGGATGTTTTGTATAGTCAAAAACAAGAACATCACTGGAAGGAGTCTTTGTTGCGATGATACAAGGGTTCTGGGGCATATAACGGGCCCTGTTTACTTCTCCTTCATGGTTGATCTTGATTTCTATTTCAATTTTTCCACTAACTGAACCAAAACCTCCAAATTCTGTGAATAAATTAATTGCAAATGAGGACAAAACAAGAGCTACTCTAGAGGTTACCCAGAGTATAAGAACACAGGAAAGGATTTTTTTTCCTTAGCAACAAACTGGCATAATACTAGATGTAATCTATACATTTGCTAGCACTATAAAGTGCTTTCCTACCCCCGTGACTCCAGGTAGTTAAATAACTAATAAGAAATACAGTCAGCTCTCCATATCAGTGGGTTCTTTATCCATGAATTCAACTAGCCATTAATTGAAAATATTCAGAAAAACATTGCATATGTATTGAACATGTACAGATTTCCCCCTCATCATTATCCCCGAACAATATAGTCTATTTATATAACATTTACATTATATTAGGTATTATAGGTAATCTAGAGACATTTTAAAGTATATGAGAAGATCTGCATAGGTTATGTGTAAACATTATGCCATGCTGTATCAGAGACTTCAGCATCTGTGAATTTTGGTATCCAAAGGAGGTCTTGGAAACAATTCCCCACGGATTCTGAGGGATGGCTGTATTATATTACTATCTGAAATTAAGGAAAACTAGAATTCTACTGATGTAGGGTCCAGCCCTACGGGGCTTAGCGGGTGTTCTCCCCGTGTGCGGAGATGAGAGATCATAAGAAATAAAGACACAAGACAAAAGAGATAAAGAGAAAACACCTGAGCCTGGGGGACCACTACCACCAAGACGCAGAGACCGGCAGTGGCCCCAAATGGCTGGGTGCGCTGATATTTATTGCATACAAGACAAGGGGGCGAGGTAAGGAGGATGAGTCGTCCAAGTGATTGATAAGGTCAAGCAAGTCACATGATCATGGGACAGGGGCCCTTCCCTTTCAGGCAGCTGAAGCAGAGAGGTAAGGCAGCATACGTCAGCGTTTTCTTCTATGCACTTATCAGAAGGATCAAAGACTTTAAGACTTTCACTATTTTTTCTACTGCTATCCTCTAGCAACTTCAAAGAGGAATCAGGAGTACGGGAGGAACATGAAAGTGGACAAGGAGCATGACCACTGAAGCACAGCACCACAAGGAGGGGTTTAGGCCTCCGGATGACTGTGGGCAGGCCTGGATAATATCCAATCTCCCACAAGAAGCTGGTTGGTGGAGCAGAGTGTTCCCTGACTCCAAGGGAAGGGAGGCTCCCTTTCACAGTCTGCTAAGTAATGGGTACCTTCCCAGGCAATGGTGTTACCGCTTGCCAAGGAGCCCTCAAGTGGCCCTTATGCGGGCGTGACAGAGGGCTCACCTCTTGCCTTCTAGGTCACTTCTCACAATGTCCCTTCAGCACCTCATCCTATACCTGCCGGTTATTCCTTGGTTATATTAGTAATACAACAAAGAGTAATATTAAAAGTTGATGATTAATAATGTTTATACTAATGATTGATAATGTCCATGATCATCTCTATATCTACTTTGTATTTTAACTATTCTTATTCTAACTATTTTCTTTATTATACTGAAACAGTTTGTGCCTTCAGTCTCTTGCCTCGGCACCTGGGTAATCCTTCGCCCACATACTTCAAAAACAGATCTTAATAAAGTTTTCAGCCAGGCGCAGTGGCTCACGCCTGTAATCCCAGCACTTTGGGAGGCTGAAGCGGGCAGATCACCTGAGGTCAGGAGTTCGAGACCAGCCTGACCGATATGGTAAAACCCCGTCTCTACTAAAAATACAAAAATTAGCTGGGCGTCGTGGCAGGCGCCTGTAGTCCCCAGCTACTGGGGAGGCTGAGACAGAATTGCTTGAACCTGGGAGGCGGAGGTTGCAGTGAGCCGAGATCGTGCCACTGCACTCCAGCCTGGGTCACAGAGCAAGACTCCGTCTCAAAAAAAAAAAAAATAAAGTTTTCAAATTTCAAAGTGTAAATAAGTATGCTGAATAAATAAAACCAATGCTACTACTATAATGAATATTAAGTACACAGTGTGCTAAACACTAAAGTGCCCTTCTTGCATTGCTTGTATGAAGCTCTAGCTTGGGATGAATGTTCTGAAATACCATCATGCCGTTTATCTTCTCCTTACAGTGTTTCTTTTATTTCAGTGAGGAAAAACAGAGCCACAGCAGCCAGTTCCATTTTGCTACACCCACTTACACATGCCAACAAAAGTCCCTGGTTGAAATAAACCAGGTAGGCAACAACTAGATGAAAACATTTTTTATTCACACATGACTACTATGTGCACTTAGAGAGTTCTCTCAAGTACCATTATAGTATATATAACAATATAATGTGTGATTATGTAAATCTTGGCAAAGCAATATATAAATAAAGGTAGTTAATGATCAAAGAATAATAGAAGGCAGCATGGTACGGTTGCAAAAGTTCCAAAGTAAGAGTCAGACCCAGGCCCCTAAGTGGCTCTGTCACTTACTTAGTTTGGTGATTCAGGGAAGGCCTTCAGTTTCTCTGAGCATCAAATACCTTATCCACAAAGCAAAGAAGTTGTGAGAGTAACTTAAAAATAAATAAAAATATTCTGTCAATTGCATTGCTATATAGTGCTTTTTTTTTTTTTTTTTAAAGACAGGGTCTTGCTCTGTCACCCAGACTGGAGTGTAATGGCACGATCTCGGCTCACTGCAACCTCTGCCTCCTGGGTTCAAGCGATTCTCCTGCCTCAGCCCCCTGAGTAGCTGGGACTGCAGCCATGTGCCATGACGCCCAGCTAATTTTTGCATTTTTAGTAGAGACGGGGTTTCATCATGTTGGCCAGACTGGTCTTGAACTCCTGACATCAGATAATCTACCCGCTTCAGCCTCCCAAAGTGCTGGGATTACAGGAGAGAGCCACTGGGCCGGGCCTAGTGTTATTCTTTGAAGGACAAACATCTTTTCAGAAAGCAAAGATATACATGGGTGGTATGGCTGGCGTATTAGATAACTTTCAACTTCAAAATAACTTTTGAAAAGCAAAATGTTTCACACAGGCTAAAAACCTAAAAATAAAAATTCAAGATAGATTCTAAAGGAGAAAAAATCCCTAATTTTTTCCATAACTCCAGCCCACAAGCATCTACAATCTATGAAAAAACAAGGCATATATGGTACGTACCTCAAGAAACTTCAGTCTAAGTACAGGCATAGCTCGTTTTATTGTGCGTCACACATAAGTTTTTTTCCCCAATTGAAGGTTACAGCAACCCTGCACTAAGTCTATTAGTGGCATTTTCCCAACATGTGTTCAGTTGGTGCCTCTGTGTCTGCATTATTATTATTATTTTTTTTAGCAATGAAGTATTTTCAAATTAAGGTATGTACATTGTTTTTTAGACATAATGCTATTGCACGTTTAGGAGACTATAGTATAGTGTAAACATACAAAAAATTTGTGTGGTTTGCTTTATATATTTGCTTTACTGCAGTGATTGGGAACTGAACCCCCATCATATCTCTGAGATATGCACATATACAACTGCAAAGGCCAATGACCACCACCCCCAAAAAAGTGGCTGGGCACGGTGGCTCACACCTGTAATCCCAGCACTTTGGGAGGCCGAGACGGGTGGATCACAAGGTCAGGAGTTTGAGATCAGCATGGCCAATATGGTGAAACCTCATCTCTACTAAAAATACAAAAATTAGCTGGGCATGGTGGCACGTGCCTGTAGTCCCAGCTGCTCAGGAGACTGAGGCAAGAGAATTGCTTGAACCCGGGAGGCAGAGGTTGCACTGAACCAAGATTGCACGACTACACTCCAGTCTGGGCGACAGAGTGAGACTCTGTCTCAAAAAACAAACAAACAAACAAAAAAAGAAGCATAGCTGCCAGAAAAGAGGCACCAATAACAAAGGAGGAGAAGCCACAGTTGGCACAGAGCCCACAGAGCAAGGGGTAACCACTACATAACATTGGTTATTTCAGTATTGAGTAGATATTAAACGTAGGCCTCCTAAACCATAAAGAAAACCACAGTAGTAAGAACTTAGCGTATTCAAAATTGAAAATTGGGCCGGCCCAATGTTACTGGGTTATCAGAACTTATTAACATCAGTGTTATCAAAGTTGCACACATCCCTCACTGTTAAATTTGACAGGGTTCAGGAGATCAAGACTATGCTGGCTAACACGGTAAAACCCCGTCTCTAATAAAAATACAAAAAAAATTAGCCGGGCGTGGTGGCGGGCGCCTGTAGTCCCAGCTACTTGGGAGGCTGAGGCAGGAGAATGGCATGAACCCAGGAGGCGGAGCTTGCAGTGGGCCGAGATCGCGCCACTGCATACCAGCCTGGGCAACAGAGCGAGACTCCATCTCAAAAAAGAAAAAAAAAAAATTGACAGGTTAAAAAAAGAAATGGAAAATTGCATTTAAAAAACATTTCAAGGCCAGGCGTGGTGGCTCAAGCCTGTAATCGCAGCACTTTGAGAGGCCGAGGCAGGCGGATCACGAGGTCAGGAGATTGAGACCATCCTGGCTAACACCGTGAAACCCCGTCACTACTAAAAATACAGAAAATTAGCTGGGCATGGTGGCAGGCGCCTGTAGTCCCAGCTACTCGGGAGCCTGAGGCAGGAGAATGGCGTGAACCTGGGAGGCAGAGCTTGCAGTAAGCGGAGATCATGCCACTACACTCCAGCCTGGGCGATAAAGCGAGACTCTGTCTCAAAAAAAAAAAATATTTCAGGGGCTGACTGTGGTGGCACATGCCTATAAGTCCTAGCTGCTTGGGAGGCTGCGGCTGCAGTGAGCTGTGATCACACCACTGCACTCCAGCCTGGGCAACAGAGTAAGACCCTGTCTGAAAAAATACATATATAGTAATATAATACAAAATAAATAAATAGGTGTTGAAGCTGTTATGCGAAAAGGCCAATCTGAAGTAGAAAAGAAAGGCTGAAGTATCAACTTGCTTTCCTATTTTGTTGGCTTCTCTCCATATAAATATTATTAAAACAAACGTGAGGTATAACATGATATAGTAAAGGTGCACAAATCGTCGTAGCTTGATGAATTTTTATATATGTATGCACCAGGTCAAAATATAAAACATTCCCATCTTACCAGAAGGTATGAACTGTGTCTTCCCAGTCAATACTATGTCCTCAAACAAGGTAACCACCATAGTGATTTTTACCACTGAGCCACTTTTTGAGTCCATGAACCTTACAACTAAGAATCTACCAGCTTGAGTAAAATATATAATAATTTATTATAAATTTGGACTAAAGACTAGAGACATCACTTTTTAATTTTTATTTATTTTTATGTTTTTTTGAGACGAGTCTTGCTCGTCACCCAGGCTGGAGTGCAGTAGTAGCACGATCTCGGCTCACTGCAACCTCCGCCTCCTGGGTTCAAGCGATTCTACTGCATCAGCCTTCCAAGTAGCTGGGACTACAGGCACACACCACCACGCCCAGCTAATTTTTG
This sequence comes from Homo sapiens, assembly GCF_000001405.40. Taxonomy (NCBI): domain Eukaryota; kingdom Metazoa; phylum Chordata; class Mammalia; order Primates; family Hominidae; genus Homo; species Homo sapiens. The sequence goes on along the minus strand of NC_000001.11, from coordinate 32,662,828 downwards.
TATTTTTAGTAGAGATGGGGTTTCACCACGTTGGCCAAGCTGGTCTTGAACTCCTGACTTCGTGATCCATAAGCCTCGGCCTCCCAAGTGCTGGAATTACAGTCGCCAGCCACTGCGCCTGGGCTGAGATATCACTTCCTTAAAAAACAAAACTAGGCTGGGCATGGTGGCTCACGCCTATAATCCCAGCACTTTGGGAGGCTGAGGCAGGTGGATCACGAGGTCAGGAGTTCGAGACCAACCTGGCCAACGTAGTGAAACCCCATCTCTACAAAAAATACAAAATTAGCCGGGTGTGGTGGTGCATGCCTGTAATCCCAGCTACTCGGGAGGCTGAGACAGGAGAATTGCTTGAACCTGGGAGGTGGAGGTTGCAGTGAGCCGAGATTGCACCATTGCACTCCAGCCTGGGTAACAAGAGTGAAATTCTGTCTCAAAAAGCAACAACAACAACAACAACAACAAAAATTAGCTGGTGTGGTGGCGGGTACCTGTAATCCCAGCTACTCAGGAGGCTGAGGCAGGAGAATCACTTGAACCCAGGAGGCGGAGGCTGCAGTGAGATCGCACCACTGCACTCAGCCTGGACGACAGAGAGAGACTGTTTGTTAAAAAAATAAAACAAAACCCCAAAAAAACAAAAAAACCCGGGCGCGGTGGCTCAAGCCTGTAATCCCAGCACTCTGGGAGGCCAAGGCTAGCAGATCGCAATGTCAGGAGATGGAGATCATCCTGGCCAACATAGTAAAACCTCATCTCTACTACAACCACAAAAATTAGCTGGGTGTGGTGGCACAGACCTGTAGTCCCAGCTACTTGGGAGGCTGAGGCAGGAGAATCGCTTGAACCCAAGAGGCGGAAGTTGCAGTGAGCCGAGATTGCCACACTGCACTCCAGCCTGGTGATAGAGCAAGACTGTCTCAAAAAAAAAAAAAAAAAAAAAAAAAAAAAAAAAAAAGTGGGCAAAGGACATGAACAGACACTTCTCAAAACACATATAAGCAGACAACGAATGTGAAAAAAAAAAGATCAACATCACCAATCATCAGAAAAATGCAAATCAAAACAGATAGATGCCTCTCACACCAGTCAGAATGGCTATTATTAAAAAGTTGAAAAATAACATGGTGAGGCTGCAGAGAAAAGGGAACACTTAGACACTGCTGGTGGGAATGCAAATTAGTTCAACAACTGTGAAAAGCAGTCTGTGGAGATTTCTCAAATAACTAAAAACAGGGCCAGGCATGGTGGTCACGCCTGTAATCCCAGCACTTTGGGAGGCTGACGCAGGTGGATCACCTGAGGTTGGGAGTTCGAGACCAGCCTGACCAACATGGAGAAACCCCATCTCTACTAAAAATACAAAATTAGCTGGGCATGGTGGCGCATGACTGTAATCCCAGATACTCGGGAAGCTGAGGCAGAAGAACTGCTTGAACCTGGGAGGCGGAGAGTGCAGTGAGTTGAGATAGCGCCACTTTACTCCAGCAACAACAGTGACACTCCATCTCAAAAAAAAAAAAAAAGGAACTAAAAATAGAACTACCATTCAACCCAGCAATCCCATTACCGGGAATATACCCAAAAGAAAAGAAATTGTTCTACAAAAAAGACACGTGCACTTGTATGTTCACTGTAGCATTATTCACAATACCAAAGATACGGAAATCAACCCAAGTGTCCATCAATGGTTGACTGAATAAAAAAATTTTTTTGGCTGAGTATAGTGGCTCATGCCTATAAGCCCAGAACTTTGGGAAGCCAAAGTGGGTGAATTGCAAGAGCCCAGGAGTTTTCAGACCAGCCTGGGCAACGTGGTGAGACCTACTCTCTACAAAAAATACAATGGAAATCAGCTGGGCATGGTGGCGCATGCCTGCAATCCCAGCTACTCAGGACGCTGAGGCAGGAGGACTGCTTGAGCCCAGGAGGCAGAGGTTGCAGTAAGCGGGGATTGTGTGACTGCACTCCAGCCTGGGTGACAAAGCAAGACTCCGCCTCAAAATAACAACAAAAACTCAATCATTTAGGAAAAAAAGGCTGGATTCTGATTCCATACCAAATACCAGAATGACAAAAGTTTTAATGGCCCAAACATAAAAGTCCCAGAAGACAACAATAGATGAACACATACTTTATGAAATCATTGAATGGGAGGTCTGAGGTGGGAAGATTGAGGCCAGAGTTCCAGATCAGCCTGAGCAACATAGTGACATGCCATCTCTTAAAAAAAAAAAAAATTAAGTTATCTGGGTGTGGTGGTGGGCGCCTGTAATCCCAGCTACTTGGGAGGCTGAATCAGGAGAATAGCTTGAATCTGGGAGACGGAGGTTGCAGTGAGCAGAGATTGCGCCACTGCACTACAGCCTGGGCGACAGAGCCAGACTCCGACTCAAAAAAAATAAATAAATAAAATAAAAATCCAGGTATGGTGGTGTATGTCTGTAGCCAGAGCTACTTGGGAGGCATAGGTGGGAGGATCGTTTGAGCCCATAAGGAGGCTGCAGTCAGCTAAGATCATGCCAGTGCACTCCAGTCTGGGTGACAGAGCAAGGCTCCATTAAAAAAGCAACTTACAGCTTCTAACCAATAACAGGACTTAAGATTTTAAGTTAAACAAGAAAATGATCTGCACCTATTTATTGGGTGGAGAAGGTATAATTTACCTTATATGAAGAGGTAACTCAAAAGGAAATACGGGCAAAAAACATAAATAAACAGGAGATGTAAGCTCAACATCACAAATAAAAAAAGCAATGTAAACTTGAGAATGAACTCTACTGAGTCCAGTGTTGGCAAAGGCATGGAGAAACAGACATAAATACATACGCTGTTGTGGGACTTCAAATCTTTTTCTGGAGTGCAACTTAGCAGTATCAATTATATTAAAAAACGGTCCTGCCCTTTGATACAACATTCTACTTAGAAAGTATTTCTATAGCAAAACTATGCTTTTGAAGTCAAAAAATTAGAAACCATCTAAATGTCTATCAGTAAGGAATAGTTAATTATGGTCTACTATACAGCCATCAAAAGGAGGCAGGTCTCCATCTACTAACAAAGATACATGCCCCAGATATATTAGGCCATAAAAGCAAATTATGAACCTATATTGCATATTCTATACCTGGCATACAAAATTACTCAACATATTTGTTGAATGAGTGATCCAATACACAGGATAAATCCTTCAGAAAACAATACATCACAATACATCCATTTAAGTGATATCCAGGGGAAAGGTTTTTCTTTTGTTTTGTTTTTGAGACGGAGTTTCCCTTTTTTTTTTTGCCCAGGCTGGAGTGCAATGGTGAGATCTCGGCTCACTGCAATCTCTGCCTCCCGGGTTCAAGTGATGCTCTTGCCTCAGCCTCCTGAGTAGCTGGGATTACAGGTGCGTGCCACTGCACATGGCTAATTTTGTATTTTTAGTAGAGACAGGGTTTCACTATGTTGGCCAGGCTGGTCTTGAACTCCTGACCTCAAGTGATCCACTGGTCTCAGCCTCCCAAAGTGCTGGGATTACAGGAGTGACTCACCGCACCCGGCCAGGGAAAGGTTTATTATATGGGAGAAGGGGTGCGTTTTTTACATTGTGTGTAAAATTACATATATATGTAAAACCACATATATGTGTGTGTATACATTTATATTGTGTGTGTGTAAAATTACATATATTTTATATATATAAAATTTATATGTATATATAAATTATATATATTACACACAATATAAATATATACACATGTAGTTTTACATATATAATTTATATATTTATATATAAATATAATACATTTATATTATCTAAAATTATATATAACTATATTTTACACACAATATATACACGCATGTAGTTTTACATATACATACATATATACGTATGTTTATATATAAATATAACATTTATATTGTGTAAAATTACACATATAATTTTACACACACAATATAAATATATACACACACATATATGTAGTTTTACAATTTATCACACTACCAATCAGAGTATTTGTGCCTCAGTAACAAGAACAAAAGGCAGGAGGATCATTTGAGGTCCGGAGTTCGAGACCAGCCTGACCAACATGATGAAACCCTGTCTCTACTAAAAATACAAAAAATTAGCCAGGCGTGGTGGTGCATGCCTGTAGTCCCAGCTGCTTGGGAGGCTGAGGCAGGAGAATCGCTTGAACCTGGGAGGTGGAGGTTGCAGTGAACTGAGATCGCGCCACTGCACTCCAGCCTGGGCAGCAGAGCGAGACTCCATCTCCAAAAAAAAAAAAAGGAAAGCGTTTAAGCATTTCATGAGCAGTTAAACCCTTAGGTTATGGCCTAAAAACAGGATATAATTAAACAACTCATTGGAACTTAGTTTCTATACACATAGAGAGTGCCATGGTTAAGTCATTTCTACCACTTTAAACCTAGAAAGGGTAATTTAAGTTAGTGTTTCTCAACCTTTTTTTTTTTTTTACTATTGCTCCTCTAAGAACTCTTTTAAGAACTATTCCCTCCCCACCAGTCCCATGAAATTTTAATACCATAGATATCCTATGTCCTCTGTGCATATCTGTGCTTTAAACAATCAACCAGTAAGATTATTTACACCTACTCACATACACAAACCAATTTTCACCTCCTTAGGGGTAGTTATCTCCCGTGTTAAGAATGTATAGCAATATGGATGGGTGCAGTGGCTCACGCCTGTAATTCCAGCACTCTGAGAGGCTGAGGTGGGTGGATCACCTGAGGTCAGGAGTTCAAGACCAGCCTGGCCAACTTGGTGAAACCCTGTCTCCACTAAAAATACAAAAATTAACTAGGCGTGGTGGCGGGCGCCTGTAATCCCAGCTACTCAGGAGGATGAGGCAGAAGAATCGCTTGAACCCGGGAGGCGGAGGTTGCAGTGAGAGAAGATCGTGCCACTACACTCCAACCTAGGCAATAGAGCGAGACTGAGTAAAAAAATAAAAAATCAAGAATGTACAGCAATAATATATATTTTTGCTTCTTTCAATTGCAGAAATCCTCCCCACCAGCACCAGCTGAGAAAAGTTTATTGTGAAGGTACAGAACCAAGGATGTGTTAAGTATTTCTTCTGATACCTAAAACTCTAATATAAATATAAATACCTACCATTGCAAACTCAGGCTTTCCCTCAACCTTAAATATTGTTTCTAAAGTCAGAGTTTACTTTATCAAAGTGCACATAACAGATATGACCCACACATCTTTACTTCTTTCACCTTTAAGATTCCTACCTCCTTTCTCACTGTCGTAGTGTGACGCATCAAACTGAGCATCATCATTAGGGAGCTGCACACTGGCTATAACAAGATGGTTTTGTTCATCCGATGTGTGTGTCCCCAGGACAAGTCGATGAATGCTGAAATCTTTCCCTTCTGGTCTGTAACGGCAATATATAGTCACTGTTCAAATTAGTAACATCAGGAGACGGCGAAGTCAACAATATACATGTATGTCAAAGTCACTAATACAACCAGGTTTTAAGAGAGGGGAAAAAGTCATTAAGGGTCTTTTCTTTCTTTCTTTTTTTATAAATAGAGTCTCACTCTTTCGCCCAGGCTAGAATGGAGTGGTGCGATCTTGGCTCACTGCAACCTCTGGCTCTCGGATTCAAGCGATTCTCATGCCTCAGCCTCCCGAGTAGCTGGGACTACAAGAACCTGCCACCATGCCTGGCTGATTTTCGTATTTTTAGTAGAGACGGGATTTCACCATGTTGGCCAGGCTGGTCTCGAACGCCTGGCCTCAAATTATCCACCCACCTCAGCCTCCCAACGTGCAGAGATTACAGGCAAGAGCCACCGTGCCTGGCCAAGAGCCATATTTTCTACTTAATTACTCTGGAGAAAAAGTAAAACGTTTTATGGAATAAAATGTGAATTAACTACTCACTCACTACCAACAGGTTGGAGGGAAAGCAAACCATTGTTGGGTATGCTAATAATTTTGCTTACTAAAACTTTCATTAAAAAGGAAAGAAGGGGAAAGGGTGCAAAGAAATTGAAAAGAATGAAAAAAGGGAAAGAAGAGTAAATAACATAAACCAATTTTTCAAACATTTACTAACCGCCTATCAATGGACACATCGCTCCAAACGCGATGGAAGTACAAAGACAATTAAGACATGATTCCTGACCTCAAAAAACCTGCAGCTGGGCCAGGCATGGTGGCTCACACCTGTAATCCCAGCACTTTGGGAGGCCGAAGAGGGTGGATTAATTGAGGTCAGGAATTCGAGACCAGCCTGACCAACATGATGAAACCCGGTCTCTACTAAAAATACAAAAATTAGCCGGGTGTGGTGGCGGTGCCTGTAGTCCTAGCTACTCAGGAGGCTGCGACAGGAGAACTGCTTGAACCCAGGAGGCAGAGGTTGCAGTGAGCCAAGACGGTGCCACTGCACTCCAGCCTGGGCGAAAGAGCAAGACTCTGTCTCAAAAAACAAACAAAACAAAAAAAACCGGCGGCTGGCTAATCCCAGCTACTTGGGAGGCTGAGGCACAAGAATCGCTTGAACCCGAAAGGCGGAGGCTGCAGTGAGCAGAGATCGTGTTACTGCACTCCAGCCTGGGTGACAGAGAAAGACTACTTCCTGTCTCAAAAAAGAAAAAAATAAATAAAAGAAAGAAAATTAAACAATTTGCCTAAGATCACACAGCTACTAAGTAACAAGTATGCTGAAGTCCAAATCTGACTTCTGATATGGGAAAGCACAGTGGGAGAGAAGGCCGATTAAAACTGACTATTTAGTGTTCTGAATGCCGTCTTAAGGCATTCTGTACTCCATACTGGGTCAAGGGCATCCACATCATCTGGGAACTTGTTAGAAACGCAAATTCTCACATCTACTCCAGACCCATTGAATCAGAAACTCTAGAAGGTGGGGCACAACTAACTGTTTCACAGTACCTCCAGCTGATTATGATGCATATAAAATTTTGAGAACCCCTGGCCTAGATGGGAAAGATGCTACACAACCAGAATTCATTGGGGTTTATAAATTGACTGCCTATAAAATGGAGAAAGAGAAAATGTCAAACTAAAGCCAATTATGATGAAAAGAAATAGGAACAACAGGAGAGAAAGTTGGGGTAAGGCCTTCACGTAAGGAATAATTCCATTTACAACATGTCAAACTGGGGAAGCCAGTAAGATATACCAGGGAAGACACGGGCAGGCAGAAGAAAAATCAGGAAAAGCTCTGGAGAAGTGAGGTCTAAAGATATCAATAGGAATTCTTCTGCACAGATGTCACAGGCAAAGCTCTGAGAGCTTCTACATTACACTGAAAAGAAATGAAGAGAGATATGAACAGAAAATTGGAATTACCTGTATGTAGAAGGTTAGACAAGAACCAGAAAAAGAATGAAGGAGAGGACAGTGTTACAGAACTACAACCGTGGTTTTTCTTTCTTTTTAAAGGGGGGAAACGGATCTGGGTAAACACCAGAAAAAGAACACACACAAAAGTAAACACTGCATCAGGGCTGCTTGCTTGTAAGTAATCCTCATCTTAAAAAACAAAAACAGGGCCAGGCACGGTGGCTCATGTCTGTAATCCCAGCACTTTGGGAGGTCAAAGTGGGAGGATCACTGGAGCCCAGAAGTTAAAGAACAGTCTGGACAACATAGCAAAAAAATTTTTCAAAAATTAGCCAGGTATGGTAGCGTGTGCCTGTAGCCCCAACTATTCCAGAGGCTGAGGCAGGAGGATTCCTTGGCCCAGGAGGTCAAGGCTGCAGGGAACTCTGATCGTGCCACTGCAACACAGTCTGGGCAACAAAGCAAGATCCTGTCTCAAAAACAATTTTCAGCCAGGTGCACTAGCTCACGCCTGTAATCCCAGCACTTTGGGAGGCCGAAGCGGGTGGATTACCTGAGGTCAGGAGTTCAAGACCAGCCTGGACAACATGGTGAAACCCCATCTCTACTAAAAATACAAAAAATTAGCTGGGCGTGGTGGCGGGTGCCTGTAATCCCAGCTACTTGGGAGGCTGGGGCAGGAGAATCGATTGAACCCAGGAGGCGGAGGTTGCAGTGAGCTCAGATCATGCCACTGCACTCCAGTATGAGTAACAAGAGTGAAACTCCGTCCTCCGTCTCAAAACAACAACAACAACAAAAAACAATTCTCACATTATTTATCTAGATTTGCTAATGCAGAAAACTACTAAGATGACAGTACAGATTTCAGCCTTGGGGAATTAAGTCTTTAATTCTTGCTTTCGAAACCTAGCTAGTCATTCTATTATATTACTTGGGAAGTTTCTGAAAAGTAGGGGTTCTAGAATGTTTAGTAGGTATGGGATGGCCAATATTTGTGATCCACTAGTCCAATAAGCACAATTTAGCATATGACTATAGTAAATGTGGAATCACCATTCCAGTACACTTCTCATTAAGTACTCTGCCACAAGTTCTTTTTCTTTGAGACAGGGTGGCAATCCCTAGCTCAGGCTGGAGTGCAGTAGCAGGATCACAGCTCAATGCAGCCTTGACCTCCCAAGGCTCAGGTGATCCTCCTGCCTCAGCCCCCACTGAGGAGCTGGGACTAACAGGTACGCACCACCATGCCCGGATAATATTTGTAATTTTAGTAGAGACGGGCTTTTCACCATGTTGCCCAGGCTGGTCTGGAACTCCTGGCCTCAAGCAATCTGCCTGCCTCAGCCTCCCAAAGTGCTGGGATTACACGTGTGAGCCACCATGACCAGCCCATAAGTTCCTAAATGGTTTGAATTACCACTGAAAACTCTTGACAGAAATGATTCCAATTATCCTGAATTCCCCAAGCAATTCTGATGATCAATTGCATGTGGGAACTCCTGGTCATGATAAAGAAGCTTCTAGGCCGGGCGCGGTGGCTCACGCCTGTAATCCCAGCACTTTGGAAGGCCGAGGCGGGTGGATCATGAGGTCAGGAGATTGAGACCATCCTGGCTAACACGGTGAAACCCCGGCTCTACTAAAAATACAAAAAATTAGCCAGGGGTAGTGGCCGGCACCTGTAGTCCCAGCTACTTGGGAAGCTGAGGCAGGAAAATGGCGTGAACCCGGGAGGCGGAGCTTGCAGTCAGCGGAGATCACGTGACTGCACTCCAGCCTGGGCAAGAGAGGAGACTCCGTCTCAAAAAAAAAAACAAAAACAAAAAAAAAAAAAAAAAAAAAACCAGAAAACAAAAAACACACAAAGCAGCTTCTAACTCCCAATTTCTAGGTTTTTACTATGGTTTTGTGTAACATCCCTAGGACACATTTCCCTATTTTTCCTTATGCCACTGTAAAGGTAGCAGCCTCATTCTTAAGTTACTAGTATAATTTCTGCCAAATTTCTATCATTTGTTGAGCTACATCATAGTCTAATAACATTTTGCAATTATCTTAACTTTTAAAGATCCAAGTTTTGAAGGAATTTACTTAGCATACAATCGCTTTTGAATGTAATTCAGAAAACTTACTTTTGTACCAGAAAATCCATTATTCCAAATGGCACAATGGTCTTGTTAAAACTATGTTAATATCATCTAAATTTACCCTCCTCTTTGTTTTTTGCATTGTCATTTCTTCCTAAGAAATGAGGCAAATTGAGGCAAATTTTCCTTCCTCTGATAATTTTATCTGTACCACTTTTATGCTAATTATAACTAATTTGGATCCCCGATATGTAGCACCAAATACAGCCCCAATAAATGCAAGCTATTTTATCCCCTCTACTAGAGATAAGCTACCTACACGTAAGAAACATAGGATTAATCTTTTAGCCCTCACTATGCCCAAACCCCTTATAAGAAAGCCATTCCACCTTCAGGTGTTTTCTAGGTACCCTAATTATCTCTCTACAACTGCTGTCACCATATATAACTATAATTATTAGTTTATATCTGCCACTTCAACTAGACAATGTGCTCCTTGAAGGCAGGTACCATGACATACTACGAGAATTCAAATTAAGTTTTGTTGAGGCCAGGTGCAGTGGCTCACGCCTGTAATCCCGGCACTTTGGGAGGCAGAGGCGGGCGGATCACCAGAGGTCAGGGGGTTGGAGACCAGCCTGTCCCACATGGTAAAACCCCGTCTCTACTAAAAATACAAAAAAATTTAGCCAGGCGTGGTGGCAGGTGCCTGTAATCCCAGCTACTTGGGAGGGCTTAGGCAGGAGAATCGCTCGAATCTGGGAGGCAGAGGTTGCAGTGAGTCGAGCTCGCGCCACTGCACTCCAGCCTGGACAACAGAGTGAGACACCGTCTCAAAAAGAAAAACAAAAAATTTTTGTTGTAAGGACTAGACTCATTGTAATACTTTTTTCTTTTTTTGTGTGGGGGGCAGTAGAGACGAGGGTATTCCCAGGGCTGGTCTCCAACTCCTGGCCTCAAGTAAGTCTCCTGCCTGGGCCTCCCAAAGTGCTCGGATTCCAAGTGTGAGCCACTGCTCCTGGCCATAATACTTTTTGAAAGTTGACAAGTTTTGTACTATTATTTGGTACAGCCACTATTATTACAGGTATTATCATCAGCTACAGCTATTTAATTCAGTATTGAGAAAAAAACGCCAATATGTTTTCTCTTGTCAGGTAAGTTACAAAATCATTTTGTTATTTTGCCTTACTTTGTGGCCTAGAAAAAATGTCACCAAGAGGTTTTGATCACATGCCTTCTCCGGGTGACTGAAGAGCGGAAAAAAGAAAATCAATATGAGAAATCTACACTGAAAATACATCAAAATAACGTTCGGGAGAGTCATGTCACCTGGTTACATCTGGAAGCCACTGGGCAGTTAGGCTGGGCCACTCCAGAGCATGGGTCATCACCAAATCATAAAGAAAAGGGGTGTTCTTTTTCCATATTTTGTATTCCTCGTTGATCACTCGTTCTTCCACTGCGTCGTCGAAGGCTGCTAAAATTTTTAAAAACAAATTTAAGTTAGCAAACAAACGGAAACCGAGTAATCCTCTGCAAAGCCACCTGCATGACTCCTACAGCCTAACCATGAAATGGAGGTGATTTGTCTAAATCCCCACGGCAGAGGCATCCACACTCTCCACTTTCGCGGCGCCGAAACTCCTCGGGCCATCCCCGCCAAACACTCCGTTACCCGTTCCAGGCCAAGGGGCCAGCCAGGCCTTCGGAGCACGCTCGTGCGCGCCGAAACTCACAAGCCCGACGAGGAGGCCCGAGCTCCGAGCCTTGTGGGTAGGAAGCGGTGTCCCCACGCTCGGGACAGAGGCCGAGAAACCGATATCGGAGGCAGGAAGAGAAACAAACACTGGCCGGGGGCCCCACCGCTGGCTTCGCCAGCTGCGACCGAAATCGGTCCCAGGGAACTGGCGAGCCGTTAGCACGCCCCGCGGGGAGTTCCCTCTTCACGCCTTCAGTACCGGGGACTGCACTCGGCAAACTCGGGCCTGCCCTCACTGTTAGGCCATGTCGAGGCCGCGGCTCAGCCCAGGCACCCACTGCCCTCCTGGGTCGGCCCCGGCACCCTCACCTTCCTTGTCGGCCATGGCGGGCAGGCGAGCCGGGGGAATCCTGGGGTCGAGCGTTGCGGGAGGGGCGGGGAGGCTGCAAGAGCTCGCTCTGTGCGCGCGGCCTCTATTGTTTCCTGCGCCCCCAGCGCGAGGGCTGACTCGCGCACCTTCGCGCCAACATCAGCCAATGGGAGCGCTCCTAATGGCGGGATGGGCGGGGAAGCCGCGTTCGCGACCAATCCAGACGCGCGGAGTAGCTTTCCGCGGGGACCGAGGCGCGCGCTCCGCCCCTCCCCCCACGCCTCCCCGAGCCGACTTCCAGCGATTGCGCGCGCCGGCGTTGACGGGACTGCGCCCGGTCAGGGTCACGTGAGAGAGGTTTGGTCCGCACACTCCCGCGGCAAGAGGGCAGCCATTTTCTTGAAGGCTATTAAGCTTACGACCCTTTCAGAGTACTGAGATGAAAAATCTAGAATGCCTTCGGGTCTAGTTATCAATTTTGGGGGTGAAGCGGGGGAAAGAACCTCGCCAGTCAGACCCAGACGGGTTTCATTCAAGGTGCCCTTCAACGTTTTTCCTTAGTCTTTGGAAAGAACTAGTAATGAAGGAATCGCAGAAGATGGGGTTTTGGCTTTTTAAATATGCGATCCAAGCGGCAGGGTAGGGACTAAAGTAGGTCAACAGCCAACTCCGAGAAAGGAGTGTGGTCCTTTAAGGGTGTGCGCCAAGGGGCGGAGTCTAGAGCGGAAGTAGTAACTCCGGGCCGAAGTCCGGTGGATGAAGGGCGGAAGTAGAGTGTCTAATCCTGCAGTCATGGCGCAGGAAGAGGAAGATGTTAGAGATTACAATTTGACTGAAGAACAGAAGGCGATCAAGGCCAAGTATCCGCCAGTCAATAGGAAGTACGAGTGTGAGTAGGTGGCTTACTTCTCTCTTTACATGTAAGCACACAGGCATCCCCTCTCCTTACCCGCGGCTTCCTGCTGCTCTTTCTACTGTGCCCCATGGGTACTTCAGGCATGATCCCATTTGTGCCGGCTGTTGTAGTCGCGTTCGTACTTCTCCTGGGGATGCTGAAGGAAAAAGCCACCTGGTTTAATAGTCGCGAAACCTGGCCTCCCTCATTTACAGTCTCTTGAACTTCTTCCACATGTGCCTAATCACATTTATCTTCGTAAATTCTAAAGATAACCATATTTTCAGGCGTTTGCAGGGTTGTTACCCCCATGTATTTCCCAACGGTGAGATTAGAGTGTGCGAGGTTAGAGGACTCGGAAAGCTAATTAGGGGATTTCTAACTTGATGTTTCACCTCGATCATATTAGCAAAAAACCTGGTTTTGCCATTTATGATTGTGATTTTTAAAAATGATTATTTTAGGCCGGGCTCGGTGGCTGAGGCCTGTGATCCCAGCACTTTGGGAGGCCGAGGCGGGCGGATCACCTGAGGTCGGAAGTTCGAGATCAGCCTGACCAACATGGAAAAACCCCGTCTCTACTAAAAATACAAAATTAGCTGGGCGTGGTGGAGCATGTCTGTAATCCCAGCTACTCGGGAGACTGAGGCAGGAGAATCGCTTGAACCCGGGAGGCGGAGGTTGCGGTGAGCCGAGATCGCCCCATTGCACTCCAGCCTGGGCAACGAGCGAAACTCTGTCTCAAAAAAAAAAAAAAATGTGTGTGTGTGTGTGTGTGTGTGTGTGTGTGTGTTTTTAGAGATGGGGTCTCGCTCTGTCGTCCAGGCTGGAGTGCAATGGAGCGATCATAGCCCGCGCTGCAGTGCCCAGCTGGTTTTGCCATTTATTCGCTTAGTGACTTTAGGCAAATCACATAACCTATCTTTGTCTCTTAAATTCTATATTAAACGTTAAGCTGTCATCCCTAAAGGTAGCTGTGGTTTGGGGAGCACAAATCTGACTTTTATTTATCTGCTTAAAATCTTTCATTAATTTCTCATTGTCCTCTCTGTAAAATCTACTTATTTACCATAGTATTCTAGGCAATGTGCTTTCTGGAGCTGGCATACCTCCTAGCATATCCCCTTCTCTCACTTAAAAACAATTTTAAAATATTATAGGCCGTTTGCGGTGGCTCACACTTATAATCCCAGCACTTTGCGAGACTGACGTGGGTGGATCACCTGAGGTCAGGAGTTCCAGACCAGCCTGGCCAACATGGTGAAACCCCGTCTCTACTAAAAATACAAAAATTAGCTGCGCATGATGGTGGGCGCCTGTAATCCCAGCTACTCGGGAGGCTGAGGCAGGAGAATTGCTTGAACCCAGGAGGGTGGAGGCTGCAGTGAGCCGAGATCACACCACTGCACTCCAGCCTGGGCAACAGAGTGAGACTGTCTCAAAAAAAAAAAAAAAAAAAAAAAGGCCTGGTGCTGTGGCTCACGCCTGTAATCCCAGCACTTTGGGAGGTTGAGGCGGGTGGATCACCTGAGGTCAGGAGCTTGAGATCAGCCTGGCCTGGCCAACATGGTGAAACCCCATCTCTACTAAAAATACAAAAATTAGCTAGGCATGGTGGTGGGTGCCTGTAATCCCAGCTGCTTGGGCGGCTGAGGCAGGAGAATCGCTTGAACCTGGGAGGCGGAGGTTGCAGTGAGCCGAGATTGCACCACTGCACTCCAGCCTGGGCGACAGAGCCAGACTCCATCTCAAAAAAAAATTATTTTTAATAGGTCATATATATTGATTTGAAATTCAGAAAGTGTAACATAGGCAGTGAAAAGTAACTCTGGCAGCCCCCATCCTCAACTACCTAGTCCCCCTCTGTAGAGCAGTCATCGTTACCTTTTTCTTACATGTACATACCTAGATGTTCTAGCATTTGCTTTAACCAATTTTCAGTTGATGGACGTTTAGGCTATTTCTACTCTTGTGGTATTAGAAACAGTGCAGCAGTGAATACACTTGTACATCCACTGTTTTGTACATGTGCAAGTGAATCTGTAGAATCAAGTTCTCCAAGTTTTTTTTGTTTCCATTGCTAAGACTCCTACATTTTTTAAAAGGATATTTTAACTTGGACAGTTATTGCCAAATTGCTCTCTATAGGAGTTGTACCAATTTATACTTTCACTAGTATTGTGTGAATGTGCCTCTTTCCTCCCACTTCTACTAATTGTTACCATACTTTTTTATCTTTTCTAATTTGTAAAGTATACTTACTGTATTTTTCTTATTGTAAGTGAAGTTGAACATATTATACTGTTTTGGAAGCTATTTGTATTTCCCATTCTGGGGTGTGTATGTTAATATTCTTAGCCCTTTTTTCTCTTGGGTTATTTTTTTTTTGTCTTGGGTTGTTGGTTTTTCTTACTAGGCAGAAAGTGTTTTTATGCAATGCAGTTCATTAACCAGCGGTCCCCAACCTTTTTGGCACTAGGGACTGGTTTCACGGAAGTCAGTTTTTCCACCAACGGGGGTTGTAGGGGAGGATGGTTTCAGGATGATTCAAGCGCATTACATTTATTGTGCATTTTATTTCTATTATTATTACGTTGTAATATATAATGAAATAATTATACAACTCACTGTAATATAGAATCAGTGGGAGCCCTGAACTTGTTTTCTTGTAACTAGATGGTCCCATCTGGGGATGACAGATCATCAGGCTTTAGATTCTCATAAGGAGCACACAGCCTAGATCCCTCAATGTGCAGTTCACAATAGTGTTCAAGCTCCTATGAGAATCTAATGCTGTGCCTGATCTGAAAGGAAGTGGAGCTCAGGCAGTAATGTTAGCAATGGGGAGCTGTTGTAAATATAGAAGAAGCTTTGTGAGCTCATGTCCTGCTGTGCTGCCTGGTTCCTAACAGGCCACCAACTGGTACTGGCCAGGGGGTTGGGGACCCCCTGCATTGACCCTTTCTTTCTTTTCTTTTTTTTTTTTTTTTGAGACAGAGTCTCGCTTTGTCATCCAGGTTGGAGTACAGTGGCATGATCTCCAGTCACTGCAACCTCTGCCCCCCAGGTTCAAGTAATTCTTCTGCCTCAGCCTCCTGAGTAGCTGGGACTACAGACATGCACCACCACACCTGGCTAATTTTTTTTTTTTTTTTTTTTTGAGACAGAGTAGCTGGGATTACAGGTATGCACCACCGTGCCTGGCTAATTTTGTATTTTTAGTAGAGATGGGGTTTCTCCATGTTGGTCAGGGTGGTCTCGAACTTCCAATCTCGAACTTCCAATCTCAGGTGATCCGCCCGCCTCGGCCTCCGAAGTGCTGGGATTACAGGCGTAAGCCACCACGCCTGGCATTTTTTTTTTTTTTTTTTTTTTTTTTTTTTTTGAGACAGTATCTTGCTCTGTCTCCCAGGCTGGAGTGCAGTGGCACCATCTCAGCTCACAGCAACCTCCGCCTCCTGGGTTCAAGTGATTCTCTTGCCTCAGCCTTCCGTATGGCTGGGATTACAGGTGCCCACCACCACACCCGGCTAATTTTTGTGTTTTTTTTTTAGTAGAGACAGGGTTTCACCATGCTGGCCAGGATGGTCTTGAACTCCTGACCTCAAGTGATCCGCCCACCTGAGCCTCCCAAAGTGCTGGGGTTACAGGCATGAGCCACCACTCCCGGCCAACCCTTTTTTTTATGGCTTCTAAGATAAGAAGTCATACTCAGGGAATGCCTTGTCCACTGAGATTTTAAAATAATTTTCCTAATTTTTTTTTTATACATTTGAAAATAGAACTTTTGGCCGGCGGATCACGAGGTCAGGAGATTGAGGCCATCCTGGCTAACATGGTGAAACCCTGTCTCTACTAAAAATACAAAAAAATTAGCCGGGCGAGGTGGCGGGCGCCTGTAGTCCCAGCTACTCGGGAGGCTGAGGCAGGAGAATGGCGTGAACCCGGGAGGCGGAGCTTGCAGTGAGCCGAGATTGCACCACTGCACTCCAGCCTGGGCAACAGAGTGAGACTCTTTCTCAAAAAAAAATAATAATAAAATAAAAAACTTTAATTGAATAACCTGGAATTAGATACCAAGAAAAAAAAATCTTTTTTTTTTTCCCTGAGACAGTCTCATTCTGTCACCCAAGCTGGAGTAGTGCAGTGGTGCGACTTTGACTCACTACAACCTCTGCCTCCTGGACTCAAGTGATCCTCCAACCTCAGCCTCTTGAGTAGCTGGGATTACAGGCGTGCACCATCATACCCAGCTAATTTTTCATTTTTAGTAGTGATGGAGTTTCACCATGTTGGCCAGGCTGGTCTCGAATTCCTGACCTCAGATGATCTGTCTGCCTTGGCCTGCCAAAGTGCTGGGAGTACAGACGTGAGGCACTGCACCCAGCCAAAATACATCTTTTATTGAAGTATGATGTACTTATAGAAGAGTGCCCGTGTCATAAGTGAATTTTCAGAAACTGAGTACACTTGTATAAGTAGTATAATAGTTCTCAAAATGTAATCTCTGTATTCCTGGGGTTCCCTATATCCTTCCAGAGGGTCTGTGATGTCAAAACTATTTTCATAATAATACTGAGGTGTTATTGTTTTCACTGTGTTGATATTTGTACTGGTGGTACAAAATCAGTGGTTGGTAAAACTGGCCCCAGCCTGTAGTCCCAGCTACTCCAGAGGCTGAGGTGGGAGCATCACTTGAACCCAGGAGTTTGAGACTCGGCTTGGTCTTTTGGAGCTATAATTGTACCACTGCACTCTATCCTGGGCTACAGAGTAAGGCTGGGCTCTATCTTTTGGAGCTATAATTGCCCCCACTGCACTCCATCCTGGGCTACATAGCAAGACTCTGTCTGTGAAAGAAAAAGCAAAAACAAAATCTCTTGGCCCTTTAGTACAAATTGAGACAGCAGCACCAAACTGTATGCTAGAAAGGGTCTCCCTCTGTCTCCCAGGCTGGAGTATAGTGGCGCTGTCATGGCTCACTGCAAGCTTGAGCTCCTAGGCTCAAGCTGTTCTCCCACCTCAGCCTCCTGAGTAGATGGGACTACTGTCTATGCCTGGCTACTACACCTAGCTAATTATGTTATTTTTTATAGAGATGGGGTCTTGTCGTGTTGCCTAGGCTGATCTTGAAATCCTGGCCTTAAGCAATCGTCCTGCCTTGGCCTCCCAAAGTGCTGGGATTACAGGTGTGAGCTACTGCACCTAGCCCTAAGGACATTCTTGAATGAAAATGACTTTTTTTTTTTGAGATGAAGTCTCACTCTGTTGACAGGCTGGAGTGCAGTGGCGCCATCTCGGCTCACTGCAACCTCCTCCTCCCAGGTGCAAACAATTCTCCTGCCTCAGCCTCCTGAGTAGCCAGGACTGCAGGCACACGCCACCATGCCCAGCTAATTTTTGTATTTTTAGTAGAGACGGGGTTTCACCATGTTGGCCAGGATGGTCTCAATCTCTTGACCTCGTGATCTGCCCACCTCGGCCTCCCAAAGTGCTGGGATTACAGGCGTGAGCCACCGTGTCTGGCTGCCTTTTTATTATTATATTATTTTTAATTTTAAGTGCGTGGTAGTAAATTAAACACCTGGGTGAGGTGGCTCGTGCCTATAATCCTAACACTTTGGGAGGCCTAAGCCGGAGGATTTCTTGAACCCAGGATTTCCAGATTAGTCTGGGCAACACAGTGAAACACATCTCTACAAAAAAAAAAAAAAAAAAAAAAGCTGGGTGTGGTGGCATGTGTGTGTAGTCCTGTAGTCGCACCTACTGGGGAAGCTGAGCCAGAAGGATTGTTTGAGCTCAGGCGTTCAAGGTTGCAGTGGGTTATCATCATGCCACTATACTCCCGGCCTGGGTGACAGAGTCCCTGACTCCAAAAAAAAAAAAAAAAAAGGAAAAAGAAAAGAACATTCTTAGGATAGAAGCAGTGGCTCACACCTATAATCCCAACACTTTGGGAGGCTGTAATGCCCAACCTGGTATTTACTAACTCTGTTTTTAGACTCTCCCTTTTCCCTTAATCACCTAGTCTTGTTTCCACCTGAATTGACTCTCCCTTAGCTAAGAGAGCCAGAGAGACTCCATCTTGGCTCTTTCACTGGCAGCCCCTTCCTCAAGGACTTAACTTGTGCAAGCTGACTCCTAGCACATCCAAGAATGCAATTAACTGATAAGATACTGTGGCAAGCTATATCCGCAGTTCCCAGGAATTCGTCCGATTGATAAACGCCCAAAGCCCCGGATCTATCACCTTGTAATAGTCTTAAAGCCCCTGCACCTGGAACTGTTTACTTTCCTGTAACCATTTGTCCTTTTAACTTTTTGACTACTTTACTTCCGTAAAATTGTTTTAACTAGACCCCCCCTCCCCTTCCTAAACCAAGGTATAAAAGTTAATCAAGCCCCTTCCTTGGGGCCGAGAGAATTTTGAGCATTAGCCGTCTCTAGGTCGCCGGCTAATAAAAGACTCTTAATTTGTCTCAAAGTGTGGCGTTTTTCTAACTCGCTTGGGTACAACAAGGCCAAGGTGGAAGGATCACTTGAAGCTAGGAGTTTGAGCAACCTGTGCAACCTAGTGAGACCCCCATCTTTTTAATAGAAAAAGAAAAAAAAAAGTAAAAAAAATTAGCTGGGGCCAGGCATGGTGGCTCACGCCTGTAATCCCAGCACTTTGGGAGGCTGAGGCAGGCGGATTACGAGGTCAGGAGTTCAAGACCAGCCTGGCCAACATAGTGAAACCCCCTCTCTACTAAAAATACAAAAAATTAGCCCAGTGTGGTGGTGCACGCCTGTAGTCGTAGCTACTCGGGAGGCTGAGGCAGGAGAATAGCTTGAACCCGGGAGGCAGGGGTTGTGGTGAGCCGAGATCATGCCACTGCACTCCAGCCTGGGCCACAGTCCCAGCTACCTAGAGGCTGAGGCAGGAGGGATCTCTTGAGCCCAGGAGGTCAAGGCTGCTGTGAGCCATGATTGTGCCACTGTACTCCACCTTGGTAGACAGTGAGAACCCATCTCTTTAAAGAAAAAAAAACCAAAAACTAAAACAAAAACTAAAGGCCAAGTGCAGTGGCTAATATCTGTAATCCCAGTACTTTGGGAGGCCAAGGCGGGTGAATCACCTGAGGTCGGGGGTTCGAGACCAGCCTGACAAACATGGAGAAACCCCCGTCTCTACTAAAAATACAAAAAATTAGCCATGCGTGGTGGTGCATCCCTGTAATCCCAGTTACTTGGGAGGCTGAGGCAGGAGAATCGCTTGAACCTGGGAGGCAGAGGTTGCAGTGAGCGGAGATCGTGCCATTGTACTCCAGCCTGGGAAACAAGAGCGAAACTCTATCTCAAAAAAAAAAAAAAAAAGGCCAGGCACGGTGGCTCACGTCTGTAATTCCAGCATTTTGGGAGGCCGAGGCCCGCAGATCACCTGAGGTCAAGGGTTTGAGACCAGCCTGGCCAACATGGTGAAACTCTGTCTCTACTAAAAATACAAAAATTAGCCGTGCGTGGTGGCGCGTGACTGTAATCCCAGCTACTCCGGAGGCTGAGAGCAGGAGAATCCCTTGAATCTGGGAGGCGGAGGTTGCAGTGAGCTAAAATTGGACCATTGCACTCCAGCCTGGACGACAGAGGAAACTCCATTTGAAAAAAAAAAAAAAAAAAAAAGACCTAGAATTGATGGAAAGGGAATGTTCTGGTTAAGATAAAAGATTGTGGAGAACAAAGTTCTTTTGAAGTCCTATAGTGGCTGCCCTTAGAGACAATAGAAGACAAATGTTTCCTATTCAGATGTTAGTTAACATCTTTAGGATTGGGAGGGTCTGGAAGAAAAAGATCTAGCTATGTTAATAGAGATTCTTTACGGATGCAAATTCTCCCCCAGAAAGAACAGCTTTGCCGGGCCATTTCTTTTTTTTTCTTTTTTTTTTTGAGACAGAGTCTCGCTCTGTCACCCAGGCTGGAATGCAGTGGCACCATCTTGGCTCACTGCAACCTCTGTCTCCTGGGTTCAAGCAATTCTCCTACCTCACCCTCCCGAGTAGCTGGGATTACAGGTGCCTGCCACTACGCCCAGCTAATTTTTGCATTTTTAGTAGATACGGGGTTTCACCACGTTGGCCAGGCTGGTCTTGAACTCCTGATCTCAGGTGATTTGCCTGCCTTGGCCTCCCAAAGTGCTGGGATTACAGGTATGAACCACCGCGCCCGGCCCTGGCCATTTCAAAATATGGCAAAGAAACATGCTTTGGGGTAAAATATTTTGATTTTCTTCCTTGTGTTGTATCTTGTAATTTTATGCCAGACTCAGGTTAGAAAGTAAGTCACGATGTATAGGGTTAAATAAAATACTTCTGAAGAGAATTTGTGATTTGTAGGGCATGACTCCCCAAACCCCTTAGATAGGAATTTGGGCAAGATAAAAAAAAATCAGAGTTTAGTTGTCATAATATTCTATGTAACAAAATTGGAAGTATGTACAAAGGTTTTGTTTTGTTTTGTTTTGTTTGAGACAGTCTCGCTCTGTCACCCAGGCTGGAGTGCTGGAGTGCAGTGGCACAATCTCGGCTCACTGCAACCTCCGTCTCCCGGGTTCACGCCATTCTCCCGCCTCAGCCTCCTGAGTAGCTGGGACTACAGGCGCCAGCCACCATGCCCGGCTAATTTTTTTTTTTTTGTATTTTTTAGTAGAGACGGGGTTTCACCATGTTAGCCAGAATGGTCTCGATCTGCTGATCTCGTGATCCGCCCGCCTCGGCCTCCCAAAGTGCTGGGATTACAGGTGTGAGCCACCGTGCCCGGCCTGTATAAAGTACTTTTGTGGCATGTTAAGTGTTGATTACTTGTGGAAAAGAACAATAATTGGCCGGGCGCGGTGGCTCATGCCTGTAATCCCAGCACTTTGGGAGGCCGAGGCGGTGGATCACCTGAGATTGGGAGTTCGAGACCAGCCTGACCAACATGGAGAAACCCCATCTCTACTAAAAATACAAAATTAGCCCGGCGTGGAGGTGCATCCCTGTAATCCCAGCTACTCAGGAGGCTGAGGCAGGAGAATTGTTTGAACCCAGTAGGCAGATGTTTTGGTGAGCTGAGATCGCGCCATTGCACTCCAGCCTGGGCAACAAGAGCAAAATCTGTCTCAAAAAAAAAAAAAAAAAAAAAAAAAACTTGTGTAATTGAGTTGTGAGCTGAACTAGGTCCGTTTTTCATGGAACACTTTTTCTTGAAAGAATGAAAGACATGCTTTTGTTATTCAGACTTCAGTATTTGGCTTGCTCTATTGCCCAGGCTGGAGAGCAGTGGCACGATCTCGGCTTACTGCAACCTCCACCTTCTAGGTTCAAGGGATTCTTCTGCCTCGGCCTCCCGATTAGCTGGGATTACAGGCCCCACCACCATGCCCAGCTAATTTTTTTTTTTTTGTATTTTTAGTAGAGACAGGGTTTCACCGTGTTGGCCAGGCTGGTCTTGAACTCCTGACCTCAGGTGATCGGCCCACCTCGGCCTCCCAAAGTGTTGGGATTACAGGTGTGGGCCTCCACACCCTTGAAAGTGAACAGTGATCTGTCACATCAAGGAAAATAGCTGACAATATTTGTTGATAATGGTAAAATTCAAGTCCAGTTAAAATTTTCAGGCCTGATGAGCTTAATCTCAGCACTTTGGGAGGCCAAGGGGGACAGATGGCTTGAGCCCATAAGTTCGAGACCAGCCTGGGCAACGTGGCAAAACCCTGTCTCTTACAAAACATTAACTAGGTGTGGTGGTGCGTGTCTGTAGTCCTTACCACTTGGGAGACTTGAGGCAGAAGTATCACTTGGACCTTGGAGGTCTAAGCTGTAGTGAGCTGTGATTGTGCCACTGCACTTCAGCCTGGATGACGGAGTGAGACTCCGTCTCAAAAAAGAAAACAAAAAGATTCATTCTAAGTGCATAATAGATCAATGGATTTTAATTTTACAATATGGTAAGTTCATTGTGATGGTTACAGAATCCACATTGCAACTAACGTTGAAAAAACTACCATGTTTTGGCCGGTGCGGTGGCTCATGCCTGTAATCCCAGCACTTTGGGAGGCCGAGAGGGGTGGATTGCCTGAGGTCAGGAGTTCGAGACCAGTCTGACTAACATGGTGAAACCCCGTCTCTACTAAAAATACAAAAAAATAATTAGCCAGGCGTGGTGGCGTGCGCCTGTAATCCCAGCTACTCGGGAGGCTGAGGCAGGGGAATTGCTTGAACCAGGGAGGTGGAGGTTGCAGTGAGCTGATATTGCACCACTGCACTCCAGCCTGGGCGACAGAGCAAGACTGTCTCAAAAAAAAAATACCATGTTTTGAGTTTTGGTATAACATAAAAAAAGATTATCCATAATTTTTTTAAAAGGCTAGTTAAGTAAAGCAGTGGGAGTGGAGAAGGAACAAAGAAATGTATAACTGGTTATGATGAATTAATTGTAAACATCACTGCACTTGGACCAGCCTAGCCACAATTATTTGAAAAAGCTATTAAAATGCTCCTGTATTTTCCTTCTGCATATTTGTGAGGTTGGATTTTATTTATGCACTCCAAGTAAATGACTATATTGCCAGACATTTAAAATATTTGAAAAAATGTAAAACAGTGCCAGTCTTCACTAAATTTTTTTTAATTAATAACTTTTATTTTTTTTTAGAGTTGGGACCTTACTCTGTTGCCCACACTGGAATGCAGCTCACTGCACTCTTAGCTCACTGCAGCCCAAGCTCCTAGGGTCAGGCAGTCCTCCCCATCTCAGCCTCCCAAGTAGCTGGGACTACAGGCATGCACTACCACGCCTGGTTTTTTAAAAACTTTTTAAGAGATGGAGTCACACTATGTTGTCCAGGCTAGTCTTGAACTCCTGACCTCATGCTGTCCTCCTGCCTCAGCCTCTTCAGTTGCTGGGGTTACAGGAATGAGCCACCATGACCAGTTAAATCTTTTAACAATATAGTTACTTTTTCATAAAAATATGCAAGGCCAGGATGGTGGTAAGCACTTGAGCCCAGGAATACTAGGATATATTGTACTATGGTCGTGCCTGTGACTAGCCACTGCACTCCAGCCTGGGCAACATAGGGAAACTCCATCTTTTTTTTTTTTATTTTTTTTGGGGGAGTAGAGTCTTGCTCTGTTGCCCAGGCTGGAGTGCAGTGGCATGATCTTGGCTCACTGCAACCTCTACCTCCCAGGTCCAAGCAGCTCTTCTGCCTCAGCCTCCCGAGTATCTGGGACTACAGGCACATGCTACCACACCGGGCTAATTTTTGTATTTTTAGTAGAGATGGAGTTTCACCATGTTGGCCAGGCTGGTCTCGAATTCCTGACCTCAAGTGATCCACCTACCTCAGCCTCCCAAAGTATTGGGATTACAGGTGTAAACCAATGCGCCTGGCCAGGAAACTCCATCTTTAAGATAAATAAATAAAAGCAAAAAGATAAAAATACTCAATTTATGTTCAATAAAATGGAATGATTATTATTGTTATTATTATTTTTTAGATGGAGTCTCACTCTGTCACACAGGCTGGAGTGCAGTAGTGCGATCTCAACTCATTGCAACCTTTGCCACCTGGGTTCAAGCGATTTTCATGCTTCAGCCTCCCAAGTAGCTGGGATTACAGGGTTGTGCCACTATCCCCAGCTAATTTTTTCTATTTTCAGTAGAGACAGCGTTTCACCATGTTGGCCAGGCTGTTCTCGAACTCCTAATTTCAAGTGAACTACCCACCTTGGCCTCCCAAACTGCTGAGATTACAGTTGTGAGCCACCACACCCAGCCTATTGTTATTTTTAAATGAATTAATACGTATTTAAAAATCTTTTCACTTAAAATTTGCAGTATGGTCATTGACAGATATAACCCATATTAACAAAAGCTCTTTGGGGTCTTCAATAATTTTTAGGAGAATAAAGAATTCTGGGCTGGTCGCAGTGGCTCACGCCTGTAATCCCAGCTTTTGGGAGGCTGAGGTGGGCGGATTACAAGGTCAAGAGATCAAGACCATCCTGGCCAACATGGTGAAACCCCGTCTCTACTAAAAATACAAAAATTAGCTGGGCATGGTGGCGCATGCCTGTAATCCCAGCTACTTAGGAGGCTAAGGCAGGAGAATCACTTGAACCTGGGAGGTGGAAGTTGCAGCGAGGCTCTGTCTCAAAAAAAAAAAAAAAAAAAAAAAGAATTCTGGAGACTCCAAAATTTGAGAACCACTGCCCTATAGCAGTGTGTCACTGTCTTTTAAATTGATTTTTTTTTAATTGAAATATAATTTAGTCTGGGCGCGGTGGCTCAGGCCTGTAATCCCAGCACTTTGGGAAGCCAGTGTAGGTGGTTCACCTGAGATTAGACGTTTGAGACCTGCCTGGCCAACATGGCAAAATCCTGTCTATACTTAAAAAATACAAAAAATTAGCCAGGCATGGTGGTGGACTCCTGTGATCCCAGGTACTCAGGAGGTTGAGGTGGGAGAATCACTTGAACCTGGGAGGCAGAGGTTGCAGTGAGCCAAGATCACTCCACTGCACTCCAGCCGGGGCTACAGAGCGAGAGACTCTGTCTCAAAAAAAAATTATATATTTTACCTGAGTAAGGTGCTCAGACCTTATGGTGTAAAGTCCAGTGAGTTTTTATAAACAGATGCATACATCTCTGTAACCAACACTCCATCCAATCTATAGAACGTGTTCATCACCAGAGAAAGTTCCCTTTTGCTCTTTTCCAGTCAATCCTCCACTTCCTTGTCTTGAGAAAAACACTTGTGTTTTCTACCACCATAGCTTAATTTTGCCCATTTTAGTTTTCATATAGATGGAACCACACAGTTTAGATTCTTTTTTTTTTTTTGAGGCAGTCTTGCTCTGTCACCCACACTGGAGTGCGGTGGTGCAATCTTGGCTCACTGCAACCTCCGCCTCCAGGGTTCAAGCAGTTCTCCTGCCTCAGCTTCCGGAGTAGCTGGGACTACAGGCGGGTGCCACCACGCCCAGCTCATTTTTTTTTTTGTATTATTAGTAAAGATGGGGTTTCATCATACTGGCCAGGCTGGTCTCGAGCCCCTGACCTCGTGATCCACCCACCTCGGCCTCCCCAAGTGTTGGGATTACAGGCGTGAGCCACCGCGCCCGGCCAGATTCTTTTATGTCTGGCTTCTTCACTCGTGTGTGAAAGGTAAATACAACTCGACGTTACTCAGAGCAGTGAAAACAGGTTTTATTTAATAACTACTGTGGGAAAAGAGCTGAGCTCCATTCTGATTTGTGTGGGGATGACTGGGCATTTTAAAGGGAGAGGAGTGAGGGGGACTTAGTAGAGTCAGAGAAGTGAAAAAGTACAAAGAGTTGATCAGTGTAAATGTGATTAGTCTAGCTGTGTCTGACAGCTGACAGTGTGGAAATTAGAATTCTTTCCTCCCACAGAGGCTGGAAGACAGACAAAGGCCCATCCTTCCCGTTGATTACATTTCAATGGAATGGCTCTTGGGTTTTAGAGAAAGACACTTCTAAGTAGTAAGAGATGGATATTCACATTTGTAAGCTCTTTTTAGTACCTGCTCTAAGAAAGGAAATTTGGGGGCCTACATAAGGTGTTTGCTAGAACAAACATATTCTCCTGGCCATGATGCTCTTTCTCAGGCAGGCATTTCTACGACGGACAGAGGGTTAGGGTCATCCTAGGGACCTGACCCTCTTCTTCCCCCCCACCTTTTTTTTTTTTTTCCATTTTTTGAGTTTTGCTCTTGTTGCCCAGGCTGGAATGCAGTGGCGCGATCTTGGCTCACTGCAACCTCCGTCTCCTGGGTTCAAGCTATTCTCCTGCCTCAGCCTCCTGAGTAGATGGGTTTACAGGTGTGCGCCACCACGCCCAGCTAAGTTTTTGTGTTTTTAGTAGAGACAAGCTTTCATCATGTTGGCCAGGATGGTCTCTATCTCCTGACCTTGTGATCCACCTGCCTCGGCCTCCCGAAGTGCTGGGATTACAGGCGTGAGCAACTGCGCCCAGACTCAAGTTTTTCTTATAAGTGTAACCGCCCAATGGGTTAACTTTGCCTGCTGCCCAGACAAAGCCGATTCATCAAGATGGGGGAATTGCAGTGGAAAAAGACTAATTTACGCAGAGCTGGTTGTGCTTGAGACCGGAGTTTTATTACTCAAATCAGTCTCCCTGAGCATTTGGGGATCAGAGTTTTTAAAGACAATTTGGCTGGTAGGGGCTTGGGAAGTGGATACTACTGATTGGTCAGGTTGGAGATGGAATCACAGGGGATTGAAGTGAGTTTTTCTTGCTGTCTTCTCTTCCTGGGTGGGATGGCAAAACTGGTTGAGCCAGATAACGAGTCTGGGTGGTGTCAGCTGAGTGCAGGGTCTGCAAAATATCTCAAGTACTGATCTTAGGTTTTACAATAGTGATGTTATCCACGAGAGCAATTTGGGGAGGTTCAGACTGTTAGAGCTAGAGGCTACATGACCCTTAAACTCTAATTTCTAATCTTGTAGCTAATTTGTTAATCCCAGAAAGACAGACTGGTTGGTCCCCAGGCAAGAAGGGGGTCTTTTCGGGAAAGGGCTGTTACTAATCTTGTTTCAGAGTCTAACCATGAACTGAATTCCTTCTCAAAGTTAGTTGGGCCCACCAGAAATGAACAAGGACAATTTACAGGTTAGAAGTAAGATGGAGTCAGTTAGGTCCGATTTCTTTCACTGTCATAATTTCCTTAGTTATAATTTTGCAAAGGCAGTTCCAAGTGAAGGAATCATATTCATGATCTCCAGGAATTCCTTCCAGCCCTAATATTCTATGATCCTAAGTGGGAAGAATTGATGAAAGTCATGTTGTGGGCCAGGCGCAGTGGCTCACGCCTGTCTGTGATCCCAGCACTTTGGGAGGCCTAGGTGGGCGGATCACCTGAGGTCAAGAGTTCAAGAGCAGTCTGGCCAACATGGTGAAACCCCATCTCTACTAAAAATACAAAAATTAGCTGGGTGTGGTGGTGTGCGCCTGTAATCCCAGCTACTCAGGAGGCTGAGGCAGGAGAATCACTTGAACCCTGGAGGCAGAGGCTGCAGTGAGCCAAGATCGCGCCACTGTACTCCAGCCTGGGTGACAGAGTGAAACTCCAACTAAAAAAAAAAAAAAGAGTCATGATATGGATGAAGAATGTTGAGAGGAGAGATCCAATGGGAATG
This sequence comes from Homo sapiens, assembly GCF_000001405.40. NCBI lineage: Eukaryota > Metazoa > Chordata > Mammalia > Primates > Hominidae > Homo > Homo sapiens. The sequence goes on along the minus strand of NC_000001.11, from coordinate 32,635,226 downwards.
TGCTATAGTACCGTTTGTTACTTTCTGGTTTTCCTGTGGGAATATCAGGAAAAAGCTCATATATTGTGGAGTTTATTTTCTAAATTGATTTTATCTAGGATTAGGTTCACTGTAAAAGAAAAGGTGAGACAGAAACCTGGAATTTTATTTATTTATTTATTTATTTTTGAGATGGAGTCTTGCTCTGTTGCCCAGGCTGGAGTGCAGTGGCGCGATCTTGGCTCTCTGTCCCCGCAAAAAAAAAAAGATTCCAACAAAGCAAAGCAATTAGCTTTGTTGAGTGAATAGATAGCAAAAGGTGTGGATGGACTGGCCCACATTTTCTTGCTCTTTAAAGATGATATTCCTAATAATAATGGACTAGAGTTATTTTGTGTGTGTGATTTGAGAGTCAAGTTTAGTGTCTTATAAGTGTTTTTCCCTCTGTCCCTCAGATTTGGATCATACAGCAGATGTCCAGTGAGTATAGCGGGAGTTCATTCCTTTGAAACCACGTCAGTAGGAAGACTGAATGTTTCAATCTTGGTATCCCTATCTTTAATTTTTCTCCTCTCATTTTGGTTCCTTCACAATATGAAAATGATGGTTTGAAAGCACTCAGTTTTGCAGGGTTCAGTGGCTCAGTGAGCCGAGATTGCACCACTGCACCCCAGCCTGGGTGACAGAGAGACCCCATCTCAAAAAATAAAAAATAAAAATAAGGCCGGGTGTGGTGGCTCAACGCCTGTAATCCCAGCACTTTGGGAGGCTGAGGCGGACGGATCATGAGGTCAGGAGTTCGAGACCAGCCTGACCAACATGGTAAAACCCCGTCTCTACTAAAAATACAAAAATTAGCCGGGTCTGGTGGTGCCTGCCTGTAATCCCAGCTACTTGTGAGGCTGAGGCAGGAGAATTGCTTGAACCCAGGAGGCAGAGGTTGCAGTGACCCGAGATCGCACTACTGCACTCCAGCTTGGGCAACAGAGTGAGACTCAGTCTAAAAAATCATAAATAAATAATAAAAAGAAAAGCACCTGGTTGCAGTGCTGTTAAATTGATTGAGGCCTTAAAATTTGTATTTATCATACTGAATTTATTTTGACTTTGCCTGCTATCAAATTTTCTTTCTTGCAGTGGATTGTATTACACAGAGCATGAATATACTTCTTTAGGTTACACGCATGGGGAGATACTCTGGAGGAAGCATTTGAGCAATGTGCAATGGCCATGTTTGGTTACATGACAGATACTGGGACAGTGGAGCCCCTCCAAACAGTAGAAGTAGAAACCCAAGGTAAATGATTTATTCACAAGGAAGAAATTGTTATACAGTACTGTATAGAATTGTGCAGTATTCTACATAATCTGAGTATATTTTCACAAAAAGAACCAGAAAATTAAGGATGAGTCTTTTCTTTCTCTTTAAACTGACCTAAGACATTTATTTATTGCACTTTTAAATTCAAGTATGTTTTTAGAGACCAGAATTATTAAATATACTATTTGATCTTGTGTAGGAGATGACTTACAGTCTCTTCTGTTTCACTTTTTGGATGAATGGCTTTATAAGTTCAGTGCTGATGAATTCTTCATACCCCGGGTAAGCAAAGGTTTTTCTTTTTTACTGAGCAAATGGATTCTTAGTTCATATTTTAAAATAGAACAGATGATTTAAAATAGGACATGTGAAACAAAACCAATCCATACAAATAAGATGATACTGATTTGCAGAGATTATAATGACCACGGGCACTTCCTGGTTAACCTGCATTTGCCTATGTGGGAACATTTCGTATTTAGATCTCATGTATTTGTCACTAATCAGGATTGTGTGATAAAAATGTACCTACAGTTTTCATCCACATTTTTTTCTGTTTTTGTTTTTGATAGAGACAGGGTGTTGCTATGTTGTCGAGGCTAGTCTTGAACTCCTAGCTTCCGGCAATCCTCCTGCCTCAATTTTGCAAAGTGCTGGGATTACAGGTGTGAGCATTGCACGCAGCCTCATCCACACTTTTTATGTTTCCCAAGTTTGAGCTATATTTATGTCCATCCATTTTTTCCTTTTGTTCCATGAAATTTAGTAGCCCTGTCACATTGGCCTAAGTTAAACAACTGCAGCTTTTAGTTTTCCTTAACATGAAAAAAGGAAAAGCCAAATGGAGATTGCTTGCTGCTGTCATCCTTTAGAAGGGAACACATCTGCAATGTCATTGTTATTTAATAGAGATGGCACTCTCTGCTTTTATAATTCCTCCATTCTCTGCTTTACCAGCTTCACTACTTATACTCATTCTATCAACTGAGTCACTCATCCTACAGAATTCAAGTGCCTACCAGTAGTTTATTAGGCTCAGAGTGATTGAAATCCTATGTCGTCCTCCTCCACCATATATCTGTTTTCCCCCAGCGTTAAACAACAGCTTTTATTGAAGTGGCAGTGTACAGCAGCGGCAGAGGTACTGCCCCTGTGTGCCCAGAGTAGTTCTCTACCATATATCTTGCAGAGAAATTCTTTTGACTCATATTTTTAGATCTTACATTTTTCTAGAATACCTCCCTTGAATATGTAAGAAAAAACTTATTTCCTTGAAATATATTTAATACTCAGCTTGGGCAACATGGCGAAACTCCCTGTCTCAAAAAAAACAAAAAAACAATAATTATCTGGGCGCAGTGGCACATGCCTGTGGTCCCAGCTACTCCAGAGGCTGAGGTGGGAGGATTGCTTGAGCTCGGGAGGTGAAGGTTGCAGTGAGCCAAGATCATGCCATGGCACTCCAGACTGGGCAACAGAGTGAAACCTTGTCTCAAACAAACAAACAAAAAAAACTGCATACATATATATCTCATTTGTTGTCCTATTTTAGCTAACATTTTAATTTTCTTTGCTTCACAGAAGTTGTGTGCTATTGTTTTCTAGAAAAGGTTGTAAAGGCCAGGCGCGGTGGCTTACGCCTGTAATCCCAGCACTTTGGGAAGCCGAGGCAGGTGGATCACCTGAGGTCAGGAGTTCGAGACCAGTCTGACCAATAAGGTGAAACCCCGTCTCTACTAAAAATACAAAAAAAATTGATTGGCCGGGCGTGGTGGCAGGCGCCTGTAGTCCCAGATGCTCAGCAGGTTGAGACAGGAGAATTGCTTGAACCTGGGAGGTGGAGGTTGCAGTGAGCCGAGATCACGCCACTGTACTCCAGCCTGGGCGATGGAGTAAGGCTCCATCTCAAAAAAAAAAAAAAAAAAAAAAAAAAAGGTTTTACCAATTTTTAGTAGATGGTCCAAAAAAACAAAACAGAACAAAAAGATTTTTAGTAGATAGTCTATTATGAACTTTTTTTAATTAAAAAATTTTTCTTCCTGTCTAGGAAGTGAAAGTACTTAGCATTGATCAAAGAAATTTCAAATTACGATCAATTGGGTAAGTTTTGAAAGTCTTTTAAGTACCGAGTTAAAGTTATATTCTTCATTGAATTCAATGAGCAAGGAAACAGATGGAAACATAAATCAGAGGGCCACTTGCAGATTGAGTTTTGTGGGATGTCTAAGGGCTTGGAAGGACCAGAAACTTAACAAAATAAAGTTGATTTTAATTGTTAAATCTGATTCCCAATTTGTTGATTTTTTAGGGAGAGAATATGTGTAATTGCTAAATGGCACAGCATAAAGCCCAGCTTAGTGGATGGGAAACACTGACACTTTTTTTCTCATATGTTCTCACTTCTAGACCTATTTAAATCAATTCCTTCTTTTAACAAATCGTACTTTTATTTTCCTTCCAGAGTTTGCAAACACTTGATTAGGTCACTTTGATTGGACTTGTTTCTCAGGTTTCTTTAGTCACTTAATTATATTTTTTAGGTTTTTTCTTTTTTTTCTTTTTTTTTTTTTTTGATACAGGGTCTTGTTCTGTCTCCCAGGCTGGAGTACAGTGGTGTGGTCATGGCTCACTGCAGCTTCAGCCTCCTGGGCTCAAGGGATCCTCCCACCTCAGCCTCCTGAATAGCTGGGACCACCAAGTGTGCCACTATGCCTGGCTGACTTTTTTGTTTTCTGAAGAGATGGGGTCTCCCCATGTTGCCCAGGCTGGTCTCAAACTCCTGGGCTCAAGCAGTCCTCTGGCCTCTGCCTCCCAAAGTGCTGAGGTAATAGGCATGAGCCACTGTGCCTGGCCCTCCTAGGTTACTTTTACATATAGCTTTTTTATTTTATTTTCATTTATTATTTATTTATTTATTTTTGAGACAGAGTCTCGCTCTGTTGCTCAGGCTGGAGTGTGTGATCTCAGCTCACTGCAACCTCCACCTCCTGGGTTCAAGCGATTCTTCTGCCTCAGCCTCCCGAGTAGCTGAGATTATACGCGCCTGCTACCACGCCTGGCTAATTTTTTGTATTTTTAGTATAGACGGGGTTTCACTGTGTTGGCCAGGCTGGTCTGAAGCTCCTGACCTCAGGTGATCTGCCCGCATCAGCCCTCCCAAAGTGTCGAGATTACAGGCTTGAGCCACTGTGCCCGGCCTCATTTATTTTTTTAGAAATGGGTTCTCATTCACTATGTTGCCCAGGCATCCTCAAACTCCTGGGCTCAAGTGATCCTCCTGCCTTGGCCTCCTGAGTAGCTGGGACAACAGGTGCATACCACCACGCCCGGCTCCATTTAATTTAATTTAATTTGATTGATTGATTGATTGATTTGAGACAGGGTCTTGCCCTGTCCCCCAGGCTGGAGTGCAGTGGTGTAATCATGGCTCACTGCAGCTTTGAACTCCTGGGTTCAAGTGATCCTCCTTTCTCAGCCTCCCAAGTAGCTGGGACTACAGGTGCGCACTACCATGCCCAGCTAATTTGTTGTTGTTGAGACAGAGTCTTGCTCTGTTGCCCAGGCTGGAGGGCAGTGGTGCAGTCTTGGCTCGCTGCAACCTCTGCCTCCAGAGTTCAAGCGATTCTCCTGCCTGAGCCTCCTGAGTAGCTGGGATTACAGGCGCCTGCCACCATGCCTGGCTAATCTCAGCTAATTTTTAATTTTTTATAGAGATGGGGTCTTGCTATGTTGCTAGGCTGGTCTCTAACTCCTGTGGCCCCATTTTATATTGAATTTCATTCACTTCTTTTTGTAAAGTGAGATCTTTTATTATCTTCTCTGTGTTTTTGTTTTGTTTTGTTTTTTGTTGTTTTTTAATGAGTAAAGAAACAGGCTTGCTGGGTGCAGTGGCTCACGCCTGTAATCCCAGCACTTTGGGAGGCCGAGGCGGGCAGATCAGGAGGTCAAGAGATTGAGACCATCCTAGCCAACATGGTGGAACCCCATCCCTACTAAAAATACAAAAATTAGCCAGGTGTGGTGGTGGGCACCTGTAATCTGAACTACTCAGGAGGCTGAGGCAGGAGAATCGCTTGAACCCAGGAGGCAGAGGTTGCAGTGAGCCAAGATTGTGCCACTGCACTCCAGCCTGGCAACAGCGCGAGACTCTGGCTCAAAAAAAAAAAAAAAAAAAAAAGAAACAAGCATGTCCAAAAGTACTAGCTAATAAGTGTTTGAACAGAATTTTAAAGCTTTGCTCTTTCTATTATACCACGTTGTGATCTTCACTCACATTAGTGTCAAAGACAGAGAGGAGACTGATCCTAAGTTCTAGATTACTTTTCTAGGGCCTTCTATATACAGATCATGGATATTTTTGGAAAAGTTGTAAAGTGTAAACCAAGTTCGGACTGTATTATAGAGTCTAGTATTTTGCCTTTGTGGTACTCAGACTTGCTTTCTCCAGTGGGAGGTATTATTTAATTAGTTTTTGTTTTTCTTTTTTGTTTTGTTTTTGTTGTTTTTGTTTTGAGAGAGGGTTTTGCTTTGTCTCTCAGCCTGGAGTGCAGTGGCATGATCATGGCTCACTGCAGCCATGACCTTTTGGGCTCAAGCAATCCTCCTACCTCAACCTCCCACCTAGCTAGGACAACAGACATATGCCACCATGCCTGGCTAATTTTTTTTTTTAATCTTTTGTAGAGACAGGGTCTCGCTACATTGCCCAGGCTGGTCTCAAACCCCTGAGCTCAAGCTATCTTCCTGCCTCAGTCTCCCAAAGTGCTGAGATTACAGGTGTGAGCCACCGCACCCAGCCTACTTAACTAGTTTCATAACTGAGGATAGTAAAAATTTTGAATATGTTACTACTCTGTTTTGAAACAATATTTACTAAACAATGTTTATTGAGATTCCACCATAGGTACACTATATTGGGGCACATTTATTTTGAGATCAACTATCAACCTTTTTTTAAAGTTTTTAAAATTAATTTTTTGTTTGTTTGTTTTTTAGACAGTCTCACTCTGTTGCCCAGGCTGGGAGTGCAATGATGTGATCTTGGTTCACTGCAATGTCCGCCTCCCAGATTCAAACCATTCTTGTGCCTCAGCCTCCCGAGTAGGTGGGACCACGGGCGCATGGAACCATGCCTGCCTAATTTTTGTATTTTTAGTAGAGACGAGTTCTCACCATGTTGGCCAGGCTGGTCTTGAACTCCTGGATTCATCTACCTCTGCCTCCCAAAGTGCTGGGATTACAGGTGGGAGCCACTGTGCCTGGCCACTAGAATTAAATTTTTTTTTTTTTTTGAGACAGAGTCTCGCTCTGTTGCCCAGGCTGGAGTGCAGTGGCATGATCTCAGCTCACTGCAATCTCCGCCTCCTGGCTCAAGCGATTCTCCTGCCTCAGCCTCCTGAGTAGTTCGGATTACAGGTGCCTACCACCACGCCTGGCTAATTTTTGTATTTTTAGTAGAGACAGAGTTTCATCATGTTGGCCAGGCTGGTCTTGAACTCCTGACCTCAGGTGATCCGCCTACCTCGGCCTCCCAAAGTGCTGGGATTACAGGCATGAGCCACCGCGCCTGACCTTTTTCATTTCGCTCTGTTGCCTAGGGTGGAGTGCAGTGGCGCGATCTTGGCTCACTGCAACCTCCACCTCCTGGGTTCAAGCGATTCTCCTGCCTCTGCCTCCCAAGTAGCTGGGATTACAGACATGCGCCACCACGCCCGGCTAATTTTGTGTTTTTAGTAGAGACAGGGTTTTTCCATGTTGGTCAGGCTGGTCTCAAACTGCCGACCTCAACTGCCGACCTCAGATGATCCACCTGCTTCGGCCTCCCAAAGTGCTGGGGTTACAGGCATGAGCCACCGCGCCTGGCCTATAATTAAAAATTCTTTTGAAACACAGTCTTGCCCTGACACCCAGGCTAGAGTGCGGTGGTGCAATCACAGCTCACTGCAGCCTTGACTTCTGGGCTCAAGCAATCTTCCTGCCTCCTCCTCGTGAGTGGCTGGGACCACAGGCATGTGCCACCACACCCAGCTAACTTTTTTTATTTTTTTAATTTTGTGTACAGATGAGGTCTCCCTATGTTGCTCAGGCTGTTCTCAAACTCCTGGGCTCAAGCGATCCTCCCTTTGGCCTCCGGAAGTGCCAGGATTATAGGTATGAGCCACCGCACCTGGCCTTAACTATCAACCTTGAGAGCAAATGATGACACTGCACACACGTCCCTCAACAGCTGTATCTTCTGACAAATGAAAATGAAACTTAACAGCTCCCTGACCCCCTCCTGTCTCTTTTGGCTTTCTAGCATGTTAACCACATTTACAAGGCTTATTTTAAAACATATAAAGAGAGAACAAATCTTAATCATGTTTTAATTTGTATTCTCAAGGTGGGGAGAAGAATTTTCATTGTCCAAGCACCCTCAGGTATGTTTTAAAATCCAGCCATTAAGAACATGAAAAATTTCCTTACCATAAAGTTCATATATGTGACAATCAACTTCAGTTAGTTCTAACTGGTGTAAAGTGATAAGTTTTTCTCAAGCTTCTCTGACCTGTCTGGATATATTTTGTTAAAATACTGTGATTATACACACCTGATTTAGTGGATGAGGCGTCAGCATTGGGTTCTAGGGTCAAGTTTGTTCAGATTATTGTGGAATTTGAAATTCTCTTTGCCTTTTTGACCTTTATTTCTTCTCCTATAATAAAGATGTTGGACTAGATGTTCTCTATTGTGCCTTCTACTTTCTGTGTGTCTCTAGATTCTGTATTTGCCGACCTGTATGGCCTCACTCTATGGTAGGAAAATCTATTGGAACAGGAGTTGGCAGTTTTTTTCTGTAAAATGGACAGATAATAAATGTTTTAAGATTTGTGGGCCCAGAATGACAGAAGAGCAGCTACTCAGTGCTTCTGTTGTAGCACCAAAGTAGCCATAGATAATACTTAAATGAATGAGTTCACTTGTATTCTAGTAAAACTTATTTATGCCCATTGAAATTTGAATTTCTTATCATTTTCAAATGTAACAAAATGTCATTGTTTTGATTTTTTTCCCCAACCATTTAAAAATGTAAAAATCAGGGCAGGCATGGTGGCTCAGACCTGTAATCCCAGCACTTTGGGAGGCCAAGGCAGGCAGATCGCTTTAGGTCAGGAGTTTGAGACCAGCCTGGCCAACATAGTGAAACCTAGCCTCTACTAAAAATACAAAAATTAGCTGGGCGTGGTGGCACGCGCCTGTAATCCTAGCTGCTCAGGAGGCTGAGGCAGGAGAATCACTTTAACCTGGGTGGCAGAGGTTGCAGTGAGCCGAGATCATGCCACTGCACTCCAGCCTGGGTGACAGAGCGAGACTGGTCTCAAAAAAATAAAATAAAAGTAAATAAATAAAGATGTAAAAATCACTCTTACTTTATGGGACTGTACAAAAAGAGGCAATTTGGCCTGTGGGCTATATATATTTTGCTGACCCCTGTGTTTAGGCCAGATACAGACAGGTCACTTAACTACTGGGATACATTCTGAGAAATGCATCTTTAGGCGATTACATCATTGTGCAAACATCATGGAGTGTACTTACACAAACCTAGATGCTATAACCTATGCTATATGGTATAGCCTATTGCTCCTAGGCTATGAACCTGTACAGCATGTTACTATACTGAATACTATAGGCAGTTGTTACACATTGGTAAATATTTGTGTATTTATATTTCTAAATACCAAAAAAAGGTATAGTAAAAATACAGTATTATAGGCCCGGCGTGGTGGTTCACGCCTGTAATCCCCGCATTTTGGGAGGCCGAGGTGGGTGAATCACCTGAAGTCAGGAGTTCTAGACCAGCCCGGCCAACGTGGTGAAACCCCATCTCTACTAAAAATACAAAAATTAGCTGGGTGCGGTGGCGGGCGCTTGTAATCCCAGCTATTCGGGAGGCTGAGGCAGGAGAATCGCTTGAACCTGGGAGGCAGAGGTTGCAGTGAGCGGAGATCACGCCATTGCACACTCCAGCCTGGGCGACAAGAGCAAAACTCCATCTAAAAAAAAAAAAAAGAAACAGCATTATAATCTTCTCAGACCACCATCATATATGCAGTTAGTCATTGACCAAAATGTTATGCGGCACATAACTGTATTCTAAATTCATATTTGTCATTGGAAGTGTTCAGAATGGATTGTGAGCAAATTAATTTCATTTATTCCTAAGAGTTTTTGTTTATGTGAGACAGTGCCTTGCTGTGTTGCCCAGGCTGATCCGAAACTCCTAGTCTCAAGCAATCCCCCCACTTCAGTCTCCTGAGTAGCTGAGCTTACAGGTGCACACCACCAATTCCAGCTTGGTACTCCTAACAGTTTTTGTTTTGTTTTGTTTTGTTTTGTTTTGTTTTGTTTTTGAGACGGAGTCTCATGCTATTGCCCAGGCTGGAGTGCAGTGGCACGATCTCAGCTCACTGCAACCTCCGCCTCCCAGGTTCAAGCGATTCTCCTGCCTCAGCCTCACAAGTAGCTGTGATTACAGGCACATGACGCCATACCTGGCTAATTTTTTGTATTTTTAGTAGAGATGGGGTTTCACCATGTTGGCCAGGCTGATCTCGAACTCCTGAGCTCAGGTGATTTACCTACCTCAGCCTCCCAAAAGAGGCGTGAGCCATCGCGCCCAGCCAACAGTTTTTTTTATTATTATTATTCTTTCTTTTTTTTTTTGAGACAGTCTCACCCTGTCACCCAGGCTGGAGTGCAGTGACGTGACCTCTACTCACTGCAACCTCCCCCTCCCAGGTTCAAGCGATTCTCGTGTCTCAGCCTCCCGAGTAGCTGGGATTACAGGCCCATGCAACCATGCCAGGCTAATTTTTGTATTTTAGTAGAGACTGGGTTTCACCATGTTGGCCAGGCTGGTTTCGAACTCCCGACCTCAGGTGATCCACCCACCTTGGCCTCCCAAAGTGCTGGGATTATAAGCGTGAGCCACTGCACCCAGCTACTTCTTATTTTTTGAATGAATGATCAAATAACTCTTTTTTTTTTTTTGAGATGGAGTCTTACTCTGTTGCCCAGGCTGGAGTGCAGTGGTGTAATCTCAGCTCACTGCAACCTCCACCTCCCAGGTTCAAGCGATTCTCCTGTCTCTGCCTCCTGAGTAGCTGGGATTACAGGTGTATGCCACCACAGCCGGCTAATTTTTGTATTTTTAGTAGAGGTGGGGTTTCACCATGTTGGTCAGGCTGGTCTCAAACTCCTGACTTCAGGTGATCCACCTGCCTCGGCCTCCCAAAGTGCTGAGATTACAGGCATGAGCCACTGGGCCCAGCCAATCAACTTTTCAAAGCAAAAAGGAATGTTTTACAAATAGCTTATTAAAACATCTGGTTCCTGGAATATTTCTTGGTTTAAAAATACCTTCCTGGTTTTAATACTGTCTTTACCTTCTCTCCATGAATCCATATGCCATCCATCCATGAATTTATGCATGCATTCAGCAAATACTTATCAAGTGCCTCCAGTGTTTCAGACTTTTTTTTATGCACTCGAGGTAGAAATGTAATAGGATAAGCGAAGTCTCTGCCCTTACTGAGTTTAAAATGTAGTGGGAGAAGTGAGCCAGACAAACATGTAAACACATAATATAATTTCAGATAGTGAACAGTGCCATCAGGATAAGGTAAGAGTGGTTGGAGGAGGGGAGGGGGTAGTCAGAAAATATATGTTTATTAACCCATTCTCACGCTGCTGATAAAGACATACCCGAGACTGGGTAATTTATAAAGGAAAGGGGCTTAATTGATTCATAGTTCAGCATGGCTGGGGAGACCTCAGGAAACTTACAATCATGGTGGAGGGGGAAGCAAACCCTTCCTTCTTCACATTGTGGCAGGAAGAGAAGTGAGTGCTGAGCGAAGGGGGAAGCCCCTTAGAAAACCATCAGATCTCCTGAAAACTCACGCACTATCACTAGAACAGCATGGTGGAAACCGCCCCCGTGATTCAATGATCTCCACCTGCTCCCTCCCTCCCACAACACGTGGAGATTATGAGCACTACAGTTCAAGATGAGATTTGGGTGGGGACACAGCCAAAATATATCAGTATGTTTGAGAAAGTGATATTTGAGCAGAGGCAAGAGAGATGAGGAGTGAGCAGAAATAAGGAAGAACTTTCTAGGTGAAGAAACAGGTGTAAAGGCCCTGAAATGAGGTAAGTTCAGGGAACAGCAAGCTGGAGCTGAGAGTGAAGGTGTAATAGTAGGAGACAAGGTTGTAGAGATAGGGCCACAGCCTCTTTGGTAAAATTTGGTAAGGGGAGTATAGGATCAAGTACTCACGTATGGGAGTTGGCCTTCTGATGGGAGCCAGGGACAAGCCATTCATTGCAATCAGGCTAAGGTGAGTACAGATACAGCATGATGGTAGATTTGGTGGTAGGAAAATGAGTCAGTTCTTACTGAGTTGCTCTTACTTTCTCTAGGAAGCACAGTTGATTGAGAGTGAGAATGAGGGAGGAATGATCACTAGAGGAGAAGAGAAAGAATTGTCTCAGAGAGTGAAAAAGGGAATTTATTGGTAATTGTAAGATTTTACTGCGAGTACTGAATTCCTGTTTGAGATGTGTGGACATACACTCAGGGTGATACCAGTTAGCATGGTGTGTGCTGCCATAAGCAGACAGTTGAACTTGAATTAGGTTGTGGTTTTGCCAGGTGATTGTGGCAGAGGAGAAAAAGCAGTGGCAGTGCCACTTATATCCTTCTGTGAAATCTTCCTTTTTTTGTGTGGTGTAGAGCTAGCAAATGCCATTTACCTATTGCCTGGTACATTTTATGGTGCACAGAATTATTGTAGATTCCTTTTGGAGCTGGAAAGAACCTAAGAGAACATCTAATTCTGTGGTTTTAAACTGGGGCAGGGTTGGGCAATGTCATGTATCAGAGACGTGTGGAGAGCTTTTGACCTGGGAAACTATATCTTATTCTTCAGCTAGACTTGGAAAGAGAAGAGTCCCAAGAGGTGAAGTGAGTGTTGTCAACTGAGGAAAAGAGAATAAGTTGAATTCCTAGGGCCTAGGTCAGAGTATAAGGAGGTGGTTTTGATTTCAGAAAGAGCCCTGAGCCAAATAGTAGAAAAGCTTGTGTTCTTTGATTCAACCCATTTTCTTTTTTTTTTTTTAATCATCCTCAAAAGTTTTTTACTTTTTTTTCTTTCCAACTTTTATTTTTAGGTTCATGGGGTACATATACGAGTTTGTTACATGGGTAAATTGCATGTTGTGGGGGTTTAGTGTACAGATAATTTTGTCACCTAGGTAATCAGCATAATACCTGATAGGCAGTTTTTCAATCCTCACCCTCCCCCAACTCTCAAATAGACCCGGTGTCTTGTTTCCCTCTTTGTGTTCATGTGTACTCAATGTTTATGTCCCAAATAAATATATGGAAACATGGTATTTGATTTTCTGCTCCTGCATGAATTCACTTAGGATAATGGCCTCCAGCTCCATCCACGTTGTTGCAAAGAACATGATCTCATTCTTTTTTATGGCTGTGTAGTATTCTATGGTGTATGTGTGTCACATTTTCTTTATCCAGTCTACCATTGATGGGCATGTGGATTGATTCTATGTCTTTGCTATTGTGAATAGTGCTGCAGTGAACATACCCATGGATGTGTCTTTATGTGATTTAACCCATTTTATAAATGAAAAACTGATGTCCAGACAGGCCAGACAATTTCTATACACCCAGGTGGAAACAAAGCCAGGATTAGAGTTCCATGTCCCAACTCCATTGTGCATGTGTTGCCTCTCATTTTTCTTGGATCCCTGTATATTCTCCTAATTTGATAACTAATTGTTTCATGTGAGTTTTTCATTTTCAAAATACTAAAATTTTTACTTTCTGCTGATTGTTGCTAGAGTTAATGATTATGATTTCAATATCCTATTTTCCTTTTTTTTTTTTTTTTCTCTAACCCCAACTTTAGGGAACAGAAGTCAAAGCAATAACATATTCAGCAATGCAGGTCTATAATGAAGAGAACCCGGAAGTTTTTGTGATCATTGACATTTAAGACACCAAAAAATAAAAGACTCCTACGAAGAACTGTTTTTGTTTTCCTCTTCCTTTTGAGAAGACACTATGAATTAAATTCTACAGCTTTTTTTTGATATATGGAAATTTGTAGAACAGAAATATTTTAGTTAAAGTGTGACTTTCAGAAAGGGAAAATCAGGGCACAGCCTTGGTCTGTGTTCCCCAAATATTCACACTTTAAAGAATTCTTCAACCCCCCAAGGGACAGTTATGGTCCTTTGATTCTCTGCTGTGGCAGTAGGTGTGCCTCATGCCCTTCCAGTGCAATGCAAGCCCTCCAGCCTCACCCCAGAGAGGATCACTGATGTCAGCAGCAGCCTGAGGCTGAATCCAGGTTGAAAGAAGAATAACTTGAAAAAATATATTTCCACACACAGAATTTTGTTTTTCTTCCAAGTTGGTTAAGACATATATTTTGTTTCTTTTTTTTTTTTTTTTTTGAGACGGAGTCTCGCTCTGTAGCCCAGGCTGAAGCGCAGTGGTGTGAGCTCGGCTTACTGCAAGCTCCACCTCCCGGGTTCACGCCATTCTCCTACCTCAGCCTCCCGAGTAGCTGGGACTATAGGCACCCGCCACCATGCCCGGCTAATTTTTGTATCTTTAGTAGAGACGGGGTTTCACTGTGTTAGCTAGGATGGTCTTGATCTCCTGACCTTGTGATCCGCCCACCTTGGCCTCCCAAGGTACTGCGATTACAGGCATGAGCTACCATGCCCGGCCACAAGACATAGATTTTCTATATGCACATCAAGGGAGGTGCTGGTTTAGGTTGCTATAGGACAGAGCTATCCTGTATTCCAGTTGGTTTTTGTAGAGAAACAATTAGACTTCTCTAGATAGAGCCCTGATTTTTCTCTCACGCTTTCAGTTTTTTAAAAGCACTAATGATATTTCCTGTTTTCTCATAAGAAAAAGTCAATACTATGCCTTACAAAGAGACCTTTCCTTCTAATATAGAATTTTATTTGAAAGTGAGTACATGTTTATAACTAGAGAATAAAAGGAGAATTTTTGAAAAATTTCTTTATTGTTGTTTTTGTTTAACTACTTAAGCTATTCGTCCTTTTTTTTGAGACAGGGTCTTGCTCTGTCCCCCAGGCTGGAATGCAGTGGTGCAATCATAGCTTACTGTGGCCTCGAACTCCTGGGCTCGAGCAGTCCTTCCAACTCAGCTTCCCAAATTGCTGGAACTACAGGAATGCACCACCATACCTGGCTAATTTTTAAATTTTTTTGTAGAGACAGGGTCTCACTATGTTGTCTTGAACTGGTCTTGAACTCCTGGGCTCAAGTGATCCACCTTGGCCCCCCAAAGTACTGGGATTACAGGTGTGAACCACTGCACCAGGCCTAGCTATTTGTCTTTAAGGAGACAGGAGGCCAGGAAAACAACCTTAAAATGATCTGAACTCTTAAAGTAGATGACTTTTTAAAAATGAAATTTAGTTTGATTTGCACCTTTTTTCTTGTTTCTATTGATTGAGGTATTCTCTTTTGGGATCAAGAGTTTGCAAAGTTGCTATTTATTCCCAAGAACATAAGAAAAAATTGCCACTGGGTGGTGCTAAATATCATCATAGTATGGCGAACTTGAACTAAAAGGAACGGATTAGCAATTATTTTTCTATGGGTATTTAACAGAAAACAGGGTTAATGAAAGCTGGGCACAGTGGCTCACACCTGTAATCCCAACACTTTGGGAGGCTGAGGCAGGCGGATCACCTGAGGTCAGGAGTTCAAGCCCAGCCTGGTCAACATAGTGAAACCCCATCTCTACTAAAAATACAAAATATTAGCCTGGCTTGGTGGCAGGCACCCATAATCCCAGCTACTCGAAAGCCTGAGGCAATGAGAATCGCTTGAACCCAGGAGGTGGAGGTTGCAAGTGAGCTGAGATTGTGCCCCTGAACTGCAGCCTAGG
The DNA here is from genome assembly GCF_000001405.40 of Homo sapiens. Taxonomy (NCBI): domain Eukaryota; kingdom Metazoa; phylum Chordata; class Mammalia; order Primates; family Hominidae; genus Homo; species Homo sapiens. The sequence goes on along the minus strand of NC_000001.11, from coordinate 32,619,917 downwards.
TGACAGAGTGAGACTCTGACTCAAAACAGAAAAAGAAAATAGGGTTAATGAAGAATAGGCCAAGAGCCTGTGGTTTGAAAAGCAGCTCTTCAAATGAATATATATTAGGAACACTGGGTAGTGCTTTTTAACCTCCTTTGTACTCAGGCACATTTTACAAATTTAAATTGTTACTCTCCAAGCCAAACACATCCCTCAGAATCCTTTTACCTTTTATTAGGGTTGATTGCCAGGCTGTGATGGGGCTCTTTTTTTTCACAGAACCTTTGCATATCGTGGGCTAATTGGGGCTTAATTGTGAAAATGAACAATGGAAGACCATGAAGGCAATGAAGGCCAAATCCAGAGCAAGAAGAGGGTGAGAGTTGGAATACAATAAAACCAAATAGAGCTGGGCACAGTGGCTCATGCCTGTAATCCTAGCACTTTGGGAGGCCAAGGTGGGTGGATCACTTGAGCCCATGAGTTTGGGACCAGCCTGGGCAACATGGTGAAACCCTGTTTCTACAAAAACTATAAAAATTAGCCAGGTGTGGTGGCATGCACCGGTAGTCCCAGCTACTTGGGAGGCTGAGGCAGGAGAATCTCTTGAACCCCGGAGGCAGAGGTTGCAGTGAGCCGAGATCACACCACTGCACTCCAGCCTGGGCGACAGGAGTAAAACCTTGTCTCAAACAAAACAAAAACTAAGTGAGGCACAGACTTGCCTAGGACAAAAAGCATGCGAGGCAACCATATTGTTACCGGTGAAAGGTTTTGACTATGAGTTGACAGGTTCTTGGCGTTTTGAACAAATAATTGGACAAAATGCACAAAGCAAAAAAATGAAGCAATGAAAGCACACATTTATTGAAACAAAAAGTACACTCCACAGAGTGTAAGCAGGCTCAAGCAAGGGGCTCAAGAGTGCTGGTTACAGGATTTTCTGGGGTTTAAATACCCTCTAGAGGTTTCCCATTGGTTACTTGCTTATACTGTATGTAAATTAAGGAGTGGCCCACGACCAGTCTGATTGGTTGTAGGAGGTGACCAATCAGAGGCTGAAGTAAAGTTCTGAATGAAGACTGTGGAGCCAAAGGGAGTACAGTCTGATCCTCTTGATTCAGTTCTAGGAAGTCAGCACAAATCTGCCTTAGGTTCCCCGCCTCCAGACCCTATTCTGCCTCAATATTGCTTACTACCAGCACTACATAATGGAGTTAAGTAAAAACAAGTGAGATGTAATTATGCAATACAAATTATAATTTATGATAAACTTATAATCTATTATATTTTAATGTAAATTTCAAATCTTAATATGTGTTTTTGGCTGGGCACAGTCGCTCATGCCTCTAATCCTAGCACTTTGGGAGGCTGAGGCGGGCAGATCATCTGAGGTTGGGAGTTCCAGACCAGCCTGACCAACATGGAGAAACCCCGTCTCTACTAAGAAATACAGAATTAGCCAGACGTGGTGACACATGCCTGTAGTCCCAGCTGCTTGGGAGGCTGAGGCAGGGGAATCGCTTGAACTTGGGAGGCAGAGGTTGCAGTGAGCAGAGATCACGCTATTGCACTCCAGCCTGGGCAACAAGAGCAAAACTCCGTCTCAAAAAAAAAAAAAAAAAGAAAGAAAAATGTGTGTTAGTTTTTAAGTATGCCAAAATGTAATGAATAGAAGGAAGTTGAGTGTGTCACCCTTTATATAGAAAATTGGCATCTTAAGTCCATCAGCAGCAATGCACAGTTTATTTTTGGTTTATTTATTGAAATGGCTGCACTGGCTGTCACCAGATTCTTCTGCTAATTTCAAATAGGTGTTTTGGCCTAGGGAGCAGATTCTCCCCCAACTGCAGAGCTAATTGATTTAAATGGGGACTGAACCTTATCCTCACATGAAAACTCTGTTCTAGTTATAAACGTCTCAACATTATCTCTCACCTCATGACATACCCACTCATCTTCACTTCTCTGTCCAGTTCTCCTTTCTGGGCTGCCTTTATCCTTCCTCCTAAAGTAAGGGAAGAAAACCCACTGCCTAAGGAGCCAGGTGGGTAATGGGATTGGCTATGTGTTGAGCCCAGGGCTTATAGTGTCTGAGAGGTCAGCTGCCTCAGCGATAGCCCTTGTCAGTAGTGGGAATACAAGCTGAGTTTTGTAGTTTTTCATGACACCTCAAAAATTGGGATTTTTATGTGAAAGCTCCCAATTTTTTGGAAAAAAAAAACCAAAACACTATGGTCATCACAATGAGGGGCAAAAATCTTGCAAGTTCTGCTTTAAAGTCCACATCAGGCCGGGCGTGGTGGCTCACGTTCGTAATCCCAAAACTTTGGGAGGCCGAGGCAGGTGGATCATGAGGTCAGGAGTTCAAGACCAGCCTGGCCAAGATGGTGAAACCCGTCTCTACTAAAAATACAAAAATTGGCTCGGCATGGTGTCGGGCGCCTGTAATTCCAGCTACTCGGGAAGCTGAGGCAGAGAATTGCTTGAACCCGGGAGGCAGAGGTTGTAGTGAGCCAAGATTGTGCCACTGCACTCCAGCCTGGGTGACAGAGTGAGGCTCTGTCTCAAAAAATAAATAAATAAATAAAGTCCACATCAAAGCCTGTCACCAAGAAACCTTGCCAACCATTTCAGCCATTAGTGGTCTTCTCTGAATTGCACCTGTCTAGTTAGTTTTAAAGATTTGCCAGCTTAGTCAATTTTATAATTGTCGAACGTTTGCTAGTTTTGTCTCTCTGAATAGAAAGCAAGCCCCCAGATCACATAATGGTCATTGGCTACTTAATGATGAATGGATTAAGCGTTTTAGGGCTACTTAAATCTCTTAGGCAGAGACTGCAGGTCAACTTCTTGAACAAATCTCAAGAGTTTACGAATCTCAAGTCAGGCTTGGGAGGCCAACACAGGTGGATCACTTGAGCCTGGGAGTTTGAGACCAGCCTGGGCAACATGCTGAAACTCCACCTCTACTAAAAATACAGAAAAATAACCGGGGATGGTAGCACAGGCCTGTAGTCCCAACTTGGGCAGCTGAGGTGGGAGAATCACCTGAGGCCAGGAAGTCTAGGCTGCAGTGAGCCATGATGATGCCACTGCACCCCAGCCCGGGTGAGAGTGAGATCTTGCCTCCAAAAAAAAAAAAAAAAAAAAAAAGGAATCTTAAGTCACAAGCCTTGATTCCTAATCCTTGCTCTACTGATGACCTTGGTCCTTATCTATGTATTATGGGTAACAATAGTGGTATGATTTTTTTTTTTTTTTTGAGATGGAGTCTCGCTCTGTCGCCCAGTGTGGAGTGCAGTGGCATGATCTCGGCTCACTGCAAGCTCCGCCTCCTGGGTTCATGCCATTCTCCTGCCTCAGCCTCCCGAGTAGCTTGGACTACAGGCGCCTGCCACCACGCCCAGCTAATTTTGTGTGTGTGTGTTTTTAGCAGAGACAGGGTTTCACCATGTTGGCCAGAATGGTCTCTATCTCCTGACCTCGTGATCCGCCCGCCTTGGCCTCCCAAAGTGGTGGGATTACAGGCGTAAATCACCGCGCCCAGCCAATGATCTTTTTAAACATTTTTATTTTTATTTTAGAGATGGGATCTTACTATGTTGCCCAGGCTGGTCTTGAACTCCTGGGATCAAGAGATCCTCTTGCCATGGCCTTCCAAAGTGCTAGGATAACAGGTGTGAGCCACCACACCCAGCTGATCTCTTATCACTGGTACCTCCCATCTAAGATGGCTAAGTGGTTGTATTCACAGCCTCTTTTGCCAGTTCTTTCCAGTTTGGAAGAGAATGTTCAAGGAGAACCATTCATACCCTTCTCAAGACAGGAGCAGTGCCATCATGAACTACTGGGGCTACTCCCTCACCCAATCTGACCTGCAGAAGGCTTGGGGATTACCAGATTCTGCCCAGTAAGAAGCCCTGAATGATTTCAACAATACTAGCTTTGCCGCAGAGAAACTATGAGACTGAGAATTTAGTTTCCTCACTTCAGAAACGAGGACATTGGAAAAGATATCCTCCAAAAGCTCTTCCAGAGCAAACTGTCAGAATTTAGTGACTGTATTACTGTATCAGTATGATTTCCTAATGTGCTATGTACATTTTTTTTGTTTAATTACCTATAAGTGGCCTGGCGCGATAGCTCATGCCTGTAATCACAGCACTTTGGGAGGCTGAGGTAGGTGGATCACCTAAGGTCAGGAGTTCGAGACAAGCCTGGCCAACGTGGTGAAACCCCATCTCTACTAAAAATACAAAAATTAGCTGGGCATGGTGGCGGGCGCCTGTCATCCCAGCTACTCTGGAGGCTGAGGCAGGAGAATTGTTTGAACCTGGGAGGTGGAGGTTGCAGTGAGCCAAAATCACACCATTGCACTCCAGCCTGGGCGACAAGAGCGAAACTCCTTTTCAAAAAAAAAAAATTTACATATAAGTAATTGCTTAATGTTAAATTCTGGACATGCAAGAGTGTGCTTTTAGAATGAACCAACATTATGGCCAGGTGCAGTGGCTCATGCCTGTAATCCCAGCACTTTGGGAGGCCGAGGCAGGTGGATCACCTGAGGTTGGGAGTTTGAGACCTGCCTGACCAACGTGGAGAAACCCCGTCTCTACTAAAAGTACAAAATTAGCTGGGCGTGGTGGCACATGCCTGTAATCCCAGCTACTAGGGAGGCCGAGGCAGGAGAATCGCTTGAACCTGGGAGGTGGAGGTTGCGGTGAGCTGAGATCTCACCACTGCACTCCAGCCTGGGCAACAAGAGCGAAACTCCATCTCAAAAAAAGAATGAACCAACATTTATTTTGTCATAAATGCATATCCAGGTCTCCACTGTACAAAACATTTTTCTAGGTGCTTCCATCTGGAAAATGTTACCCATTTGTCATACCGGCAATTTTACATGTAGTACATTTATTCTACTTTTTATTAATGAGGAAATTAGTGACAACTAAGACTATCTGGCTATAAGAGGCAGACTTGGGACTTCAGACTCTAGTCAATGTATTTACACAAGATTCTTTTTTTTTTGAGACAGAGTCTCACTCTGTCGCCAGGCTGGAGTGCAATGGCGTGATCTTGGCTCACTGCAACCTCCGCCTCCTGGGTTTAAGTGATTCCCCTGCCTCAGCCTCCCAAGTAGGTGGGACTACAGGCACCAACCACCATGCCTGGCTAATTTTTTGTATTTTTAGTAGAGATGGGGTTTCACCATGTTGGCCAGGATGGTCTCAATCTCCTGACCTCGTGATCCACTTGCCTTGGCCTCCCAAACGTGCATGGTGGTGCGCGCCTGTAATCCCAGCTACTCGGGAGGCTGAGGCAGGAGAATCGCTGGAACCCAGGAGGCAGAGGTTGCAGTGAGCCAAGATTGCACCACTGCCCTCCAGCCTGGGCAACAGAGCGAGACTCCGTCTAAAAAATAAAATGAAATTAATATAATATAATATAATATAATATAATATAATATAATATAATATAATATAATATAACATAATATAATAATAAACTACCTCCCAGTATAAACACTAAAGACATTATAGTCATGGGCTCTGAGGACTAGGCTCTGATTTTTTTTCTTGCCCAAATTCCTATCTAAGGGGTCTGGGGAATCATGCCCTACAAACCATAAATTTTCATCAGATGAGTTTTATTTAACCCTATATATCATGACTTACTTTCCAATCTGACTCTGGCATAACATTTTTTTTTTTTTTTGAGACAGTCTCAGTCTGTCACCCAGGCTGGAGTACAGTGGTGCGATCTCGGCTCACTGCAGCCTCCACCTCCTGGGTTTAAGTGATTCTCCTACCTCACCTCCCAAGTAGCTGGGACTATGGGCATGTGCCATCGCACCCGGCTAATTTTTGTATTTTTAGTAGAGACAGGGTTTCACCATGTTGGCCAGGCTGGTCTGGAACTCCTGGCCTCAGGTGATCCGCCCACCTCGGCCTCCCAAAGTGCTGGAATTACAGGTGTAAGCCACCGTGCCCAGCCTTCTTTTCAGAAAGAAAGTCTGGCTCTGTTGCTCGGAGTACAGTGGCATGATCATAGCTCACTGCAGCCTTAAACTCCTGGGCTCAGGTGATCATCCTGCCTCAGCCTCCTGAGTGGCTGGGACTACAGGCATGTGTCACTATGCCTGACTGCTGTTTTTTTGGGAGACAGTATAACTACCCAGTGGGTTCACCTTACCTGCTGCCTAGACAGAGGCGATTTATGAAGACAGGGGAATTGCAATAGGGAAAGAGTAATTCACGCAGAGCTGGCTCTGCGGGAGACCAGAGTTATATTATGACTCAATTAAGTTTGCCCAGTATTTGGGGATCAGAGTTTTTAAGGACAACTTGGTGGGTGGGGGGAAACCAGTGAGCCGGGAGTGCTAATTGGTCAGGTCACAGATGAAATCATAGGGAGTGGAAGCTGTCTTCTTGCGCTAAGTCAGTTCTTAGGTGTGGGGGGGGGGGGGTCACAAGATCAGATGAGCCAGTTTATCGATCTGGGTGGTCCCAGCTGATCCATCAAGTGCAGGGTCTGCAAAATATCTCAAACACTGATCTGAAGAGCAGTTTAGGGAGGGTCAAGATTTTGTAACCTCCAGCTGCATGAATCCTAAACCATAATTTCTAATCTTGTGGCTAATTTCTTAGTCCTACAAAGGCAGCCTAGTCCCCAGGCAAGGAGGTTTGTTTTGGGAAAGGGCTGTTATCATCTTTGTTTTAAACTATAAACTATAAGTTTCTCCCGAAGTTAGTTCAGCCTCCACCCAGGAATGAACAAGGATAGCTTGGAGGTTAGAAGCAAGATGGAGTCAGGTTAGATCTCTTTCCACTGTCTCAGTCATAATTTTGCAAAGGCAGTATTTTGCCCAGGCTGGTCTCAAACTCCTGGCCTCAAGCAATCCTTCCACTTCCTCCTCCCAAAGTGCTGGTATTACAGGCGTCAGTCACTGTGTCCAGCCCCCTCTTTAATTCTAAAGAAGGTCCACAGTGCTTGGTGAAGGGGTGTCATCATTCTAGAGACAACCCTGGGAGCCCGTGCCATCTGCACAAGTGACATGGTAGCTAGAATCTTAGTTTATTAAGCTGGGCAGGCTGAGTCACTCGTTTCTGCTTTTCCCTCTCCTTTCTCTTCTCCAGACTTATTTCCCGTCTCCTACTTATCTACTGTGGCTTTTTCCTGTGCTAATCTAGCTTTCTTTCTCCCATATCTTCGTTGAGCATCTATATTCAAAAGCCTGCACTTCAGGCCAGGCGCGGTGGCTCACGCTTGTAATCCCAGCACTTTGGGAGGCGAGGTGGGTGGATCACATGAGGCCAGGAGTTCAAGACCAGTCTGGCCAACATGGTGAAACCTCGTCTCTAATAAAAATACAAAAAAATTAGCCGGGCATGTGGCGCACGCCCATAATCTCAGATACTAGGGAGGCTGAGGCGGAAGAATCGCTTCAACCCGGGAGGCAGAGGTCACAGTGAGCTGAGATCGAGCCACTGCACCCCAGCCTGGGCGACAGGACGCCAGTGAGATGCCTCTGGCCAAATCCCACGGGAGTGGTTCCCTGGCATCACGCGTCCAGGCTCCGCCCCGGCCCTTCTCGCGGCTCCCATTGGCTCGGCCGCGGACTCCTGGGGCGCCGACACCTCCTACTGGCCGCCGCGGCGAGGTCAGGGAGCAGGGCACTGGCCAGTCCCAGCTGAGTTGGGAGGTGTCGGGGACGCAAGTGACTTCACAGAGCACAATGTCATAACCTTAAGTAACACCAGACAACTTTTCCTAAAGTGGGGATAAGATAGGCTTGCTCTGTAGGCTGCAGGTCTTAAGCACCTGCGGCGGCATCTGATCGCGCGGATTCGAGTCCCCTCCGCCCCTGAGTCGTGGCGTGGCTTCCAGGTTAGTCATTCCAGTGCACAACCCCCCAAGTCCAACTGTTTTAAATGAGGACGGTGCTGGATCTAGTCGGTGCCTGGCAAATGTGGGCTTTTTATTTTTATTTTTTAATTTATTTTTATATTTTTTTTCTGAGATGGAGTTTTGCTCTTTTTGCCCAGGCTGGAGTGCAATGGCATGATCTCGGCTCACTGCAACCTCCGCCTCCCGGGTTCAAGTGATTCTTCTGCCTCAGCCTCCCGAGTAGCTGGGATTACAGGCGCCCACCACCACGCTCTGCTAATTTTGTATTTTTAGTAGAGACGGGGTTTCACGATGTTGGCCAGACTGACCTGATCTCAGGTGATCCGCCGGCCTCGACCTCCCAAAGTGCTGGGATTACAGGCGTAAGCCACTGCGCCGGGCCAAATGTGGGCTTTTTATAAGGCGTCCACTACACACGACAGAAAAATGCCTATTTCCCCCTATCGCCCCCAGAGTCTAGCTAATCTAGCTTTAGGAGTGTCTGGTAAATCCCAGGCCTCTCCGACGGGGGCGGTGGGGGAAGGGGGGTCTAGCTGTTAGACTGAATAACTTTCCAGGAAAAGTAGTTGTGACGAAAAACAGGACTGAAAAGGAAGAGTTTCTACCCCTTAATCTCGCTCACTGGCATAGTCATCCCTGAAAATAATATATAAAGTCATGGTTTATAGAGGGTTCACTTGCTTGAACGTGATATCCATTGTTTAGGGAGAAAAAACCCAGGCTTTTTTATCTATTTGTTACTTTTTTAATAGACAGTGTCTCACAATGTGGCCCAGGCTGGAGTGCAGTGGCGCAATCATAGCTCACTGCAGTTTTGAATTCCTGGGCTCAAGGGATCCTCCCGCCCCAGCTTCGCTTCCCAAATAGCTGGGACTACAGGCCTGTGCCACCATGCCCGCCTAATTTTAATTTTTTGGGTTTTTTTGGTGGAGGTAGAATGTCACTGATGCCCAGGCTGGCCTCGAACTCCTGGCCTCAAGTGATTCTCCCACCTCAGCCTCCCAAAGCGCTGATATTACAGGAGTGAACCAATGTGGCCATATCTCAAGGCCTTCATTTTTTAACACGTGGTGCTAATACTTTCAGCTGGGGTTTTCAACTCCTGGGTTTTTTGTGGACTTTTTCCTCAGTATACAGAAAAAGTTTAAAATCAATTCAGATAGGCAACAAAAGGCACAGTATCTTTTCTTTTGTTTTTTGAGAAGTTTCACTCTTGTTGCCCAGGCTGGAGTGCAGTGGCACAATCTCAGCTCACTGCAACGTTGCCTCCTGGGTTCAAGCGGTTCTCCTGCCTCAGCCTCCTGAGTAGCTGGGATCACAGGTGTGCACCAACACGCCCGGCTAATTTTTGTATTTTTGGTAGAGACGGGGTTTCACCATGTTGGCCAGGCTGGTCTTGAACTCCTGACCTCAAGTGATCCACCTGCCTCGGCTTCCCAAAGTGCTGGAATTACAGGTGTGAGCCACAGTGCCTGGACTCAGCATGTAACCTTTTAAAATTATGCAAGAAAATAAAAAGAAAAAAAATTATGGGCCAGTCATGGTGGCTCATGCCTGTAATCCTAGCACTTTGGGAGGCCGGGGCTGGCGGATCATCTGAGGTCAGGAGTTTGAGACCAACCGGGCCAATATGGCGAAACCCCATCTCTACTAAAAATACAAAAATTAGCTGGGTATGGTGGCCCATGCCTATAATCCCAGCTGCTTTGAGGCTGAGGCAGGAGAATCGCTTGAACCCGGGAGGCGGAGGTGTGAGCCAAGATCACACCACTGCACTCCAGCCTGGGCGACAGAGCAAGACTCCGTCTCAAAAAAAAAAAAAAATTATGCAAGAAAGTACCATTTTGTCATTGGAAGAAATTCTTTTTTGCAGGAGACTGAAGAGATATACTTGTCATGAATGGATTGCAAACATAACCTTCAAGGTGGGAATGAAAATGGTACTCTATCTAAAAGTTGTGTTTTATTTTTAAAGCTTTTTTTAAAAATGGTAATTCTTGAAGAAATAAAGCAAAAGAGAAGTTTGCTTTGTTTCCAAATTCGTCTGAAGTCTTCTTTAAATAATACAGTAGTATTTTCCTGCCTCTCTAGTATTCCATTTAACTGGAACTAAAGAATGACTTAATTCAATTATTTTATGGAATTCTAAAGTGTAGCAATTGAGCTTTTACAGAGCTTGGAGTGTTCTGGTTCCTTTCTTTAAAAAGAAAATATTAAAGCTTGTAAAATTTCAGTATGTAGTATTTCAGTCACGTATTCATTACATAGTTCTTTTATTGGTTTGAAATACTGTGTGAATTCCCAGAATGCAATACCCATAATCAAATAAAATGCAAATGCATCCCAAAATAAAAATGGGGTATTTTAAGACTACTCATTATTTTATTAGAGTGTCGATATTACTTGTCTCTATTAAAAACCTTAGATAATGGAACATGCAGTGTGTCTTGAAATTTTACAAAAATAAATATTTTCCTGGACTGGACACCTCTATTTTTAAATTTTTCCTTAATGATACGGTTGAGAACCAGTGGACTGTAAGGTCAAATAGTCCTACTGCCTCTCCTTGGCATCTATATGGGGAGGACAGAGGGAAACCTTGAATGGGCCCTATTTTGCATGTCACAAACTTTGGGAAGCTTTTATTTATTTATTTATTTATTTATTTATTTATTTATTTATTTTTATTTTTAGAGCCAAGATCTTGCTGTATCGTCCAGGCTGAAGTGCAGTGGCACCATCATAGCTCACTGCATCCTTCACTCAGTGATCCTAAGGCTCAAGTGATCCTCCCACCCGAGCCTCCTGAGTAACTGAGACTACAGGCATGTGCCACCACGCCCACCTAATTTTTAAATTTTTTGTAGAGACTGCGACTTGTTATGTTGCCCAGGCTGGTCTCAAACTCCTAGGCTCAAGCAATCCTCCTACCTCTGTCTCCCAAAGTGTTGGGATTACAGGCATGAGCCACTGTATCCAGCCTAGGTTTTTTTTTTTCAGACGGAGTCTCGTTCTGTCGCCAGGCTGGAGTGCAGTGGCGCAATCTCAGCTCACTGCAAACTCCGCCTCCCGGGTTCAAGCGATTCTCCTGCCTCAGCCTCCTGAGTAGCTGGGACTACAGGCATGCGCCACCACACCCAGCTAATTTTTGTATTTTTAGTAGAGATGGGGTTTCACCATGTTGGCCGGGATGGTCTCGATCTCTTGACCTCCTGATCCACCCGCCTTGGCCTCCCAAAGTGCTGGAATTACAGGTGTGAGCCACCGTGCCCAGCCAGCCTAGCTTGCAAAAATACTTACACCCAAGCCCCACCTGCCCGAGATTCTGATTTGCCTAGGCATCTGTATTTTAAAAGATCCACAGGTGATTCTAATGTGCAACCAAAGTTGAGGATCTCTGGTCTAGGCAGAAATGTTGTTCCCTTTTTCCCTTATGGGCTGAATAAAAATAAGTTTCTCTTTAATAAAGAAAATAAGTAGTTGTAAGTAATATCAACAAGGAAATAAATGATTTTCCCAAGGGGAAAATCAAGAAACTATATAATGGAATTGTGTATCTGGAAATCTGAAAGAGCAAAGCAGGCAAAGTATAAAATTCTGCTTGCAAATGATCTAGCTAAGCGCAAAGGTAAAGGTAAAGGGTATTTCCCTGGTCTCTGGTTTCCTTTTTTCTTTTTGAGACAGTCTTGCTCTGTCACCCAGGCTGGAGTGCAGTGGCGTGATCTCAGCTCACTGCAACCTCCACCTCCTAGGTTCAAGCAATTATTGTGCCTCGGCCTCCTGAGTAGCTGGGATTACAGGCATGCGGCACCACGCCAGGCTAATTTTTGTATTTTTTATAGAGATGGGGTTTTACCATGTTGGCCAGGCTGGTCTTGAACTCCTAGCCTCAAATGATCCGACCACCTCGGCCTCCCAAAATTCTGGGATTACAGGTGTGAGCCACTGTACCCAGCCTCTGGTTTCCTATTTAAAGGTGAGAAAGTATGCAACGGATTTTGATGGTTTGAAGAAAAAAAAAAAAAAAGAAAGAGTAGGGAAAAGTGTTATACTATTTCAGTAATTGCAAAATATTTTGACTTCAAGATATTTTGACTTCAAGAGTCCCTTTGCTTCTATTGCTGTGTGGTTCATTACTTGTTAACATTATATTTAAATATTTTACTTTTTTGGTGGCATTAATACAGTTCTGTGGGGAGAAGGCTGACGTGAAAATGAAGTTTACAGATTCTCGGTGGATTTCATTTTTCTGGCCTATTCATAGGTCCATTAGCAGGAATAGTTAAGAAACTCCTGTATCAAAATTATATGTTACTTATACTTCACAATATATAAAACAGCTGGCTATATACTACCATTTCTGTGATAACTTGAATTTTATCATTAAAACTCTTGTAACTAAAGGCACCAGTGGCCCGTCTGTAACAGCCGCTGCTGCGATGCCAGCTGCAGTGAGGGAAACGCAGCTGAGGCTCACGGCTCCACGAAGCCCACAGGGGCTGGCTACAGGCAGGAGCCCTGCCCCTACTGAATCGGCAGGGCTGGAGTCCCACACTTCTGGGCACAGCTGCAGCCGCCCAGCTGCGGCTCCAGACCTGGGCATCCCTGCACTCTTCAGGGCTTGGGAAGCTCCCAGCGCCCACAGGCTCAGAAGTGCCTGCTCCCATTCCCTGGCCTCTTTCTGCTCCTGCACCTGCTCTGTTGCAGAGCAAAGTTGGGCCAAACCTAGGTGTTGTCGTGACCTGGCCAGGTTGAGCATGCTAGAGGTGGCACTGACACGCCAGCCCCCTGCCACCTCAGCCCCCTCTAAACTTTGGGCACCCATGTGCGTGGGAGGGAAGCCAGTCAGGGGGTTGATGACGGTGGCTTGGTTTGGGCCTGCAGGCGCCCCTTGGCACAGTCTGGGCACCATGGAGGGCATGTTGATGGCAGGAGGCAGACAGGTTCCTGGGTGGAAAAGGGTGGGTTCCCAGTGAAATCCCCCCTTCAAGCCAGGGAATGCCTGAAGCCTGGGGGTTGGTCTGGCAGTTCCTGGTGGAGTCCAGGGCTAGAGTAAGAACTTGTGGTGTTTTCTGGGCTGCCCATGGACACCCACAGACCAAGCAGCATGCACTTCCTCCCTTCTGAGCCCATAAAAACCCCTGGTCTCAGCAGACTCAGCCGGCTGTCAGGACTACCAGCTGCAGGAAGGAGCTACCCGCTTTGAGTCTCCTTAAAAGGACCTGCCTGCAGGTCTCCTCTTGGGTGAGAGCTGGTCATCTGGACACTCATCAGGTCGACCTGCCTGTGGAAAGGAGCTATCCACTTCGGGTCTCCTGAGAGCTGTTCTGTTGCAGAGTGAAGCTCCTCTCTGCCCTGTGGAAAGGAGCTACCCACTTCAGGTCTCCTGAGAGCTGTTCTGTTGCTCAGTGAAGCTCCTTTCGGCCTTGCTCACCCTCCAGTTGTCTGCGTACCTCATTCTTCTCGGATGCAGGAAAAGAACTCGGGACCCACCAAATGGTGGACTGAAAGAGCTGTAACACAAGCAGGGCTGAAACATGCTCCCTGCTCACCACGTTGTGGGCGACGAGAAGGAGAGAAGAGCTGCAGCCCTTCTGGCAGCCCAGACCTCGGGGCTCCCTGAGCCATGGTGTGACATGCTGTAACACCCTCTTTGGGGGTCTGCAGTTCCCGGCATCTCTGAGCTTTCGGGCACCACTGCGTTCCACTTGTCCAAATGCTGATGCCCGCAGCGGAAGCCGCTTTCAGTACGTCTGGTCCCGCTGCAGCCTGGCATGGAGCTGGTGCCTGTGCCAGCGCCTAGAGCTGTCCACCCCACTGCAGCCAGTGTGCCTGGTTGTGTGCAGTGGCCGGACCCCACGCTAGCTCACTCACACACCCGTCACTCCGTGCCTGGCTCACCCTCGGCAGGCATGAGATCCAGGCTGGTACCACCAGTGGACCACAGCCTGCCAGTCCACATGGGTGGAATGAGCCCAGCAGGCACAAGCAAAACCCAAGCAGAGGAGCCACCGGCCAAGAGGTTTCTGGCTGGTGGCAAAGCAACACCCTAAGGATCCTGTGACATAACTAAAGTCACATCCTTTACATAACATTTATTCCATATAGAATGTATCCACATACAATGACGTCAGCTTTAAAACAATCCACTGTTACTTATATAAAATCATCTATAAAATAGAGTGATACACAACACACCTCAGTGAATTAGGCTGATGGTCTAGGATTCAGAAAATGTGATCATTATATTTCCTATTTTTTGCTACCATTTCACTGGGTTGTCTTAGGTTCTTTTTTTTTTTTTTTTTTTTTTTTTTGAGGTGGAGTCTCGCTCTGTCACCCAGCCTGGAGTGCAGTAGCGTGATCTTGGCTCACTGCAACCTCCGCCTCCTGAGTTCAAGCAATTCTCCTGTCTCAGCCCCCAGAGTAGCTGGGATTACAGGTGCCCACCACCATGCCTGGCTAATTTTTGTATTTTTAGTAGAGAAGGGGTTTCACTATATTGCCCCAGGCTGGTCTCCAACTCTTGACCTAAAGTGATCCACCCGCCTTGGCCTCCCAAAGTGCTGGGATTACAGGTGTGAGCCACCACGCCTGACCCTGAGGTTTTTTTACTGTTCTGTGCCTCAATTTATTTACCGTTCATGTGGGATAACTGTCCTATTTCATATATATGTAAAGAATAACAAAAATTATTAAACACTTTGCAAATATAAAATGCTATATAAATGATAAATAGTAATACTGATACACTTATATAAAATAACAAAACTTTCTGGTTTATAATCTAAAGTTTGGTCCTCCTGTACCTATTATTCTATTATTATCACCCTTCCCAGTTAAACACATCTTTTTTTTTTTTTTTTTTTTTTTTGATGGAGTCTCGCTCTGTCACCCAGGCTGGAGTGCAGTGGTGCGATCTCGGCCACTGCAACCTCCACCTCCCGGGTTCAAGCGATTCTCCTGCCTCAGCCTCCCGAGTACCTGGGATTACAGGCACCCACCATCATGCCCAGCTATTTTTTGTATTTTTACTAGAGACGGGGTTTCACCATGTTGGCCAGGATGGTCTCGAACACCTGGCCTTAAGTGATCCGCCCGCCTCGGCCTCCCAAAGTGCTAGGATTACAGGCATGAGCCACCGTGCCCGGCCAGTTAAACACACCTTATCCTACACTGCTTTTAGTGATTTTCCATACTTATTAATTTTAGGACTAAAAAAAATTTTAAAAACCAATATGAGTGGAAATTTCAATATATCTTGGCATGACTTGGCAAAATAACTTTAATGAATTGAGTTCTGAGCTCATAAATAATTGAAGCACCAAACTTCTTTCATCCATTAGGCAGTACTTAGCCGTACAGAAAACAGTAACTATGCTTATTTTGATTGCATTACTGAAAATATAATATTGAAACATTTGTTCCTAAATTTTAAAAAGTCTTAAGATCTGATACCCATAGAAGGAACATCATGTGCTAAGGATGTGATTTGCTTCACTAAGAGACCATATGGTTACCTGCTTATAAGCACCGTGAGTAACAGGAGTAACGAAATGAGGCTGCAAGGCTCAAAGGGAATTCAGGAAGTTGTCTAATTCCATGGTTTTCAACATTGTGCACCTGAGTTCTGCAGAGGTGTCTGGGGAAAGGTTTGTGGGGGACTTTAACCACAGCAGCTCTGATTTTAGAGTTTATCCCTTAAATTTGAGCATCTTTAGGAAACAATTCATTTGAAGAGTTTCTCGGGTTAAATTATTTTAAACTGCAGGTCTAGTCCATTTTGTTTCTCCCAGACACTAGGCATGACTGCAGTGGTGCTTTCTTTTTGTAATGCTTCATCCTATACCCAGACACTCTTGAGGGTAATGGAGTTAGAAGGGCATTCAGAAGCTGATAAATGGCATTCCTGCAAGAGCAAACTTTGGTCTAACCAAGTCTTGATATTAAAAAAAAAATCCTTGGCATAAATAAAGCTTATTTAAACAGATTATACCCCTATGTAACATTTGCCCACATGTAAAAACCAAAGAATTCAATTTTCTCAATCATCAATAGACAGTTTCACTCTAGAAAATAACTGGTCTCTAACGTCTTAGATATATATGCTATAACTGGAGTCATTATTTACAACTTACAAACATGTCTTAAATGTTCTTCTATGATGTTAAAATGATACAACAGATTCTTTGTCTAGTTTGGTGAACTTGATCATTTTGTGGGGATAGTTTGATGCTCGTTATAAACAATTATGAGAAAGCATTATTTCTGAAAAGGCAATTACAAGTGCTGGTGGCACTGTGTTCAGTGAATGTTGGATATTCATGCTGATGTATGTAAAGTTTGCATGCAGAAGATAATAGCATAAAAGGACATTTAGATCATAGACTAAAGTGCATTAGAGTACACACATGCAAGCACTACTTCATTTATAGGAAAAAAGTTCAAATCAGCCATTTTTCCTACTGGCTCCAACAACTAAAAAATCAGGTTTTAATTTCAAAAGGTGTCAGTATTAATTGGGTAAGACTAGAGAATGACAAGCGTTTCCTTCCTCATTCAGATACACTTTAATTGTTAAGAATCCTGATTTAGGCCGGGCGTGCTGGCTCACGCCTGTAATCCCAGCACTTTGGGAGGCTGAGGCGGGCAGATCACGAGGTCAGGAGTTCGAGACCAGCCTGGCCAACATAGCGAAACCCTGTCTCTACTAAAAATACAAAAATTAGCCAGGCATGGTGGCACATGCCTGTAGTCCCGGCTACTCAGGAGGCTGAGGCAGGAGAATCGCTTGAACCCGGGAGGCAGAGGTTGTGGTGAGCGAGATCACGCCACTGCACTCCAGCTTGGACAACAGAGCGAGAGTCCATCTCAAAAAAACCAGAATCCTGATTTAGGAACAGCCATGTTGGGAGAACAGAGAACTCAATGCACATCATCCAGTCTTGAAGCAACTGCAAATGTGCCATCAGGGGAATCTTGAAAAAGTCTCAATTAAGTACCATGAAACAAGTGGTTATTCATCTATTTTTAAATTTTTTAAAAGAAAGTAACCAATTTAGCCTAGAAATTGGTATCAAGGACAATAATTAATGAAAGAACAAGAGAAAATAGTAACATAAAAAGGATAATTTTGAGGTATGTCATGGCATTTAAAAATACAGTAAAATTGGCTGGGCGCAGTGGCTCACGCCTGTAATCCCAGCACTTTGGGAGGCCGAGGGGGGCGGATCACGAGATCAGGAGATTGAGACCATCCTGGCTAACACGGTGAAACCCCATCTCTATTAAAAATACAAAAAATTAGCTGGGAGTGGTGGTGGGCGCCTGTAAGTCCCAGCTACTCGGGAGGCTGAGGCAGGAGAATGGCGAGAACCCGGGAGGTGGAGCTTGCAGTGAGCTGAGATTGCACCACTGCACTCCAGCCTGGGCGACAGAGCGAGACTCCGTCTCGAAAAAAAAACAAAAACAAAAAAGAAAACAGTAAAATAGATGGAGCCTCTCCATATACAGTGAAATTCTATCAAGCTTCACTGTGATAACTTGCAGAAGAGACCTTTATGAAGCTCAGTTCTTTACTTCGGATATTTAGATTTTACCTTTAGAACTGAAACAATGCTTCTCTAATTTAGCTGTAATTTTGGAATGTTTCATAATTTATGCAGGGGAGAAGTTTTTTTTTTTTTTTTTTTTGAGACGGAGTTTCGCTCTTGTTGCCCAGGCTGGAGTGCAATGGCGCAACCTCAGCCCACCGCAGCCTCTGCCTCCTGGGTTCAAGCTATCCTCCTGCCTCAGCCTTCTGAGTAGCTGGGATTACAGGCATGCACCACCACGCCCGGCTAATTTTGTATTTTTAGTAGAGACGGGGTTTCTCCATGTTGGTCAGGCTGGTCTCAAACTCCCGACCTCGGTGATCCACCTGCCTCAGCCTCCCAAAGTGCTGGGATTACAGGCGTGAGCCACTGGGCCCAGCCCAAAGGGGAGAAGTTTAAACTTTGTATACTAGGAGAAAAGTTTGTTTTGAAAATATTATATAAACAAGAGAAGCAAAAATGTTCAACATATTTAAGTGAATAATTTGTTCAAATAGTTTTATACTTTAAATTTACATATAAATAACGTGACATAAAAACATACCAATAGGTACTGTAGGGACATTACTTAGCATTATTTGAAAATCTCTAGATCAAGATATTGTATGTTGTTGAAAATGATTCAATTCCTCCTTTCATACTTTCTAATTCTGATTGGCTTATTTTTATAATGACTGCCAACTGGTGAGGTTTGACTTCTATTCTTTGCCATTTCAGGAGACATACAGGGAGAGAAGGCTGAAAGAGGATTGTTTAAAATCAGATCCTGTCCAATCATCAGTTTTCTCTCTCAGACTTTCTGACCTTAATTTCCTCATTTGTAAATCGGAGATAGTATCCACCTCACTGAGAAAATACATGAGAGAGTACTTTATAAATAATATAGCACTACATAAACGTTAGAAATCACTCACATATGGTAAGAACCTCCTAGTTTGTTTTCCTTTTTTTTTTGAGACGGAGTTTCGCTCTTGTTGCCCAGGCTGGAGTGCAATGGTGTGATCTCGGCTCACTGCAACTTCTGCCTTCCAGGTTCAATCGATTCTCCTGCCTCAGCCTCCCGAGTAGCTGGGATTATAGGCACCCGCCACCATGCCCGGCTAATTTTGTATTTTTTAGTAGAGACGAGGTTTCACCATGTTGGCCAGGCTGGTTTCAAACTCCTGACCTTGTGATCCGCCTGCCTCGGCCTCCCAAAGTATTGGGATTATAGGCATGAGCCACAGCGCCCAGCCTGCTTTTCTTTAGAGAGATGGACAACCATATTGACAGATTGTCTTCACAAACTACCTTGACTTTTAGGCAACATTAGTTTCCTGCTTTAAGAAAATATCTGTATATAATCTTTGGCCAGCCTCTACTTTTTTTTTTTTTTAACAATACTGAGAGTAATTTTTAAGCTAATGATAAAAATTTCAAATATGAATGATTTCAAACACTTTAGTCTTCTTCCATAATCCTTAAACGTTCAGGATATCAGAGTAATGACAGGTTGTTTCAGATCTCAAATTAATAGAAAGACTAATTTGTTTAGTAAGGTGGGTTGCCAGATCCTTAAATGTGCTCTTAACTGGTTCCCTGTGAAATTAAACATTGGTAGTTATGTGTTTTTGAAACACCTTGAAATTGTCTTACATAAAGTTTGGTTGTGGTGAATTTATTTAAAGTATTTTCTTTGAAAAAAGTTTGCTAAGTAGATCCTCCAATATTAAAAGAAAAAGGTATCTCTGGAATAAAGTAAGAGGATTGTAATGAAAGTAAGAGGATAATTGTTCATCCATCAAGCCAACTCAAGCTAGTTCTTTCTTTCCAGTGCAGCAACACATTTTAGGGCAACAAAGTTCAGAATGGATACAATGGCCTGTTCAGAAAGCATGCAAGTTATATCAGATCATTTCTTTAAAGTCAGTGTGATAAATTTGTTAACTAGACTCCGACCATAGAAAGAGAGAGATACAGGAAGTCAATGTAAATTGCAGACATGCCAGCTCTGTTGGTTCACATTACAGCTACCTAATGTTGGGCTTAATTTCTTTTTCTTCTTCTTCTTCACTATCATCAACCTGTTGGATGACCAGATCAGCAGACCCATCTTCTACAATCTCCACATAGGATCTATTCTCATCTTCACTCAAGTGCCATCTGGAATCCTTATCTCCATCTGATGGGGACATAAGATGTTGTTCAGCTTCCAAGTCAATGGGGAGGCTGTCTATGCCAAATTCTGCAAGACACTCATTACACAGTCTGTAGCGCCTGGTTCCCTCCTGTACCACTTGCCCTGTTAGATCTGTCACATGACGTTTACATTTTCTGCAGATGAGTTTACATGCCTGGTGAATCTGTGTAGAGATTTAAATAGTGATAAAAGTGATTTTTCAAAAGCAGGACAGTTTGATATTTTAGGTACCAGTTCATAAACTTAAGATGTTCAAAGCCATGCATTAAACTCAAATTAACATCTATTATTTAGAGAAAGATCAAGGGTTTTAGTGGTGAATTGATGTCACAGAAATATTAAACATCAGCTTTCTCTAAATAGTGGCTATCATGTTTTTTATTATTAATATGACATAATAATTTCACCTATCCCTTAATCCAATAGCATTTGGTATCTGAGGTAACTTCCTATGATAATAATAATTGCAAACACTATGTGCCATGTACTTATTTAATTATTTTTATTATTTATTTATTTATTTATTTATTTTTGAGACAGAGTCTCACTCTGTTGCCCAGGCTGGAGTGCAATAGTGCAATCTCGGCTCACTGCAACCTCCGCCTCCGGGGTTCATGCAATTCTCCTGCCTCAGCCTCCTGAGTAGCTGGTATTACAGGCACGTGCCACCACGCCCAGCTAATTTTTGTATTTTTAGTAGAGATGGGGTTTCACCATGTTGGTCAGGCTGGTCTCAAACTCCTGACCTCGTCATCTGTCTGCCTCGGCCGCCCAAAGTGCTGGGATTATAGGTGTGAGGCACCGCGCCCAGCATACTTTTTATTTTTAAAATAGGGTCTCGCTCTGTCACCCAGGCTACGGTGTAGTGGTGACCATGGCTCACTGCAGCCTCAGCCTCCCAGGCTCAAGCAATCCTCCCATCCCAACCTACCGAGGAGCTGGGACTACAGGTGCATGCCACCACACCTGGCTAATTAAAAAAAAATTTTTTATAGAGAAAGGGTCTCACTATGTTTTCCAGGCTGAACATATCTTAATTTGAGGTGGGGGCGGGGGGTGCAATCTCTCTTGTTTTGTGTATTAATTTTTTGTTATTTTACTAGAGAAAGAAAAATATTGCATAAATTTAAATTTATTAATATTTTAGATAGAAGGAGAACTTGCCATTTTTATTAATAAAAGATCTGGTGGAAAGAGGACCACAGGGATTGGAAGGGTTGGGGTTCTAGTTATTTACTATCTTCTTGGAGCAAGTAATTTAAAACATTATATAAACCTGCTTTAGGGTGACAGTTAAAATATTTAACTGGTAAGATATGGGCACCACCCAGACTGATGAGAAGCCTGACTAATTCTACTGGACATTCATCATAAACAACTACGATGGTGCTGCTTCTATATATCAGCCTAGTATTATCTTTGCTTGCTTCCTTTGGCTAATGGAAATATCACTCACAGGGTTAATGTGAGGACCAAATGAGTTAACATGTGTGAAATGCTTTGGTAAACAGTTGTAGTGAGGAATAATTACGTATTATAATTAGTAATAAACAATTTTGTTCAATAGCTGTCAGAACAGTAGATTATGGGTTCTAATCTAAAAATTATAAAAATTAATTGTATAATGTTGAATCAATGTTTATGGAATATTCATTTAAATAAAGTCAGGACAGTGCAGAAGTAGGGCACCAAACACAGTAAAAAACTCCAAGAAGCTGGGCACTGTGGCTCACACCTGTAATCCCAGCACTTTGGAAGGCTGAGGTGAGTGGATCACTTGAGGTCAGCAGTTTGAGATCAGCCTGGCCAATATGGTAAAACTCCATCTTTACTAAAAAAAAATACAAAACTTAGCTGGGCATGGTGGCACACGCCTGTAATCCCAGCTACACGGGAGGCTGAGGCAGGAGAATCACTTGAGCCCGGGAGGCGGAGGTTGCAGTGAGCTGAGATTGTGCCACTGCACTCCAGCTTAGATGACACAGTGAGACTTCATCTCAAAAAAAAAAAAAAAAAAAAAAAAAAATCCAAGAAAGCTAATACAGTCTGGTAAAATATGTAGGAAAATGTATGGAATTACCACTAGTACAGTTATTATCCTGTGTGTAACTGTTGACATATTAATCAGTAAACATTAAAAGTACATGATTTGAATGAATTCTGATTTCTCCTGAGATAGTAATATTATGCGTATTAGGCTGGGCGTAGTAGCTCACATCTGTAATCCCAGCACTTTGGGAAGTGGAGGTGGGTGGATCACTTGAGGCCAGGAGTTCAAGACCAGCCTGGCCAACATGGTGAAACCCCATCTCTACTAAAAATACAAAAAAAAAAAAAAAAATTAGCCGGATATGTGCTTGTAATCCCAGCTACTCGGGAGGCCAAGGCAGGAGAATCACTTGAACCCAGCAGGTGGAGGTTGTGGTAAGCTGAGATCGTGCCACTGCACTCCAGCCTGGATGACAGAACGAGACTCTGTCTCAAAAAACAAACAAACAAACAAACAAAACTATGGGTATCAAATGTGGTATTGTTTTTGTTACAAGCTCTGATACAGATTCATGTCCATCCCTCCAAAATATGTATCTTCTAACTCTATCCACTGAAATAGTGTAAAAGAAATGACACCTCCGTAACAATGACTGCCCAGACTTTGGGCTCTAATTTCACTTTCCACTAAAGGAAATGGATTGAGAAATGGCTGATTCCAGCTCTGTGGTAGGGAAAGTACAAAGTGAGTCTAGGCCTCTTTTGGAGCCAGAGAACAAGGACACTTTCAAAATTTAATGGAGTTGTGACAAAAGGAGACAAGAGCCAGCATCAAGGTAGAGACTGTTCACTGGATAAAACTAAAAATTTGAGTGTCAAAAGGAATAATAATTGTGGATCCAAACATAATAAACCAATACAATTCCTCAAATTCCTGAGACCATATGATATCTAAAAATATAAGACCAGCAGACGTGGTGGCTCACGCCTGTAATCCCAGTACTTTGGGAGGCCGAGGTGGATGGATCACTTGAGGTCAGGAATTCAAGACCAGCCTGGCCAACATGGTGAAACCCCATCTCTACTAAAAATACAAAAACTAGGTGGGCACCTGTAGTCCCAGCTACTCGGGAGGCTGAGACAGGAGAATTGTTTGAACCTGGGAGGCAGAGGTTGCAGTGGGGCAAGATCACGCCATTACACTCCAGCCTGGGCAACAGAGCGAGACTCTGTCTCAAAAAAAAAAAGAAAAAAGAAAGCAGGTGTAGTGGAGACCTCCTTTGGTTGGACAGCCGCAACTAGACTGAAATCCTACCAGACAAGGATTCAGTAATCACTGGTAGATGCTGAGTATCTACAGTGGTGATTCTGACCTAGACACTTAAAGCATTTATACAGTTTATATTATCTTTGGCTCTGAACAGACCAGTATATAAAAACATATTAGACTAAGTGAATTAAAATGGAAATATAAAACTATTTACCATCAAAAGAATATACCCCACTTCAAGGTCTTGAAGGAGATTAAAAATCAATATACATAATTATGCTTTACGTGCAAAGTAAAAACACTAAGTTGGAAGAATTTTAAATATGGTAGAGTTGTGTGAAAACATTTCCCTCAGCAAATGAGATGATCCTAAAGCCCATAAATGTATTTTTTTTGTTTGTTTTTTGTTTTAGACAGTGTCTCACTCTGTCATTCAGGCTGGAGTGCAGTGGCGCGATCTCAGCTCACTGTAACCTCCACTTCCTGGGTTTGGGCAATTCTCGTGCCTCAGCCTCCTGAGTAGCTGGGATTATAGGTGTGCGCTACCATGCCAGCTAATTTTTGTATTTTTGGTGGATGGGGTTTCACCATGTTAGCCAGGCTGGTCTTTTTTTTTTTTTTGAGATGGAGTCTCGCTCAGTCGCCCAGGCTGGAGTGCAGTGATGCAATCTCGGCTCACTGCAAGCTCCGCCTCCCAGGTTCACACCATTCTCCTGCCTCAGCCTCCTGAGTAGCTGGGATTGCAGGCGCCCGCCACCACGCCTGGCTAATTTTTTTGTATTTTTAGTAGAGACGGGGTTTCACCATGTTAGCCAGGATGGTCTCGATCTCCTGACCTCATGATCCGCCTGCCTCGGCCTCCCAAAGTGCTGGGATTACAGGCGTGAGCCACCGCGCCCAGCCAACCAGGCTGGTCTTGAACTGAACTGGCCTCAAGCAATCTGCCCGCCTTGGCCTCCCGAAGTGCTGGGATTACGTGTGTGAGCCACTGTGCCTGGCCAACTGTACATATTTCTTAAGAAGTAAAATGATGGGCCAGGTACTGTGGCTCACGCCTGTAACCCCAGCATTTTGGGAGGCTGAGGCAGGTGGATCACTTGACCCCAGGAGTTCAAGACCAGCCTGGGCAACATGATGAAACCCCATCTCTACAAAAAATATAAAAATACAAAAATTAGCCTGGCATGTTGGTGCAGGCCTGTAGTCCCAGCTACTCAGGAGGCTGAGGCGGGAGGATAATTTGAGCCTGAGAAGTCGCGGCTGCAGTGAGCTGAGATGGCACCACTGCACTCCAGCTTGGGCGATAGAGAGAGACCCTGTCTCAAAAAAAAAAACAAAAGCTGCAGTGAGCTGAGATGGCACCACTGCACTCCAGCTTGGGCGATAGAGAGAGACCCTGTCTCAAAAAAAAAAAACAAAACAAGGCCGGGCGTGGTGGCTCATGCCTGTAATCCCAGCACTTTTGGGAGGCTGAGGCAGGTGAATCACCTGAGGTTGGGTGTTTGAGACCAGCCAGGCCAATGTGGTGAAACCCCATCTCTACTAAAAATACAAAAATTAGCCAGGCGTGGTGGCACACACCTGTATCCCAACTACTTGGGAGGCTGAGGCAGGAGAATTGCTTGAACCCGGGAGGCAGAGGTTGCAGCGAGCTGAGATTACACCATTGTACTCCAGCCTGGCAACAAGAGTGAAACTCCATCTCAAAAAAACAAAAACAAAAACCAAAAAAGAATTAGTAAAACGATGAAAAAAAATCATACATACTGTTCGAAAATGGCTACTTAGATGGTCTAGCCTGCTAAATCTTTTTCCACAAGCTTGACATGGATAGGGCCTTTCTCCTGTATGACAACGAAGGTGGCGCTTTAGGTCTGCCTTCCGCTTCACCACATGTGTGCAGTACGGGCACTTGAATCGCATCCGAGGCAGATCATCTGTCAAGAGACGCTTTGATTAAATCACTGGAAAGTTCATAACAATTCTAATAACAGAAAGAATCCAATCCAAGCCCAATGGAAACAAGGAAAGAAAAAAATAAACTTAAAAAAAAAGAAATAAAAAGAATTCACAAGGAGTTGGTTAGCCCAAAAAGTAAGAGACGAAAGAAATTTTATTAAGACTAGATTGTCAATGTAATCCTAAGTATGGAACTTTAACTTCGGTATTTGATATATTTAGAAAGTTGGGTAAATTCAGACTGCTATGCTTTTTTTTTTTTTTTTGAGATAGAGTTTCGCTCTGTTGCCCAGGCTGGAGTGCAATGGCGCAATCTCCACTCACTGCAACCTCTGCCTCCTGGGTTCTCCTGAAGCGATTCTTCTGCCTCAGGCTCCTGAGTAGCTGGGATTACAGACATGCGCCAGCACTCCCAGCTAATTTTTGTATTTTTCGTAGAGACATGGTTTCACCATGTTGGTCAGGTTGGTCTTGAACTCCTGACCTCATGATCTGCCCGCCTCAGCCTCCCAAAGTGCTGGGATTACAGGCGTGAGCCACTGTGCCCGGCCTGTATTTGTATCTTAATAAGCTAAATACTCCTCTGAGTAAGTACACAGGAAAAAAAAAAACTATTTAAAGTGAAAATATGTGTCTCAGGGATTGAACTATTTAGAAAAGAGCTTTAAACATTTAAGAGTAATCTAACCACCCACAGATACAGGTTTGGAAAATCATGGGTTTTGACCCTTAGTATTCTTATTATTTTGATTGTCATTATATTTATTCAATATTATTTTGAATTAAAAAATTTAAATCCACGTTTTATGAAATGAATTTCTTCTTTTTTTGTTTTTTTGAGACAGAGTCTCACTCTATCGCCCAGGATGGAGTGCAGTGGTGTAATCTCAGCTCCCTGCAACCTCCGCCTCCCGGGTTCAAGTGATTCTCCTGCCTCAGCCTCCTGAATAGCTGGGATTACAGGCACACATCACAATGCTCGGCTAATTTTTTTGTACTTTTAGTGGAGACGGGGTTTTGCCATGTTGGCCAGGCTGGTCTCGAACTCCTGACCTCAGGTGATCTGCCCGCCTCAGCCTCCCAAACTGCTGGAATCACAGGCGTGAGCCACCACGCCTATCCTTACTAAATAAATTTCATTACAAAAATAGAACTTTTGAAAAAAATCACTTGCTTCAACTGCTTAGAGCACCTGAAACTAAGGGTGTTTTGACAGTAGACTGATTAATATAGCAGTTTGGAACCTGGATGAGGGGACTTATGCTCTTTTTGGGTACCTGGAAAGCTTTTGGATGTGACATCAGATCCTTGACCGTACTGATAGCCAACAGGAGTAGAGTCCATTTCAGCATCAATCTGTGCTTGTTCTTCAGACTGGGAAACATGGCTGGAAGAATCAGATGTTCGTACTTCTCGTTTGCTTGACTTATAATGAGTAACTTCAGAAGGCTGTGACAATCTCAAATGTTTGGTCTTTTTAATGGACTCTTTCCTTGGTTCATGCTTGGCCAAGGGTTGTTGAGTATTCTTCTGGGAGGCTGGATGATAATTATACTTATTCCAAGATTTTCCACTTATTATACCTGTTCCTTGCTCTGGGCTTAGGTGAGAACGTGGAGAACTGCTTCCTTCTTGCCAGCCACCACTATAAAAAGAGGAACGTTCTACACCATTAGAATTGGCATCTTTATCTGAGAGACTGAAATAGCGATCTTTTTCTTTCTCACTAATGTCTAAGGAAGATTTAATAAAAGTCTTACATACACTTATGACATCAGTCATCTGAAGGAAGCTAGCAGCCGACATCACTTCTATGACATTCTGACCAGTAAGAGACAGTTTGCCAGAATATACGAAGTCCAAGATAACTGTAAAAGTGTCAGGGGAGAAAGCCTGAAATGTAGCTGTGGTTGGCTGACTCGTCTCCTTTGAATTCTGAGAAAGAAGCATTTTAAAGTAGCCGCTACTAGCGAATAATACATTTCGATGTGCTTTGAAGACCTTCCCTTCAACTAGAATACTGCAGTCACAAAATACATCTTGCCTGCGCTGCTCGTTCAGTTGCTGCAGGAGGTGAGACTGATGAGAGGAGATCTCCATTCTGAAGAGGAAAAGACACATGTGGTTACCAAAACCTACATTACAATTATTTTATTTTGTTTTGAGACAGGATCTTGCTCTGTGGCCCAGGCTGCAGTGCAGTGGTGTGATCAAAGCTCACTGTGGCTGGGCACAGTGGCTCACTCCTGTAATCCCAGCACTTTGGGAGGCCAATGCGGGGGAGATCACCTGAGGTCAGGAGTTCGAGGCCAGCCTGGACAACATGGCGAAACCCTGTCTCTACCAAAAATACAAAAATTAGCTGGGCGTGGTGGCGGGTGCCTGTAATCCCAGCTACTCAGGAGGCTGAGGCAGACAAATCGCTTGAACCTGGGAGGTGGAGGTTGCAGTGAGCCAAGATCACACCACTGCACTCCAGCCTGGGCCACAGAGCAAGACTCTATCTCAAAAAACAAACACCCCAAAAACAAACAAACAAAAAAAGCTCACTGCAACCTTGAACTCCTGGTTTCAAGTGATCCTCCTACCTCAGCCTCCCAAGTAGCTGGGACTACAGGTGTGCACCACCATGCCTGTTTTTTTTTGTTTTTTTGTTTTTAATAGAGATAAGGTCTCACCACGTACCCGAGCTGGTCTCCAACTCCTGGGCTCAAGCAATCCTCCTGCCTCAGCCTCCCAAAATGAACAATCCTTTTCTAAGGTGAGTCAACTAAAATAATAATCAGAAGCCTCTTTTATTCCATTAAGAACACTTTCTTGTTGGAGAATATAATCGCCAAGACACAGAAGATAATAGGTTTCAACATATCACTTAATACTAGACTGTTATCAGCCAGGCGTGGTGGCTCACGCCTATAATCCCAGCACTTTGGGAGGCCAAGGCGGGCAGATCACAAGGTCAAGAGATGGAGACCATCCTGGCCAACATGGTGAAACCCCGTCTCTACTAAAAATACAAAAATTAGCTGGGCATGGTGGTGCGTGCCTGTAGTCCCAGCTGCTCGGGAGCTGAGGCAGGAGAATCGCTTGATCCTGGGAGGTAGAGGTTGCAGTGAGCCGAGGTTGCGCCATGCACTCCAGCCTGGCGACAGAGTGAGACCCTGTCTGAAAAAACAAACAAACAAACAAACAAAAAACAAAAAAACAACTAGACCGTTATTAGATTTTAGAAAATTACTTGTTTTATTAGCAAAATTTATTGAGCATCTTCTTTCATTTTTTAAATATAGAGATGAGGTCTATGTTGCCCAGGCTGGTCTTGAACTCCTAGGCTCAAGCGATCCTCTGGCCTCAGCCTCCCAAAATGCTAGGATTACAGGCATGAGCCACTGCATCCAGCCAAGCATCTTCAATAAATCAGGCCTTCTGCTATATGCTGAACCAACACATTTGATTTTTGCCTTCATGTTGTTTTCAGTCTAAAAGTGTTATCAGACATTAAACAAAGACTCCAGCCCAGGGTGGTAGCTCACGCCTATAATCCCAGCACTTTGGGAGTCAGAGGCAGGAGGACAGCTTGAGCCCAGGAGTGTGAGACCAGCCTGTTCAACATAGCAAGACCCTGTCTCTACAAAATATATATATATATTTTAATTAGCCAGGTGTGATGGAGAACACCTGTAGTCCTAGCTCCTTGGGAGGCTGAAGCAGGAGGATCACTTGAGCCCAGGGGGTGAAGGCTGCAGTGAGCCATGATCATGCCACTCACTGTACTCCAGTCTGGGCCACAGAGAGAGACTCTGTCTCTAAAAAAGTTAAATTAGGCCGGGAGTGGTGGCTCACACCTGTAATCCTAGCACTTTGGGAGGCTGAGGCAGGCAGATCACTTGAGGTTAGGAGTTCAAGACCAGCCTGGCCAACATGGCGAAACCCTGTTTCTACTAAAAATACAAAAAAAAAAAAAAAAAAGTTTAGCTGGGCATCATGGCACACACATGTAATCCCAGTTATTTGGGAGGCTGAGGCAGGAGAATTGCTTGAACCCAGGAAGTGGAGGTTGCAGCGAGTTGAGATTGCACCACTGCACTCCAGCCTGGGTGACAAAGTGAGACTCCGTATTAAAAAAAAAGTTAAATTAAATTCAACAAAGACTTGTATGAAGTTACAATGACAAGTGCTAAGAAAGAAAGAAGGTGCTATGAGTAGCATAAAGGGGCTATGAGTAGTATCCTAGTTTAGACTGAGATGGACAAAGTTAGGGATACCTCTTTAGAAGTAACATTTAAACTGAGACCTCAAAGGTGAGCAGGAATTAGCCAGGTAGAGTGAGGAGAAAAATTTCTGGTTCCAGCAAGATAGGTGAAAACTTTCCTGCCACGAATTCCTAGAGACGCTGGATAAAATACAGCTGAAGTTTTTTAAATGTGTGGCTGGACTTGCAAGAAAGATGTAGAAATCCCTAGATGCCAGCTAAGCGGAGGCAGCACAGCCCAAGCTGTGTGGGCCAGTAATGGCTAAGGGACTAGGTCCTTACCAGTACCAAACTCTGATCTATTAGAACTGACAGCTGGGAAGTTAGAAACCTCTGAGGACCACAACCTTAGTGAAAAGGGACTAAAAATTCTGACCGTATGTCCAAGGAGAAGGTAAAAAAGTTTGTCTTTGCAGGGCCCTGGGTAGGGAAAAAAAAGGCCTTAGGTGAGATACTGAAGCCCAGTGGTTTGCCTTGTGAGATTCTGGAGACCAGATTTACTTTACCTGCTTGGTGTGGGAAATCTCAACCTGAAAAATTAACATGGGCAGGGCGCAGTGGCTCATGCCTGTAATCCCAGCACTTTGGGAGGCTGAGGTGGGCAGATCGCTTGAGCCCAGGAGTTCGAGACCAGCCTGGGCAACATGGTAAGATCCCCATCTCTATAAAAATAAATAAATAATAAATAAAGTTAAAAAAAAAGAAAAATTAACGTGAAAATTGGTCCTGGGCTGGTGGTGCCTTCAGGGCACCTTGCAGAAGCAAATGCAACATTGCTCAGGAAGGGTGGGTCTCTGAATCCAAGCCAGGCAGAAATAAACTATGCTTAAGCTGAACTCAAAATCATTCCCCTCTGTACATAAAGTGGATAATTACCAATATTGTATAAACATGATATCAAATATCTCCTATCTTAAAAATGAACAGAGGCCGGGCGTGGTGACTCACACCTGTAATCCCAGCACTTTGAGAGGCCGAGGCTGACGGATCACCTGAGGTCAGGAGTTTGAGACCAGCCTGGCCAGCATGGTGAAACCCCGTCTCTACTAAAAATACCAAAAAATCAGCCAGGCATGGCGGTGCCTACCTGTAATCCCAGCTACTCGGGAGGCTGAGGTAGGAGAATTGCTTGACCCCCAGAGGTGGAGGCTGTAGTGAGCAGAGATTGCGCCACTGCACTCCAGCCTGGGCAACAGACTGAGACTGCACCTCAAACAAACAAACAAACAGGCTGGGCGCGGTGGCTCACACCTGTAATCCCAGCACTTTGGGAGGCTGAGGCAGGCGGATCACCTGAGGTCAGGAGTTCTAGACCAGCCTGAGCAACATGGTGAACCCCTATCTCTACTAAAAATACAAATATTAGCTGGGTGTGGTGGCAGGTGCCTGTAATCCGAGCTACTCAGGAGGCTGAGGCAGGAGAATCGCTTGAACCTGGGAGGCAGAAGTTGCAGTGAGCCGAGATTGCGCCACTGCACTCCAGCCTAGGCGACAGAGCAAGACTCCAACTCAAAAACAAACAAACACATGTGCCAACAAAAACTTCCCCTTCAGCCTGGGTGACACAACAAGACTCTGTCTCAAAAACAAAAAACAAAAAAATCCTCCCCTTGATTTCACATCTACTTTTGGCCTCTATTCCATTTTTCTTTTCAACTCCCTTTACACAAAATTCATTGGAACAGTTTTGCTTTGTTTTATTTGTATTTGCTGTCTCCATGTCTCCTCCTGTCTCTCTTGATCAACCCATTCCAATCAGGTTTTCATCACCATCCATCAAAACCACTTTTTTTTTTGAGATAGAGTCTCACTCTGTCACCCAGGCTGGAGTGCAGTGGTGCGATCTTGGCTTACTGCAACCTCTGCCTCCCGGGTTCAAGAGATTCTCCTGCTTCAGCCTCCTGAGTAGCTAGGATTACAGGTGCATGCTACCATACCCAGCTAATTTTTGTATTTTTGGTAGAGATGGGGTTTCACCATGTTGGCCAGGCTGGTCTCGAACTCTCAACTTCAGGTGATCTGCCTGCCTCGGCCTCCCAAAGTGCTGGGATTATAGGTGTGAGCCATCGGGCCTGGCCAAAACCATTTTTATGGTTATTAGTAACTCACATGTTGTCAAATCCAATGATAATTTCTTTATCTTCATTTTGCCTACACAGTTGATCATTGTCTTCATCCTAAAACACTTTCTTCATTTGACCACCAGGACACTACCCCTTCATGGCTCTCCTACCTCACCGGCTACTCCTTCTCAGTCTCCTTTGCTGGTTCTTCTCCATTTTCCTAATCTCCAAATTTTGGAATGTATTGGGTCTCAGGCCTCAAACATCTTCTCTACCTATATCATTCCCTAGGGAGTATTTAGATCCCATCCAGGCTCATAGTTTCAAGCACCAAGCAAGCAATCAGCTCTGCACCGACACCAGCGAGTTGTCCTGTAACTCAATTCAATTCCAATACTATGTACCTGGAGAGAACATCAGATCCCACAGGTTGAAGGCTCGGTCCCATAAGGCATCCCCCAACTTCTGATGCAGGCCCCAGCTTGTTTTATGTGTGCTTCTGACTAACCAGCTATAAACTGGGGTTTCCATAACGCCCTCCTTAAGTTTGATTAATTTGCTAGAGTAGCTCACAGAACTTAGGAAAACACTTAAGTTTCTTGGTTTGTTATAAAGGATATTACAAAGGATACAGATGAAGAGATGCATAGGGCAAGGCACGTGGGAAGCGCTTGGAGCTTCCACGCCCTCCCCAAGTGCACCACCCTCCAGGAACCTCCACATGTTCAGCTATCTGGAAGCACTCCAAATCCAGTCCTTTTGGGTTTTATGGAAACTTCATTATGTAGGCATAACTGATTACAGCATTTGCCATTGGTGATCAAATTAACTTTTAGCCTCTCTCTCCTCCCCAGAGGCTGGGGGGTGGGCTGAAAGTCCTACCTCTCTACTCCTGCTTGATCTTTCTGGTGACCAGCCCCAAACCTGAAGCTACCTAGAGGCTGCCAGCCAGCCAGCAGTCAATTCACGAGCATACAAAAAGATATCACTTTGGAGATTCTAAGGATTTTAGTTGTATCCCAGGAAAGAGGGATGAGGACCAAACACATATTTCATAATATCATAGCATCTTTTTTAAAAAATTATTTATTTTAAATAAATAGAGATACAGTCTCACTATGTTGTCCAGCCTGGTCTCAAACTGCTGGGCTCAAACGATCCTCCTGCCTTGGCCTCCCTAAATGCTGGGATTACAGGCATGAGCCACCACGCCCAGCCAATCACAGCATCTTAACATGTGCAAAACCATACTTTTTGTTCACCTCCATCCTAAATCTACCTTTCCTACAGTCTTATCCATCTTAGGAAATGTAATCTCCATTCTACCAGCTGTTTAGATCAAAGACATTGAGTCGTCTTTGACTCCATGTTGTTGGTTTTACCTTCAGAATAGCAAAATCCCACCACTTCTCTCCAAGACTGCTGCTGCCACCTTGATCCAAGTCACCATCACTTATCATCTAGAGGCTATTTATCTGAGATGGAGTTTCGCTCTTGTTGCCCAGGTTGGAGTGCAGTGGTGTGATCTCGGCTCACTGAAACCTCGGCCTCCAGAGTTCAAGCGATTCTCCTACCTCAGCCTCCCGAGTGGCTGGGATTACAGGCGCCTGCCACCACGCCCAGCTAATTTTTGTATTTTTAGTAGAGACGGATTTTGCCATGTTGGCCAGGCTGGTCTCGAACTCCTGACCTCAACCGCCCGCCTCGGCCTCCCAAAGTGCTGGGATTACAGGCGTGAGCCACCGCACCTGACCCTAAAGGCTATTTTAATAGCTTCCTTGCAACTTCAGCCTAGTCTGAATACAGCAGCCACAGTGATCCTTCTAAAACGTAAGTGAAATCACATTACTCCTCTGCACAAAACCTTCCAATGGTTTATCATCCAACTCCAAAGTTCTTCTCATAACCTAAAAGGCCCTATATGATCTGCATGCTCCCCATCCCAGTACTTCTCTAACCTCATCTCCACCGCTCTGCTCCTCACTCACTGCATTCTAGCTACCAGGACCTCTGCTTGTTTCTGAACATTCAAGGTATGTTCCTGCCACACAGCCTTTGTACTTGCCAGTCTCTCTACTTGGAACATTCTTCCCCCAGATAAACAGAGCTCACATTTTCACTTCCTATAGGTTTCTGTTCCAACGTCACCTTATCAGACAGGCTTTCCTTTAACAATCTATAAGCACTCCTTCTCACTCTCTGTACCTTTATGTATTTGTTTATTATCTGTCTTCTCCTACTAAAATGTAAAGTCCAAGAGAGAAGAGACTTTGCCTATTTTGCTTACTTATGTATTCCAGCTCCTTGAACAGCTCTTAGACAACAGATAGTCAATTAATGCTGTTGAATGAATGATTCAAAAATGTTAAAACACATAAGGAAATAGTTCTTTTTTTTGAGACGGAGTCTCGCTCTTGCTGCCCAGGCTGGAATGCAATGGCGAGATCTCGGTTCACCACAGCCTCTGCCTCCCGGGTTCAAGCAATTCTCCTGCCTCAGCATCCTGAGTAGCTGGGATTACAGGCATGCACCACCACCCCGGTTAATTTTGTATTTTTTTAAGTACAGACGGGGTTTCTCCCTGTTGGTCAGGGTGGTCTCAAACTCCCAAACTCAGGTGATCCACCCACCTTGGCCTCCCAAAGTGCTGACATTACAGGCATGAGCCACCGTGCCCGGCCAGAAATCGTTCTTTTTTTTTGTTTTTGTTTTTGAGACGGAATTTCACTCCTGTTGCCCAGGCTGGAGTGCAATGGCGCGATCTTGGCTCACCGCAACCTCCACCTCCTGGGTTCAAGCAATTCTCCTGCCTCAGCCTCCTGAGTAGCTGGGACTATAGGAGCCCGCCACCACGCCCGGCTGATTTTTGTATTTTTAGCAGAGACGGGGTTTCACCATGTTTGCCAGTCTGGTCTCGAACTCCTGACTTCAGGTGATCCACCCACCTTGGCCTCCCAAAGTGCTGGGATTACAGGTGTTGAGCCACCAGGGCTGGCTTCAAGTAACATTTTTTTCAAAAATGCTGTCGACCCTTCTACCTCATAAACATTAGCATCAGTTTGACAAGCTTCATTATTGTATTGAACTTATAGATTAATTTAGGGGAGAATTCACATCTTTATAATGTTGAGTCTCACCATCCGTGAACATGGTATACTTCATTTATTCAGGTCTTTCCTACTCTTCAATGTTATTTGCTCTGTTAAGATCTTACATATTTTTGTTAGATTTATTCCTACTGCTCATGGATTTTATTGCTATAGTGAATGGGCATTTTTTTTCCTATTGCATTATTACTGGTTTATAGGCATACTATTCATATTTGTATATTAATCTGGTATGTAGCAACCTCTCTTATTAGCTAAAGTCTCTTATTCTAATGGTTTATCCAGAGATTTTCTGAGTCCAGGTGCTATAGCTCACACCTATAATCCCAGCACTTTGGGAGGCCAAGTTGGGAGAATCGCTTGAGCCCAGGAGTTCAAGAGCAGCCTGGGCAACATAGGGAGACTGTCTCTACAAAAATAAGAAAATGGCACATATCTGTGGTCTTGGCTACTTGGGAGGCCGAGGTAGGAGGATTGCTTGAGCCCAGGAGGTTGAGGCTGCAGTAAGTCATGATGGTGCCACTGCACTCCTGCCTGAGCCTCAGAGCAAGACCCTTCTCAAAAAAAAAAAAAAAAAAAAAAGAAATCTGAAACATTCTTCGTAGATAATTATATGTCTGCAAATAAGGAGTTTTATTTCATGTAGTCCCATTTTTCTGTCTCATTTCTTATGTTTGTCCTATTGCATGTGCTAGGATCTCCCATAAAGTGTGGAAAAGAGGCTATGACAGCAGGCGTCATTTGCTGAATGGAAACACTGCTAAAATTTAACTATTAACAATGATGTTTAGGCTGGGCATGGTGGCTTACACCTCTAATCGCGGCACTTTGGGAGGCCAAGGCGGGAGGATCACTTGAGCCCAGGAGTTTGAGACCAGCCTAGGCAACAAAGTGAGATCCTGTCTCTACAAACAAAACAAAACAAAAAAAATTAGCTGGGCATGGTGGCATGCACCTGTGGTTCCAGCTACATGGGATGCTGAGGTGGCAGGACCCCTCGAGCCCAGGAGCTCAAGGCTGCAGTGATCCTTGTTTGTGCCACTGCACTCCAGCCTGGGCAACAATGACAGACTCTATCTCAAAAAAAAAAAAAAAAAAAAAGAAAGAAAGAAAGAAAAAAAGAATGATGACGTTTAGTATAGGAGTTTGATTGGTGCCCTTTTGTTTTCAATTTGCTAAAACTTAAAAAATCGTAAATTAGTGCTAAATTGTATTAAGTGTTTATTCTGCATTTATACGTTTTCCCGTCTTTGTATATTAGTTTCCTAGGGCTGCCATAACAAAGTACCACAAACTAGGTAACTTAAAAAAATATAATTTTATTGTCTTGCAATCTGGAGGCTAGAAATCCAAAATTAAATTGCAAACAGGACCATGGTTTTTCTGAAACCTGTAAGGGAGGAATCCTTCTTTATTTCATTCTATCTTCTGGTGGCCCTAGGTGTTCCTTGGTTTGAAGCAGCTTATCCCCAATCTCTGCCTCTGTCTTCATATGGCCATCTTCTCCCTGCGTGTGTGTCTCTGTATCTTTACAAAGTATTCTCTCCTCCTTGGTCAGGTGTGGTGGCTTACACCTGTAATCCCAGCACTTTGGGAGGCCGAGGCAGGTGGATCACTTAAGGTCAAGAGTTCGAGACCAACATGGTCACCATGGTAAGCTCAACATGGTAAAACCCTGTCTTTACTAAAAATACGAAAAGGAGCCAGGCATGGTGGCGGGCCTCTGTAATTCCAGCTACTCGGGAGGTTGAGGGAGGAGAATCGCTTGAACCTGGGTGGCGGAGGTTGCAGTGAGCTGAGATCCCGCCACTGCACTCTAGCCTGGGTGACAGAGTGAGACTCCATTTCAAAAACAAAAAACCCAAAGTATTCTCTCCTCACATCTTCACACTGTCTTCTCATAAGGACACCAGTGATACTGGATTAAGGGCCCACCCTACCCTAGTGACCATGTCTTAATTTAATTACATCTTCAATGGCCTTATTTCCAAA
Organism: Homo sapiens; assembly: GCF_000001405.40. Classification (NCBI taxonomy): domain Eukaryota; kingdom Metazoa; phylum Chordata; class Mammalia; order Primates; family Hominidae; genus Homo; species Homo sapiens. Next base: position 32,583,617 of record NC_000001.11, on the reverse strand, counting down.
TAAAAGACTGCAGATTAGGGCTTAATCATATCATTTTGGGGGAACAAATTTAACCCATAACAATCTATTAAAATGGTATATTACATTAATGGATTTCTTGGATGTTGAATGACCTTTGTATTACTGGAATAATCTAATCTAGTCTTAACCTATGAGTGAGACTATATTAATGCCTCACCATCTGAACTCCCACCCCAGATTCAGTCACTTAACCTGACTTTTTTTTTTTTTTTTTTTGAGACAGGGTCTCACTCTGTCACCCAGGCTGGAGTGCCAGTGGCACAATCTTGGCTCACTATAACCTCTGCTTCCCAGGTTCAAGCAATCCTCCTACCTCAGCCTCTAGAGTAGCTAGGACTACAGGCTTGCACCCCCATGCCTGGCTAATTTTCTGTATTTTTAGTAGAGATGGGGTTTCACTGTTTCCCAGGCTGGTCCCAAACTCCTGGGCTCAAGCAATCCACCTGCCTCAGTCTCCCAAAGTGTTGGGATTACAGGTGTGAGCCACTGCACCTGGCCTAAGCAGTTATTTAAAAAATACATTAACTTCTACTCAGTACTCTATGAAAGTTATAAATATGAACATATATACAGATGAAGACCCTATAATGAATTAGTTCTCAAGGAGTTTTATCTATAATGAAGTTTCTTCCATGTTTAATATATAGGCCAGGTTCTACTAGTAATGGGCTTCGAAATCCCAAATCTCCCAGAAATTATTAAACAAAAAAGACTGAGTCACTTAGCTAGGGATTGGACATTCTCATTATGCGCCCAAAGACCCAGCTTTTGCTGAGTCCTTATATGACCTTGTTTCTGGAGTACAGACAAACCCGGGATACTGTGCTAACAGAGACATAATATATGCATGGTTATGTCAGACAAGTGCGGAACAAGACATCTGGGAATATTGCTACAGAAGCATTAAATCAATGCCTAATCTTTTACAGGTTGAGTATCCTTCTTTTTTTTTTTTGAGAGAGTTTCACTCCTGTTGCCCAGGCTGGAGTGCAATGGCACGATCTCACTGCAACCTCCGCCTCCCGGGTTCAAGCGATTCTCCTGTCTCAGCCTCCCAAGTAGCTGGGATTACAGGTATGTGCCACCATGTCCAGCTAATTTTTGTATGTTTAGTAGAGACAGGGTTTCTTCATGTTTGTCAGGCTGGTCTCAAACTCCTGACCTCAGGTGATCCGCCCACCTTGGCCTCCCAAAGTGCTGGGATTACATGGGTAAGCCACTGCACCCAGCCAGGTTGAGTATCCTTTATCCAAAATGCTTGGGACCAGAAGCATTTTGAATTTTATATTTTTTTGGATTTTGGGATATTTCCATTATACTTAGGTTCAGCATCCCTAATTGGAAAATCCAAAATCCAAAATGCTCCAGTGAGCATTTCCTTTGAGCATCAAGTTAGTACTCAAAAAGTTTTAGATTTTGGAGCATTTCAGATTTTGAATTTTTGGGTTAGGGATACTCAACCTGTACTAGCATATCCTCTCAGTTAAAATATAATAATTCCTCTGTTCTCTTTGAAACAAGGTAGTTGGGTCATGACTACATTTTTTTGATATGATAAATAATGCTTAATATGGTTTGGCTGTGTCCCCACCCAAAATCTCATCTTGAATTGTAATCCTCATGGGTAGGACCAGGTGGAGGTAACTGAATGATAGGAGCAGCTCCGCCCATGCTATTCTCATTACAGTGAGTGAGTCTCACGAGATCTGATGGTGTTGTAAGCATCTGGCATTTCCTCTGCTGGCACTCACTCCATCCTGCCGCCCTGTAAAGATGCCTGCTTCTCCTTCACCTTCTGCCATGATTGTAAGTTTCCTGAGGTCTCCCCAGCAATGCAGAACTGAGTCAATCAAACCTCTTTCTTTTATGAATTACCCAGTCTCAGGTATTTCTTCGTATCAGTGTGAGAACAAACTAATACAATGCTGCAACAAATACTTTTGCAGGCTGGGGACGGTGGCTCACGCCTGTAATCCTAGCACTTTGGGAGGCCGAGGCGGGTGGATCACCTGAGGTCAGGAGTTTGAGACCAGCCTGGCCAACGTGGCGAAACCCCATCTCTACTAAAAATACAAAAATTAGCCAGACATGTTGGCGTGCGCCTGTAATCCCAGCTACTTGGGAGGCTGAGGCAGAAGAATCGCTTGAACCTGGGGGATGGAGGTTGCAGTGAGCCAAGGTCTTGCCATTGCACTCCAGCCTGGGCAACAAGAGGGAAACTCTATCTCAAAAAAAATATATATATAATACATATTTTTATATATTATATATACTTATATATTATATATTATTATATAATATATAAATATATATTAATATTGTATTATTATATTAATATATATCTATATATTACAATTATATAATATATTATATTATATTATATATAATATATAATATAACATATTTATAATATAACTATATTATAATATAGTTATAATATATTTAATATATATAAATATATATAATATAGTTATATATATTATATATTATATATATTTAATATATTATCTATATATAATCCTTGAGCATTGCTATGGTTTTAATGTCCCTACAAACTCATGTAACAGTATTAAGAGGTAACAGTATTAAGAGGTAGATTAAAGAAGTTATTAGGTCGTGTGGACACCTCATTCATGCATGGATTAATGCCGTTATCTTGGGAGTGGGTTAGTTAGCATGGGAGTGGGCTCCTGCTAAGAGTTTGGCCCCCTTGTTGTCTCTCTGTGTTGCTCCTGTGCTTCCTTGCCATGGGATGCCTTCCACCATCCGATGATCCTTGCCAGATGCTGGCATGAGATCTGTGAGCCAAATAAACTTCTGCTCTTTATAAATTACCCAGTCTGTGGTATTCTGTTATAGCAACAGAAACGGACTAAGACAAGCATTTAGGACATAATTTGATTCCTAGAAGTCCAGTTGTTAAGTGGGTACTGACAAACGGCCTTCCGAAAACACTATATCAATTTGTATCTCCATCAACACCATAGGACAGTGCCCTTTTCCCCAGTATTGTCATTAACCCTGAAAATTCTCTTTTTTTTTTTTTCAGACAGAATCTTACTCTGTTGCCCAGCCTGGAGTACAGTTGTGCGATCTTGGTTCACTGCAACCTCTGCCTCCCAGGTTCAAGCAATTCTCGTGCCTCAAGCTTCCCTAATAGCTGGGACTATAGGCATGTGCCACCATGCCTGGCTAATTTTTAGTAGAGACGGAGTTTCACCATGTTGGCCAGGCTTGTCTCGAACTCCTGAACTCAAGTGATCTGCCTGCCTCAGCCTCCCAAAGTGCTGGGATTATATACAGGCATGAGCCACTGTGCCCAGTCAATGCTCTCTTTAAAAAAATTTTTTTTGTTTTTGTTTTTTTGAGATGGAGTCTCACTTTGTAGCCCAAGCTAGAATGCAGTGGTGCGATCTTGGCTCACTGCAACGTCCACCACCCAGGCTCAAGTGATTCTTCAATCCACCTGCCTGAGCTTCAAGTTCTGGGATTATAGGTGTGAGCCACCATGCCCGGCCTCCCTTTAAAATGTTGTCCCATCTACCCTTACAGAAAAATACCAGGAAAATATCAATACTATTATTTAACATTGTCCTGGAAGTACTAGCCAATGAATTAGACAAGATAACTAACTACAACGTGTGAATATTAGAAATAATAAGTTATTATTACTGCAGGTGATACTGTATATCTATAAAGTAAAAAATGTAAAATCAGAAAACTATAAAAGTAAAATTCTTTTCACATGTTGGAGTAACTGGTACTAGACTTGGCCTTCTGCTATAAACAATTAGAAAAACTGAACAAAATACATGAAAAAAATTGTTTTCAGACAATGAAATCAGTGAGTATGCGACTGTGATCCCTGAGAGAATGGAACCAAGTGAGGTATGTCCTACTATCACTTTGGCTTTCTGGACTGGAATACAGGAAGAGAAAATCACACTGAATGGAGCAGAGATCAGTGTTCAGGAACATGAGGTGCCTGGAAGTTTGAGGCAAAGTACCAGAGAAGAAGCAACTATGCAAAGAGATCAATAACTCTTCACAGGAGTCCTGAGTTTCTATGAGCAGAAAAATTCCCAGAGCTCACACAGAGTTGGAAGATATTTAAGTTGTTTTTTTTCTTTTCTTTTTTTTTTTTTTGAGATGGAATCTTGCTCTGTTGCCCAGGCTGGAGTGCAATGGTGTGATCTCAGCTCACTGCAACCTCCGCCTCCCGGGTTGAAGTGATTCTCCTGCTTCAGCCTCCTGAGTAGCTGAGATTACAGGCGTCTGCCACCATGCCCCGGCTAATTTTTGTATTTTTTAGTAGAGACGGGGTTTCACCATGTTGGTCAGGCTGGTCTTGAACTCCTAACCTTAGGTGATCCATCCGCCTCAGCCTCCCAAAGTGCTGGTATTTTAGGTGTGAGCCAGTGCGCCTGGCTGATATTTAAGTTTTGACCAGCCAGAGTAAACATTCTTTGCTGAAGCTGAACATCCAGGGCATAAAGTAGAGACCCTGGAAGAGTAATATCTTAGTAGTACGACTAACCTAACACAACAGTAAAGATAACTCTAGAACTGCCCCAAAGCTTAAAAACAAGCCTCCAAATCAAGCTGATCCATTAACAAATTAACAAGTAAACCAAAATTCAATTAAAGACAGACAACAAAATTCAGACACTCAAAAATATATATTTATAGTGTCCACCATTCCATAAAAAAAAGATTAGTGCTGGGCACAATGGCATGAGGCTGTAGTCCCGCCTACTTGAAAAGCTGAGGCAGCAGGATCGCTTGAGTCCAGGAGTTAGAGGCTGTAGCGCGCTATGATCACACCTGTAAATAGCCACTGCACTCCAGCCTGGATAACACAGTGAGAGCCTGTCTCCATAAATAAATAAATAATAAATAAATAAAATATTTTTTTAAATCAGAAGGAAAAATTCGTCAATAGAAACAGATCTAGAAATGAAAGAGATGCTAGAGTTAGCAAAGAAGGATGTAAAAGCATTAACTATACATATACTCAAAGATTTTTTTAAAAATGAACATATTGAAAGATATAAAAATAGTCAAATAAAATTTCTAGAAATTAGGGCCGGGCCTGGTGGCTCACGTCTGTAATCTCAGCACTTTGGGAGGCCAAGGCGGGCGGATCACTTGAGGTCAGGAGATGGAGACCAGACTAGCTAACACAGTGAAACCACGTCTCTACTAAAAATACAAAAATTAGGCTGGATGTGGTGGCTCAGGCCTGTAATCCCAGCACTTTGGGAGGCGGAGGCAGGCAGATCACCTGAGGTCAGGAGTTTGAGACCAGCCTGCCCAACATGGCAAAATCCCATCTCTACAAAAATACAAAAAAAAAAAAAAAAAATTAGCCAGGAGTGGTGGCATGCTCCTGTAATCCCAGCTACTTGGGAGGCTGAGGCAGAAGAACTGCTTGAACCCGGGAGGTAGAGGTTGCAGTAAGCTAGGGTTGTGCCAGCCTGGGCGACAGAGCAAGACTCCATCTCAAAAAACAAACAAACAAAAAAATTAGCTGGGGATGGTGGCACGCACCTGTAATCCCAGCTGCTGGGGAGGCTGAGGCAGGAGAATCACTTGAACCCAGGAGGTGGAAGTTGCAGTGAGCTGAGATCACACCACTGCACTCCAGACTGGGCAATAGAGCAACACTCCCTTTCAAAAAAAAAATTTATAGAAATCAAAAAATACAGTATCTGGGCCAAGTGAAGTGGCTCACACCTGTAATCCCAGTATTTTGGGAGGCTGAAACAGGCAGATTACTTGAGGCCAGGAGTTTGAGACCAGTCTGGACAACTTGGTGAAACCCCCTCTCTACTAAAAGTACAAAAATATTAGCAGGGGTGGTGGCAAACACCTGTAATCCCAGTTACTCGGGAGGCTAGGGCATGAGAATCATTTGAACCTGGGAGGTGGAGGCTACAATGAGCTGAGATCGTGCCAGCCTGGGTGACAGAGAAAGACTCTGTCTCAAAAAAAAAAAAAAAAAAAAAAAGAATACAATATCTGAAATTAAAAATGCATTAGATGGGCTTAATAAGAGATTATAAACTGCAGAAGACTACTCCATGAATTTGAAGACATGAAGTGGAAATTATCTGAACTAAAGTTAAAAAAAAAAAAAAGACTGACGGCAGGGCTCAGTGGCTCACGCCTGTAATCCCAGCACTTTGGAAGGCTGAGGCGGGTGGATTGCCTGAGCTCAGGAGCTCAACACCAGCCTGGGCAACAGAGTGAAACACACCTGTAATCCCAGCTACTGAGGAGGTTGAGGCATGAGAATCGCTTGAACCTGGGAGGTGAAGATTGCAGTGAGCTGAGATCGCGCCACTGCACTCCAGCCTGGGCAACAGAGCAAGACTCTGTCTCAAAAAGAAAACAAAAAAGGACTGACAAAAAATGAACAAAGGCCAGGCATGGTGGCTCACATCTGTAATCCCAGCACTTTGGGAGGCCAAGGCGGGCAGATCACCTGAGGTCAAGAGTCGAGACCAGCCTGGCCAACATGGTGAAACCCTGTCTTTACTAAAAAATACAAAAAATTAGCTTGGTGTCATGGTGCACACCTGTAATCCCAGCTACTAGGGAGGCTTAGCCAGGAGAATCACTTGGACCTGGAAGGCGGAGGTTGCAGTTAGCTGAGATCATGCCACTGCACTCCAGCCTGGATAACAGAGTGAGACTCAATCTCAAAAAAAAAAGAAAAAAAAAAAAAGAGTCTGTGCATGGTGGCTCACGCCTGTAATCCCAGCACTTTGAGAGGCCAAGGTGGGCAGATCACTTGAGGTCAGGAGATGGAGATCAAACTGGCCAACATGGTGAAACCCTGTGTCTACCAAAAATACAAAAATTAGGCTGGGCGTGGTGGCTCAGGCCTGTAATCCCAGCACTTTGGGAGGCCGAGGCAGGCAGATCACCTGAGGTCAGGAGTTTGAGACCAGCCTGGCCAACATAGTGAGACCCCGTCTCTATTAAAAACACAAAAATTAGCCAGGCATGGTGGTGGGCACCTGTAGTTCCAGCTACTCAGGAGGCTGAGGCAGAAGAATCGCTTGAACTTGGGAGGTGGAGGTTACAGTGAGCCAAGATTGCGCCATTGCACTGCAGCCTGGGCAACAAGAACGAAACTGTCTCAAAGAAAAAAAAATGAACGGAGCTTTAGTGAAATGTGGAACAATATCAAATAGTCTAATATATTTGTAACTGAGGTTCCAGAAACGGTGGGGACAGAAAAAACATTTGAAGAAAAAGGGAAAAACAGAAATATACTGTAAGGTTCTTATAATATACATGAGAAGTTGACAAACTTTTACTTAAAAGGCCACACAGTAAATACTTTTGGCTTTGCAGGCTATGTAGCCTCCATTGCAACTACTCAACCCTGTTCTTATAGCACAAAATGTGTCATATTTATGTAGACATTTTGGACTTGATGAAAAAATATGTAAATGAATGACCATGGCTATGTTCCCATAAAACCTTATTTACAAAAGCAGGTAGGCATTCAGGCTTGGCTTGAAGGCTGTAGTTTGTGAAATCTGCTATATATGAAGCTCTATAATATGTGATGAGTAATAAGTGAAATGCATATTGTGATGAGGGAAAATGCATATTGTAATCCTGAGAGCAACTACTAAAAATAAGACAGAGATTAAGTTAATAAGCCAATAGTGGAGATGAAACAGAATACTAAAAAAGTACTCAATATTCTTTTCGTTTGTTTGTTTCAGGGATAGGGTCTGGGTTTGTTGTCCAGGCTGGAGTTCAGTGGCATGATTATAGCTTTACCGTAACCTTGAACTCCTGGCCTCAAGTGATCCTCCCACCTCAGCCCCCCGAGTAGCTGGGACTACAGGAGACCACCATCATGCCTATTTTTTTTTTTTTTAATTTTTTGCAGAGATGGGGTCCTGCTGTGTTGCTCAGGCTGGTCTTGAACTCCCGGCCCTAAGCGATCCTCCCACCATGGACCCTCAAAGTATTGGGATTATAGGCGTGAGCCACCTCAATATTCTTTAACTGAGGCAGGATAAAGAAAAGCAAAAGAACAAAAGATGGGCCGGGCGCGGTGGCTCACGCCTGTAATCTCAGCACTTTGGGAGGCTGAGGCGGGCAGATCATGAAGTCAGGAGTTTGAGACCAGCCTGGCCAGCATGGTGAAACCCCATCTCTACTAAAAATACAAAAATTAGCCAGGTGTGGTGGCAAGCACCTGTAATCCCAGCTACTCAGGAGGCTGGAGCAGGAGAATCGCTTGAAACCTGAAGGCAGAGGTTGCAGTGAGCTGACATTGTGCCACTGCACTCCAGCCTCGGGGAAAGAGCGAAACTGTCTCAAAAAAAAAAAAAAAAAAAAGGAAAGAAAAGAAAACAAAAAGAACAAAAGACATTAAAAAAAAGTTGGCATAAATAGGAAACAAATAGCAAGACAGTACACTTAAATCCAACTATATTGATAATTACATTAAATGTTAATAGTCTGAACTCCATTTAAAAAGGACATTATCAGGCCAGGCATGGTGGCTCACGCCTGTAATCCCAGCACTTTGAGAGGCCAAAGTGGGAGAACTACTTGGGGGCAGCAGTTCAAGACCAGCCTGGGCAACACAGAGAGACACCCATCTCTACAAAATAAAAATTAGCTTGGCATGGCGGCATGCACCTGTGGTCCCAGCTACTGATGGGGCTGAGTTGTGAGAATCACTTGTGCTTAGGAGGTCAAGTCTGCAGTGAACCATGTCAGCACCACTGCAACTCTAGCCTGGGTGACAGAGTGAGATCCTGTCTCAAAATAATAAAATAAATAAAACACTTGAGCAATACTATCAACCAACTTGGACAAATTTACATTTACAGCACACTCTACACAACAAGAGCAAAATATACATTCTTTTTAAGTACACAGCAAACATTAATCAAGATAGACCATACCCTGAGCCATAAAACATGTTATAATTTTTTAAAAAATTTTTATTTTTTAATTTTAGAGACAGGGTCTTGCTCTGTCTTTCAGTCTGGAGTGCAGGGCTGCAATCATAGCTCACTATAACCTCAAACTTCTGGGCTCATGCAATCCTCCAGCCTCATCTTCCCAAGTAACTAGGACCACAGGTGCATGCCACCACACCTGGCTAATTTTTAAGTTTTTTGTAGAGTCAGGGGTCTGCCTACATTGCCCAGGCTGGTCTCAAACTCCTGGCCTCAAGTTATCCTCCTGCCTCAGCCTCAGGGATTACAGGCGTAAGCCACCGCACCTGGCCTAAGTTTTTAGTATATTTAAAGGATTAAAATCACACAGAGTATGTTCTTTGACCATATACAATCAAACTAGAAGTCAATAGCACATGAAAATCCTGAAATACTTGGAAATTAAACATTAAACTTCTAAATAAATAGACATTTATAGAATACTCTACACAAATCAAAATGTGTTGTTTGCAGTTCAAGCAGTTTAGAGGAAAACGTATAGTTCATTTATTATTTTATTTATTATTTTTTATTTTTTGAGACAGAGTTTTCGCTCTTGTTGCCCAGGCTGGAATGCAATGGTGCGATCTCAGCTCACTGCAACCTCCGCCTCCCGGGTTCAAGCGATTCTCCTGCCTCAGCCTCCCGAATAGCTGGGATTACAGGCACGCGCTGCCACACCCGGCTAATTTTTTGGATTTTTAGTAGAGATGGGGTTTCACCATGTTGGTCAGGTTAGTCTCGAACTCCCGACCTCAGGTGATCCGCCTGTCTCGGCCTCCCAAAGTGCTGGGATTACAGGCATGAGCCACTGCGCCCGGCCAGGAAAATGTATAGTTTTAAATTCTTATATTAAAAAAAAAAAAAAAAAAAAAAAGTTTTAGCTGGGTGTGGTGGCTTTTGCCTGTAATCCCAGCACTTTGGGAGGCTGAGATGGGCAGATCACTTGAGCCCAGGAGTTCGAGACCAGCCTGGGCAACATAGTGAAACCCTGTCTCTACAAAAAATACAAAAAATTAGCCAAATGTGGTGGCTTACGCCTGTAGTCCCAGCTATTTGGGTATCTAAGGTGGGAGAATCACCCGAGCCCAGGAAGTCGAGGCTGCAGTGAGCCATGATCATGCCACCACACATCAGCCTGGGTGATGGGAGTGAGACCTTTCTCAATTAAAAAAAAAAAAAAGAAGAAGAAAGTTCTGAAAAAATTAATGAGTTAAGTTTCAACTTAAGAATCTAGAGAAGGGCCAGGCGCGGTGGCTCACGCCTGTAATCACAGCACTTTGGGAGGCCGAGGCGGGCAGATCACGAGGTCAGGAGTTCGAGACCAGCCTGACCAACGTGCTGAAACCCCATCTCTACTAAAAAAAAAAAAAAAAAATTAGCCGGGTGTGGTGGCACGCACCTGTAATCCCAGCTACTCAGGAGGCTGAGGCAGGAGAATCACTTGAACCTGGGAGGGGGAGGTTGCAGTTAGCTGAGATCATGCCACTGCACTCCAGCCTGGGTGACAGAGGGAGACCCAGTCTCAAAAAAAAAAAAAAAAAAGAATCTAGAGAACTAGAGAAAAGGAGATCAAATTAAACCCAATGTATGTAGAAGGAAGGAAATGAACAAAATAGAAACCAAAGAAATGATAGAGAAAAATCAATGAAACCAAAAGCTGGTTATCTGTATCAGTATCAATAAATTAATCATTATCAATAAAGATTGATTAACCTTTAGCTAGATCAACCAAGAAAAAAAAAAAGAAGACATAAATTACCAGTATTAGGAATGAAAGAGGGAAGCATCACTACAGATTTTACAAACATTGAAAGAATAAAAAGAAACTATTATGAACTCTATGCTAATACATTCAACAAATTAAATGAAATAGATGAATTTCCTGAGTGATATAAGTGATCAAAATTAGTATAAGAGGCCGGGCATAGTGGTTCATGCCTGTAATCCCAGCACTTTGGGAGGCCAAGGTGGGTGGATTACCCGAGGTCAGGAGTTTTGAGACTAGCCTGGCCAACATGGCGAAACCCCATCTCTACTAAAAATACAAAAATTAGCCAGGTGTGGTGGTGTGTGCCTATATTCCTAGCTGCTCAGGAGGCTGAGACATGAGAATCACCTGAACCCAGGAGGCGGAGGTTGCAGTAAGGTGAGATCACGCCACTGTACTCCAGCCTGGGTAACAGAGTGAGACTCTGTCTCAAAAAAAGAAAAAAAAAACCTAATACAAGAAAAAAATTAAAAATCTGAATAGCCATATATCAAACTTAAAATTTAAATTATATTAAATCAATTTAAAATATAACTTAAAAACTGCCCACAAAGAAAACTCCAGACCCAAATGGCTTCAGTGTTGAATTCTATCAAACATTTAAGAAAGACATAATACTCATCTATGCAAACACTTTCATAAAATAGACAAGGAGAAAAACTTTCAACTCATTTTATGAGGCCAGTATTACTCTGATACCTAAACCAAAGACATTATAAGAAAATAAAACTACAGACCAATATCCCTTGTAAACATGGACACAAAAATCCTAAATTAGCTGGGCGTGGTGGTGTGCACCTGTAGTCCCAGCTACTCAGGAGGCTGAGACAGGAGAATCACTTGAACCTGGGAGGCAGAGGTTGTAGTGAGCCAAGATTGTTCCACTGCACTCTAGCCCAGGTGACAGAATGAGATTCCGTCTCAAAAAAAACAAACAAAAAAAACCCCCAACCTAATATTATATTTGTGGCCGGGCGCAGTGGTTCACACCTGTAATTCCAGCACTTTGGGAGGCCGAGGCGGGTGGATCACCTGAAGTCAGGAGTTCGAGACCAACCTGGCCAACATAGCAAAACCTTATCTGTACTAAAAGTACAAAAAAATTAGCTGGGCGTGGTGGCGGACGCCTGTAATACCAGCTATTTGGGACGCTGAGGCAGGAGAATTGCTTGAACCCAGGAGGCAGAGGTTGCAGTGAGCCAAGATCGCACCATTGCACTCCAGCCTGGGTGACAGAGCAAGACGTTGTCTCAAAAAAAAAAATTATATTTGTAAATCAAATATATAAGAAAGGATAATACCAAGTGAGGTTTATCGCTGGAATACAAGATGTTTAACAGTTGAAAATTAATCAGTACAATCCACTACATTAACAGAACAAAAAAAAATAAGGCTATCTCAACAGACACAGAACAAACATTTGAAAAATCCAACACTTATTCATAATAAAAACTCCAGTGAAACAGAAATAGAAGGAAACTTCCTCAGCTGCTAAAGGCCATCTACAAAAAGCCAACTGCTAATATCTTACTTAACTGTGAAAGATCAAATGCTTTCCCCCTAAGGCAGGGAATAGGGCAAAGATTTGTGCTCTCAACTATTTCTATCCAACACTGTACTAGAGGTGTTGGTCAGTGCAGTAAGAGATGTTAAAGAAATAACAGGCATAGGCCGGGTGTGGTGGCTCACGCCTGTAATCCCAGCACTTTGGGAGGCTGGGGTGGGTGGATCACCTGAGGTCAGGACTTTGAGACCAGCCTGACCAACATGGTGAAGCCCCATCTCTGCTAAAATTACACAAATAAGCCGGGCGTGGTGGTGGGCACCTGTAATCCCAGCTACGCAGGAGGCTGAGGCAGGAGAATTGCTTGAACTTGGGAGGTGGAGGTTGCAGTGAGCCAAGATTGCACCATTGCACTCCAGCCTGGGTGACAGAGCGAGACTCAGTCTTAAAAAAAAAAAAAGAAATAACAGGCATAAAGAGTAACAAGGAAAAAGAAAACTGTTATTGTTTATAGATGACACAATTATGTATACAGAAAATCCTATAAAGAATCTTCTTGAACAAATAACTGAATTTAACAAGGTCACAAGATACAGGATCAACATATGAAAATCAGTTTTATTTCTATATGTTAGCAATGAACAGTTGGAAAATAAAAATTTTAAACAATGCATTCGTAAGAGCACCAAAAATGCTTAGGGGTCAATATAACTAAATTATTTGCAAACTCTATGTATTCAAAACCACAAAATACTTGAGAGAAATATAAACAATCTAAATAAGTGGAAAGATAAGCCATGCAGATGAATTAGAAGAAACAGTTAATATGTCAATTCTATTCAAGTGGACGTACAGGATTAATGTAATCCCAACAAAATCCAAGCAAATTTATCTCTGTAGAAAGTATCAAGCTGCTTCTAAAATTTAAAGGGAATTCAGTGGACCTAAAATAGCCAAAACAATTTTGAAAAAGAAGAGGAAAAGGGAACTTAACCTACGTAATTACAAGACTTACTATAACTATGGTAACCAAGATAGTGTATTATTGGCAGTAAGACAGGCACATAGATCAATGGAATAGAGTCCAGAAATAGACACATGAATATATTATCAATTGATTTTTTAGTCAGGTTTACTTTATCAATTGGCTTTTGACAAAGATATCACAGTCACTGAATGGGGAAAGGTTCATGTTTTCAAACAAATGGTGCCAGAACAACTGGATATCCATTAGAGAAGAAAAAACAATCTTGATTCTTACTTTACACAACATACAAATTTTCATTTGACAAGGATCATAGAAAAAGTTCATAGAAAAACATCATGGTAAAAGCTAAATTTCAGAAGAAAACAAAGGAGAAAGTCTTTGGGACCTTGGGGTGGACAAAGATTTCTTAAGACACAAAAAGTGTGAAGTACACCAAGTGCAGTGGCTCACACCTATAATCCCAGCACTTTGGGAGGCTGAGGTGGACGGATTGCTTGAGACCAGGAGTTCAAGAGTAGCCTGGGGAACATAGCAAAACCCTATCTCTATTTTTTACAGACAAAAAAAAAAAAAGAAATAGCATGAACTATAAGAAAAAGTTGACAAATGGCTTTATCAAAATTCTGCTCTTTTAAAGATACCATTAAGGAAAGGAAAAGCTGGCCGGGAGCGGTGGCTCATGCCTGTAATCCCAGCACTTTGGGAGGCTGAGGCGGGTGGATCACGAAGTCAGGAGATAGAGACCATCCTGGCTAACACGGTGAAACAACGTCTCTACTAAAAATACAAAAATTAGCTGGGCATGGTGACGGGCGCCTGTAGTTCTAGCTACTCAGGAGGCTGAGGCAGGAGAATGGCGTGAACTCGGGAGGCAGAGCTGGCAGTGAGCTGAGATCGCATCACTGCACTCCAGCCTGGGCAACAGAGCAAGACTCTGTCTCAAAAAAAAAAAAAAAAAAAAAAAAAGGAAAGGAAAACCAGACCACAAACCAGGATAAAATATTTGCAGTATATATATCTGACAAAAGAGTTGTACCCAGAATACATAAAGAACTCAACACTAGGACAAAAAACCCACGGGCAAATGATTTGAACAGACACTTCATAATAGAAAACAAACAAAATAAGCACATGAAAAGATGTCACTTCAGGGAAATGCCAATTAAAACCACGAGGAAATGTCATTACACACCCACCATCATGGCTAAAGACAAAATGACTGACAATACCAAATGTTGGCAAGGATGTGGAGAAGTTGGTTCTCTCATGTATTGCTGGTGGAAATGTAAAATGCTACAGTCACTTTGGAAAATTATTTAGCAGTTCTAATAAAGTTATACCTACTCTAAGACCTGGCAGTTCCACTCCTAGGTATTTATACAAGAGAAATGAAAACACATGACTACAAAAAAATTTATACAAGAATTTTCATAGCAGCTTTGTTCATATTAGCCCCAAATTGGAAATAAAATGTGCGTCTGCTGGTGAATAAATAAATTGTAGTATATCCATACCATGGAACACTACTGAACAATAGAGCCAACAAACTTCTGATACAAGCAGTGATGTGAATGACTCTCAAAATCATTAGGCTCAATGAAAGAAGCCAGACACCAAAGAACACCTACTGTGTGAGTCCAGTTATATGAAATCTTAAGAATAGGCAGGGCCGGGCGCAGTGGCTCACGCCTGTAATCCCAGCACTTTGGGAGGCCGAGGCGGGCGGATCACGAGGTTAGGAGATCGAGACCATCCTGGCTAACATGGTGAAACCCCGTCTCTACTAAAAACATAAAAAATTAGCCGGGCGTAGTGGCGGGCGCCTGCAGTCCCAGCTACTCAGGAGGCTGAGGCAGGAGAATGGCGTGAACCCGGCAGGCGGAGCTTGCAGTGAGCAGAGATCACGCCACTGCATTCTAGCCTGGGCGACAGAGCGAGACTCCATCTCAAAAAAAAAAAGAATAGGCAGAACTAATCTATAATCACGTAAGGGAGATTACAGTTGCCTGAAACTGGGAACGAAACAGGAGGCTCTACTACAAAATGGCATAAGAAAAAAAAGGCATGAGGGAAATTGTAGGTAATGAAAATGTTTCATGTATTATTTATGGTGATTATTACATATGAACATATGTCGAACATTAAATTGTACATTTACAATGGGGGCATTTTACTGTATGTAAATTATATCTTAATTTTTTCTCTAGACAGAGTCTTGCTCTGTCGCCCAGGCTGGAGTGCAGTGGCATGATCTCCGCTCACTACAACCTCTGCCTCCCAGCTCCCAGGTTCGATCAAGTCTCCTGCCTCAGCCTCCCTAATAGCTGGGATTACAAGTGTGTGCCACCACACTTGGCTAATTTTTTTGTATTTTTAGTAGAGACGGGGTTTCACCATGTTAGCCAGGCTGGTCTCAAACTCCTGACCTCATGATCTGCCTGCCTCGGCCTCCCAAAGTGCTGGGATTACAGGCGTGAGCCACTGTGCCCAGGCTAAATTATATCTTTTTTTTGTTTTGTTTTGTTTTTGTTTTTTTTTTTTTTTTTTTTTTTTTTTTTTTTGAGACAGAATCCTGCTCTATCACCCAGGCTGGAGTGTAGTGGCGCAATCTCGGCTCACTGCAAGCTCCGCCTCCCGGGTTCACGCCATTCTCCTGCCTCAGCCTCCCGAGTAGCTGGGACTACAGGCGCCCACCATCACACCAGGATAATATTTCTATTTTAGTAGAGACCGGGTTTCACCGTGTTAGCCAGGATGGTCTCGATCTCCTGACCTTGTGATCTGCCTGCCTCGGCCTCCCAAAGTGCTGGGATTACAGGTGTGAGCCACCATGCCCAGCCTAAATTACATCTTAATAAAGCCAATTAAACCTAGAAACAAAAGAATTTGGTAAAAGAGCCAGTTTATGATAAAATTAATACACAAAAATAGCTAGGTGGCAGATACAAGAGAAGATCCCTGATATGGTTTGGATTTGTGTCCCCCGCCCAAATCTCATGTTGAATTGTAATCCCCAGTGTTAGAGAGAGGACCTGGTGGAATGTGACTGGATCATGCGGGCGGATTTCCCTCTTGCTGTTCTTGTGATTGTGAGTTCTTACGAGATCTGGTTGTTTAAAAGTGTGTAGCACCTCCTCCTTCACTCTCTTCCTCCTGCTCCAGACATGTAGGATGGGCCTGCTTCCCCTGTGCCTTTTGCCATCACTGTAAGTTTCCTGAGGCCTGCCCAGTCATGCTTCCTTTACAGCCTGTGGAACTGTGAGCCAATTAAACCTCTTTTCTGTATAAATTACACAGTCTTAGGGAGTTCTTTATAGCAATGCGAGAATGGACTAATACAATCCCTTTCACAAAAATAAATGAAGTTAAATACTTTGACCTCCAGTGGCTCCCATCTCACTAAGAAAGAAATCCAAAGTCTTTACCCTGGTCTAAAAGTGCTGCCAGATCTCTGAAAGATCTCCCCTACCTGCAGCTCTCATCTTACTGCTTTTGATGCCTCCCAAGGTGCCAAGCTCATTCCTGGCATCCCTTGTGTCTGCAACATTCCTCACCCAGGAGTGAAGGATCTTCACATAACTTGTTCCCCAACTCTACACAAGTCTTTGCTTAAATGTCACTTCATCAGAGGTTTCCTTGACAACCCCATCTTTAGTATGGGGAGCTTTAGTTAATCACTATGGCTCAATAGCTATTGTCATAGAAACTACACCATATGAGGTATAGATTAAGAAACATGATAGTTGTCTTCCAATACTGAAAGGCAATTATGTGGAAGAACTAGAATTATTTTGTTTTTATTATTATGTATTTTTTATTATTATTTTTGAGACAGAGTCTTGCTCTGTCGCCCAAGCTGGAGTGCAGTGGCACTATCACGGCTCATTGCAGTCTTGACTTCCCAGGCTCAGGTGACCCTCCCACCTTAGCCTCCTGAGTAACTGGGACTAGAGGTATGCGCCACCATGCCCAGCTAATTTTTTCTTTCTTTTTCTTTTTATTGTAGATATAGGGTCTCACTATTTTGCCTATGCTGGTCTCAAACCTCTGGGCTCAAGTGATCCAACTACCTTGGCCTCCCAAAGTGCTGGGATTATTGGCATGAGCCACTGCGCCCAGCTGTAGAATTATTCTTTTTTTTTTTTTTTTTTGAGATGGAGTCTTGCTCTGTCGCCCAGGCTGGAGTGCAATGGCACGATCTTGGCTCACTGCAAGCTCCGCCTCCTGGGTTCACGCCATTCTCCTGCTTCAGCCTCCCAAGTAGCTGGGACTACAGGTGCCCGCCACCACGCCTGGCTAATTTTTTTGTATTTTTAGTAGAGACTGGGTTTCACCATGTTAGCCAGGATGGTCTCGATCTCCTGACGTCATGATCTGCCTGCCTCAGCCTCCCAAAGTGCTGAGATTACAGGCGTGAGCCACGGTGCCCGGCCAGAATTATTCTCTTAATTGGTCTAGCAGACTAGGCTTCTAGACTAAGCACTAGAATCTAAGCTCCAAAAGGTATGAGTCTCTGTTTTTTCCACCTCAGCATCCCTAGCACAGTGCATAATGTCCAGCATACAGATGCTCAGTCAGTATTTGTTGAATGAATAAATATTCACTAAAAAGGAAATGGACCAAAATATAGGACTAAAGGGAAATGAATTTGAGCTCATAAAGAACAGCTATTTATTTATTTTTAATTAAAAAAAATTTTTTAAAGACGGTCTCAATCTGTCACCCAGGTTGGACTGCAGTAGGTGATCACAGCTTACTGCAGCCTCAGACTCCTGGGCTCAAGAGGTCCTCTCACCTCAGCCTCCTGAGTAGCTGGGGTTACAGGGCATGCCACCACGCCCAGCTAATTTTTTAATTATTTTGTAGAGACACGGTCTTGCTATGTTGCTCAGGTTGATCTTTAACTCCCAGCCTCAAGCAATCCTCCAGCCTGGGCCTCCCAAAGTGCAGGGATTATGGGCAGGCATGACCCACTGTGCCCAGCCTTAAAACGGATTTCTTTTTTTCTTTTCTTTTTTTGGGGGGAGGGGACAGGGTCTTGCCCTGTCGCCCAGCCTGGAGTGCAATGGCATGATCACGGCTCACTGCAGCCTCAGTGTCCTGGGCTCAAGCAATCTTTCAACCTCAGTCTCCTGGCTGGGACTCCAGGCACATGCCACCATGCCTGGTTAATGTTTGTGTTTTTTTGTAAAGATGGGGTTTTGCCACCTTACCGAGGCAGTCTCAAACTCCTGAGCTCAAGCAATCAACTCACCTTGGCTTCCCAAAGTGTTGGGATTACAGGCATGAGCCACTGCACCCAGCCAAAATGTATTTCTTACTGTGGGTTTTGGTAAGAAAAATTTGAGAAACACTGGGCCAAACTGATGAACAACAGAATTAGTCACTTTGCAAAGTAACACTTCCTATGCTACCATTGTAGCAGAGGTGGAATGTCATTGATTTTGGGTGACTGCATTTGGTAGGAGGTGGGACTGTATGATCTCTGAGGATTGTTCCAACTTCAACACTTTTAAACAATTTTGCTGCAGTTAAATGATATACTACATGTGTTCCTGTTTGTTACAATGAGATCCTGAAATAAATCAAGTTATACTATAAAATGCCAGCATAAGTTGTTGGGTTTTTTTTTTTAGATACTCTAAAAATGAGAGAAACTATTGGTTCTACTTTGTGTATTAATTGTTTTAGGTATATTTTGCTATTGAACATGTGTGCTTAATTATTTGGTATTTTGGTGAAAGATTAGAGACAGAGAGATGAATCCTTTTTCCTGAAGAGGTTATAGGTCAAAGGCTGAGGATAGAGAATTTATACCCCTAAATTCTAGAGAGGGAATTTCATTCTGCTTTTAAAGAATAATTCTGTTAAAAACAGGCTATTGGCTTCCATTACCCAGACATCTGTGTTACATTTCCACTTACCTAATAAAGCTCCAGACTTTTTTTCAATGTGAAATCATAAAAGCTCCAGACTTAAAGTGGCCCAAAAGTATTACGGTTTTATCACAGCTTATAACGTAAAAATTCTGATGTATCAATTACACTAGAGAAACACTGAAGCTTGGCACTGGGATGGAGTAAAAATGGTAAAATACCAATCATCTTGAGTTCTTAGGGATGAGTTATTCTGGTGCACTATTTTCTAAGGAATGAGAAATAAAGCAGTAATGTCCTTTGAGACCCTAGGGTAAAGAAGCCATAGAAATCTGGTGTGTCCCTTTCTGAGTGCTGTCACTTCTCACCATTCAAATACTGCAATGTCCTCAGGACCAGTGACAGCATGCAGTCTGCTCACCGTGCCCATGGTTTCAAATTAGCTGTTGCAAAACTGAGATAAAATGACCTTGCTGGCATCTCAGTATCAATTTTGCATAATGTCAAAATACAGCTCTGGTATCAATAACATTATTAAGAAGCAAGATGTACTCCCCATCCTCTTTAATGTTTTGTCTCAGAGGCCATTCCACCTAAGAGATGACTAGGTTCTATGATGGGGCTTCCTCAACCCCTCTGGCTTGAGAGTAAGGTGACTGGGGAAGAAGAGCCTGTCTAAAATAAATTATCCTTAGGAAGAAGGTGGCTGGGCGTGGTGGCTTATGCCTGTGATCCCAGAACTTTGGGAGGCTGAGGTGGGCAGATCACCCGAGGTCAGGAGTTCGAGACCAGCCTGGCCAAGATGATGAAACTCCATCTCTACTAAAAAGACACACACACACAAAAATTAGCTGGGTGTGGTGGCGGGCGCCTGTAATACCAGCTACTTGGGAGGTTAAGGCAAGAGAATTGCTTGAATCCAGGAGGCGGAGGCTGCACTGAGCTGAGATCACATCATTGCACTCCAGCCTGGGTGACAAAGTGAGACCTTGTTTCAAAAAAAAGAAAAAAAAGAAAGAAAAAGAAAAAGAAGGTGTCAGCCCTAGGGGGGAAAAGGAGAGAAATCCTGTAGGGTGGGGAATCAGGTCTTACAACTTTTCCTCATTAACTCCCTTTCCTTGGTGTGATCATAGCTCACTGCAACCTCAAACTCCTGGGCCCACGGGATCCTCCCGCCTTGGCCTCCCAAACTGCTGGGATTACAGGGTGAGCCATCGTGCCTGGTCTTGCTTCTCTTAATGTCTTCCCACCCCCAACCTCATTCTCACGTGATTCTATCAGGAGCCTCTGGCAGTAGATGATTTGCCTCTGGGGGAAATGCAAACAACTAATAATCCCTGAAAAAGATAACTAATCTTATAAGAAACAGAAAATAAGAGTTAAAACAATAAAGTACCTTGTAAGGATGTGAAATAAAGAATGAGGTACTCAGTATACCTACTTTAAAAATGTACCCTTGTTTGAAATGAAACCTAAATCCCAAATGCAGTATATAACTCTGTGGACATGTCTTATAATATAAATGATTTACATTTTATAATACCAAAATAACAGTTTATACATAAAAACATTTCAGTACTTAAAAATAGCTCAAGGCTGGGAGTGGTGGCTCATGCCTGTAATCCTAGCACTTTGGGAAGCTGAGGTGGGTGGATCACTTGAGGTCAGGAGTCTGAAACCAGCCTGGCTAACATGGTGAAACCCCGTCTCTACTAAAATACAAAAAAATTAGCTGGGTGTGGTGGTGGGCACCTATAATCTCAGCTACATGGGAGGCTGAGGCAAGGCAGGAGAATCGCTTGAATCAGCGAGGTGGAGATTGCAGTGAGCTGAGATCACGCCACTGCACTCCAGCCTGGGTGACAGAGCGAAGACTCGTCTCATCAAAAAAAAAAAAAAAAAAAAAAGCCGGACGCGGTGGCTCAGGCCTATAATCCCAGCACTTTAGGAGGCCGAGGCAGGCGGATCACCTGAGGTCAGGAGTTTGAGACCAGCCTGACCAACATGGAGAAACCCCATCTCTACTAAAAATACAAAATTAGCCAGGCGTGGTGGCGCATCCTTGTAATCCCAGCTACTCGGGAGGCTGAGGCAGGAGAATTGCTTGAACCCAGGAGGCGGAGGTTGTGGTGAGCTGAGATCACACCATGGCACCCCAGCCTGGGCAAGGCAACAAGAGCAAAACTCCATCTCAAAAAATAATTTTAAAAAATAGCTCAGGGGCTGGGCAGGGTGGCTCATGCCTATACTCCCAACACTTTAGGAGACTGAGGTAGAAGGATTGTTTGAGCCCAGGAGTTCAAGACCAGCCTGAGCAACATAGTGAGACCCCGTTTCTACAAAAAAAAAAAAAAACAAACAAAAATTAAAAAATTGGCTGGGTGTGGTGGCCTCCTATAGTTTGGAGGCTGAGGCAGGAGATTCGTGTGAGCCCAGGAGTTCGAGGCTGCAGTGAGCCATGATCACATCACTGCACTCTAGCCTGGATGGCAAACTGAGACTGTGTCTCAAATAAAAATAAATAAAAAATAAAAAAGTATGTACCACCTCCTTCCACTCTCTCTCTTGCTCCTGCTCCCGCATGTGAGACATGGGATTGAGTTGTGCCCCCCAAAATTATATGCTGAAGTCTTAAACCTGGTACCTACACTGGAGACCTTAATTTGCAAATAGGGTCTTTGCAGATATAATCAAGTTAAGATGAGGTCATCCTGGATTAGGGTGGTATCATTATAAGGAGAGATCTGGAGAAAGGAGGACACTGAGAAGACACATACAGGGGCTGGGTGAGGTGGCTCACACCTGTAATCCTAGCACTTTGGGAGGCCAAGGAAGGGCAGACTGCTTGAGGCCAGGAGTTCAAGACCAACCTAGGCAACAGGCTGGTCTCAAAAAAACAAAAACAAAAACAAAAACAAAACCACAAACACAGAAGGAAGAGCACCACGTGAAGACAGAAGCAGAGGCTGGAATGATGGAGCTACAACAGAAGGAATGCCAAGGATTGCTGGCACCCACCAGAAGCTAGGAAGAGGCAAGGAAGGACTCTGCCCTACAACCTTCAGAGGCAGCATGGCGCTGTCAACACGTTGATTTCAGAGTTTAGCCTCCAGAACTGTGGGAGAAGAATCAACGTACGTTGCTTCGTAGGTGATGTGATGCTAGGGTAGATGCTTGAAAGGCAAGTAGGTTTTCACTCAGAAAAAAAGAAGAGGAAAAGCATTCTAGGCAGAAGATATAGTTTGAGCCAAGGCACAGACTGGTATAATCACAAAATAGGAAGTAAGTTGTTCAATATGGCTGGAGCACAGGGTGCAAAAGAGATGGTGAGAAATGGGTGGAGCACCTTATTTGCTTCATTAAAGAGTTTGGATTAGACCCTGTAAGCATTGGGGTGGGGGTGGGGGACATTAAGGGGTTCTATGCAAAGGAGAGAGGCGATTTAGTATTTGATCAAATCAGAGAGCAGTAAGAACATCATTGGCAGTGAGACCAGGCAGGAGGCAGTTGTAATCTAGACAAAATGGTAGGGGTAGAAATGGAAGAGGTTGGGCTGGGCATGGTGGCTCATGCCTGTAATCCCAGCACTTTGGGAGGCCAAGGTGGGCAGATCACTTGAGGTCAGGAGTTTGAGACCAGCCTGGACAACATGGTGAAACCCTGTCTCTACTAAAAATAGAAAAATTAGCCAGGCATAGTGGCATGTACCTACTGTAATCTTAGCTACTCAGGAGGCTGAGGTGGGAGAATTGCTTGAACTTGGTAGGCAGAGGCTGCAATGAACTGAAGTTGCACCACTGAACTTCTCCAGCCTGGGTGAGAGTGAGACTACATCTCAAAAAAAAAAAAAAAAAAAAAAAAGAAAGAAAAGAAAAGAAAAAAGAAAGAACGGAAGTAGTTGTAGGTAGTGGTATGGTGGTATGAGTCTGTTTTCTGTTACTTATAACAACAACAACAACAAAAAACGCTGAAACTGGGTAATTTATAAAGAAAAGGAAAAAAAGCAGAAAAAAATCAGGAAGAAGAGAAAGGAAAAGAAGACAAATAAATGAAATTTATGTATTACAGTTCTGAAGGCTGAGACATCCCAGGTCAAGGGTCCACACTTGGCGAGGGCTTTCTTGCTGGTGGAGACTCTTTGTGGAGTCCTGGGACAGTGCAGAAGGATCAGTAGTGATATAGTTTGAATCTGTGTCCCTGGCCAAATCTCATGTCGAATTGTAATCCCCAGTGTTGGATGTGGGGCCTAATGTGAGGCGATTGGACCATTGGGGCAGAGTTCTCATGATGGTTTAGCACCATCCCCCCTTGATACTGTATAGTGAGTGAGTTCTCATGAGATCTGGTTGTGTGAAAATGTGTGGCACCTCTCTTCCGCCCACTCCAGCCATGTGAAGATGCCTGCTCCTCCTATGTCTTCCACCGTAACTGGAAGCTTCCTGAGGCCTCCCCAGAAGCAGAAGCTACTATGCTTCCTGTACAGCCTGCAGAACTGTGAGCCAATTAAACCTCTATTCTTTATAAATTACCCAGTCTCAGGTATTTCTTTATAGCAATGCAAGAACGGACTAGTACAGGTGGCAAGGGGGCTGAGCGTGCTCATATCTCCCTTCCTCTTCTTATAAAACCACTAGTTCCTCCCATGATAACCCATTAATCCTTCATAACCCAATCACCTCTTAATGGCCCCACCTCTCAGTACTGCCACATTGTGCCACGCATAGTGGCTCATGCTTGTAATCCCAGGACTTTGAGAGGCCAAGGCAGGCAAATCGCTTGAGCCCTGGAGTTGGAGACCAGCCTGGGCAACATGGCGAAACCCCATTACTACAAAAAATACAAAAATTACCCAGGCATGGTGGCATGTACCTGTAGTCCCAGGTACTCAGGAGGGTGCGGTAGGAGGATCACCTGAGCTTGGGGAGGTTGAGGCTGCAGCGAGCCGTGATCATGCCACTGCACTCCAGCCTGGGTGACACAGTAAGACTCTGTCTCAAAAAACAAAACAAAACAAAAAAATACTGTCACCTTGAGGATTAAGTTCCAACATGAGTTTTGAAGGGGACCAACATTTAAACCACAGTAGTGGTGATGAAAATAAGCAGACAAGGCCAAGGCAGGTGGCTCACTGGAGGTCAGGAGTTTGAGACCAGCCTGGCCAACTTGGTGAAATCCCATCTCTACTAAAAATAGAAAAATTAGCCAGGTGTGGTGGCGGGTGCCTGTAATTCCAGCTACTAGGGAGGCTGAGGCACGAAAAAGGCTTGAACCCGGGAAGCAGAGGTTGCAGTGAGCTGAGATCACGCCATTGCACTCCAGCCTGGGTGGCAGAGCCAGACACCATCTCAAAAAAAGAAAGAAGTAGACAGAGATAAGCCAGAGGTAAAATCAGCAGGACTTGGAAGCAGCATAAATAACAGTGGGTAAACACATGGGCTATGCCATCAAAGTGAATCTAAACCCCGGCTCTGCTGTGGTTTACACATCCATTTCCTAACCTATAAATGGGGGTTTATAAGAGTACAGTACCTACTTCAAGGAATTGTAGATTCAACGCAACATTGTAAATGTCAAGAACTCTGCAGGCGCCTGGGACATTGTAGCTGCTCAATAATATATGAACCGCTGTTATAATTCTTATCATCATTGTCATCAATCACCAGTTAGATACAGAAGATAACCTCAAACTTACTGAATTCCAAACTTCTTATTGCAGCCTTTTCTTAACCGCTGAAATGTACTCCTTCATCTGTGTCTCCTTTCTTGGGAATTAGTACCACTATTTTCCTCCAGTGCCTAATCCAGGACCCAGGAACCATCCCAGGCCAAACCTTTCCTTTCTCTGCCTCCATATCTATATCCTTCAGACTTGGAGACTAACAAACGAATAAGTAAATGAATGGCACATGTTGAAAGCTCCCTACATGATTTCTTTTCAATGTGGTCTACTCTCAGGATATCTTCCCACCTCCAGATGTTTGATGAATAATTTACTTCCATTTGTGTGTGTGTGTGTGTGTGTGTGTGTGTGTGTGTGTTTAATACTTAGCTCTTCTAGAAAGTATTTGGTGTACTGTGTGATGAGAAGATCTAAATTTTTCTCTAAGTAGCTAACTACTGTAGATAAGAAGGAGGGAGGGGTGAGACAGGAAGAAAAAAAGAGAAAATGGCCAGGTGGCTAGATGCTAAGATAAATGATTGGTAGCATTTACACTGTTACCTCTTGTTTAAGGTTTGATTTTCAGAAACTGATCAGAAACGTAATTTTGTTCCACAAAAAGATGATCTGTTTCTTAGAGGCAAATGCCTTCCTACTTCCCTACTTCCCTCCTTTTCCCCCATCCTCTGTCTTTAATCAAGCTCACAGAGTTTATATATAGGTCTATATATGTTATATATGTGTATGTGATATGTCAGATATACCATATATACAAGAAAGACACAAGGCCATTTTACAAATTATGATGAAATATGTAAACATCAAAGGGACAGATATTTGTTTTCCACTGACCAACATATTCTCCTTTCCTTATGAGGAAGTGATGTGGAAAGTCAGTCATCAAAATGTTGCTCACTGAGCATGAAGTCAGTATATTATGGATGTCTGGATATACGCTCAGGAAATCTAGGCTGGAGATAAAGATTTAGAAATCATCAACAGAGGGTGGCATTTGAAAGATTTTAATAACTGATGATAAGAGTTTGGTAAAATGGACCAGGCGCGGTGGCTTACACCTATAATCCCAGCACTTTGGGAGGCTGAAGCAGGTAGATGTTTGAGCTCAGGAGTTTGAGACTAGCCTGGGCAACATGGTGAAACCTCATCTCTACAAAAAAAAATATAAAAACTAGCTGGGTATGGTGGCATGGGCCTGTAGTCCCAGCTACTTGGGGGCTGAGGTGGGAGGATCACTTGAGCCCAGGAGTTGGAGGCTGCAGCGAGTTCGGATTATGCCACTGCCCTTTAGCCCTTTAGCCTCAGGGACAGACCAAGCAACATTTTATTTAAATTAAATGTTATTTAATGTTTATTTAAATTAAATGTTAATGAGATGGTTTCTATACATTTACATTTAGCATTATTTGCCCTAGAATCCAAGGCAAAACAAAAACAAACAAAAACAAAATCCCAGAGAAACACAAATTATTTATATAGTTCTCACATCATCTTTTTGAGATGGGAGTCTGGCTCTGTTGCCCAGGCTGGAGTGCAATGGCATGACCTTGGCTCACTGCAACCTCTGCCTCCCAGGTTCAAGTGATTCTCCTGCCTCAGCTTCCCAAGTAGCTGGGACTACAGGCGCACACCATCACGCCCGGTTAATTTTTGTATTTTTAGTAGAGACGGGGTTTCACTATGTTGGCCAGGCTGTTCTCGAACTCCTGACCTCAAGTGATCCACCTGCCTTGGACTCCCAAAGTGATGGGATTACAGGTGTGAGCCACCGCAACTGGTCTTTTCCCCTTCCCTTTCACCCTTGAATGCGTATGATTCAAAAATAAGAAAACACTCTACTGACACGGAAAATTAAGAAAGTTAAGTTCCCTTGTATTATATATATTGGTCTATACCTTGCTTTTTCTTTTTTGTTTTTTTTGTTGAGACAGAGTCTTGCTCTGTCCCCAGACTGAAGTGCAATGGCACAATCTCGGCTCACTGCAACCTCCGCCTCCCAGGTTCAAATGATTCTTCTGCCTCAGCCTCCCGAGTAGCTGGGACTAGAGGTGCCCGCCACCACGCCCGGCTAATTTCTGTATTTTTAGTACAGACAGGGTTTCACTATGTTGGCTGGAACTGTCTTGATATCTTGACCTCATGATCTACCTTGCCTCGGCCTCCCAAAGTGCTGGGATTACAGGCGTGAGCCACTGTGCCCGGCCCTATACCTTGCTTTTTCTTAAATTAAGTTTGAGACCAGGATGGCAGAATAGATTTTTAAAAATTGGCTGGGCATGATGGTGCATGCCTGTGGTCCCAGCTACTTGGGAGGCACAGACAGTGGATTGCTTAGGCCCAGGAGTTGGAGGCTGCAGTGAGCTATGGTAATACCACTGCACGTCAGCCTGGGCAACAGAGCAAGACCCTGTCTCTAAAAAATAAAAAATTGTGGCCGGGCATGGTAGATCACACCTGTCATCCTAGCACTTTGGGAGGCTGAGGTGAGTGGATCACGAGGTCAGGAGTTCGAGACCAGCCTGGCCAACATGGTGAAACCCTGTCTCTACTAAAAATATAACAATTAGCCACAGTGGCGCACGCCTGTAATCCTAGCTACTCAGGAGGCTGAGGCAGGAGAATCGCTTGAACCCGGGAGGTGGAGGTTGCAGTGAGCTGAGATCACGTTACTGCACTCCAGCCTGGGGGACAGAGTGAGACTCTGTCTCAGAAAAAAATAAATAAATAAAAATAAAAAATTGCATGTGCCTGTAGTCCCAGCTACTTGGGAGGCTGAGGTGGGAGCGTCACTTGAGCCCAGGAGGTTGAGGCTGCAGTGAGCAGTGATTGCTCCACTGCACTCCAGCCTGGGCACACAGACAAGTGTCTCAAAAAAAAAAAATTAAATTAAAATTAAATTTTTTTTTAAATTTGAAACAAGAAATTGGGAAGTCCAGAGTCCAGAGAAATAACTGGTTTAGAAGAAAAGCAACAACTTTGGTTTTATGTATGTTGGATTTCAGAGGAATGGGAAATCAGGTAGATATGGACAGGAGGCCACTAGAAATGCTGGTCTGAAGTTCACAGGGACACTCAGAGTTGAAGATAGAGGAGTAAGAGAATCTGCAAATAGCAATTAGGCTGTTAGCAGAAATGAAGGGGCTCAGAGGAAGCATGGGCTGAGAGGGGAACCTGGAGGATTGCCCATGATTGTGCGGCAGGATGGGGAAAAGATGCCAGTGTTACAGACAAGAAATTACAGGGAGAATGAAGAGAGCTTTGTGACACATTAGCCAAGGGTGGAGAATTTCAAGACAGATGCAGTACAGGGGTTAAAGGGCCAACAGGCAGTAATAAAGCAGCTACCTGCATTGTCTCATTTAATCCTCATATGCAACCTATTGGGGAGATGGTATTATTATTATTATTTTTGAGACAGAGTGTCGCTCTGTCGCCCAGGCTGGAGTGCAGTGGCACCGTCTCAGCTCACTGCAAGCTCCGTCTCCCGGGTTCACGCCATTCTCCTGCCTCAGCCTCCCATGTAGCTGGGACTACAGGCGCCTGCCACCACGCCCGGCTAATTTTTTCTATTTCTAGTAGAGACAGGTTTTCACCGTGTTAGCCAGGATGGTCTCGATCTCCTGACCTTGTGATCTGCCCGCCTCGGCCTCCCAAAGTGCTGGGATTACAGGCGTGAGCCACTACACCTAGCTGGGAGATGGTATTATTATCCCCATTTTACAGAAAAGGGCTTTAACCCAGACAGTGACGCCAAGGCTGCACGATGCAGCTGTGGGAGGTCAGAATTCTGACACTGGTTCTACCACTAAATTAGCATTATGTCCATGGGCAAGTAACTCATGTTTCTAGGCTTAACATCCTTCTCTGCAAATTAAAAGGACTGATCTAGATAATCTCCAGTTCTTAATAATACGAGTATGTGATTAAGTTAGAATGGGAGAAATACATACACAAGAGAGGCAGTGAATTAAAAAATGTAGTTCCATACAATTGCCTGGATCCCAGTTTAAAAAAAAGATAAAGCCGGGTGCGGTGGCTCAGGCCTGTAATCCCAGCGCTTTGGGAGGCCAAGGTGGGTGGATCACCTGAGGTCAGGAGTTCGAGACCAGCCTGACCAACATGGTGAAACCCAGTCTCTACTAAAAATACATAAATTAGCCAGGCTTGGTGGCAGGTGCCTGTAATCCCAGTTACTCTGGAGGCTGAGGCAGAACTGCTTGAACCTGGGAGGTGGAGGTTGCCTCTGCACTCCAGTCTGGCCGACAGAGCCAGACTACATCTCAAAAATAAATAAATAAATAAATAAATAAATAAATAAATAAATAAATAAATAAATAAAAGATTAAAATGTAGTTCAAATATGTATGCTGGGTGTTAAAAAAAGAAATTCGGCCCACATTCATAAGGATACACTACACCTCCTTAAGAGAGTATTCAAAATAAAGATGTCATTAAAAAAAATTAGCAATCAGTGAACAGGGAGACCAAAAAAATCAGAACGCTGAACATCTTAGACAGTGAATTTCCAAGAAATAAATCCATTCTCTGATATATAAAATCTACAACTACAAAATTTTACCCTTTTTTTTTTTTTTTTTTTTGGAGACAGTCTTGCTCTGTTGCCCAGGCTGGAGTGCACTGGTGTGATCTTGGCTCACTGCAACGTCCGCTGCCCGGATTGAAGTGATTCTCCTGTCTCAGCCTCACAAGCACCTGGGATTATAGGCGCCCAGCACCACGCCCGGCTAATTTTTGTATTTTTAATAGAGATGGGGTTTTGCCATGTTGGCCAGATTGGTCTCAAACTCCAGACTTCAGGTGATCCTCCTGCCTTGGCCTCCCAAAGTGCTGGGATTACAGGCGTGAGCCACCGTACCCGGCCCAAAATTCTACCTTTTTTTTTTTTTTTTTTTGAGACAGAGTTTCGCTCTTGTTGCCCAGGCTGGAGTGCAATGGTGCCATCTTGGTTCACCGCAACCTCCACCTCCCGGGTTCAAGCAATTCTCCTGCCTCAG
Source organism: Homo sapiens (assembly GCF_000001405.40). Lineage (NCBI taxonomy): Eukaryota > Metazoa > Chordata > Mammalia > Primates > Hominidae > Homo > Homo sapiens. Next base: position 32,553,784 of record NC_000001.11, on the reverse strand, counting down.
CCTCCCAAGTAGCTGGGATTACAGGCATGTGCCACCATGCCTGGCTAATTTTGTATTTTCAGTAGAGACAGGGTTTCTCCATCTTGGTCAGGTTGGTCTCGAACTCCCGACCTCAGGTGATCTGTCTGCCTTGACCTCCCAAAGTGCTGGGATTATAGGCGTGAGCCACCGCGCCCGGCCCCAGAATTCTACTTTTTATCTATGCATTTAAGTGAGGTAGATGAAGAATTAAAATTTGTCATACCTGGAAATTTATGAATGCTGCTCTTGAATGGAGTAAAAAAGGGAAGATTCTAAGTCAAACAGTCTGTGTTTGGAGGATTGTCCTGTAGAGAGAGAAAACAGATATTTATAATGTACTTTTGTCATAAGAGGCAGAAAGATCTGCTAAGGTACATAATATTTATTTAAATAAACTATATAAGGGCCAGGCACAGTAGCTCACACCTGTAATCCCAACACTCTGGGAGGCCAACGCGGGCAGATAACCTGAGGTCAGGAGTTTGAGACCAGCCTGGCCAATATGGTGAAACCCCATCTCTATTAAGTATACAAAAATTAGCTGGGCATGGTGGCAGGTGCCTGTAATCCCAGCTACTCAGGAGGCTGAGGAGGGAGAATTGCTTGAACTCGGGAGGCGGAGGCTGCAGTGAGCTGAGACTGTGCCACTGCATGCCAGCCTGGGTGACAGAGCAAGACTTCGTCTCAAAAAAAAAAAAATTATATAAGAGCCTCTGTCAGATACAATTTTTAACATGTAAAAATAGATGATCTGGCACAAATTATTATTAGTAATAGTTAATAATAGTTAATAGAAAATCATTAATAATTAATATTAATATATAATATAGAACAAATATGTAATATATGATTTAAAATATAATATACAATATAAATAAATCATTAATATTATTAATAATAGAATGATCATTTGGCTTCAAATTGGCTTGGAACTCTTTTTAAAGACATATATACATTTTATATACATATTTTTATGTTTTATATATATAACTTTTTAACCTCAATCTTAATATTAAAGTTTATAAGAGATTTCCAATATTAAAATATATTATGGCAAATCAAAAGCAATCCTTTTTTTCGTTTCGTTTTGGTGTTTTTGAGATGGAGTCTCACTCTGTCGCCCAGGCTGGAGTGAAATGGCGTGATCTCGGCTCACTGCAACCTCCGCCTCCCTGGTTTGAGCAATTCCCCTGCCTCAGCCTCCCGAGTAGCTGGGATTACCGGCACACACCATCACGCCTGGCTAATATTTTTGTATTTTTAGTAGAGACGGAGTTTTTCCGTGTTGGCCAGACTGGTCTCGAAATCCTGACCGACCTCAGGCAATCTTCCTGCCTGGGCCTCCCAAAGTGCTGAGATTACAGGCGTGAGCCACCACGCCTGGCCATTTGGTTTATTTTTTGAGACAGTCTCACTTTGTCACTCAGGCTAGAGTGCAGTGGCACAATCACGGCTCACTGCAGCCTTGATCTCCCAGGCTTAAGTGATTCTCCCTCTTCAGTCTACCAAGTAGTTGGGACTACAAGTACCCACCACCAAGCTTGGCTAATTTTTGTATTTTTTAGAAAGATGAGGTTTCGTCATGTTGCCCAGGCTGGTCTCAAACTCCCGGGCTCAAGCGATCCCCCCACTTCGGCCTCCAAAAGTGCTGAAATTATAGGCATGAGCCACTGTCCCTGGACCAAACATACTTTTTAACTTTGACAAGAAAATAAACTTAAGACAACACTATTCAAAGGCAGGCCAGCAGATGATACCAAGATAGTAAGTCCTATTGCTCTTTTCCTCCAAATGTCATCAATGTGTTTTAGAAGAAAACTGAACAGAATAGCTTTAAAAATTCAACATATCTTGAAAAAAAAAGAAAGTACAGGTAAGTATAAAGAAGAGGAGCTGGGCCCAGTGGCTCATGCCTGTAATCCCAGCATTTCAGGAGGCAGAAGCAAGAAGGTCACCTGAAGCCAGGAATTCCAGACCAGCGTAGGGAACATAGTGAGACCTATCTCTAAATAAATAAATACGAAAACAAACTGAAATAACTTTTTATTTTTTTTTAGATGGAGTTTCGCTCTTGTTGCCCAGGCTGAAGTGCAATGGTATGATCTTGGCTCACCACAAACTCTGCCTCCCGGGTTCAAGTGATCCTGCCTCAGCCTGCCGAGTAGCGGGATTACAGGTATGCACCACCACACCCGGCTCATTTTGTATTTTTAGTAGAGATGGTATTTCTCCATGTTAGTCAGGCGGTCTCAAACTCCCAACCTCAGGTGAACCACCCGCCTCAGCCTCCCAAATTGCTGGGATTACAGGCATGAGCCACCATACCCAGCACTTTTTTTTTTGAGAGAGAGTCTCACTCTGTCACTCAGGCTGGAATGCAGTGGTGTGACCATGGCTCATTATGGCCCTGACCTCTCAGGCTCAAGTGATCCTCCAGCCTTAGCCTTCTGAGTAGCTGAGACTAGAGGTTTACCAGGCTAAATTTTGTATTTTTGTAGAGACAGGGTTTTTCCATGTTGCCCAGGCTGGTCTTGAAATCCTAGGCTCAAGTGATCCTCCCACCTTGTTGGAATAATAGGCATGAGCCACTGTGCCTGGCCCAAAATTAATAATTTTTGAGAACAACCCGTTGCCACACTAAAAGCTCATCTGTCACCTAGCCCTAATGAGTTAGAAGGGCATTCAGAGAATGGCATTTACTTGGATTGCTTCACTGCTTCAACACTGCCACTTAAGGGCATATTAACTACTGTCCAGCGTACTGGGTGTGTACGGTGGTAATTTGTGGCTTTTTTTTTTTTTTTTTGAGACGGAGTCTCGCTCCTGTTGCCCCGGCTGGAGTGCAATGGCGCGATCTTGGCTCACTGCAACCTCCGCCTCCCGGGTTCAAGCGATTCTCCTGCCTCAGCCTCCCAAGTAGCTGGGACTGCAGGAGCCTGCCACCACACCCGCCTAATTTTTGTATTTTTAGTAGAGGCGGGGTTTCACCATATTGGCCAAGCTGGTCTCGAACTCCTGACCTTGTGATCCGCCTGCCTCGGCCTCCCAAAGTGCTGGGATTACAGGCGTGACCCAACACGCCTGGCCTAATTTGTGGCTTTTTAAGAGAACTGATCTCTTTTTCCTTTTTCTTTTTGTTTTTGCTACAGGGTCTCATTCTCACCTAGGCTGGAGTACAGTGGCACGATCTTGGCTCACTGCAACCTCTGCCTCCCAGGTTCAAGGGAGCTGATGCTTGCACATCAGCCTTCCGAGGAGCTGGGACCACAGACGTGTACCACCACACCTGGCTATTTTTTTTGTATTTTTTGTAGAGATGGGGTCTCACCACGTTGCCCAGGGTGGTCTCGAACTCCTGGACTCAAGCAATCCACCCACCACCTTGGCCTCCCAAAGTGTTGGGATTACAGGTGTGAGCCACTGCACCTGGCCAAAAGAACTGATTTCTGAGCATGGTCTGTGCCCTAAACAATTTTTACATGCTGATGGAATGCTATTTTTTTCAGATGACACCAAGTTCCACTCTAGCAGATATTAGAGTTGATCTGTGGATGGACACTCAGGATCCTTTTTTTAAAGGGTCTCGATATATTGCCCAGGCTGGTCTTGAACTCCTGGGCTCAAGAGATCCGCCCACCTCGGCCTCCCAAAGTGCTAAGATTACAGGCATGAGCCACCACGACCGGCATCAACATCCTTTCCTAACTTCCTTCTGGAAACTAAAAAGTACATTTCCCAGACTCCTTTACAATTCAGTTTCCCCATGTGAAATGTGGCCTATCAATGAGATGTTCTGTGAGATCCGGAAGGCAGAAATGAGGTGGGAACCATCTTTCTTCTGTTTTGGCTGTTAATGCTGGCAAGCACATTTATGGAAACATTGTATTTTTTTCTCATAGCAGCATTCCAGTGTCAAAAGCTTCATGATTGTCAAAAGACAAACATGGTGAAGACAGGAGTCACTATTTGGTAGGAGTTCAGGGGAAGTTCAGGGGTAGCAGGGTTGTTTCCTTTTATTTATTTTCAGAGGCAGGGTCTCACTCTGTCATCCAGGATGAAGTGCTGAAGTGCAGTGGTGCACTCCCAGCTCACCGTAAACTCGAACTCCTAGGCTCAAGGGGATCCTCCCACTTTGGCCTCTCAAAGTGCTGGATTACACTGCGCATGGCCTATAGCAGTTAGTCGACCCTTAAATTACACTAGCAATGTCATTGGCAGCCTCCTGATTCCCTCCCTGGGGGGCCTGTTGGGCAGTCTTTTTTTTTTTTTTTGAGACGGAGTTTTACTCGTTGCCCAGGCTGGAGTGCAACGGTGTGATCTTGGCTCACCGCAACCTCTACCTCTTGGGTTCAAGCGATTCTCCTGCCTCAGCCCCCCAAGTAGCCGGGATTACAGGAACATCCCACCATGCGTGGCTAATTTTTATATTTTTAGTAGAGACAGGGTTTCACCATGTTGACCAGGCTGGTCTCGAACTACTGACCTCAGGTGATCCGCCCGCCTCGGCCTCCCAAAGTGCTGGGATTACAGGCATGAGCCACAGCACCCAGCGAGGTGTTTTGTTTTGTTTTGTTTTGAGACAGAGTCTGACTCTGCCCTCCAGGTTGCAGTGCAGTGACGTGATCTCGGCTCATGGCAACCTCTGCCTCCCGGGTTCAAGCGATTCTGTCTCTGCCTCTGGAGTAGCTAGGACTACAGGTGCGGGCCACCATACCCGGCTAATTTTTGTATTTTCAGTAGAGATGAAGTTTCACCATATTGGCTAGGCTGGTCTCAAACTCCTGACCTCATGATCGGCCTGCCTCAGCCTCCCAAAGTGCTGGGATTACAGGCATGAGCCACGGTGCCTGGCCCCGGCCAGGTATTTCTTTTTATCAATGAGAGCATGGACTAATACAGGGACAATAATAATACCTATAGCTTACAGAGCTGCGAGATGGAGAATATTAGAAGCTAATCCAAGAAACGTGCTTATAACAGTGCCTGGCTTATAACAAGCCCTTGATAAATGTCAGCTATTATTATTATTATTAATTATCTAAACATTTAAAAACACTGCTTTCAATGAGTACAAAATGTAAACATTTTAGAGTTTTATTGCCACACATTTTCTTGTCTTATACAAATGGGGATACAGAAAGGAGGCTCACGCCTGTAATCCTAGCACTTTGGGAAGCTGAGGCGGGTTTATCACCTGAGGTCAGGAGTTCAAGACCAGCCTGGCCAACATGGCAAAACCCCATCTCTACTAAAATACAAAAATTAGCCGGGCATGATGGCGGGTGCCTGTAATCCCAGCTACTTAGGAGGCTGAGACGGGAGAATCGCTTGAACCCTGGAGACGGTGGTTGCAGTGAGCCGAGATTGCACCACTCCACTCCAGCCTGGGCGGCTGAGTGAGACTCTGTCTCAAAACAAAAACAAAAACAAAAACAAAAAATGTGGATACAGAAAAAAAAAATGTTTTTTGACTGGTTTCATCATATTCATGTACCTAGAGAGAGTGAGAGCGATCATTTCAAAACTACATGTGTACCTGGGAATAGCAACCCTCGACTCCAACTAGTCAATTGCAGACCTCACCTTAAGGAAGGATTATTCTTTTTTTTTTTTTTTTTTTTTTTTTAATTTGAGACGGAGTCTAGCTCTGTCGCCCAAGCTGGAGTGCAGTGGTGCAATCTCGGCTCACTGCAACCTCTACCTCCCGGGTTCAAGTGATTCTACTGTCTCAGCCTCCTAAGTAGCTGGGATTACAGGTGCCGGCCACCATGCCCAGCTAATTCTTGCATTTTTAGTAGAGATGGGGGTTTCACTGTTTTGACCAGGCTGGTCTCGAACTCCTGACCTCATGATCCACCTGCCTCGGCCTCCCAAAGTGCTGGGATTACAAGTGTGAGCCACTGCGCCTGGTCTTTTTTTTTTTTTTTTTTTTTTTGCTTTGTTTGTTTTTTGTTTTAGACAGAATCTTTCTCTGTTGCTCAGGCTGGAGTGCAGTGGTGAGATCACAGCTCACTGCAGCCTTGACCTCCCCGGGCTCAGGTGATCCTCCCACCTCAGCCTTCTGAATACAAGTGTGTGCCAAATTATTCTTGAGAAACCATTTTTGCCTTTTTTTCTTTCTTTTTTTTTTTTTTTTTGAGATACAGACTTGCTCTGTCACTCAGGCTGGAGTGCAGTGGCCTGAGAATGAGATCTATAACCTAAAATAAGATTTGCAACCTAAAAGTTTATGTTTTAATGTTGCTGAGTACAGTGGCTCGAACCTGTAGTCCCAGCTACTCAGGAGGCTAAGGCAGGAGGGAAGATCCCTTGAGCCCAGGAGTTCGAGGCTGCAGTGAGCAATGCTCATGCCACTGCACTCTAGCCTGGGCAACAGGGCAAGACTCCATCTCTACTAAAAAAAAAAAAAAAGAAAGAAAAGAAAATTTGTTTATACTTAGAATACTACTCTAATGTATATATTTAAAAAGTCATGGATAAAATTATGGCTTAGTTTGGTTTGCTGAGGTATCTTCTGGTGATGAAAAATACATTGCAGATTTTGGAATAAAACTTCCCCCAGCCGGGCATGGTAGCTCATATCTATAATCCTAGCACTTTGGAAGGCCCAGGCAGGAGGATCACTTGAGCCCAGGAGTTCGAGACCAGCCTGGGCAACATGGCGAGACCTCATCTCTACAAATAATTAAAAAATTAGCCAGGTGTGTGGTAGTATATGCCTGTGGTCCCAGCTACTCAGTAGGCTGAGGTGGGAGGATCACTTGAGCCTGAGAGGCTGAGGCTGCAGTGAGCTGTGATTGTGCCACTGCACTCCAGCCTGGGCAACAGGGCAAGACCCTGTCTCAAAAACAAAAACAAAAAACTTCCCCCAGATATTCTGGAACTGTAAGAATTTTATGTTGGACCTAGTCCAACAGCGCCAGGGAGACAGAGGGAACTGAAGGTGATATAAGGCATCCGCTATGCCCTCCGTGTTTCACATGCTGCTGAGAGCCACAGGATTCAAAGCAATGGAGGTTTTCTGAAGGGTCAGAAAAACAGCCGAAAGAAAACAACTTCATCTTTTGATACAATCATTAATTTTACATTGTTCTGAACTCCACAGAAGTATATTTTCCTTTTTTAAATTCTTGAGACAAGGTCCCACCAGCCTGGAGTGCAGTGGTACGATCTTGGCTCACTGCAGCCTTGGCCTCCGGGGCTCAAGTGATCCTGCTTCAGTCTCCCACATAGGTGGGACTATAACAGTGTACCACCATGTCTGGCTCTTTCTATATTTTAACAGAAAAATCTTTTATTTATTTATTTATTTTTTTTTTTGAGACAGAGTCTCACTCTGTTACCCAGGCTGGAGTGCAGTGGCATGATCTTGGCTCACTGCAACCTGCCACTCCTGGGTTCAAGTGATTCTCATGCCTCAGCCTCCTGAGTAGCTGGGATTACAGGCACGCACCACCACACCTGGCTAATTATTATATTTTTAACAGAGACAGGGTTTCGCCATGTTGGCCAGGCTGGTCTCAAACTCCTGGCCTCAAGTGATCTGCCCGCCTTGGCCTCCCAAAGTGCTGGGATTACACGTGTGAGCCACTGTATGTGGCCCTTTTACTCTATTTTTATGAGAAGGGCAGATACTCAAATTGGCAGGTGAAACGCATTTTATTCAAGACATATTTATTGAGCAACTACTCTATACCAGACTATACCTGGTCCTGAGAATATAGAGGTGATGAAATGTCAAAGGTCAGTGCTCACTTTCAAGCAGCTCACTGTCTAGTAGGAGAGAGAGAGAGTCAGAGAAGAGACAGGAAGAGAAGAGACTTCTAGACAAAGTGACAATACAATGAAGAAAATACTCATAGTAGAAGGGAACTGTAAAACAAAGAAAGCAAATGATTGTACCTGGTAGTATTGAGAAACATTTCCAAAAGGCTCAACGTTTAGGTTGGGTCTTGAAGGATGAAAAGAAGTTTATACATGAGAAAGAGGGCAAAAGGCGTTCTAGCCAGAGAGAGCACCAAATGGGAAGGCAAAAACAGCGTATTAAACAGCATGGCCTCCTAGGGGATGGTAAGAAGTTTGCTATAGCTAGAGACTGTGGGCCTACAGAAGGATGGCAGAAGATGAAACTAGAAAAGTATGTAAGAGCTAGATCTTGGAAGCCCCTCCAGTTTTGGGGGTTCTGAGGCACTTCTGAAGGATTTTAAAAAGAAGAAACACAGGATTATAGGTCTACCAATCATTAGCTGTGTGACTTTGTCAAGTTACTTAACTCTAAGCATTCGTTTCCTTTTTGTAAAATGAGGTTATTGACTGTTTAGAGGCTCTAAGGAAGTCTGTTAAGAGGATTAAATAAGATAATCGCTAAAATAAATAAGATTAAATAAGACAAATAGAAATAAGCACATGAAGAGATGTTTAGCATCATTAATCATTAGAGAAATGCAAATCAAAATCACAATGAGATACTACCTCACACCCACTAGGATAGTTTGCTACAATAATTTTTTAAAATTTTTTTCTTCTTCTTTTTCTATATTTTCTTTTTTTTCCATGTTTTTCCAGAGATATAATAATTTTTTAAAAAACATGAAAATACTAAGTGTTGGCCAGAGTATAGATAAGTAAGAACCTTCACACACTGCTGGTGGAAATATAAAATGGTACAGCGACTTTGGAAAACAGTCTGGGAGTTCCTCAAATGATTAAACATGGAGTTATCATATGACCCAGCAATTTCACTCCTAGGTATATATTCAAGAGTAATGAACACATACGTCTACACAGAAACTGATACACGAATGTTTATAATAGCATTATTTGCAACAGCTAAGAGGTGGAAACAATCCAAATGTCCACTGACGGACAGGTGGGTAAACAAAATGTGGTATACCCATACAATGGAATGTAACTCGGCCATAAAAAGAATGAAGTACTGATATGGTCACGCGCCGCATAACATTTTGGTCAACAACTGACTACATATACGACGGTGGTCCCATAAGATTATAATACCATATTTTTATTGTACCTTTCCTGTGTTTATTTATTTGTTTATTTATTTTTGTAGACAAAGTCTTGCTCTATCCCCCAGGCTGGAGTGCAGTAGCACCATCTCAGGTCACTGCAACCTTCGCCTCCTGGGTTAAAGCAGTTCTCCTGCCTCAGCCTCCTGAGTAGCCGGGATTACAGGCACCCACCGCCATGCCTGGCTAATTTTTGTACTTTTAGTGGAGACGGGGTTTTGCCATGTTGGCCAGGCTTGTCTTGAACTCCTGACCTCGGTGATCCACCCACCTTGGGCTCCCAAAGTGCTGGGATTACAGGCGTGAGCCACTGTGCCCAGCTTTCCTGTGTTTAGATATGTTTAGATACACAAATACTTACCATTGTTTTACAAATGCCTATAGTATTATGCTATACAGGATTGTAGCCTAGGAGCCATAGGCTATACCATACAGCCTAGGCGTGTAGTAGGCTATATCAGCCAGGTTTGTGTAAGTACATTCTATGATGTTCACACAACAACAAAAATCACCTAACAACACATTTCTCAGAACATATCCCCATCATTAAGTGACATATGACTGTATATACTACAACATGGGTGAACCTTAAAAACCTCATGCTGGCTGGGAACGGTGGCGTGAGCCTGTAGTCCCAGCTACTTGGGAGACTGAGGCAGAGGACTGGTTGAGCCCAGGAGGTCAAGGATGTAGTGAGCCAGGATTACGCCACCACAATCCAGTATGGGTGACAGTGAGATCCTGTCTCTAAAAAACAAACAAGTCTGGGTGTGGTGGCTCATGCCTGTAATCCCAGCACCTTGGGAGGCCGAGGCGGGCGGATCATGAGGTCAGGAGACCGAGACCATCCTGGCGAACACGGTGAAACCCTGTCTCTACTAAAAATACAAAAAATTAGCCGGGCATGGTGGCAGGTGCCTGTAATCCCAGCTACTCGGGAGGCTGAGGCAGGAGAATGGCGTGAACCCAGGAGGCGGAGCTTGCAGTGAGCCGAGATCGCGCCATTGCACTCCAGCCTGGGTGACAGAACGAGACTTTGTCTAAAAAACAAAAAACCTGATGCTAAGTTACAGAAACTAGTCATAAAAAATACATATTTTATTTATGATTTTATTCACATGAAATGCCCAGAATGGGTAGATCCACATAGGAAGTAGATGAGGGGTTATCAGGAGCTAGGGAGACATGGGAATAGGAGTGACTGTTAACAGGCATGGGGTTTCTTTATGCAAATGATGAAAATGTTCTGGAGTTAAGAGGGTCATGATGGTTGCACAATTTTGTGACCATATCAAAAAACTGAATTGTACACTTTAAAATGGGTAAATTTTATGGCGTAAGAGTTATATCTCAGGCCAGGCGCAGTGGCTCACACCTGTAATCCCAGCACTTTGGGAAGCTGAGGCGGGTGGATCACCTGAGGTCAGGAGTTTGAGACCAGCCTGACCAACATGGTGAAACCCCGTCTCTACTAAAAATACAAAAAATTAGCCGGGCATGGTGGCAGGTGCCTGTAATCCCAGCTGCTTGAGAGGCTGAGGTAGGAGAATTGCTTGACCCTGGGAGGCGGAGGTTGCAGTGAGCCCAGATCACACCATTGCACTCCAGCCTGGGCAACAAGAGTGAAACTCCGTCTCAAAAAAAGTTATATCTAAAAAAAAAATAGGAATTGTCCTATACACTGGGGTCAGTTACAACCTGATATTCACATTGAAAGGATTTTAACATAACATGCATTCATAGTAGTACTCTTGAGTCATCAAAAAAGGTTTAAGTTATTTTCAGAATTATGTGATTAGGTCATGGAAATCGGTAATGCATTTCAGATTTTCTTCTTTCAGTAGAGTGACTTTATACGTTGAAACAGCAAGTTAGATCAATTTATATGGGACATCCAAAATCCAAATGGAAACATTTTAAATATCTGTAAGAGTTAAATATTATAATAGTCCCAAGAATATAACAGAATTCAAGATTTCCATCAAGTTCAATGATCTTTAAAAAGGTGGTTGGGAAAGACAATTACACATTTTAGGAACCATTAAGTTCGAAAGTCTTTGGAATAGAAGCCAATGACATGTATTTCTATGAGTAGACTGAAGATTTAAGTAGCGAGTGTAACTTGAACTAAGGTTGTCGTTGAGAAGATCAACTCTCTTTTTTTGAGACGGAGTCTTGCTCTGTCGCCCAGGCTAGAGTGCAGTGGCGCAATCTCGGTTTACTGCAACCTCTGCCTCCCAGGTTCAAGTGATTCTCCTGCTTCAGCCTCCCGAGTAGTTGTGATTACAGGTGCCTGCCACTGTGTGCTAATTTTTGTATTTTTAGTAAAGAAGATGGGGTTTCACCTTCTTGTCCAGGCTGGTCTCGAACTCCTGACCTCGTGATCCACACCCCGCCCCCCCGACCCCCGAGGCCTTGGCCTCCCAAAGTGTTGGAATTATAGGTGTGAGCCACCACACTCGGCTGGGAAGATCAACTCTTTTAAGATATATAGTCATTAATCTAAAATTTAATGTGTCCCACCAGGGTCAGCAAAACTAATCTTGTTAGCCTGCTTAGCAAACGTTCCTGAGTCATAAAGAACTTCAGCTAACTAGAGTGGTAACTGTATTCCTTGATGGATAAATGATCCTTCAGCTTTGGAAGATTTAGAATTAAGTACAGATGCTCTTCAACTGACGATGGGGTTACATTCCAATAAACCTATTTTAAGTTGAAAACATTGTAAGTTTAAAATGCATTTAATACCCCATTAAACGCACTGTAAAGTCAAAAAATCGTAAGTCAAGCCATTGTAAGTCAGTGATCGTCTGTATTAAAAACATTTAAGAGCTATGGTTTGAACATTTGTGTCCCCTCCAAAATTCATGTTGAAACTTCATCCCGATTGCAACGGTATCATCTTTAGGAGGTGATTGGGCCACGAAGACTCTGCCCTCATGGATGGAATTAGTGCCCTTATAAAAGCACCTGAGGGAGTGAGTTTAGCCTCTTCTGCCCTTCCATTCCTTCTGCCACGTGAGGACACAGCAGTCCTCCCATCCAGAGGATGCAGCAACACGGTGCCATCTTGGAAGCAAAGAGCAGCCCTCACTAGACACCAAACTGCCTAAACTTCTCAGCCTCCAGAAGTGTGAGAAATAAATTTGTTCTTTATAATTACCCAGTCCCAAAGTATTTTTATAGCTGCACAAATGGCCTGAGACAGAAAAGATTTAGAATTAATAAAAACACTTAAGAGAATCAAAACTATAGTTGAGGAAAGCCTCATTGAGAAGATGGCATTTGGGTAAAGTCCAAAGGAAGTAAGAGAGTCATGTGGGTGTCTGGGGGAAGAGCATTTCAGGCAAAGGGAACGGCAAGTGCAAAGGCCCTGAGGTGAGCAGGCAAGGAGGCATGGGGGAAGCAATGGGATATGGAGTCAGAAAGGGAAAGCAGATCATGAGAGAAGTAGGACATGGTGAGACCAGGTGCTTGTAAGGCTGCATAGACTATTATGGAGCTTTTGGCTTTTAAACTGCGTAAGATGGGGAGCCACTGACCAATTTTGAGCAGAAAAGTGGCAAAAGCTTCATTCAAGGGAATCAAACACATCAAATCTTTAAATATGATTAACATATCATTGTGTCACTGAGTTAAGTCTATTACACAGTTTTATCTAAAAATTAGATTTAAATGACATACGATGAATTAAATTACTCTATCTTACAAAGTTTTTGATGGCCCCAAATCATTATCAACAGCGAAGCTGGTGATTTCAGGGCTAGGAGATAAGGGTTAGTGGTGTGGCCTCCTTCCTGGAGTCCCTACTCATTATGCCTCCTGCTGACATTTTAGAGCACAATCCACCCAGACACCCATTTGATCAAGGGCCCTAAGCCAGATTCTCACTTCCCAGTTGCCACTTGTGTGGCCAGAGAGGTTCCCAGGAATAAAGACATCTGATCCCTGCTTATCAGTGAGGGGCTCTTGCTCCAGTCTACAAACGCATCCATACCTGAGGCATGGAGGAGATAAGACTGGAGCAGAAGCTTGTTGAGGATTTTGGAGGCTTTCCTGAAAAAGATCAGTTAAGGTTTTTAGAGCAGGGAAGCGCTGTGTTAAGACTGGCCCTTCTAAAGACTCCTCTGGAGGTGCCTTAGGAGGGAAGGCAGGGCGGGAACAGGAGGCCCTGGGCGGCTATGGTCACCCTAGCCTAGAGGTGAAACGCCATGCTTCATACGTGTTCCCTCATCTGCAAAGTGGAATTACCGTCAGCCTGACTAGGTGGTTGTTTTATGTGAAATTAAGTGAAATAATTCATATAGGTGAAAGCACTCCATTTAAAGTTGTGCAACTATAAAGGTTTATCAAGCATAGAGGTGATATTGACGTGTGTGGTTAGAAGCCCACCAGGTGTGTGTGAATCTACCGCTTCCAAACGCGTCTTAGAATGATGTGGAGTAGGGCCATTGGAACAATCGGGGATACATAAGCGCATCTGAAGGGGAAGGGAACAAGCCGCTGACTAACTCACAAAAGAGGCGGTCCGCATGGGTAGAGATGAGCATGTAAGGTTCCGTCCAGAAGCAAATAGTTGGGAGCTCAACATTGGTTAGGCGCGGTGAGTTCGCCCTCGGTTCTAAGCCCAGATGTCGCATCTTGACATAAAACCAAGGATGGAGGCTGCACCGAGAAACTCGGGCTACTGCCCTGGGAGCCAGGTTCCCCGGCAGCGCCCCTGGCCGCGCCCGCAGAGACTCCGGCCCCGGCCCTGCCCTGCCCTCCCCGCGCGCCCCCGCGGCGGCCGCCCGTCTTTGCTCCGCGCAGCCCGAGCCCCTCCAGAGTCCGCGGCGCCCGACGGCTCCAGACACGCCCGGCGCCGTCCCCGCCGCCTTCCCGCCGCCGCCTCCAGGAGGCTCCGCGCGCCTTCCCGCCTTTCCCCGGGCCGGGCCGGGCGGCGAGGCGGGCGCGGGCGGCGACGGCGCGGCCATTGTCCCGCAGCCCCTCCCGGGCGCCTCCCGCCGCGCTCCCGGCCCGGGGACGTCTGGGGGAGGCGCGCCCGGGGCCCGCATCCCAGCACTGCCGCCGCCCGGGCCGTCAGAGCCCGCGGCCAGGCTCGCGGCGGGTCCCGGGCAGCCCCGACGCCCGCCCGCCCTCCGCCGGCGCCGCGTGCAGCCACTTACCGCGGGCCGCGGCGCACCGGCCGGTCGCGCGCGCGGGCCGAGGGAAGATTCCTGGTTCTCGGCTGGGGAAGGACCCCCTTTCGAGGCCGTTCCTTTGCGCCCTAAAACAAGTAGCCCCAACGTGAGAGAAACAAAAGGTATTTGCTGACGTGGGCGTTGGACAGAAACGCCCGAGGGCTGGGGACACAATTAAAGGGGCAACGCACAGATTTCAGGCACCAACCAGCAGCTTCGCCCACTCCCCCTGCCCTTGCCCACACTCGCTGCACGCTCCAGAGACACCGGGGTGCCCAGATTCTCTAGCAGTTGACTGCGGATCATGATTTTAGTCAGGAGCTGAAATTTAAAATTGTACTTTACGTTGGGAAAGGCGCCTCCGGAGGGCAGAAGGGCTGGATTTCTAGGATCTGGGGATTTGGTTTAGGAAAGAGGGAGGGACTTAGGCGTGCCCACAATTACTGTATAAGTACATGTGACATTATTGTACTTAAGTTTAGCAACGTCAAATGCAAAAGATTTCCACAGAATTTTCCCTTGTACTGAAGCAGTTATTTTAGTTGAGGATAACCTTTTCTAAACCTGTACAGGTCAGAAGCATTTCATTTGAATAGGAAAACCCAGAGAGGCTGAGATAAGAGAACATAATTCTTAGTTAAGTCCAGAGAAATATAAAATTAGTAAAAATAGCAAGTTGCGTCTTTTCCAATGCAAGCATTCATCGTACACCAAGCTTCCTCTGACAAATTTACGTCTCTAATATTTAGAGTACAGATATCAGGTTATACATTTGCTAAAATAGTAAATCAATGGATTTTCACTGTTACTGTAGAAGCATTACTTCTATAAATTAGTTTTCTAGTTCCTTATGCTGGGGTCAGGTACTGAAAAGTACTGTGTTATAGTAAAACTGGAGGGAAAAGGTTCAAATTATCAAAACTTGCGTTTAGCTTTTAATGGATTCCTCTCCTGTTCAAAATCATTCATATTGGACAGTTTGTAACTTTGATTTCAGGAATAATTAGCTATGCATTTTGAGGATACAAGATATTCACAATTGTCTCAATGTCACTTCTGTGTCACTGCAGAGGTGCTTTGCTATTTAGTTGCATTTCCTCACCTTCTGAACAGGTAAGTAGAAACATATTTGAAAACCATTAGGTGTCTGGTGTGTTGGATGTACTCAGATTACTCTGCTAGCGCCCCCATTGAGAATTCCCCCAGAAAGACCTGGACATGGTTTTAGCCAAAGGTTTTATTTTAGCCTTAGTTAATTAAAACATGCAAAAGAGTTCCACAAACATATTCCTCAAGAGAGCACATCAGGTTGGTGATAAACTCTTTGTTGAGGCCGGGTGTGGTGGCTCACACCTATAATCTCAGCACTTTGGGAGGCCGAGGTGGGCGGATCACGAGGTCAGGAGGTTGAGACCAGCCTGGCCAACATGGTGAAACCCCATCTCTACTTAAAATACAAAAATTAGCTGGGCATGGTGGTGCGCGCCTGTAATCCCAGCTACTGGGGCAGCTGAACCAGGAGAATGGCTTGAACACAGGAGGTGGAGTTTGCAGTGAGCCAAGATCGTGCCACTGCACTCCAGCCTGGGTGACGGAGCAAGACTCCATTTCAAAAACAAAAACAAAAACAACAAACAAAAATAACCTCTTTGTTGCAAGGAAGAGGTAATGAGAGTTTTGTCCCTCACCTTCATTCTCCTAGCTTTGGGAGCACGTTTCTGTATGCTAGAGCTCCACCATTAACCAGTGCTAGTCTCTTAAACTCTGTCTCCCACCCCACCCAACCCCCATCCCTGTTTCCACCTATTCAGTTCAAATCTTGAGGAAGATAATCCATTCCTTTTTTTTTTTTTTTTTTTTTTTTTTTTTGGAGACGGAGTCTTGCTCTGTCACCCAGGCTGGAGTGCAATGATGCAATCTCGGCTCACTGCAACCTCCGCCTCCCAGGTTCAAGCAATTCTCTGCCTCAGCCTCCAGAGTAGCTGGGATTACAGGTGCCCGCCACCACGCCTGGCTAATTTTTGTATTTTTAGTAGGGACAGGGTTTCACCAGGTTGCCAGGCTGGTCTTGAACTCCTGACTTCGTGATCCAGCCTCATTGGCCTCCCAAAGTGCTGGGATTACAGGCATGAGCTACCGCACCTGGTCCCATTCCAATTTTAACAGTGCCTGCTAAGGGTAAAGTTTTTGCTCTAGGCTCTTGGAATGCAGTGGTGAGCAAAAAATTCACCAAGTCCCTGCTTTTATGGGATTTGCAGTCTAGTGGGGGAGACAGATGGTAATCAAATAAATGTATAATTTGAAAATTGGATAAGTCTGAAGGAAAGGTATGTCGTGTGATGAGAATATTGATGAAGTGGGGACCCGTCTCATGAGGGAGAGGGTTTGTGTAAGGAGGACTTCCTTGAGGAGGTTATCTTGACTGGAAATCTGGAGTAGGAATTAACAGGCAAGCGTGTGAGTGGTCAGGAGCATTCCAGATAGAAGGAGCAAAATGGTGCTTGGTAGATGGGAATATAGCCTGAAAGGCTGATGAGACTGGAGTGCAACGTGAGGGAGAGAGACAAGAGATAAGATGGGAGAGGGAGGCAGGGGTCAGACCATCAGGGCCTTGTCGGGCCAGGTTAAGAACTTTGGGAGCCATTAATGTGTTTTAAGCTGCATGGGGTGTGTGTGCTATGATGAGGTAAGCATTTTGAAAAGATGACTGTGGAAGATAAATTAGAGGGAAGGAAGAGTGGATCACAGTGGCCCAGCTAAGAGATGGTAGAATCTTGAACTAGAGTGGAGGTAGATAGAAGTGGGGAGATCAAGTGAGGTGGAGAGTTAAATATTAGAGATAATAGTTTGACTCTGAGAAATGAGGGAGAAGGAGGAGTCAAAGACAACTCCCAGCCTTTTGGAACTGGACAGATGGTGGTTCTGTTCACTGAGAGAGAGAGGACTAGAAGGGCAGGATTTTTAAAATTTTTAAATTAAAAAAAAATTCCTACTTGAACCCAGGAGGTGGAGGTTGCAGAGAGCTGAGATCATGCCACTGTACTCCGGCCTGGGCAACAGAGTGAGACTCCGTCTGAAAAAAAAAAAAAAAAGAAAAGAAAAAAGAAATTTCATCATCAAAGTCATATAGGTGGGATGGGAATTAAAACCATGGATATGCATAGAGAGAGAATATAAAATGAGAAGCAAAGAAGGCTTAGGACCAAACATTGAGCTACTTCCTCATCTAGTGGGTGGTTAGAGGAAGCTGAAATTGCAAATGAGTGTGAGAAGACTGGAGAGGAAGGAAGAGACCTGGGATAATGTGATGGCATAAAAACTAAAAGAAGAGTCCAGACACAGCGGCTCATACCTGTAATGCCAGCACTTTGGGAGGCTGAGGCAGGAGGTTGGCTTAAGGCCAGGAGTTCCAGACTAGCCTGGGCAACATAATGAGACCCGATCTCTACAAAAAAAATAAAATAAATTAGCTGGGCTTGGTTGTTTGTGCCTGTAGGCTTAGCTACTTAGGAGGCTGAGGTGGGAAGATCGCTTGAGTCCAAGAGCTTTAGGCTGCAGTGAGCCATGATGGCATCACTACTACTCCAGCCTGGGTGACAGAGCGAGAACCCAGCTATAAAAATAAGGAAAAAAGGAAGAATTGGGCAGTAGTGCTAAATATTGCTAAGAGAACAAATCTAAAAGAAAATGTCCATTACATTTAACAAGTTGGAGATCATTGACTTTAGAGAACATGATTAGGCTTAAAAGATGGGGTGGATTTCCAGATTAGAGGAATAAGTGGAGGATGAAGGAATAGAGATGATGAGAACAGACAATTCCTCTCAGAAACTGGTTTATAAAGGGGATGTTCCAGTTATTTTTACTGTGTAATAAACCAAACCAAACTTACTTAGTAGTAGAAAACTGAAGCTATTTTATTATGCTCCTGGATTCTGTGGGTCAGGTCACAGCAGGGGTGGCTTGTTTTTTTTTTTCCTGTTGTCTGGAGCCTTAGCTGGGAAGACTTAAATGACTGGGGGTAACTTGAACTACTGGGAACTGGAATCATCTGCAGGTTTCTTCGCTTAAAGGTTTGGCACCTGGGCTGGGATCACTTGAAGGTTGGCTCAGCTGAGATTTGTCATCTAGAGCACCTACCCATGACCTCTCTGTGGGGCTGGGGCTTCCTGCATCATGGCAGCTGGGTTCTGACAGAGTGTGTCCAAGACAGGTAGGAGGGAGCTGCATGACTTTTTCTGCCTATCTATGGAAGTTGTCCCAGCCTACTAAGATTCAAGCAGAAGGGGGACATAGTTGCTATCTCTAATGGAAAGAATGTCACAGAATTTGGGGTCATGTTTTAGAATTATTACAGGCAAAGAGAGATGGTGGTAGCTAGAAGGGGATATGTGTAAAAGAATTTTTGTTTGTTTGTTTGAGATAGCTGTCGCTCAGGCTGGAGTGCAATGGCATGAACACGGCTCACCGCAGCCTTGACCTCCTAGGCTCAAGCAATCTTCTTGCCTCAGCCTCCCAAGTAGCTGGGACTACAGGTGCACACCACAATGCCTAATTTTTTAATTTTATGTAGAGATGGGGATCTCCCTATGTTGCCCAGGCTTGTCCCAAACTCCTGGGCTCAAACGATCCTCCCACCCCAGCCTCCTGAAGTGCTGGGATTACAGGTGTGAGCCACCAAGCCGGGCCAGTAATTTATTATACAGCAATAGATCACTTATACAGATTGTGGTACCTAGAAGTGTTGCCATAACAGAAACCTGAAAATGTGACTTTAGAACTAGACAGTGGGTGGAAGGGCTTTGAGGTGTTAGTGAAAGCTTGAAGAATCTTCTAAAAAAATAGACAACTTATACCGGGTGCAGTGGCTCATGCCTGTAATCCCAGCACTTTGGGAGGCCAAGGTGGGTGGATCACTCGAGGTCAGGAGTTCCAGACCGGCCTGGCCAACATGGTGAAACCCCATCTCTACCAAAAATACAAAAATTAGCCGGGCATGGTGGCAGATGCCTGTAATCCCAGGTACTTGGGAGGCTGAGGCCGGAGAATCACTTGAACCCAGGAGGCAGAGGTTGCAGGGAGCTGAGATTGCGCCATTGCACTCCAGCCTTGGTGACAGAGTGAGACTCCGTTTAAAAAAAAAAAAGACAACTTCTAATGGTCTTTGAGGAAGATGCAAGTGAGGGCTTACAGAAAAATCTACAAATCTTATGGAAATCTGAAGCAAAGGGAGTCCTTGATAGGTATTGGTTGGGAGTCGGGGGGAAGCAACACAGTTGTCTGCAATAAGGTGAAAAGTAGAAAATATTTGAACTTGGTGATCTAGCTAAGGAAGTTGAACTTGGTGATCTAGCTATAAAGCTTCCCCCCAGAGTGTTGAAGGAAACAGGTGGTTTCTCCTTGCTGCTTGTAGTAAAATGTGAGAGGAGAGAGATAAGCTAAAGGAAGGACTGTTAGACAAAAGGAAGCCAAAGTTTTCTGGCTTGGAAAATTCCCAGGCTCTTAAGGTGGCAAATGATGATATGATTAAGAAATGACTTCTGAGCAAAGTTTAAATTTAGAGTAATGTCAGCAAAACAAGTCTAAAGATGAACTCAAGAATGTGGCTGTAAGATCCTTTGTTAAGTTTTCAGAAAGATCATAGATGGTACTTTAGAATACCATTCAGTTAGACAAAAAGTTCTCTGAAGAATTTAAGAGACTGGGCGCGGTGACTCACACCTGTAATTCCACACTTTGGGAGGCCGAGGCAGGAGGATTGCTTGAGTCTGGGAGTTTGAGACCAGCCTAGGCAACATAGTGAGACCTCGTCTCCACAGAAAAATTTAAAATTTTAAGTAAATAAATAAATAAAAATAAAGATAAAGAATGTAAGCATGTGACTTATAGATCATCTCAATCAAACAGTAGAGCTTCTAAGAAGCTTAAGGGGGCTGGGCACAGTGGCTCACGCCTGCAATCTCAGTACTTTGGGAGGCCAAGGCAGGCAGATTGCTTGAGGCCAGGAGTTCGAGACTAGCCTGAGCAACATAGTGAGGCCCTGTCTCTACAAAAACAAACAAAATTAACGGGACCTGGTGGCTCATGCCTGTAGTCCCAGCTACTCAGGAGGCTTGAGACTTGAGCCCAGGCAAGCTTAAGGGCTGTTCCTCAGCAGAGGCCCAAGGTAGAGAAGAGCTTATCTTGAAGAGATTTTTGGGGGTGTCTTTTGTCTAATGGAGTGAACCCCAAGAAGATTCACAAGACACCTACTGTGTTTCAAAGAGAATGTTCAGAACTAGGCATGGTGGCTCCTGCCTGTAATCCCAGCACTTTGGGAGGCCAAGGCAGGAGGATCATTTGAGCCCAAGAGGTTGAGACCAGCCTGAGCAACACAGTGAGACCCCATCTCTACAAAAAATAAAAAATAAAGAACAATTAGCCAGGCATGGTAGCATGCACCTGTGGTCCCAGCTACTCCAGAGGCTGAGGCAGGAGGTCAAAGCTGCAGTAAACCGTGATCACACCACTGCATGCCAGCTTGGGTGACAGAGTGAGACCCTGTCTCAAACAAACAAACAAATAAATAAATGAAATAACAATAAAGTGTTCAGAGGAGCACTGTCATGTTGGACTGAAATGGCCAGAGGCAGTACAAAATGATAGAAAATGGACCCCAAAAATTCTGGCAGGATACAATCTGTGAAAACTGCACAACTGTAAATATGAGCCACCTTTCTTTTTTTTTTTTTAATTTGAGACACGGTTTTGCTCTTGTTGCCCAGGCTGGAGTGCAATGGCGCGATCTCGGCTCATCGCAACCTCTGCCTCCTGGGTTCAAGCTATTCTCCTGCCTCAGCCTCCTGAGTAGCTGGGATTACAGACACCCACCACCATGCCCGGTTTTTTTTGTTTTGTTTTTGTATTTTTAGTAGAGACGGAGTTTCTCCATGTTGGTCAGGCTGGTCTCAAACTCCCGCCTCAGGTGATCCAAAATATGGGCCACCTTTCATGCAAAAGGAAGGGTGATTCAGAGGGCAGAAATAAGAGCCCAGAAGGTAGAACCAAAAGTCAGGCATAATTATTCCCGGGCCCTTGTGTTTTTTTGTTTTTGTTTTTGTTTTTGTTTTGAGACAGAGTTTTGCTCTTGTTGCCCAGGCTTGAGTGCAATGGCGCAGGGATTCAAGCGATTGTCCTGCCTCAGCCTCCCGAGTAGCTGGGATTACAGGCATGTGCCACCACGCCCGACTAATTTTGTATTTTTGGTAGAGACGGGGTTTCTCCATGTTGGTCAGGCTGGTCTCCAACTCCCGACCTCAGGTGATCCACCCGCCTCGGCCTCCCAAAGTGCTGGGATTACAGGCGTGAGCCACAGCACCTGGCCCAGGCCCTGGATCTTAATCAAGGATTTCCAACACTTGCCCAGTTGGATTTCAGAATTGCTATGGACCAGTGCTTCTTTTGTGCCTATGTTTCCCCCCATTTTGAGTATTAATGTCTATTTTATTTTACTTTATTTATTCGAGACAGAGTTTCGCTCTTGTTGCCCAGGCTGGAGTGCAATGGCGTGATCTCAGCTCACTGCAACCTCTGCCTCCCAGGTTCAAGTGATTTTCCGGCCTCAGCCTCCCAAGTACCTGGGATTACAGGCACACGCCACCAAGCCCAGCTAATTTTTGTATTTTTAATAGAGACAGGGTTTCACCATGTTGGCCAGGCTGGTCTTGAACTCCTGTCCTCAGTTGTTCCACCCACCTTTGCCTCCCAAAGCACTGGGATTACAGGTTGGAGCCACTGCACCCGGCCTTGTTTTTTTTTTCATATAGAGGGTCTCACTATGATGCCTAGGCTGATCTTGAACTCCTAGCCTCAAGTGATCCTCCTGCCCTGGCCTCCCAAAGTGCTGGGATTACAGGTGTGAACCATTGTGCCTGGCCTGGATTCTTTTTTATATTTACCTGTTATATATTTTTTATCCTTCTGTTTTCATCTTTTCTATTTCTTTTTGTTTTAAATATATCTTTTGATAAATCATATTGTTGGAATTTTAAAAAATCTGTTCTAAGCTGGGCACAGTGGTTCACGCCTGTAATCCCAACACTCTGGGAGGCTGAAGCAGGAGGATTGCTTGAGCCTAGGAGTTCAAGACCCGCCTGGGCAACATAGGGAGACTGTCTCTACAAAAAAATTAAAAAATCAGCTGGGTTTGGTGGTGCATGCCTGTGATCCCAGCTACTTGGAAGGCTGAGGTTGGAGGATTGCTTGAGCCCAGGAAGTCAAGGCCACAGTGAGCCATGACTGCACCACTGCACTTCAGCCTGGGCAACAGAGTTAAAAAAAAAAAAAAAATCTGGCCGGTGCAGTAGCTCACACCTATAATCCCAGCACTTTGGGAGGCCGAGGCAGGTGGATCACAAGGTCAGGAGTTCAAGACCAGCCTGGCCAAGATGGTGAAACCCCGTCTCTACTAAAAATACAAAAATTAGTCGGGTGTGGTGGCAGGCGCCTATAATCCCAGCTACTTGGGAGGCTGAGGCAGGAGAATTGCTTGAACCTGGGGTGGCGGAGGTGGCAGTGAGCCAAGATTGTGCCACTGCCTTCTAGCCTGGGTGACAGAGTGAGACTCCGTCTCAAAAAAAAAAAAAATCTGTTCTGAGAGGCTCTGCTTTTTAGTTTTAAATTTAACCCAATTGTATTATTGTATTTACAATTAATTTTAAATTTACTTCTGACCTGTTCTTTTGTGTTTTTTTTTTTTTCTTTTTTGAGACGGAGTCTTGCTCTTTCACCCAGGCCAGAGTGCAGTGGTGCTGTCTCAGCTCACTGCAAGCTCCGCCTCCCAGGTTCCCGCCATTCTCCTGCCTCAGCCTCCCGAGTAGCTGGGACTACAGGCACCCGCCACCACGCCTGGCTAATTTTTTGTATTTTTAGTAGAGACGGGGTTTCACCATGTTAGCCAGGATGGTCTCGATTTCCTGACCTCGTGATCCACCCGCCTTGGCCTCCCAAAGTGCTGGGATTACAGGCGTGAGCCACCGTGCCTGGCCTCTTTTGTATTTTATATTGGTTAATGTTTTATTGCTTTTATGTTGTTCTTCCTTGTAGTCCACTGGCTAGATTTTCTTCTGCTATACATTTATATTTTGCTCATTGTAGTTGCCTTTATTACTTATACTCATGGTTTTTGCCTTTCTGGATATAAAAAATGCATTGATATTTATTTCTTCCCCTTAATAAGAATATACTTAAGGCTGTGCACAGTGGTTCACACCTGTAATCCCAGCACTTTGGGAGGCCAAGGTGGGTGGATCACCTGAGGTCAGGAGTTCAAGACCAGCCTGGCCAACATGGTAAAACCCTATCTCTACTAGAAATACAAAAATTAGCCAGGTGTGGTGGTGCATGCCTGTAATCTCAGCTACTTGGGAGGCTGAGGCAGGAGAATTGCTTGAATCTGGGAGGTAAAGGTTGCTGTGAGACGAGATCGCGTCATTGCACTCCAGCCTGGGCAACAAGAACGAAACTCCATCTCAAAAAAAAAAAAAAAAAAGAAATATACTGCATATCTTCATGTCTCTTCTCCATCCCCTCCAATATAGGTATAGGTATTACTTATTATGAATGTATTTTTCCTTTTTTTCTTTTTTTTTTTTTTTTGAGACAGAGTCTTGCTCTGTTACTCAGGCTGGAGTACAGTGGCACAATCTTGGTGCACTGCAACCTCCATTTCCTGGGTTCAGGCGATTCTCCTGCCTCAGCCTCCCGAGTAGCTGGGATTACAGGTGCCCAGCCTCCATGCCCCGCTAATTTTTGTATGTTTAGTAGAGACGGGGTTTTACTATGTTGGCCAGGATGGTCTCAAACTCCTGACCTCAAGTGATCCGCCCACCTCGGCCTCCGAAAGTGCTGGGATTATAGGCATGAGCCAACACTCCTGGCCCCTTTTATTTTCTTTAATACAAACCTTTTTATTTAACAACAAAGACGGGCTGGGCATGGTGGCTCACTCCTGTAATCCCAGCACTTCGGGAGGCCGAGGTGGGCCGATCACTTGAGGCCAGGAGTTCGAGACCAGCCTGGCCAACATGGCGAAACCCTGCCTCTACCAAAAATACAAAAATTAGCCGGGCGTGGTGTCATGTGCCTGCAATCCCAGCTACTTGGGAGGCTGAGGCACGAGAATTGCATGAACCCGGGAGGCGAAGGTTGCAGTGAGCCGAGATCATGCCACTGCACCCCACCCTGGGGGACAAAGCAAGACTCCGTCTCAAAAAAAAAAAAAGAAAAAGAAAAAAGAAAAAAATAGCAAATACGGACAAGGACAAACTTTACCAAAGTATTTGAACACTTATTTTTCCTCCCTTGCAGCATCTCCTGGATGTGTTTCTCATCTTGAGTACTCTCTTCAAGGTTGTTTTCAATGTTTGTCTTTGTGTAACAAAGTTTCCAAGGCATTGTATGCTGGAGAATATTTTTATTATGCTTTAACATTTGAATAACAATTTGAATGGATATAAAACTCTAGATTCAAAAACAAAAAAAAATTTCTAGATTCAATGTGCTCTTTGATACTTTAAAACATATTGCTCTACTATAGAAGTATTCTGCCAAAACCAAAAACAAAACAGAAAAACCATATGGCTCTATTTTTATCTTGCATCCAGTGTTGCTATTGAGTAGTGTGGTATCAATTTGCTATTTCTATATGAGCCTGTAGGTTGTTCTCTTTGTCTTTGACGTTCTTTTTTTTTTTTTTTTCGAGACGGAGTCTTGCTCTGTCTCCCAGGCTGGAGTCTTGCTCTGTCTCCCAGGCTGGAGTGCAATGGCGCAATCTCGGCTCAGTGCAACCTCTGCCTCCCAGGTACAAGCGATTCTCCTGCCTCAGTCTCCTGAGTAGCTGGGATTACAGGCGCCTGCCACCGTGCCCAGCTAATTTTTGTATTTTTTAGTAGAGACAGGGTTTCGCCATGTTGGCCAGGTTGGTCATGAACTCCTGACCTCTGATGATCCACCCGCCTTGGCCTCCCAAAGTGTTGAGATTACAGGCGTGAGCCACGACGCCTGGCCGTCTTTGACGTTCTTACATTTTGTATTTGCTATTCTTACATTTTATTGTAATGTGCCTACGTGTAGATTTTTTCTTAACTATCCCGTTTGGCAGTCTAAGGGCACTTTTTTGTTTTGTTTTATTTTGAGATGGGGTTTTCCTCTGTTGCCCAGGCCAGAGTGCAGTGGCATGATCATAGCTCACTGCAGCCTCAACCTCCTGGGCTCAAGTGATCCTCCCACCTCAGCCTCCTAAGTAACTAGTACTACAGGCACATGTCATCATGCCCGGCTAATTTTTGTATTTTATTGTAGAAATGGGGTTTCACCATGTTGCCCAGGCTGGTCTCAAACTCCTGGGCTCAAGAGATCTGCCTGCCTTGGCCTCTGAAAGTTCTGGGATTACAGACGTAAGCCACTGCACCCAGCTGGGATTTATTTTTATATTCTCTAGTTCTTTGTCTTTTCCTACTATCTTCTGGGAAAGGTCCTAAATATAATCTTGAAATTTACTAACTTTTTATTCAACTATATCCATCCTGCCATTATTCTATCTCTTTGTTCTTTCTTTCAACTATTCAATTCTAATATTTATTCTTGGTTCTTCTTTACGATTTCTCGTTATTGCCTCAGATTGTCAACATAATCTCTTCTCTAAGTATATCTCTTTTTTTTTTTTGAGACAGTGGCTTCGCTCTGTCGCCCAGGCTGGAGTGCAGTGGTTTGATCTCAGTTCACTGCAACCTCCACTTCCTGGGTTCAAGCGATTCTCCTGCCTCATCCTCCCAGGTAGCTGGGATTACAGGTGCCCGCCACCACACACGGCTAATTTTTGTATTTTTAGTAGAGATGAGGTTTCACCATATTGGCCAGGCTAGTCTGAAACTCCTGACCTCAGGTGATCTGCTCGCCTCAGCATCCCAAAGTGCTGGAATTACAGGTGTGAGCCATCGCACCTGGCTAAGTATATCATTCTTATTTTAAATTTTTGATCCCTCTATTCTAATAATTCTTAGATTATATATCTATGTATATAATAATAATATACTACACTATATACTGTGTGTATATGTACATGTAATTTAGCTTACCCTTTTTTTTTTTTTTTTTTTTTGACAGGGTCTAGCTCTGTCATCTGGGCTGGAGTGCAGTAGCGTGATTATGGCTCACTGCAGCCTTGACCTCCCAGGCTCAAGTGATCCTACTGCCTCAGCCCCCTGTGTAGCTGGGACCACAGGCATGCACCACCACTCCTGGATAATTTTTTTTTTTTTTTTTTGAGATGGAGTCTCGCTCTGTCACCTCAGCTGGAGTGCAGTGGCGCTATCTCGGCTCACTGCCAGCTCCGCCTCCCAGGTTCACGCCATTCTCCTGCCTCAGCCTCCTGAGTAGCTGGGACTACAGGCGCCCACCAAGACGCCCGGCTAACTTTTGTATTTTTAGTAGAGACGGGTTTCACCATGTTAGCCAGGATGGTCTCGATCTCCTGACCTCATAATCTGCCCACTTCGACCTCCCAAAGTGCTGGGATTACAGGCGTGAGCCACCACGCCTAGCCTTTTTTTTTTTTTTTTTTTTTTAAATAGAGACAAGGTCTCATGTTGTTGCCCAGGCTGCTGTCTAACTCCTGAGCTCAAGCCATCCTCCCGCCTCAGCCTCCCAAAGTGCTGGGATTATAGGCATGAGACACATTACCTGGCCTATTTTTATTTTTTGTGGAGACAGGGTCTTGTTTTGTTACCCAGGCTGGTCTTGTACTCCTGGCCTCAAGTGATCCTCCCACCTCGGCCTCCCAAAATGTTGGGTTTACAAGCGTGAGCCACCGTGCCTGGCCAGCTTACCCTTTTTCTCATGGTGGTTGTATTCTGTCCTGTAAAGTCATGTTCTCTGGAGTATTGGCTACTCTCTCGCTAATGCGGCGTTTCTGTGGTAAAGAACCAGATTATTTTTGTTCCCAATCTCTTGTGGGCCTATTTATTGCAGCAATATCAAATTGCTGTAAAACTTTTAAAATGCTTGCTCTCGCTTTCTGTACTCACCGTAGACTAGGTACATCATTCCTTGGACCACATTTTGACTAGTATTGTCCTAATGTGTGTTGGGAGAAGGTGTTATTCATGATGGTATACTGTATTAGTCTTATTAGTCTTTCCAAATGTTCCCTCCTTCATCCCAAGAGGATTATACATTTCCACCCATTGCTATGTGACTTTCAATGACTCTCTGTAGGCAGAGTGCAGTTCCCTGCTCCAGTGTCTGGCTTGGCCTTGGGACCTGCTTGGGCCAGTGGAATGTAAGCAGTGACAGCGTGCCAGCTCTGAACAGGAGCTTTAAGAGGCATGATGCATTTTCACCAGCAATCTTGTTCTTCCTCTCTGCTGCAAAAACAGTATGACCCAAGTAGGGGCTGCTCTTGCAGCTCAGCCTGGGTCATGGGGTGAGCACGGAAGCTGCCCTGTAGTCACCAACATGTAACGTGAGCAAGAAATAGATGGTTTTTGTAAAGCAAGGGTTGCCAAATTACAGTCCATGGGCTGAACCAAGTCTACTCTCTGTTTTTGTAAGATCTGTAAGCTAAGAATTGTTTTTTATATGTTTGTTTGCTTTTTGTGTGTGTGTGAGACAGGGTCTCGCTCCACTGCCCAGGCTGGAGTGCAGTCGTGCAATCACTGCTCACTGCAGCCTCGACCTGCTGGGCTCAAGCGGTCTTCCCACGTCAGCCTCTCAAGTAGCTGAGAATATAGGTGCATGCCACCAAGCCCAGCTAATTTTTTAAATTTTTTTGTAGACATGGGGTTTTGCCATGTTGCCCAGACTAGTCTCAAAGTCCTGAGCTCAAGCGATCCTCCAGCCTAGGCCTCCCAAAATTTTGGATTACAGGCATGAGCCACCACACCTGGCTTTTTTTTTTTTTTTTTTTCATTTTCGAAGGGTGGAAAAGTAATCAAAAGAAGAAGAATATCTTGAGATATTAAAACTATATGAAATTCAAATTGTTAGTATTCATAAATAAAGTTTTATTGGAACACAGCCATTCTCATTCATTTATATATTGTCTGTGGCTGCTTTCACGCTATAACTGCAGAGCTGAGTAGTTGCAGCAGAGACGATATGTCCATCCCACAGAGCCCAAGATATTTACTGTTTCACCTTTTACAGAAAACATTTGCTGGCCTCTGTTGTAAGCTAAAGAGATTTTGAGGTTGGTTGTTACCTCAGCAAAGATGACTAATGTAGTCAAGATGAATTTAAGGAGAGAGAGGGAGTAGCCCCAGAGCAGGGAGCACCAGGCACCACAAAACCACTCTGGCTCACTCCTGTTTGCCCTCACTGTGGTCAGGTGGCCCTTCTGAGCTTTCACCTTTAAACTCCTCGGAGGAAGTAGCATTGGGATGAGGCAGTCTCTTGGCTTGTAATTCCTTAGCCTTGGGTATTTGGAAGAGAGGCTGACAGTGAATGCGCACCTGCTCACACTTTCCCCATTCTTCCAGCAGGACTCGGTGCTGCCCTGACTTTACTCTGTCAGTGCTGGCAGCCTGGACTTTACTCCCTCTCCCTCTCTAAGTTTAATTGGAGCCTCTTCTTGGCTCTGTTTTTTTCCCTTTTATTATTTTTTTATTGATACGTAATAGATGTACATATTTTTGGGGTGCGTATGATAATCTGATATATTCATGTAATATGTAAAGATTGAATCAGAATAATTGGGATGTCCATCCCCTTAAATATTTATCTTTATTTATTTTATTTTTTTTTTAGACGGAGTTTCGCTCTTGTCACCCAGGCTGGAGTGCAATGGCACTATCTTGGCTCACTGCAACCTCCGCCTCCTGGGTTCAAGTGATTCTTCTGCCTCAGCCTGCTAAGTAGCTGGGATTACAGGTGCCTGCCACCACACCTGGCCCTAGTATGTCTTTTTGTTTTGTTTTTTAAAGAGACAGAGTTGGCTGGGCACGGTAGCTCACGCCTGTAATCCCAACACTTTGGGAGGCTGAGGCAGGCGGATCACCTGAGGTCAGGAATTCGAGACCAGACTGGCCAACCTGTCTCTACTAAAAATACAAAAAAATTAGCTGGTGTGGTGGTGCATGCCTGTAATCCCGGCTACTCAGGAGGCTGAGGCAGGAGAATCGCTTGAACCTGGGAGGCAGAGGTTGCAGTGAGCCAAGATCGCACCACTGCACTCCAGCCTGGGCAACAGAGCGAGACTGTCCCAAAAAAAAAAAAAAAAAAAAAAAACCGCATGCGGTAGCTCACACCTGTAATCCTAGCACTTTGGGAGGTTGAGGTATGTGGGTCACCTGAGGTCAGGAGTTTGAGACCAGCCTGGCCAACATGGCAAAACCCCACCTCTACTAAAAATACAAAAATTAGGTGCACATGGTGGCACGCACCTGTAATCCCAGCTACTCAGGAGGCTGAGGCAGGAGAATTGCTTGAACCTGGGAGGCAGAGGTTGCAGTGACCTAAGATCGTGCCACTGCACTCCAGCCTGGGTGACAGAGCGAGACTCCGTCTCAAAACAACAACAACAACAAAAACAAAAAACATACTAGGTCTTATTTTTTCTAACTGTATATTTGTATGCTTTTTTTTTTCTTTTTCTTTTTTTTTTTTTTTGAGATGGAGTCTCGCTCTGTTGCCCAGGCTGGAGTGCAGTGGCGCGATCTCGGCTCACAGCAACCTTTGCCTCCCAGGTTCAAGCAAGTCTTGTGCCTCGGCCTCCTGAGTAGCTGGGATTACAGGCATGCGCCACCACACCTGGCTAATTTTTGTATTTTTAGTAGAGACAGGGTTTACCATGTTGGCCAGGCTGGTCTGGAACTCTGGACCTCAGGTGATCCACCTGCCTCAGAAGCCCAAAGTGCTGGGATTACAGGCATGAGCCACCGAGCCTGGCCAGGAAAACTCCTATTTTTCCTTCAATATTCAGTTCAGACATCAACTCTCCTGGGAAGCCTTATGGCATCCCTCCGCTCTGCTTCTGGAGGGCCCTAAACAAACATCTCCATTACTGTTCTTATGAAAAATGTTCTTGACTTTTCCTCTGTCCATTTCTTCAACTATGGAGGACAGCCATTTCCTGTTAGTTTGCTGAAGTCACTTACATGTATGTGCCCTGTGTCAGGTCCACTGCTGATGTCAGTAGTGTACAGCCCAGAGACATAAACCATGCCACGAATTTGAACATAGAAACTTTAATATAAAGAATTATACTAAATTATCCAGGTGTGGTGGTGGACACCTGTAATCCCAACTACTCGGGAGGCTGAGGTGGGATTATCAATTAAACCCAGGAGGTGGCAGTTGCAGTGAGCCAAGATCATGCCACTGCACTCCAGCCTGGGCAACAAGACTCTGTCTCAATAAAAAAGAAAAAAGAAAAAAAGAAGCCAGGTGTGGTCGCTCACGCCTGTAATCCCAGCACTTTGGGAGGCTGAGGCAGGTGGATCACCTGAGAGGTCAGGAGTTCGAGACCAGCCTGGCCAACATGGTGAAACCCTGTCTCTACCAAAGATACAAAAATTAGCCAGGCATGGTAGCACATGGCTATAGTCCCAGCTACTTGGGAGGCTGAGACAGAGAATTGCTTGAACCCAGGAAGCGGAGGTTGCAGTGAGCCAAGATCATGCCACTACACTCCAGCCTGGGCGACAAAGTGAGACTCTGTCTCGGGGCAGGGGGAGTGGGGGGAAGAAAAAAAGAATTATTATTTTCATTTTTATTTTTTTCAGACGGCGTCTCGCTCAGTCACCAGGCTGGAGTGCAGCGACACGATCTCAGCTCACTGCAACCTCCGCCTCTGGGGTTCAAGCGATTCTCCTGCCTCAGCCTCCCGAGTAGCTGGGACTACAGGTGCACACCACCAAGCCCAGCTAATTTTTGTATTTTTGGTAGAGACAGAGTTTCACCATGTTGGATGGTCTCGATCTCTTGACCTCGTGATCTGCCCGCTTCAGCCTCCCAAAGTGCTGGGATTACAGGCGTGAGCCACTGTGCCCGGCCTAGAAAAAAAGAATTATTAACTAGTAAAAGGTGGGGAGACGTTTTTTGTTTTGTTTTGTTTTGTTTGTTTTTTGAGACGGAGTTTCACTCTTGTCACCCAGGCTGG
This sequence comes from Homo sapiens, assembly GCF_000001405.40. NCBI lineage: Eukaryota > Metazoa > Chordata > Mammalia > Primates > Hominidae > Homo > Homo sapiens. Next base: position 32,522,420 of record NC_000001.11, on the reverse strand, counting down.
AGTGCAATGGTGCAGTCTTGGCTCACTGCAACCTCCACCTCCCAGGTTCAAGTGATTCTCCTGCCTCAGCCTCCCAAGTAGCTGGGATTACAGGCGCCTGCCACCATGCCCAGCTAATTTTTGTATTTTTAGTAGAGACAGGGTTTCACATGTTGGCCAGGCTGGTCTCGAATTCCTGACCTCAGGTGATCTGCCCACCTCTACCTCCCAAAGTGCTGGGATTACAGGCATGAGCCACCACACCCAGCCAAGAGAGATTTCTTATAAGGAATTGGCTCATGGGATTATGGAGGCTCACAAATCCAAATCTGCAGTGTGGGCAGGCTGGAGACATAGGAGAGCTGACAGTGCAGTTCCAGTCCACAGAGTCTGCTGGAGAATCCCCTCAGGAAGGTTGCTCTTTGTGTTCTATTTGGGACTTGAGCTGATTGGATGAATCCCACCCATGTTATGGAAGGCAATCTGCTTTACCCAAAGCTCACAGATTTAAATGTTAATCTCATCAAAACACCCTCCAAGTTGACACACAAAATTGACTAGCACAGGTAATTATCTACTAAAATGGAAACAGGGCTCCAAAGAAAACAGGAATACAGCCAGGCATGGTGGCTCATGCCTGTAATCCCAGCACTTTGGGAGGCCGATGTGGGAGGATCACTTGAGCCCAGGAGTTTGAGACCAGCCTGGCCAACAAATTAGCCAGGCATGGTGGTGCATGCCTATCATCCCAGCTACTCAGGAGGCTGAGGCAGGAGGATCACCTGAGCCTGGGAGGTTGAGGCTGCCATGAGCCATGATTGCACTACTGCACTCCAGCCTGGGGGACAGAGTGAGACCCTCTCTTAAATACATAAATAAACAAACAGGAATAGCAAATGTAGCAAATGGCAAAGACAACAGGACCAGCTATTACCTTTAAGGTTGAAGGAGAGTACTCAAGGAAAGAAGAAACTTGCAAGAGGACTTCCTTTCCCATGCCCCACCAAAGACTGGGATTTAGACCTCTTCAGAGAGGATATGTCTGCCGCCTGCTGGATGGTGAAGTTCATTGAGGTGCCACAGGTGTGGGCTGGAAGATCTGTGGCCACCCACCAGGGTGCCAGCAAACTCACTGCAGGGTGGGCACCATTCCCCATGGAGCTGTACTGTAGGATGAAGAAGAAAGTTGCACTGAAGCCGGGCACGGTGGCTCAAGCCTGTAATCCTCGCACTTTGGGAGGCTGAGGCGGGTGGATTGCCTGAGGTCAGGAGTTCGAGACCAGCCTGGCCAACGTGGTGAAACCCCGCCTGTACTAAAAATACAAAAATTAGCCAGGCATGGTGGCGGGCTGAGACAGAAGAATTGCTTGAACCCCGGAGGCAGAGGTTGCAGTGAGCTGAGACCACGCTATTGCACTCCAGCCTAGGCAACGAGAGTGAAACTCTGTCTCAAAAACAAAAAAACAAAAAAAAACTTGGCCTGGCGCAGTGGCTCACGCCTGTAATCCCAGCACTGTGGGAGGCCGAGGTGGGCGGATCACATGTCAGGAAATCGAGACCATCCTGGCTAACACGGTGAAACCCCGTCTCTACTAAAAAATACAAAAAATTAGCCTGGCGTGTTGGCGTGAGAGCTGTAGTCCCAGCTACTTGGGAGGTTGAGGCAGGAGAATGGCGTGAACCCGGGAGGCGGAGCTTGCAGTGAGCCGAGATCGCGCCACTGCGCTCGAGCCTGGGCGACAGAGCGAGACTCCGTCTTTAAAAAAAAAAAAAAAAAAAAATTACACTGAAATCACTAAGCCCCTGCCTCTGCTATTGCAGTGTCCCTCTGGCGCCCTCTATTGACAGGGCCTAACATTGCTCTAGCTGGGAAAGAAGAAATGTTTATAGAGTCCAGCTGGTTGCACAAAGCAGGGCAAAAAAAGCTTAAGTTTGAAGTTAAGTGATGATAAATTGATAATTTGCATACATTTGAGGAATAAATGAATGTCTTCATCACCAAAACTGTAACTAACTAGGAGGATCATCGGTTATCTGAGATATTCAAGTGAGAAAAATATTTAAATTTAATAAAGAAAGATGTGGGACTCTTCATTGGAAGAAAAGGGGAAAATAGGCGGTTGGACAAACCGCTGGTGACCAGGGAGATAAAAGACTAATAGAAAGCAAAGAGGAGGGGCCTGGTGCGATGGCTTGCGCTTGTAATCTCAGCCCTTTGGGAGGCCAAGGCAGGAGATCGCTTGAGCTCAGGAGTTTGAAACCAGCCTGACCAACATGGCAAAACCCTATCTCTACAAAAAATACAAAAAATTAACCAGGCGTGGTGGTACGCACCTGTGGTCCCAGCTACTCGGGAGTACTACTTGAGCCTGGGAGACAGAGGTTGCAGTGAGCCAAGATCATGGCATTGCACTCCAGCCTGGGCGACAGAGTGAGACCCTCTCAAAAAAAAAAAAAAAAAAGCAAAGAGGAAACAAGAAGCTGGAACAGATACCTGTGAATTTGTACCAGCTCTTTAACAAATGTAATGATCTTACCCTCATCTTACTCATCTCAGAATTAGAAACTTATACTTTATATGTTTATTATTCCAGTGACTATAGTTCCCATACCACACTTCAAAACACATCATCTAACAATAACTGCAGTCATGCACCACATTTTGGTCAACAATAGACTGCATATACAACAGTGGTCTCTTAAGAATATAATGGAGCCGAAAGCTTCCTATTGCTTAGTGATGTTGTAGCTGCGGTAGCATCCTAGCACTGCGGTGACACTGGTGTAAACAAATCTGTGCTAACAGTCATACAAAATTCTAGAACACATAATTATGTACAGTGCAGAATACTTGATAATAAATGACTATGGGCTGGGCACAGTGGCTCACCCCTGTAATCCCAACACTTTGGGAGGCTGAGGTGGAAGGATCACGAGGTCAGGAGTTCAAGACCATCCTGGCCAACATGGTGAAACCCCATCTCTACAAAAAATACAAAATTAGCTGGGCATGGTGGCGCGCGCCTATAATCCCAGCTACTCGGGAGGCTGAGGCAGGAGAATCACTTTAACCTGGGAGACAGAAGCTGCAGTGAGCTGAGATCATGCCACTGCACTCTAGCCTGGGCAACAGAGCGAGACTCCATCTCAAAAAAAAAAAAAGTTACTGGTTTGTGTGTTTAAATACTATACTTTTCATCATTATTTTGGAATGTACTCCTTCTAGTTATATTTTTAAAAGTTTTCTGTAAAACAGCCTCAGGCAGGTCCTTCAGGCGGTATTCCAGAAGAAGATACCATGATCATAGGAGATGACAGCTCCACGCGTGTTATTGCCCCTGAAGACCTTCCAGTGGGACAAGATATATAGATAGAAAACAGTGATATTGGTAATCCTGACCTTGTGTAGGCCTAGTCTAGTCTAGTGTGTGTGTGTGTTGGTGTGTGTGTGTCTTAATTTTTCACAAAAAAAGTTTAAAAAGTAAAATTAGCCGGGTGAGGTGGCTCACGCCTGTAATCCCAGCGACTTTGAGAGGATGAGGTGGGCAAACTGCTTCAGCTCAGGAGTTCAAGACCAGCCTGGGCAACATGGCAAAACCCTGTCTCTACAAAAAGCCCAAAAATTAGCCAGTCATGGTGTTTCAAAAAAATTTTTTAAATAGGAAAATGCTTATAGAATAAGGATATAAAGAAAGAAAATATTTTTGTACCGCTGTAGAATGTGTGTTTTAAGCTAAGTGTTATTACAAAAGAGTCAAGTGGGTTTTTTTGGTTTTTGTTTTTTATTTTGAGACAAGGTCTCCCTCTGTCACTCAGGCTGGAATGCAGTAGCTTGATCATGGCTCACTGCAGCCTCAAACTCCCAGGCCTAAGTGATCCTCCCCACTCAGCCTCCAGAGTAGCTGGGACTATGGGCGCTACCATGCCCAGCTTATTTTTTATTTTTTGTAGAGATGGGATCTCACTAAGTTGTTTAGGCTGGTCTTAACTTCCAGGCTCATGCAATTCTCCGGCCTCAGCCTCCCAAAGTGTTGGAATTACGGGCTTGAGTCACCACACCTGGCCTAAGAAGTTTTTTGTTTTTTGTTTTTTTTTTGAGACGGAGTCTCACTCTGTCGCCCAGGCTGGAGTGCAGTGGCGCGATCTCGGCTCACTGCAAGCTCCGCCGCCCGGGTTCCCGCCATCTCCTGCCTCGCCTCCCGAGTAGCTGGAACTACAGGCACCCGCCACTACGTCCGGCTAATTTTTTGTATTTTTGGTAGAGACGGGGGTTCACTGTGTTAGGATAGTCTCGATCTCCTGACCTCGTGATCCACCCGCCTCGGCCTCCCAAAGGGCTGGGTTTACAGGCGTGAGCCACCGCGCCCGGCCGTAAAAGTTTTTTAAAAATTAAAAAGTGTATAAAGTAAAAATGTTAGAGCAAGCTAAAGTTAATTCACTATTGAAGAAAGAAATTTTTAAAAATAAATTTAGCCAGCTGGGCGCGGTGGCTCAGGCCTGTAATCTTAGCACTTTGGGAGGCCGAGGTGGGCAGATCACCTGAGGTCAGGAGTTTGAGACCAGCCTGGCCAACATGGTGAAACCCTGTCTCTACTAAAAATACAAAAATTAGCTGGGCATGGTAGCGCGTGCCTGTAATCCCAGCCACCCAGGAGGCTGAGGCAGAATTGTTGGAAGCCAGAGGCGGAGGTTGCAGTGAGCTGAGATCGTGCCACTGTACTCCGTCCTGGGTGACAGAATGAGACTCTGTCTCAAAATAAATAAATACATTTAGCCTAAGTGTACCGTGTTTATAAAGTCTACAGTAATGTCCTAGGCCTTCATATTCAGTTACCACTCACTCACTGGCCCTTCTAGAGCAACTTCCAGTCCTGCAAGCTCCATTTATATAGTAAGTGCCATTAGGTGGACCATTATAGGTGTACCTTTTGTTAATTTTTGATACTTTTTTTGGGGGGGTGGTGGGGGGACGGAGTTTCTGTCTTGTTTCCCAGGCTGGAGTGCAATGGCACAGTCTCTGCTCACTGCAACCTCTGCCCCGCTGGGTCCAAGCCATTCTCCTGCCTCAGCCTCCCGAGTAGCTGGAATTACAGGCTCGCACCACCACGCCCGGCTAATTTTTGTATTTTTAGTAGAGATTGGGTTTCACCATGTTAGCCAGGCTGGTCTCAAACTCCTGACCTCAGGTGATCCACATACCTCAGCCTCCCAAAGTTCTGGGATTACAGGCGTGAACCACCACGCCCAGCCAATACTACATTTTTACTGTACCTTTTCTATGTTTCAATACAGAAATACCATTGTGTTGGCCGGGTGCGGTGGTTCACGCCTGTAATCCCAGCACTTTGGGAGGCTGAGGCGGGCAGATCACCTGAGGTGCAGAGTTCAAGACCAGCCTGGCCAAGATGGTGAAACCCCATCTCTGCTAAAAATAAAAAAATTAACCAGGCATGGTGGCAGGTGCCTGTAATCCCAGGTACTTGGGAGGCTTGAGACAGAAAACTGCTTGAACCGGGGAGATGGAGGTTGTGGTGAGCCAGGATAGCACCGCTGCACTCCAGTCTGAGCAGAGCAAGACTCCGTCAAATAAATACATACATACATACATGCCATTGTGTTACAGTTGCCTACAGTTTTCAATACAGTAACACACTGCACAAGTTTGTAGTCTAGGAGCAACAGGCTATAGCAGCGGTCCCCAACCTTTTTGGCACCAGGGACCAGTTTTGTGGAAGACAATTTTTCCATTGAAGGCAGGGATGGAAATGGTTTTGGGATGAAACTGTTCCACCTCAGATAATTGGGCATTAGATTCTCATAAGGAGCACACAACCTAGATCCCTCGCATGCGCAGTTCACAGTAGGGTTCCCACTCCTATGAGAATCTAATGCCACCGCTAATCTGACAGGAGGTAGAGCTCAGGCAGGAATGCTTGCTCGCCAGCCACTTACCTCCTGCTGTGCAGCCCTAATAGACTAGGGACTGGTACCAGTCTGTGCCCCAGGGGTTGGGGACCCCTGGGCTATACCATATAGCCTAGTTATATAATAGGCTATACTATCTAGGTTTGTGTAAGTACATTCTATGATGTTCATGCAAATATGAAATTACCTAATGATGCATTTCTCAGAATGTATCCCATTGTTAAATGATAAAAGACTGTATTTTCCTTTTTTTTTTTTTGGACAGGTTCTTGCTCTATCACCCAGGTTGGAGTGCAGTGGCATGATCATGGCTCACTGAAGCCTCAACCACCTGGGCTCAAGTGATCTTCCCACCTCAGCCTGCAGAGTAGCTGGGGCTACAGGTGCGTGCCACCATGCCTGGCTGTTTTTTATTTTTTGAGACAGAGTCTCGTTCTATCACCCAGGCTGGAGTACAATGGCATGATCTCAGCTCACCCAGGAGCCTCCACCTCATGGGTTCAAGCGATTCTCCCGCCTCAGCCTCCCAAGTAGTTATTTTGTGTATTTTTAGTAGAGATGAGGTTTCACCATGTTGGCCAGGCTGGTCTTGAACTCCTGACCTCAAGTGATCTGCCTGCCTCGGCCTCCCAAAGTGCTGGGATTACAGATGTGAGCCACTGTGTCTGGCCTTAAACATTTTTTTTTGTAGAGATAGGGTCTTACTATGTTGCCAGGGTGGCAGTGAGGTCTGTGCTGCCTATAGACTCTTCAGAGAGTCGCCTCCAACAAGAACTCCTGGGCGCAAGTGATCCTCCCACCTTGGCCTCCCAAAGTGCTGGGATTACAAGTGTGAGCTACCGTGCCCAGCCTATATTTATTTTCATGAAAACTTTTACAAAGGGAATCACATTAAATGTCAGTTTCATCTAATGTTGTTTTACCTGAAATATCTTGCCAAAAATTATTGGTAATGTAATATTAGGCTAGTGTTTCCACAATTCATTTTATTTATTTGTCTACTGTATTGGCTACACAACAACTATCATGTTTCTGTTTTATTGTTTTTTCTTTTTCCTTTTTTTTTCTTTGAGATGCGGTCTTGCTTTGTCACCCAGGCTGGAGTACAGTGGCTCAATCGCAGCTCACTGCAACTTCCACCTCCCAGGTTCAAGTGATTCTCCTGCCTCAGCCTCCCAAGTAGCTGGGATTACAGGTGCCCACCACCACACCCGGCTAATTTTTGTATTTTTAGTAGAGACAGGGTTTCACTAAGTTGGCCAGGCTGGTCTCTAACTCCTGACCTTAGGTGATCTGCCCACCTCAACCTCCCAAAGTGCTGAGATTACAGGCGTGAGCTTACTAGACTTGCTTTATCTCATATCTGTCTATCACTCTGTCCATTCATCCATTCATTTTCCTTTTTGATACATTCCAAACCAAATTGCAGGCATCAGTATACTTCCCCCTTAAAAAAGGCTCATATATAATTAATTAAAGTTCAATGTTTATACATATTTTTTTCTTTCAAGGTAAAATTTACATACAATGACATGTACAAATCTTAAGTCAACTTTTGCTGAGTTTTTAAAAATCCATACACCTGTGTAACCAAAACCTCTATAAAGACACAGAACCTTTTACTGGTTGATTGAGACAGAGTCTTGCTCTGTTGCCCAGGCTGGAGTGCATGGCACAGTCATGGCTCACTGCAGCCTTGACCTCCTGGGTTCAACAGACTCTCGTGTCTCAGCCTCCCAAGTAGCTGGGATTACAGGCATGTGCCACCATGCCTGGCTCTTAGTTATTTTTTTTTTTTTTTTGTAGAGACAGAGTTTTGCCATGTTGGCCAGGATGGTCTTGAACTCCTGGCTTCAAGCAGTCCTCCTGCCTTGGCCTCCCAAAGTGCTGGGATTACAGATGTGAGCCACTACACCCAGCCCAGAACCTTATCATCACCCCAACAAATTCCCTCATGCCCCACCAGGTCAATTTCTTTCCTTAACTTCCTATAGGCAAACCTTCAACTTTGATTCCACAAAGTTTAGTTTTACCTGTTCTAGAACTTCATATAAATGGAACTATAAAACATGTGATTTTTTTTTTCTTTTTTTTTTTTTTTTGAGACAGAGTCTCACTGTGTTACCCAGGCTGGAGTGCAGTGGTGCGATCTCGGCTCACTGCAACTTCCACCTCCTGGGTTCAAGCAATTCTCCTACCTCAGTCTCCCTGGGATTACAGGCACTCACCCCCATGCCCGGCTTTTTGTATTTTTAGTAGCAATGGGGTTTCATTATGTTGGCCAGGCCGGTCTTGAACTCCTGACTTCAAGTGATCTGCCCGCCTCAGCCTCCCAAAGTGCTGGGATTGCAGGTGTGAGCCACCGCACCTGGCCAAACATGTGTTCTTTTGTGTAAAAATTATTTTACTCAGCATAATGTTTTTAAGAGTCATCCCTGTTGTTGCATGTAGCTGTAGTCCATTCATTTACATTGTTGAGTATGCCACTGTACGAATATATAAGATTATATATATTCTCCTATTGATGGACACCTGATCTGCTTCCAGGTTTTAGCTATTGTGAAGAGAGCTGCTATGCACATTTCTGTACAAGTGTTTTTATGCATGTACATTTTCATTTTTCTTGAGTAAATAACCTAAGAGCGGAATTGCTGGTTCATAGAGTAGGCATATGTTTAGTTTTATAAGAAACTGCCACATTAAAAAAAGAAAAAGACAAAAAAAAAAAAAAAAGAAAAGAAACTGCCACATTTTTTCCCCAAAGTGGCTGTACCATTTTACACTTAAAAAAAAAAAAAAAAGTGAGCACCAGTTGCTATACATTCTTTCCAAATTTGGCATTGTTAGTTTTATTCATTTTAGCCATTGTGGTAGGTGTGGAGTCATGTTCATTTTAAAGGCTGATCTAGGCTGAGCATGGTGGCTCATGTCTGTAATCCCAGCACTTTGGGAGGCCAAGGTGGGTGGATCATTTGACGTCAGGAGTTTGAGACCAGCCTGGCCAACATGGTGAAACCTCGTCTCTACTAAAAATACAAAAAATTATCTGGGCGTGGTGGCGGGTGGCTGTAGTCCTAGCTACTTGGGAGGCTGAGGCAGGAGAATCGCTTGAACCCAGGAGGCAGAGGTTGCTGTGAGCCGAGATTGCACCATTGCACTCAAACCTGGGTGACAGAGTGAGGCTCTGTCTCAAAACAACAAACAAGCAAACAAAAACAAAAACCTCTTCCTAGTACCTTATCAACTGGATATTATGAATCATTTTAATTGTTGCTAATTTGATTGGTTAAAAAATAGCAACTATCTATTGTTTTGACCTGCATCCTCCCCTCACCAGTGAGGCTGAACATCTTCTCATCTGTTATTGAGTATTGGGTGTTCATTTCTTCTCCTGTAAATTCCTGTCCATAGCCTTTGTCTTTTTTGTTGTTGTTGTTGTTGTTATTTGGGTTTTTTCTTTTCTTTTTTTAGACAGAGACTCGCTCTGTTACTCAGGCTGGTGTGCAATGGCGCGATCTCTGCTCACTGCAACCTCCGCCTCCCGGGCTCAAGCAATTCTCCTGCCTCAGCCTCCCAAGTAGCTGGGACTACAGGTGCATGCCACCATGCCCGACTAATTTTTGTTTATTTAGTAGAGACAGGGTTTCACCATGTTGGCCAGGCTGGTCTCAAACTCCTCACCTCAAATGATCCACCCACCTCGGCCTCCCAAAGTGCTGGGATTACAGGCGTGAGCCACTGCGACCGGCCTTTTTCTTAAGGAGCTCTTTGTGTATTATCAATATCAATTCTTTTTCCATTATATGTTTGACAAATATATGACTCCAATCTTTTTCATCTTTTAACTTTGTTTATAATGTCTTTTATGTTACAAAACATTTTATTTTGACCTAGTAAACCTTACTTTGGACTACACAGTAGTTCATTCTTTTCTTCTGTGGTCTCTGGGTTTTATGTTTTTTCTTAGGAAATATTTTCTCACATCAAGTTTATATTATCTGTTATTTTCTTTAAATATTTTAATGACTTTTTTATGTTTAGAACTCTTACCTATCTAAATGTTATTTCGCTGTATATGATCTAATTTTTTTTTCCAATATAGCTATCCAATTGTCCCAATAATGTTTATTTAATAAGGCATCCTTTCCTTCAGATTTAAAAAGCCACTTTTTTCAGATATTAAATTTACATATAAGCCAGGTGTGGAGGCTGACACCTGTAGTCCTAGCTACTTGGGATACTGAAGCAGGAGGATCACTTGAGGCCAGGAGTTCAGGGATGTAGCGCATTATGATTGTGCCTGTAAGTAGCCACTGCACTCCAGCCTGGGCAACAGAGTGAGACCCTGCCTCTTAAAAAAAAAACTTACATATATTCAAGAGTCTTTTTCTACATATGATATTGTTTTCCATTCATCATCCCCTGATGTCTTAGTTGGTTTTCTGTTGCTATAACAATACCAGAGACTGGGTAATTTATAAAGAAAAGAGGTTTATTTGTTACAGTTCTGGGGGCTGGGAAATCTAAGACTGGGGCGTGCATCTTGTTGGCTTTTGGTGAGAAGGCATAAGAGGGTGAGGGAGCACACTGAGAGCCAAGTGGCTTTTATAACAAATCCACTCTGTGATAACTAACCTGCTCCCACAATAAATCTTTAATCCATTAACCCATAATCCATGAATGGATTAATCTATTTATGAGGGCAGAACACTCATGACTCAATCACCTCTTAAAGGCTCCATCTCTTAATACTGTTACATTGTGTATTAAGTTTCAACATGAACTTCAGAGAAGACAAACATTCACACAATAGCACTTGATGTGCTAGTACCATACTGCTTTTAATACTGTAGCTTTGTATTATATTTTACATTTATTTTATTTATTTAATTTTGAAATAGAGTCTTGCTCTGTTGCCCAGGCTGGAGTGCAGTGGCATGATCTCGGCTCACTGCAACCTCTGCCTCCTGGGTTCAAACAATTCTCTTGCCTCAGCCTCCTGAGTAGCTGGGACTACAGATGCATGCCACTACACCCAGCTAATTTTTGTATTTTTAGTAGAGACAAGGTTTTGCCAATGGCCAGGCAGGCTAGTCTTGAACTCCTGACTTCAGGTGATTCACCCACCTTGGCCTCCCAAAGTGCTGGGATTATAGGTTTGAGCCACTGCACCTGGCCTACATTTTACATAGAATAACCTTTTTATCAAGGCCTAATAAGATATACTTCCTTTTCTGCCCATTTTAGTATTTTTAAAAAGAGACAGATCTTGTTACATTGCTTAGGCTGGTCTCAAACTCCTGGGCTCAAGTGCTCCTCCTGCCTCAGCCTCCTGAGTAGAGAAGGGACTACAGGCATGTGCCAGTGCACCTGGCTCATTTTAGTATGCATTTTTACATTAAAATTAAAATGTATCGGCTGGGCGCAGTGGCTCACACGTGTAATCGCAGCACTTTGGGAGGCCGAGGTGGGCAGATCACGAGGTCAGGAGGTCGAGACCATCCTGGCTAACATGGTGAAACCCCGTCTCTACTAAAAATACAAAAATAAATAAATAAATAAATAATATAAAATAAAATTAAAATTTATCATTTAGCAACATGACCTCATAAAAAGCATCAAGAAAGCCAGGCACAGTGGCTCACGCCTGTAATCCCAGCACTTTGGGAGGCTGAGGCGGGTGGATCATGACGTCAGGAGATCAAGACCATCCTGGCTAACATGGTGAAACCCCGTCTCTACTAAAAATACAAAAAAATTAGCCAGGTGTGGTGGCGGGCACCTGTAGTCCCAGCTACTTGGGAGGCTGAGGCAGGAGAATGGCGTGAACCCGGGAGGCGGAGCTTGCAGTGAGCCGAGATCGCGCCACTGCACTCTAGCCTGGGCAACAGAGCGAGACTCCATCTCAAAAAAAAAAAAAGCATCAAGAAAACATTTACTATTGTTATTACCTCTTGTGCATTCAATCAGTTTTTGTTTATTGCCACAATTATATGGCCTTTCATACAAGTCTATGGTGAATGAGTTTAAGACTAAAGTCCCTTGTCGCAGGTTGGTTTTTCTAAAGCAGATGCTGAGATAGAGTCAGGAGTGTAAAAGTATTGATGGGAGTGATACCTTTGACAGAAAGGGGGAGGAAGCAGGATTGAGGAAAGAAATCAAATTGTGACAAAGTCTCTGTCAGCCCAGTGGGAAACTCAGAAGCAAACACTGCAAGGTAGCGGAGTCCTGTATTTGGGCCAGGCTTCTAGAAAGCTAATGCAGCTGCAGACACTAACAGCTGGAGGCCATTAGCAAGTTCTTTCATCAAGGGGAACCTCAGTGGCACATCTGTCCATGTCTGCCACATCACTCTTCTCAGCTCTGTGGTGGACATAGGGAGGTCTTTTAGTCATTCAACAAACATTTTCAAGCACCTCTTATCTACAAGATACTAATGCTACAAAGATGACTGGAGTATTTTCAATGAGCTTCTTTTCTCAAATAAGGCTCAGTCTCTGCAGAGGTGGGATAGGAGCTCACCACTCAGTGAGAGAAAAGCCAGCACTACTTGTGGGGTGTCTTTCAAATCTATGAATTCCTACATATCTGTGTTATAAAGTGAAATATGCTAAGTGCAAAGGATACAAAAGTGCAACACCTGGTGCAGGGTCTGGCAAATAATAAGCGTTGAATAAGTACTGCAGATTGAAAGGCTTGGAGAATTCAGAGAAGAGAAAAATAATTTTGTTCTAGGGAGCAGCTTTGTCTGTCACCTACCAATTGGTCAACAACAAAAACTTTATAAAAATCAGTTATGGCTGGGCACGGTGGCTCACACCTGTAATCCCAGCACTTTGGGAGGCCGAGGCGGGTGGATCACCCAAGGTCAGAAGTTTGAGACCAGCCTGGCCAATATGGTAAAACCCCATCTATACTAAAAATACAAAAAATTAGTCGGGTGTGGTGGTGCATGCCTGTAATCCCAGCTACTTGGGAGGCTGAGGTTAGTTGGGTGTGGTAGTGCATGCCTGTAATCCCAGCTACTTGGGAGGCTGAGGTAGGAGAATCATTTGAACCCAGGAGGTGGAGGTTGCAGTGAGCCGAGATTGCGCCATTGTACTCCAGCCCTGGGCAACAAGAATATAACTTCACCTAAAAAAAAAAAAAAAAAAAAAACTTTCATTCCCTAACTCTATTGGGTGTCCAACTGATTATTCACTACAATTCTTCACACCAACTTAAGAATGACTTTTAACTCTGCAAATTTATTTGCAGTTTTAAAAGAGGAGGTGTTTAAAACAAATAATTCTGTTGTTAGAGGAGGTATTTTTGAGGAGCAGGATCAATACTCCTGTCAGCCGCCAGTTCTATCACTTTCTCTCCTCTTCAGACACACCCTTTTCCCTTAAAAGTTAGAAATAAAGAATGTGTGATTAGCCTTACAGCCTCACCTTATTGCTCCTTCCTGGTTTTGAAAACAAAATTCAGAAGAATATTAGAAGCTCCAAATCTGGAGCCCCTGGGGCTCGCAGCAGCTGACCTCTGTGTGCGTTGTTAGGTGACTCAGGCCTCGAGGAGACTGAAAGATGAGGCTGCTCACCCAGGGCCATGCCCCCCAGGACTGCTGTTGTAAGAGACTCATTTCTTTGGAGTGGTACAGGCATGAGTTTCCAAAGGAGGAACCTATTGGGGAGCGTTCACTAAGGGACATGACTGACGGGGACACAACTCACAGCACAATATTAGCACAGGGGAAAGAGAGAAAGAGAGGGTGTCTAACATCTGTGATGGTTCTGCTAGTGACCTCTTTTTAAGTACACCCCAAATAAAACTGTCGGTCAACGCTGGCTTTGGCTGAGTGGGTGCACGGACTCACAGTCAGGCCCACCCTAGGCTGACTTCACAGTGACCCTTTTTTTTTTTTTTTCTGAGATGGAATCTCGCTCTGTCACCAGGCTGGAGTGCAGTGGCGCAATCTTGGCTCACTGCAACCTCTGCCTCCTGGGTTCAAGCGATTCTCCTGCCTCAGCCTCCCAAGTAGCTGGGGCTACAGGCGCCTGCCACCACGCCCAGCTAATTTTTGTATTTTTAGTAGAGACAGGGTTTCACCATGTTGGCCAGGATGGTCTCAATCTCTTGACCTTGTGATCCACCCTCCTCAGCCTCCCAAAGTGCTGGGATTACAGGCATGAGTCACCATGCCTGGCCCACAGTGACCCTTTAAAGGAAAATGGGAGGGACCTACCTCGGAGGTTGTGCAGAAAATGTTGGCTTCCCCAGCACTAGGTTTGGTTCCCTCCTAGGTCCTCCCACAGCTGTGCTTTGACACATAGCAGTCTCTATTAAAGTGCCTCTTTAATTTGTCTGTCATTGCCACCAGACCACAAGATACTTTGGGGCAGGGCTGTATTTCATTCATCCAGGTATCCCTAGCACCTGCAGCTACTCTGTAAACAGAAGAAAGAACAGTAGGCTGGGCACAGTAGCTCATGCCTGCAATCCTAGCACTATGGGGAGGCCAAGGCAGGTGGATTGCCTGAACTCAGGAGTTTGATACCACCCTGGGCAGCATGGCGAAACCCTGTCTCTACTAAACATAAAAAACTAGCTGGGCGTGGTGGTGTGCACCTGTAGTCCCAGCTACTCAGGAAGCTGAGGCAGGAGAATAGCTTGAACCCAGGAGGCAGAGGTTGCAGTGAGCCGAGATTGTGTCACTGCACTCCAGCCTGGGCAACAGAGCGAGACTCCATCTCAAAAAAAAAAAAAAGAAGAAGAAGAAGAAAACAGCGTTGCGGGCCCACTGTGCAAAGAGTAAGACCTAGTTCTTGCCCTACGAAGCAGGGATTTCAGGAAAAGGAAGCCTACTGGGACTTGGACTCAAAGAAGTAAATTTTCACCAGGGTGAAGTATGGAGTGAGGAAGAGATAACAGGGCAGAAGACAGCTGGGTGCAGTGGCTTACGCCTGTAATCTCAACACTTTGGGAGGCTGAGGTGGATCATCTGAGATCAGGAGTTTGAGACCAGCCTGGCCAACATGGTAAAACCCCATCTCTACTAAAAATACAAAAATTAGCCAGGCGTGGTGGTGGGCGCTTGTAATCACAGCTACTTGGGAGGTTGAGGCAGAGGAATCGCTTGAACTCGGGAGATGGAGGTTGCAGTGAGCCAAGATCATGCCATTCCACTCCAGCCTGGGCAGCAAGTGAAACTCCGTCTAAAAAAAAAAAAAAAAAAGAAGGCAGAAGAAAACAAGAGCAAATGCAACATGAAAGGGAATGGCATTTGCAGGGAGTATTCCAGAAGACGCAAGCAAGAGAGTGAGGCTGCCTTTGAAGGTTATGCCAGTTTTGGATGCATTGGCAAGAATATGACTCACTTGAATTAATATTTTTATAACTTTTCCTTATGATTGTTTACAGATTTTTTTTTAAGTCTGATAATTTTAAGTAGTATATTCTTGCTTTTTTGTTTGTTTTTTGAGATGGAGTCTTGCTCTTGTCACCCAGGCTGGAGTGCAGTGGCGAGATCTCGGCTCACTGCAACCTCCGCCTCCTGGGTTCAAGTGATTCTCCTGACTCAGCCTCCCGAGTAGCTGGGATTACAGGCGCCTGCCACCATGCCCAGCTAATTTTTGTATTTTTGGTAGAGATAGGGTTTCATCATGTTGACTAGGCTGGTCTCAAACTCTTGACCTCAGGTGATCCGCCTGCCTTGGCCTCCCAAAGTGCTGGGATTACAGGTATAAGCCCCCGTACCCGGCTTAAGTAGTATATTCTACTTGGTGGAAAAATTTTACTCTGTATTTGATGATTGTTGCTCAAGACTGGAAACACTTTACTTTTTTTCCAATCATGATCTAGACGTGTACTGTCCCATATGGTAGTCTCTAGTCACATGTGACTACTGAGCACTTGAAATGTGGCTAGCGCAAATTAAGATGTCCTATAAGCATAAAATACACACCAAGTTCTCAAGACTTAGTACAAAGAAAAGAATGTAAAATAGCTCATGAGTAATTTCTTATATTGATTACAGTTGAAATGACCACATTTCAAATACATTAAGTAAAATATACTAAACTATTACATTAATTTTAATATCAAGTCTTTTATTTCTTTTCAAATGTAGCCACTATAAATTTTTATTTTTTATTAGTTATATACAGTAAAATCCACTTTTTGGTGTACAGTTCTGTGAATTTTGACAAAGGCATAGAGTTGTATAACCAATACCACAATCAAGATACAGAACAATTCTCTTGCCCACCCCCCAAAAAAAACCTCCCTTATGCTGAACCTTAGTAGTTAGCCTCCTTTACACTCTCCCATCCCGTGGCAACCATTTTGACCACCAGTAGATAGTCTTTTGAGTCTAGTTTCTCTCAGTTAACATAATGCACTAAAGATTCATACTGTTGTTGCATGTAACAATATTTTTTCCTTTTGTATTGCTGAGTAATATTCCATTGTGTGGATGTTTATTTGCCAGTTGAACATTTTGATTGCTTCTTTTGGGGAATTTATGCAAAAAGCTACTGTAAACATTCATATCTAGGTTTTTGTGTAAATGTAAGTTTTCATTTCTCTTGGGTAAATAGGAGTGGGATGTGTGGGTCATATGCTAAGTATGCATTTAAATTTGTAAGAAATGGCCAGGTGGTGGCTTATATCTGTAATCCCACCACTTTGGGAGGCTGAGGCAGGAGGATCAGTTGAGCGCAGCGGTTTGAGACCAGCCCGGGCAACATAGGGCGACCCAACCTCTACAAAAAATAAAAAATTAGCTGGGTGTGGTTGTGCATGCGTATAGTCATAGGTGCTTGGGAGGCTGAAGCGGGAGGATCACTTGAATCCCTGGGAGGTCAAAGCTATAGTGAGCCGTGTTCACACCACTGCTCTCCAGCCTGGGTGGCAGAGTAAGACCTTGTCATTCATTCATGCATTCATTGATTCATTCATAAATAAATAAGAAATTGCCAAACTGTTTCCCAAAGTAACTGTATAATTTTGCATTCCTATCAGCAATTTGTGAGAGTTCCATTGTTTTGAATCCCTGCCAGTGCTTGCTACTGTTGGTTTTTGTTTTGTTTTGTTTTTGGTTTTTAGCCTTTCTAGTAGGTATGGTGGTTTTATTTTGCTCTGCTGTTTCAGTTTGCATTTTCCTAATCATTAGTGCTATCTTTGTCATCCATATATCTTCTCTGGTGAAGTTCAAATCTTTTGCTCTTTTTTTTTTTTTTTTTTTGAGACAGGGTATCACTCTGTTGCCCATGCATGCTGTAGTATTAGTCTGTTCTCACGCTGCTAATAAAGACATACCTGAGACTGGGTAATTTAAAAAGGAAAGAGGTTTAATTGACACACATTTCAGCATGGCTGGGGAGGCCTCAGGAAACTTACAATCATGGCAGAAGGGGAAGCTAACACATCCTTCTTCACATGACGGCAGGGAGAAGAATAAGTGCCCAGCAAAGGGAGAAGCTCCTCATAAAACCATCAGATCTTGTGAGAACTAACTCACTATCACGAGAACAGGATGGAAGAAACTGGCCCCAAGATTCAGTTATCTCCATCTGGTCCCTCCCACGACACATGGGACTACATGACACGACAATGGGAACTACAATTAAAGACAAGATTTGGGTGGGGACACAGCCAAACCATATCACATGCCCAGCTAATTTTTTTTTTTTTTTTTTTTTTTTTGAGACGGAGTCTTGCTGTCACCCAGGCTGGAGTGCAGTGGCATGATCTTGGCTCACTGCAAGCTCTGCCTCCCGGGTTCACGCCATTCTCCTGCCTCAGCCTCCCAAGTAGCTGGGACCACAGGCGCCCGCCACTGTGCCCGGCTAATTTTTTGTAGTTTTAGTAGAGACGGGGTTTCACCGTGTTAGCCAGGATGGTCTCAATCTCCGGACCTTGTGATCCACCCACCTCGGCCTCCCAAAGTGCTGGGATTACAGGCTTGAGCCACCGCGCCCGGCCATGCCCAGCTAATTAAAAAAATTTTTTTTTTTAGAGACTAAGTCTCACTATGTTCCTCAGGCTGATCTGGAACTCCTGAGCTCAAGCGATCTGCCTGCGTTGGCCTCCCAAAGTGCTGGAATTACAGGCGTGAGCTACTGTGCCCAGCATCCTCTTGATTTTAAAGCTCCAGCCCTGAATCAGTTTAGATTACCTAAAAGCTACAAACTTAGACACTTAGACAATATGTTTATGATTTAGTGTTGTATACTTGGATTTTACTGATGGCCCATGTTAGAAACACCTCTTGTGAATTCTATAAAAATGCTGATAAAGGAATTGTCACCAGGCGACAAAGTAAGACCCTGTCTCAAAAAAAAAAAAAAAAAGGAATTGTCTATTTTCCAACATCCCTGATAGAGGGATACATTCCTCTTAGAGTTTAGTGTCAGAAAAACTTCCTTTCTCCTGACAGACATCTTTCCTATAATTATACAATGAGAACTATTACATTTAACAATCTTTTTGCTAGAAAAGTCAGAACTATGTTTAATGTTTAATTATACAATCTTTTTTTTTTTTTTTGAGACGGAGTCTCACTCTGTCCCCCAGGCTGGAGTGCAGTGGCGCGATCTCGACTCACTGCAAGCTCCACCTCCCGGGTTCTCGCCATTCTCCTGCCTCAGCCTCCCAAGTAGCTGGGACTACAGGTACCTGCCACCACGCCCAGCTAATTTTTTGTGTTTTTAGTAGAGGCGGGGTTTCACCATGTTAGCCAGGATGGTCTCGATCTCCTGATCTCGTGATCCACCCGTCTCGGCCTCCCAAAGTGTTGGGATTACAGGCGTGAGCCACCGTGCCTGGCCTAATTATATTATCTTTAGCCTTAATTATCCTTCCACTTTCCATGGCTTTTTACTGTTGATATTTATTTTAGGGTCTTTTTTTGTGGGGGAGATTACAGACCCCTGGCTAATGTTTGTATTTTTAGTAGAGACGGGGTTTTGCCATGTTGGCCAGGCTGGTTTTGAACCCCTGACCTCAAGTGATCTGCCCACCTTGGCTTCCCAAAGTGCTGGGGTTACAGGTGTGGCAGGATCTTACATGAGGCCCTTTACTGAGCGGTTATTGTTCCAGTTACGACTGCTGCTCAGCACCCATCTGAAACACAGTGGCAGAAACCACCGCCACCGTATAACACTGATTCTGCGGGTCAGGAAATCTGAAAGTGCACAGAGTGTCGGATTTTCTCTGCTCCACCGTGTCTGGGGCCTCATGTGGTGACTAACATCTAGGAGCTAGAACTGCTGGGGCTGGAGGAGCCACTCCAAGGTGGTTTCTTCACTCACAGGTTGAGCCTGGGCTAGGCTTCACTGGGACTGTATTCAGAGCACCTCTACATGGCCTCTCCTTGTGGCTGGGTGCCACTGGAGAGCAAACCCAGAGGGAAAGTCCTAAGATCCATAGACTGTATTCCAATAAAACTTAACATAAATGGACACAAATCTGAAATTTCATGTAATTTTCACGTCACAAAATATTATTGCTGTTTAGATTTTGTTTTAGCCATTTACAATTTAAAAACCAATTTTAGTTCACAGGGATACAAAAATAGGCAGTGAGCCAAGTTTGGCCTGTGGGCTACTGCAAAATTGAATGAAAAAAACAGGGTACAAAATTGTATTTACAGTATGATGTCATATAACTCAAAGAAAGAGAACTATATGTAAAGAAAAAGCTGAATGTAAATCTACCAAAATACTATTTATTTATTTATTTATAGAGATGGAGTCTCACTCTGTCGCCCAGGCTGGAGTGCAGTGGCGTGATCTCAGCTCACTGCAACCTCCGCCTCCCAGGTTCACGCCATTCTCCTGCCTCAGCCTCCTGAGTAGCTGGGACTACAGGCGCCTGCCACGACGCCTGGCTAATTTTTTGTGTTTTTAGTAGAGATGGGGTTTCACTGTGTTAGCCAGGATGGTCTCGATCTCCTGACTTCGTGATCCGTGCGCCTCGGCCTCCCAAAGTGCTGGGATTACAGGTGTGAGCCACCGCACCCGGCCCCAAAATGTTATTTTTATACTGAGATTATGGTTGATTTTTATTCCTTTTTGTTTCAATTTTACTGAAATATTTTACTGTAAGGATGGGAATAAACTGTTTTTGAAAGAATAAATGTGGTAGTGTTCACCTTCACAGTAGAATAGACCAAACATCATGGAGAGGAAGAAAAGAAGAGTGAATTCTATGGTGTTGGATTGGAATTGGAGTTTCACTCTCTCTCAGAAAATGTCCAGTGTGAAGGCCTGAAAGCAGCACCACTTCAAACACAATGAAAACACCCAGTATCTGGATCTTGGTTTGTAAATAACTGCTCTCCAGTAAACAGAACCAGGAGTCCCT
Organism: Homo sapiens; assembly: GCF_000001405.40. Classification (NCBI taxonomy): domain Eukaryota; kingdom Metazoa; phylum Chordata; class Mammalia; order Primates; family Hominidae; genus Homo; species Homo sapiens. Next base: position 32,502,167 of record NC_000001.11, on the reverse strand, counting down.
GGAGAAGTATCTGATTCCAGGGCTGGGGCAGGGAGAAAGTACAAGATGAGCCTGGAACATCTTGTGCCGGAAGGAAGGAAGTATTCAAAGAACAATAGGGACATGCCAAATGAACACACAAGCTGGCTTGAACAGGCTTTCACTGGCCAAACCTGGGACAATTTGAACATTAAAATAAATGACAGCGGCCGGGCGCCGCGGCTCACACCTGTAATTCCAGCACTTTGAGAGGCCAAGGAGGATGGATAACCTGAGGTCGGGAGTTCGAGACAAGCCTGGCCAACATGGTGAAACTCCGTCTCTATTAGAAATACAAAAATTAGCTGGGCATGGTGACGCACGTCTGTAACCCCAGCTACTCAGGAGGCTGAGGCAGGAGAACCCCTTGAACCCAGGAGGTGGAGGTTGGAGTGAGCTGAGATCGTGCCACTGCACTCCAGCCTGGGCAACAGAGTGAGACTCCATCTCAAAAAATAAAAATAAAATAAAATAAATGACAGCAACAGATTATAACCTAACAGCCAGGCCCAGTGGTGCGCCTACAATGCCAAGTTATGCCAGAGGCTAAGGCAGCAGCCCAGGACTTCGAGACCAGCCTGGGCAATATAGTAGAACTCCCCATCAGCTAAAAAAGAAAAAAAAAAAGGAAACCATGTGTCCATATGTATGAAAAAAAAAATAAATGGGCCGGGTACGGTGGCTCACACCAGTAATCCCAGCCCTTTGGGAGGCCAAAGCCGGCGGCACACGCCTGTAGTCCCAGCTACTCGGGGGACAGAAGTGGGAGGACTGGTTGAATCCGGGAGGTTGAGGCTGCAGTGAACGGTGATCGCACCACTACACTCCAGCCTAGGTGCCAGAGCGAGACTTTGTCCCAAAAATAAAAATAAGGTTTAAAAGGTTTGATGAGAAATGGTGATTCATGAAAATTCAAAGTACCACCCTACAAAATACTGTTATTATAACTGCCAAGTGAGTGTGACCTTACAGCGGAGAAGCCTACAGACAGCATCTTAAAGATAAAAGTGAGCATCATCAGTGATGAGACAAATTGACAAGCTGAAATTGTGTGCCACTAGACGTGCTGCGTTGAGAAGACCGCAGCAGCCCTTCTGTGACAGTCCTGTCTAGGATAAAGAACCTGAATCCAGTCGAGATGAGACAGACAAAGCCCAATTGAGGGAAGTTCTGCAAATTCGCTGGCTCGCGCCCCGCCCCCGGCGGCTGCTGTCTCTGCGCGGCGCAGACCAAGCCTCCCCGGAGTCCGCCGCGCCGGACGGCTCCAGACACGCCCGACGCCGTCCCCGCCGCCTTCCCGCCGCCGCCGCCGCCGCCGCCAGGAGGCTCCGCGCGCCTTCCCGGCTTTCCCCGGGCCGGGCCGGGCGGCGACAGCGGCGCGGCCATTGTTCCGCAGCCCCTTCCGGGCGCGCAGGAGAGGCCGGCCGGCCGGGCGCGGGGAGGGACGGCCGGGAGCCGGTGCCCGCCAACGCCCACCGCCGCCGCCCGCGCCTCCTCCTTGGCCGTTCCCAACCCCTCGGAGACAGCGCTGCAGCTGCTGCGCCCCAGGCTGCAAATGGCGCCCGCTCGGCTTGGCGCCTCCGGCCTCGCTCTCGGCCGGGAGACGGCTGAGGGCCGCACGCCCGTGGCCCGCATCCCAACGCCGCCGCCGCCGCCGCCCGCTACCAGGCTGGTTGCAGGTCCGGGGCAGCCCCGACGCCCTCCCGCCCTCTCGCCCTCTCGCCCTCTGCCCGCGCTGCGCGCAGCGGCAATCATTCCCCCTCCACCCCTCCTGCCAAGGGGACCTACGGGCGTCCCAAGAACAATAATTAGATTATTTTAAAATTGTAAAATACATAACAATATCATTTAAAAATGCAACTTAGGGACATTAAAGATATTCATGGCGTGCAACCATCAGTACTATCTAGTTCCAAAACTTTCTCATCGCCCCAAAGGCACCGGCACCATGAGCACTCAAGTCATTCCCCATTCCCTCCTTCCCTCAGCCTCCACCAACCGCCACTGGACTTTTTGTCTCCACGGATTTGCCTATTCAGGATCTTTTTCTCTCCCTTCCTCCCTTCCGTTCCTTCCTTCCTTTTTTTTTTTTTTTTTTTTTTTTGACGGAGTCTCTCTCTGTTGCCCAGGTTGGAGTGCAATGGCGCAATCTCGGCTCACTGCAAGCTCCGCCTCCCGGGTTCACGCCATTCTCCTGCCTCAGCCTCCCGAGTAGCTGGGATTACAGGCGCCTGCCACCAGGCCCGGCTAATTTTTTGTATTTTTAGTAGAGATGGGGTTTCACTATTGCTGTCCAGGCTGGTCTCGAACTCCTGACCTTGTGATCCGCCCGCTTCGGCCTCCCAAAGTGTTGGGATTACAGGCGTGAGCCACCGCGCCCGGCCAGGATATTTCGTATAAATGGAATCAAACAATATGTGGTCCTTTGTGACTGGCTTCTCTCACCTGAAGCAATGTTTCAAAGGTTCCTCCATGTTGTAGCAGGCATCAGAACTTCCTTTTAATGGATGAATAATATTCCACCTGTGTGTGTGCGCGCATGTGTGTGTGTGACATTTTTGTTCATTAGTTGATGAACATTTGGGTATTTCCACCTTTAGGCTATTGTGAACAGAGCTGCTATGAACCTTTGTGTACAAGTTTCAGTTTGAACACCTGTTTTCAAATAACTAAATACACTTTACTCTCCTTCTAATGGAAAACTCTACAGCCACCTGCAGTTTTTTCCCCCATTAATTCTGGGAGCTCCTGGAAGTATATCATGTGCATTCCTCTCAAATTTCCTGCCAGCCATGATTTTATTTATTTAGGAGACATGTAGGTCAACTTTCCTGCCCCTCTCCAGGGCCCCTTCTCAGGGGACCTGTCCCCATGACCACCACTCATCCTTAGTCAGAGCCTCATGCTTCCTGACCCAAGGGGTGCCATGTGATCTGAGGGAACCGATCTTTTGCTGGGCAGAAACTGAGGTGTTTTCCTTTGGAAGATTTGGACTGAAGGACAGGACAGTGGTTAGGTCAGGGCTGGGCAGCACTTTTGAGCTGAGGAATGGGCAGGAGAAAGGTGGTCTTCTGAGAGTAGCCGGGGACCCCACACAGGCACAAAGAGAAGTGTACAGGAAACATGGGCAAGGCACATGACTGACCAGGAGCAGCCTCAGCCCTGCTTTCCAATTCCAGGTGATCTGCTGATTTCCTCTCCCAGAATGATCGTAAAGTCACTCACTTTAATTAGAAACAAATCCTCTTAAAACTATTCTCGGTCGGGCGTGGTGGCTTATGCCTGTAATCCCAGCAGTTTGTATGGCCAAAGCAGGTGGATCGCTTGCGGCCAGGAGTTCGAAACCATCCTGGCCAACTTGGCAAAACCCTGTCTCTACTAAAAATACAAAAATCAGCCGGGCATGGTGGCAGGCGCCTGTAATCCCAGCTATGCAGGAGGCTGAGGCAGGAGAATCACTTGAACCCAGGAGGCAGAGGTTGCAGTGAGCCAAGATCATGCCACTGCACTCCAGCCTGGGTGACAGAGCGAGATCCTGTCTCAAAAAAATAAAATAAAAAATAAAAACTATTCTCAAAACTTTTTTATTTTTATTTCTTTTTTGTGAGACTGAGTCTCGCTCTGTTGTCCAGGCTGGAGTACAATGGCACAATCCCGGCTCACTGCAACCTCTGCCTCCTGGGTTCAAGTGATTCTCCTGCCTCAGCCTCCCAAGTACCTGGGATTACAGGCTCCCGCCACCACGCTCAGCTAATTTTTTTGTATTTTTAATAGAGACGAGGTTTCACCAGGTTAGCCAGGCTGGTCTGGAACTCCTGATCTCAGGTGATCCACCTGCCTCGGCCTCCCAAAGTGCTGGGATTACAGGCGTGAGCCACCATGCCCGGCCTTGTTTTTAGTTTTTGAGACAGGGTCTCACTTTGTTGTCCAGGCTAGAGTGTGGTGGTGCAATCATGGCTCACTGCAGCCTCGATTTCTTGGGCTCAAGTGAGCCTCCCACCTCAGCCTCCAGAGTAGCTGTGACTACAGGCACATGCCACCACACCCAGCTAATTTTTGTATTTTTTGTAGAGGCTGGGTTTCACCATGTTGTCCAGGCTGGTCTTGAACTGGTGAGCTCATGTGATCAGCCTGCCTCGGCCTTCCCAAAGTGCTGGGATTCAGGCGTGAGCCACTGTGTCCAGCCTATTCTCAAACTTTAGTTTGCATCAGAATCTCCCTAGATGATGCCGATCCTGCTGGTTCCGAGACCACACTTTACGAATCATTGCTTTAAGCTTGTTTGAGTGTCTGTTCTTTGAAGCCAAATGTGCCCTAACCAAGACAGGTTATCTGGATTCCCTCTGTGAGGTTTGGTGCTGAATTGTAGGTGTCAGGAAAACTGAAATCCCAGCTGCCTCTAGTGTTAACCCTTAGAGCCCATCCAGCAGGGACTCAACCTCTCTTGCTCCTGCCTGGGCCACACCTGTACTGAGAACACCCTGAGGACATGCAGTATTGCGGAAGTGCAGGGCAATGCCCCTGCCCTCCTACCTGGCATCAGGTGTTTAAAGCATTGCAGCAGTATTTAAATAAAAAAAAAAAAAGCAGTACAGTTTGAACTCCTAGCATCTCACCAAGATTATAGATCATGCTCAGTTTCTGCATGTAGCTCTCAAACGGAAGGCTTAGGCATACTTCCTTGGAGCTGAGCCAAGTGACCATCTTTCTCCTGGCCAGATCCTTCTAGTGACTTCTCTAAAAAAACTTCATACAGATCAGCGGTGCCCGCTCCACTGACCTTCATACATACCAGACATGTTTAAATCCTAGTGATGCTCACAGATTGGTCCAAAGTAGGGACTTATTCTACCTCCATCATCCCTACATAAGGAATAAAAGATCTCCTGTCCCACCCAACATCATAGGTAGGCAATTCTCTGTGAAGGGCCAGATAGTAAATATGTTAGGCTTTGTGGATAAAGGTGTCTGTAGCAACCACTCACCTTTGTCATTGATGGCATAAACAATGACAAAAAGGAATGGATGTGCCTGTCTTCCAATATAACTTTATTTACCAAAAAAACAGGCAGCAAGCAGGATTTAGCCTAACCCCTGTTCTACCTAGTAGCTTTTTTTCCTATTACTAAATGAAGTTAATGAGTCTTTAAACAGATGGAAACATATTTAGTGTTAGCAGTTCTATATTATTATGGGAATCCTTTAAAAATTTATAGGCTATACATGTTTTTCTTAAGAGCAGGCAGCGAGCCCAGCTAATCTTAAATAAACCCAGCCTCAACATTTAAAAAAATGTAAAATTATATCAATACATTGCTGAAACTAAACCAATTTTGTCTTCAAAAGAGAAATATTTGAAACTGTTGTTTAAGCAGAAATAATTTTTAAAATAAAAATATGCACATATGTCTTAAAGATTTATATAAAAAATGGAATGCCAAACAACTGAAAGGAGAAATCAGATTTAGATTATATCCACGAATTTATTCTCTCGTAATTTTAGTTCTTTATATATAAAAAAGTAAAAACAGCAAAACAATACAACCTGGGCAACACTGACCTATATAAACAGACCTGGTACATTACCACTTAAAAACCAATTCAATTCCAAAAAGCAGAAACTGTCTTACTTGTTAAACAAGGTATCAGTTGCTATTTTTTTAATGGTCAAGATGATTTCCAACTCTGGCTCCTCTTTTTAATAAATATGTTTTGACAAGTGCCTTTGTAATGAACTAATCCATTTGCAAACTTGGCAGGCAAAGATAAAGTCAGTTTCTGTTTTTCTTCCGAGAGCTGTTGGACAGTGTGTAACTGTAGAGCTCGGCACGTAGAATGGCTGCACTTCCTGTGATTTTTGAGTTGTCTGCCTTACTTTTTTCATACATTGCATCATCAATTACCCATTCATCAGACAGTAGTCAGTCTTCTTTCACAGAATCTAAAATGTCCCAGCTTGGGATAGTCTGCCAGAAATTGTCTCGTATTACTAAATTGTTGGTCCTAAGACCGTGGGACAAAAAAGTGGGAAAAACGGTTTGATGGAAGCTTCTTCTGTTTAGAGCTCTAATAGTTCTCTTTATTTTGTGGGGTTATTTTTTTCCTTAACTAAAATCTTGTCCATAAAATTCTCCATTAGAATTTTATATAAAATAATTGCCCTGAGAAAAACAGTAACTAAAATTATGAAGGGTTATTCACTCATTAATGTGAGACGATCCTCAATTCCTTATTGCATTCATTCAATTAAAAAAAAACCTTTTTTTTTGAGACAGGGTCTCATTCTGTTGCCCACGCTGGAGTGTGGTGACATGATCCTAGTTCACTGCAGCTTTGAACTTCTGGGCTCAAGCAATCCTCCTGCCTCAGCCTTTGGAGTAGCTGGGACTACAGGTGTACACTACCACACCCAGCTAACAACTCATTCTAAAGAAACTGTTTTAACTATTTTAACCTTAGCCATTTTAAATTTATAGGTACCAAATTCAGGTCAGCTTCAAATTTGGGACGGTACAGAAAATAGTTAAATTGTATTTGTTTCCGAGGACAAAATGAGCAACAGAGGAACAAAGGACTTTTTCCTTTGTTGAGGCCACTCCTATTCTAAACTTGTAACTAGGGTGTTTCAATCTGACTGTATATAAATCAAAACAAAAATTTAGCTTGAGATTATTTCCATTTACTCCCAGGTTGATTTAACCAAATTAAAGATAATTTGCATTTTTGATGGCCCTAAGTTAATTTTAATCCCAAACTAGATAAATATTTCATTAAAAACCAGGAATACTGCATCTAGGTATTTTTAGATTAAGTGGCTAATCTGTTTTTCTAATAATTCTTATATATAATTGCAGCCCTTTAAATAAAACTAGCTTTTGCAGTAGACTGATTAAAATCCACTGAGTCAAGAAATACCTAAGAATACATTTTTACTCAATACCATCTTATCATGTGGGCTGCTGACTTAAAAATATGTGGTTTTCTGTTTCAAATAAGATTGTTCTTGTTACATTCCCTGAATCACACCCAATTTATATTTCAAAAATCAGTTAGAGGCCGGACATGGTGGCTCACACCTGTAATCTCAGCACTTTGGAAGGCTGAGGCGGGTGTATCACCTGAGGTTAGGAGTTCGAGACCAGCCTGACCAAAATGAAACCCCATCTCTTCTAAAAATACAAAAATTAGCCGGGCATGGTGGCATACCTCTGTAATCCCAGCTACTCAGGAGGCTGAGGCATGAGAACTCTTTGAACTCTGGAGGCGGAGATTGCAGTGGGCCGAGATTGCACCACTGCACTCCAGCCTGGGTGACAGAGTGGAACTCTGTCTCAAAAAAGAAAGAAGGAAAAAAATCAGCGAGGTTGGAAAAAATCACTTCAAGTTAATAATATATATATTTTTACTTTTGAAATTTTTTATAAGTAAAATGAATACATTACAATCAAACACAGAACACATATTAAGTGGACAATAAATATTTTAATTTGCCTTTTGTGTGTATGTGAGTGTGAGTGTGTTCCATGGTGGTTTATGTTTTAGATATGTGTGGTATTACAGGACAAAGAAATTAACTCCCCCATGCTCAAAATGTGATTTCCCCCTCCCTGTCTAAGCATTGCAAGAATGCAGACCATAATCACACAATGCATACTTTATCATATGAGGCCAAAACAGCATTTTCCTCTCCTGTGCCTCTGGTCTGATGGATACCCAGGGAAACAAATGTTATCTATGAATGGTCTTTTCTGCCTGCCCAAACATGTCTGTCTATTATCAGGACTGGCCTGGCAGGACCTGGTTTCTGATCCTAACCAGCTGTGTGAGAACTAGAAACGTCATTTCATCTGTCACATGGAGTTGGACTAGACTATCTCTCCTGTCCCTTCTAACTTTCAAATCTCTTGATTTAATGGTTCTGTCCTATATGTATCCTGATTTCTTTTTTTTTTTTTTTTTTTTTTTTGAGATGGAGTTTTGCTCTCGTTGCCCAGGCTGAAGTGCAGTGGTGTGATCTCAGCTCACTGCAACCTCCACCTCCTGGGCTCAAGCAATTCTCCTTCCTCAGCTTCCCAAGTAGCTGGAATTACAGGCTAATTTTGTATATTTTTAGTAGAGATGGGGTTTCACCATGTTGGTCAGGCTGGTCTCAAACTCCTGACCTCAAGGGATCCACCCACCTTAGCCTCCCAAAATGCTGGGATTACAGGCGTAAGCCCCGACGCCTGGCATGTATCCTGATTTCTGGGGTATTAATTAGTTCACATGGCCAGCCAAGACCCACTCCAGATGCAGTGGGGCTCCTCCCCATCTGTCACAGTACACTGGATCAACATAATGGGAAGTTATCTGTTGTTGTCATTTCATTTTTACTTGAAAAATAATTTACATACTATATTATTTTTTAAATAAGAAAACCATATTATTATTATTTTTTATTTTTTTGAGATGGAGTCTCACTCCGTCGCCCAGGCTGGAGTGCAGTGGCATTATCTCAGCTCACTGCAACCTCTACCTCCCGAGTTCAAGCGATTCTCCTGTTTTGTATTTTTAGTAGAGACGGAGTTTCACCATGTTGGCCAGGCTGGTCTTTAACTCCTGACCTCAGGTGATCCACCCCCGTTGACCTCCCAAAGTGCTGGGATTACAGGCATGAGCCACTGCTCCCGGCCAGAAAACCATATTATTTTTTAAAAAAGAAAACCACCCAGTCAGGCACAGTGGCTCACGCCTGTAATCCCAGCACTTTGGGAGGCTGAGGCAGGCAGATCACGAGGTCAGGAGATCAAGACCATCCTGGTCAACATGGTGACACGCCATCTCTTATAAAATACAAAAAATTAGCTGGGCGTGGTGGCACACGCCTGTAGTGCCAGCTACTCGGGAGGCTGAGGCAGGGGAATCACTTGAACCTGGGATACGGAGGTTGCAGTGAGCCAAGATCGCGCCACTGCACTCCAGCCTGGCGACAGAGTGAGAGTCTGTCAAAAAAACAAAAAAAACAAACCTGATGCATATTTCCTAAAGACTACAACATTCTGATATTCTATGTATAGTATATATTTTTGCATAACTGAATAAAACACATAATTTAAACACTGTTAGTGACCAAAGCCACCATGTTTGAGAAAAGGCAATAAATTTCAGCAACTGTTTAAACTGCTTATAAATATAGTATGCCAAAGCTGGAAGTTTACTGGATAGGAAGAGTAGCTTAGACAGAAAGCGTCTCTGAGGCTCTATGACTGGCTAGGTACCCGACCCACGCGTTCTCAGAGTACCCTGTGCTTGTCCCTGTTGTCACACCCAACATGCCGTGTTATAACTGCCAGTCTCTGTGATTACACACTGCAGGATCCTTGAGGGCAGGGATGGTGCTGGTTCACTGAAGTACCCTTCGTGCTTGACATACAGTAAAGACTCCATAAATAATTGTTTGATAACTACTGAATGAGTAACCAGCCATCTTCACTCATTGATCTGCTGGGAGCAACAGAAGCAGGCAAGAGTAGCACCACATGACACAGGAATAAGAGGCACGGTTTCCAAGAGCAGGCCGGACGCAGTGACTCACGCCTGTAATCCCAGCACTTTGGGAGGCAGAGGCGGATTGCCTGAGGTCAGGCCGAGATCAGCCTGACCAACATGGTGAAACCCTATCTCTACTAAAAATACAAAAATTAGCCGGGCGTGGTGGCGGGCGCCTGTAATCCCAGCTACTCAGGAGGCTGAGACAGGAGAATCGCTTCAATCCAGGAGGCGGAGGTTGTGGTGAGCCGAGATTGCACCACTGCACTCCAGCCTGGCAACAAGAGTGAAACTCCATCTTTAAAAAAAAAAAAAAAAAAAAAAAGGCACGGTTACCAAGAGCCTGTGTTTGGTGTTTGCCAGATGGCCAAAGGCTCCCATCAAAATATGACTGATGGAATACTCAGACATGTCCATTCAATAATGTCCCTACAGTACGACATACTATACTCACCTATTATGAGTGACACCAAAGGATACATGATATTTTGGCTAGGATCATTTTGACTGTTAAGCCAACTCTTACACACACCTTACCAAAATTTGCAAACTGTCTATTAATCACAAGCAACTAAGCACCAACAACACTATTCAAGAAAGGAAAAATGAGTTAGGGTGGGTTATATTTTACTAGGAAATTCCTCTGGCTATATTCTATAGGAATTAGGTGTAATATCTGTTATGCAATTGCTTAGCATAGTGTTTGGCAAAGTATTAACAAAGCCTCTTTCCCTTCTGCATGAGAATTTTACCTTTGTTAACTTTCTAGCTCTGTTCCCCTGGCAACCTAATAAAAATTCATATGTCAACTGCTAGGCAATGTTACATATGGTAGACATGATGCCCAATTGGTAAACTGCATCTGGACTGGGAGAACTATAAATGCCTGATAGGAAGCCTCAGCTCTGGGCATCCCTAAGTACAGTGACGCTTGGAACAGGCATGTCTTTTATAGGGACACTGGAGGCCATGTCTATGAAGCTGTTATAAGAGATACTTGTTCCTGTGGGACAAGGGGCTCTTAAGCCGGGGAAGCTTCCATACTTGCCCCATGTAGATCTGTCTCCTTGCACCTGCACTATGCCACACAGACAGCTGCAGAGACTTTCAGAGAAGAGCAACTGGTTCTGCCTTGCTAGTAAGCAGTGCTTCCCATTCTATATCCTTTTAAGTGAATCTGATGCCAAGTGTGGCAGTTTATAAATTTGAATGTTTCTAAACCTTCAGTTGGGCCTAAGACCCTTGGAGGGCACTGCAGTATTATTTGCATGTTTTTCTGATGGCAGTAGATGCTCCTCAGGGGCTATGGATGGTAAAAGATGTGAAACTGTTTGGTATGTTTTTCTACTTCCAAAAAAATCCTGACCATACCCTTCACTGTATGCATGACAGATAATCCATATCCATTACATGTCACCAAGACCTGTATATGAAATTGATGCCTTCCTTCAAAATCCCCAAGCTTGTTACTACTAAACCTTCCTCATCAAAGCACATAATCCCTGCCCTAACCTCCACTGATTAACTGACAAAGGTCCAGAAATCAAATGATGGATATAAAAATTGCCCCCCCTAAAACCACAATTGTCAATGAAGAATTGGCAGTAGTAAAATAATCTACCTGGAGGGTCAAGACGGATGCTAAATGTTCTCCTTCAGTTATGAAGTTTCCATGTCATCCGATCATGCAGTCATGTGAGTTACTGTCACCTTTTAAAACTAGGATATATTTAGGCCGGGCGCGGTGGCTCACGCCTGTAATCCTAGCACTTTGGGAGGCCGAGGCGGGTGGATCACAAGGTCAGGATATTGAGACTATCCTGGCTAACACGGTGAAACCCCGTCTCTACTAAAAATACAAAAAATTAGCTGGGCATGGTGGCGGGTGCCTGTAGTCCCAGCTACTCAGGAGGCTGAGGCAGGAGAATGGCATGAACCCAGGAGGCGGAGCTTGCAGTGAGCCGAGATTGTGCCACTGCACTCCAGCCTGGGCAACAGAGCGAGACTCCGTCTCAGAAAAAAAAAGAAAAGAAAAACAACAACAACAACAAAAACTAGGACATGTTTAGGAACCAACCAAACTACTCTGACCCCAAAACACTTTTCGTTTTTCTCTACAGAAACATCATTTGAAGAAAAGAATTCAAATTTCCAGCACTACAATGAAAGGTTTGTGGAACACAGTACTGTTGAGTGGAGAGAACTACAAAAGCAACAGAAATCAATGAAAACAGTGCCCATCATATGCACCTGAATAAAGTGTCCCTTTATCAGGTTAGAAGATAGTGTGATCACATGAAAACACAAGGCAAGCTACAAGAGACCAGCAACAACAGGAAGCACAGTGGGAATGCTCAAAACAGAGCATAATAGGAACTTCTCACCCATCCCAACCCTTTGCCCCTCCCTACCCCATTACACTAGACTTCACAGAGATCATTCTCTTAATGCACAAGGGACACACACAAGAAAAATCTAGAGTTCCAAATAAAACAGTCTGAGTTCAGTTAACCAAAGGCCACTCCACTCTTTCCTACGGCTCCCAGAATCAGTGCATGCAGCCCTACCTGTTGCCTTTCTCTCCCTGGGGTTTGTCACGACATCAATGAACAATAACAAAAAAAACCCATCTCAGTATTCCAAACCACCAGAATACTCAATTCCATAACATGTTGCAGAACACTAGGTCAGCAGCTTCCTTAAGGAATATTCAAAGTCTGGTGGCCACCAAAATATTTACATCAGAACGGCATCTTTCTGCCAAATGATCAGAATCATGATGCACTATGTCATTTCTTAATTATTATAGGTAAGGCCCTATTTACATTCCTTCTCAACTTTTGAGAAGGGGGTCCTCATCCCCCAAGAGAAATAACTTCCCAAGAATGCCATTTTGGAATTCCATTACAAGTAAGAGTCCTGTTCCCATTCATGCAATACATCTAATATGAGACGAAAATATCCCTTTGTGAACTTGGGTGGAATGTGCCAGAATAGAAACTAAACCACTAACGGTCTGTGTTGGGCTCAACTGTAAATTTACTTAGTATAAAAATACCACCAACCCCACAAATTAAACCTCAAAGACACTGTGATTATAAATACTGACCACCTAAAGGGGACCAATTTATGATCTGATAGTCTAGACAGAGGAAGTATCTCCTTTAAAAGTGATAGAACTCAGTGATCCAGTTATTGCCAGTGCCTATACACAAACTCCAAATAGTCCACCAGAAATGCAACAATCTGAGATATTACGAAAGAAAGAGAATCATTTAAACATTAGGTGTCACATTCTGTTTTCTTCCCAGTGATTCTGCTACTTTAAAAATTAACAAAATGATCAGAACCTAGTAACGATTCTGGGTGTATGAATGAGTCAGAATTTTCTAAGTTTCCACATTATAAACCTAAATCAGATCTTGGGCAAGCTATGAACCATCTGGCCTCAGCGCTTCATTTTACTAATCCACTATTTTCTAAAATTTGCGAGAGTATAAGGGGCTACTAAATATTATGAAGGTCAGCCAGGCACGGTGGCTCACGCCTGTAATCCCAGCACTTTGGGAGGCTGAGGCAGGCGGATCACTTGAGGTCAGGAGTTCAAGACCAGCCTGGCCAACATGGTGAAACCCCATTTCTACTAAAAATACAAAAATTGGCCAGGCGTGGTGGCGCGTGCCTATAATCCCAACTACTCAAGAGGCTGAGACAGAAGAATCTCTTGAACCTGGGAGGTGGAGGTTGCAGTGAGCCGAGATCACGCCATTGCACTCCAGCCTGGGTGACAAAGATGAAACTCCATCTCAAAATAAATAAATAAATACATAAAATAAAATTAAAAATAAATAAATATTATGCAGGTAAAAGGTAGCTTAAAATAGAACACAAAATTAAGTCCACTCATTAAAGATCCTTTAAAAAATCCTACTTTATCTTACAGCAGAGTTTCTCAACATTGGTATTACTGACATTTTGAATTGGAGAATTCATTGTTGTGGGGACTGTCCTGTGCATTTCAGGATGTTTGGCAGCTTCCCTGGCCTCTACCCACTAGATGCCAGTAGCCACCTGCAAGGCACGAAATCACCCCCAACTGAGAATCACTGTCCTACAGTGAAATCTCTAATGTAAAATGTTTTACCCAGGGATATGAAGAGGTCACGGAATCACTGAAGAGGATCATAGCTCCACTGGAGAAAGCAGGCAAAGAGGCTGAACTATGAGGTAGAAAAGTCATTAAAACATCAGAGATAATTTAAACAGAGAAAGCAAAAATATCAAACACTGTTCCTGGCCAAGTAAATCTTCTACACATCCATTTAGGTTTCCTTTTTGCTGAGATCCCTCTTTTAAAATAACAGCAAATATATGTATACATTTTTGGAGACAGTTTCGCTCTTGTTGCCCAGGCTGGAGTGCAGTGGTGTGATGTCGGCTCACAGCAACCTCCGCCTCCTGGGTTCAAGCGATTCTCCTGCTTCAGCCTCCTGAGTAGCTGGAATTACAGGCATGCGCCACCATGCCTGGCTAATTTTGTATTTTTAGTAGAGACGGGGTTTCTCCATGTTGGCCAGGCTGGTCTTGAACTCCCGACCTCAGGTGATCCACCTGCCTTGGCCTCCCAAAGTGTTGGGATTACAGGCGTGAGCCACTGCGCCTGGCCACAGCTAGTATTTTTATTTCAGATAAGACAAATATCTCTGGTCCCTGATAATTTTCAATGAGTAACTCTTGATCTAGAATATTTTTCTTTTATTTATTTATTTTATTATTATTTTTTTGAGACAAGGTCTCACACTGTTGCCCAGGCTGGAGTGGAGTGGCACGATTCCAGCTCACTGCAACCTTTTCCAGGCTCAAGTGTTCCTCTCGCCACAGCCTCCTGAGTAGCTGGGATTACAGGCACATGCCACCACTCCTGACTAATTTTTGTATTTTTGCTAGAGACGGGGTTTCGCCATGTTGGTCAGGCTGGTATCGAACTCCTGACCTCAAGTGTTCCATCTGCCTTGGCCTCCCAAAGTGCTGGGATTATAGGCGTGAGCCACCGCACACAGCCAAGAATGATATTTATCGAACTACCTGTGATAAGAGAAGTTTTAAATTTTCCATTCTACTGCAGACCAATACGTGGTCCTGCTGTACAGGCTGGTATCCAACCTCTGCACCATGTGGCCCTCTAGCTGACCAGAACTGAACTGGTCCATACCTCACTCAAGAAGACAAAGCCATGAGTCACAGCAATGTCAAAGTGTTATCAACATTTCTATATGTGTATTCTTAATTTCTGACTTTCCTTGTAGCAGACTGGTAGAAAACAGTTTACAGAACAGGGCCTCTCTGTGGGCCAGAGTTTGAGTTGCACTGTTCCAGTTTTAACTACTATTGAGAAGTACGACTTAAACACCTGTCTAATGCTTTGGCTAACATTTACAAGCCAATTTATAATGTTTTTGACTTTTTTGTTGTTCAAGAGGTAGAAATAAAAGTGACTTTTACCACCTTTTGAAAGACAACTACACTTAAAGGAAGACAAGAAGATTTCTTTTAAAATCCATTTTGGATATTTTAACATAAGACAAAATTATGGAAATTGCCTTCAATTACATTCCGAATTCCTAACACTGCCTGCCCTTTAGCCCTTTAAAGAGTTCAGCCTCTTTTGTTACAATAATTGTGTGGCTGGAAAGTGGGCGAAAGGTAGACTGCTTTTAAAAACCTGTTCTGCTACTAACCTTCCCTTTCCCTCATGAAGATCTTTTAAAAGATGAACATTTTAGAAATGTTACTTGGCATTATGGGCTTATACTTTCCCTCCAATTAAAGTTCTAGGCAAGGAGGTAGAAGGCAGGACTCAACTCCAAAGGCCGGACTCGGACATGGACCAAATTGAGGACTAGCTAAAACAGGGCGGTGGTGGGAGGGTGGTGCAGGAAGCAGATTTCCATAAGAAACACTTATCACTGTGCCATGTCAATTACCATTGCCATGGCAACACCTGGAAGTCACTGCCCCTTATCATGGCAACCACCCAGCGGCTTGGAAGTTACCACCATTTTCCTAAATATTGCTGCATAATCTGCCCCTTAATTTGCATGTAACTAAAAGTGGGTATAAATATAAGTGCCGACCTGCCTCTGAGCTACTACTCTGGGCACACTGCCTATGGTGTAGCCCTGCTCCACGAGGAGCGGCCCCTTAGCTGCTGTTGGGCACTGCTGCTTCAATACAAGCTGCTGTCTAACACCACTGGCTTGCCCTTGAATTCTTTCCTGGGTGAAGCCAAGAACTCCTCTGGGCTAAGCCCCAATTTTTGGGCTCACCTGCCCTACATCAGCATAAACTAAGTAAAAGAATGCCAGAGGCAGCTACATTTCCAAGTTACACAGCTCCAGCTTTTGGAAATTGCTGGAAAAAGTAGGGGAGCATTTTGAGTTTTGCCCAAATGAGTTGTTTTATGATAACAGAACAGGTTGTATGTGTAGAATCGTCAAATGCCAAACCAGACAGGGAAACCATCCAGACCTGGGGTCATAGCCTCCCTTCTCAGGGCTAACTTAAAATTTAATTCAACTGGGCAAGTCAGGATGCCATAATGAGCCTTTCAGATCATTCCCATGTTCGTCTGCCCATAAGTATTCCAAGCCTTTAAAATTGTTCTAGATTTAGGGAGTACCTTTTATGATCATGTAGCCAGACCGCCCTGCCTGCTTTATATCAATGAAGGTTTCTCTTTAATACTTTGCCAGAAAATTTAATGTGGAATTCATTAGGAAAGGCTTGGCAAAGGTAAACTTGATCCCAAAACTTAATGGTTTTTAGAGAAAGAGGATGATAACAAAGGAATGCAGAGGACTGAATCAATATAAAAACAAGCCTGGAGATTTTCTTATCTTTCTCCTAACCAGAGTTTGGACACACAGCAAGAAAAACAGGAGACCTCAGGGCCTGCTTTGACTCACTCAGAATTAAGGAGTGGCCAGCAAAGCCCTCAGAAACCAAGGGCACCACACAAAAAGGTTATCTGTCCTTTGAGTCACAAAATCCAACCTCTATCAGATAGTCTAATAAAAATGCACATATAATAACAGTGAAAAAATGTTCCTCTCAGGGTTCCACAAAATTGGACAAATGGTATCTTTCAACAACAGAACGAGCACTAACAAGTTTTAAAACCTCCTCTTCCCCACCAATTTATTGCTACGTAAGTGTCTCTCGGTCTGATAAGTTAGGCTGAATTTGTGGTTTGTCATCAGAATCATCTCCAGCAGGGTCATTTTCCTCACCCGACTCCACATAGATTGGCCAGTCATTGTCTGTGTCGCTCTTTTCTTGGCTTTCAGATGAAGCCTCCACCAAGCTAAGGTTGATGGGCATCAAATCATCATCATCATCGGGTGTGTCTGTAACGCAGGTGCAGCTGTCACACAGCCCGAAGCGCCGCAGCCCCTGGGACAGGTGACTCGTGAATGTTCTCCTGCAGCCCTTGCAGATGATTGGACGGTTGGATCTGTGGACCTGTAATCACAAGCAGACACAGTAGATGTCACAGAAAAGGAGATGAGTGTTTTCCACAAGGCCCCGTGTGATCTGGCCCCTGCCTGATCCTCCCGATTCCTTTTTCAGCACTCCACCTGCATTCTCTGCCACAGTCTTTGTATTAGTCTGTTCTTGCACTGCTATAAAGAAATACCTGAGACTGGGTAATTTATAAAGAAAAGAGGTTTAATTGGCTCACAGTTCCACAGGCTGTACAGGAAGCATGATGCTGGCATCTGCTTGGCTTCTAGGGAGGCCTCAGGAAACTTACAATTGTGGCAGAAGACAAAGGGGGAGCCGGCACTTCACATGGCCAGAGCAGGGGGAAGAGAAAGAAGGGGGAGGTAACACATATTTTCAAACAACCAGATCTCATGAAAACTCACTATCACGATGACAGCACCAAGTAGGGATGGCGTTAAACCATGAGAAACTGCCCCCATGATGCAACCACCTCCCACCAGGCCCCACTTCCAGCATTAGGGATTACATTTCAACATGAGATTTGAGTGGGGACAGAGATCCAAACCATATGAGTCTTCATCTTACCAAGGTTCTTTCTACCCCGGAGCCACCGGACACATGTGGGACATTCCCTTCTGCCCATCATCAACCCTTCACCCCTTATGAACACCTTGGAAGGAGGTCTTTCCTGATGCTCTAGGCCAGTTAGGGCCTCCACCTAGCGATTCTCACCCATACTTCTTCCTTTGTTGTACTTCTCACAAATTGTTCATAAAAGTCACTAGAGTGGAAGCTCTAAGAGGGCAGGGACAGAGTCTGTCCCATTCCTTACTATATCCCTAGTGCTTGGCATACAAAAAGCACTCAAATGAAAGTGAACTGATTGGGATTTTTTTTTTTTTTTTCCAGAGACAGGGTCTTTCTCTGTCACCCAGGCTGGAGTGCAGTGACATGATAATAGCTTACTAAAGCCCTGAACTCCTGGGCTCAAGCGATCCTCCCCCTCCAGCCTCCCAAGCAGCTGGGACCACAGGCGCCCACATATCATCATGCCTGGCTAATTTTTTATTTCTTGTAGAGGTGGAGTCTCACTATGTTGCCCAGACTGGTCTTGAACTCCTGGCCTAAAGTGATCCTTCCACCTTGGCCTCGTAAGGTGTTGAGATTTCAAGCGTGAGCCACCATAGTTGGCCAGGATTTTTTTTTTTAGAGATGGGGTCTTGCTATCTTGCTATGTTGCCCAAGCTGGACTTGAACTCCTGGGCTCGAGTGATCCCCCTGCCTCAGTTTCCCAAGTAGCTGGGAATATAGGTGTGTGCCACTGCATCTGACTCTCATTAGGATTTTTGACATGGTTTTTTTTTTCCCTCTCATTGGACACCTTTGGTAATTGACATTTTATTTATTTTTATTTTTATTAAAGTATACTTTAAGTTCTAGGGTACATGTGCACAACATGCAGGTTTGTTACATATGTATACACATGCCATGTTGGTGTGCTGCACCCATTAACTCGTCATTCACATTAGGTATTTCTCCTAATGCTGTCCTTCCCCCATCCCCCCACCTCTTGGATTGTTTAATTATTAGGAAGGCAGATTTGCTAGGGTAGACAGCTACATTCCTCAGATGTGCCAGCAGCTGCTTTGGGAACTATGTTTTTTTGTTGTTGTTTTTGTTTTGTTTTTTTTGAGACGCCGTCTTGCTCTGTTGCCCAAGCTGGAGAGCAGTGGCCCGATCTCGGCTCACTGCAACCTCCGCCTCCCAGGTTCAAGCAATTCTCCTGCCTCAGTCTCCTGAGGAGCTGGGACTACAGGCGCGTGCCACCAAGCCTGGCTAATTTTTTTTTTTTTTTTTTTTTTTTTTTTTTTGGATTTTTAGTAGATAAGGGGTTTCGCCACACTGGCCAGGCTGACCTCAAACTCCTGACCTCGGATGATCCGATGATCCATCCACCCCAGCCTCCCAAAGTGCTGGGATTACAGGTGTGAGCCACCGTGCTGGGCCTAGGAACTATCTTTTTAATGTGTACACTTTTCAGGAACTCCAGCCGATAGGGGCTCTGTGAACCAATCACAGCCTCTCTTCTAGAGAGCTCTGGGTGCAAGCAAGAGGCAGAGACGGGGAGAGGCTGATGCAGGAGAGCCACCCACAATTAGCGCAGTCCTAGTGGGTGGGAAGTGGCATCTCACTTTGATTTGCATTTACCCTATGAGTAATGATGTTGAGCATCTTTTCATGTGCTTATTGGCCATTTGTCTATCTTTTCCTGAGAAATATCTATTCAAATCCTTTGCCCAGGTTTAATTGAGTTATTCATCCTTTTACTATTGCATTATAAAAGTTCTTTATTCTGCATACTAGACACTTATCAGATATATCCCTTGCAAATATTTTCTCCCATTCTGAGGGTTTTCGTATTCTTTTTTTTTTTTTTTTTTTTTTTGACACGGAGTCTCACTCTGTTACCAGGCTGGAGTGCAGTGGTGTGATCTTGGCTCACTGCAACCTCCACCTCCCGGGTTCAAGCAGTTCTCCTGCCTGAGCCTCCTGAGTAGCTGGGACTACAGATGCACACCACCACAGCTGGCTAATTTTTGTATTTTTAGTAGAGACAGGGTTTCACCATGTTGGCCAGGATGGTCTCCATCTCTTGATCTTGTGATCTGCCCACCTCAGCCTCCCAAAGTGCTGGGATTACAGGTGTGAGCCCCTGCGCCCGGCCAGTTTTCGTATTCTTAAGAGCGTCCATTGAAGATCAAACTATTTGTATGTTAGATTTCCCAAACACTGATTGTCTTGCTCAAAGACAATCATAACTGCACATGGTGGCTCATGCCTATAATCCCAGCACTTTGGGAGGCTGAGGCAGGCAGATCGCTTGAGCCCAGGAGTTCAAGACCAGCCTGGGCAACCTGGAAAAACCCTGTCTCTACAAAAAAACAAAAAACAACAACAACAAAAAAACACGTTAGCTGGGCATGGTGGTGTGTGCCTGTAGTTCCAGCTACCTGCGTAGGGGCTCAGGTGAGAGAATCACCTGTGCCTTGGGAGGTCAAGGCTGCAGTGAGCTGTGATCTCTGCAGCCTGGGTGACAGAGTGAGACTCTGTCTCAAACAAAACAAAACAAAAAAAGATGATCATAAAATGCAACATCTGCAGCCATTAAAAAGAATGAGATCATGTGTTTTGTGGGAACATGGATAGAGCTGGAGGCTATTATCCTCAGCAAACTAACATAGGAACAGAAAACCAAATACAACATGTTCTCACTTATAAGTGGGAGCTAAATGATGAGAACTTATGAACACAAAGAAGGAAACGGCAGACACTGGGGTCTACCGGAGGGTGGGAGGTGGGAGAGGAGCAAAGAGAACTAATTCCTGGGTGATGAAATAATCTGTACAACAAACCCCTGTGACATGAGTTTACCCATGTAACAAACCTTCTCGTTTACCCCTGAACCTAAAAGTTTAAATAAATAAATAAATATAACATCTTTCTAAGTGGCCTGAATGGTTTTCAGCGGGTTGGAATCACCAGCTCACATGGAGACAATGCTAGGGGGCAGCTTGTTAGAGGGGAGGGTCTCCTTGGGCTGGAGCCCTTTTTGTCTGCTGCCCACAGGTAGCTCTATACATGGCAGTATACCCTTCCCTTACCCCTAGGTGCTGGGGCTCGGTGGGAAACTGAGGATGCAGCTTACCTTTGGTATCACACTGGTAGGAAGAGATCCACAATCCTGTCTGAGCCCTGTTGTTCTCTACATTACAATAATCACCTCTTATCAGGATCTAAACTTTCTTGGCTCTTCCCCTTAGAAAACTAGTCTAACTTGAAGTTAAAACTTAACTCTAACATATAAAGTTTTAACTTTCTGTAAGTGCCACCACCTGAGCTTTAATTTAGTAGTAAAAACATACGTGGAAATTATCTGAAAATACCCCAGTAGACAGAGAAATGAAAGACAGGCTGGCTTCACCCTTCCATTAGATGATATCATGAATAGCTCTTGCCACAAGGGCATGGCCAGCTCGAACACTTACACTCAGTGCGTGGCTCCGCAGGTGCTCTTGTCGAGTGAACCTCTTGCCGCAGGTCTCACAGGGGTAGGGCCGCTCGCCTGTGTGTGAACGGATGTGCCGCTTGAGGATGCCCTTCTGTTTGGCAGTGTAAGGGCAGAAAGGACACTTGTGGAGCTTGATGGGGACCACCAGCACATCACCTGGGGAACCAAATGCTTTCATTTAGCTGTGCTGTATGCAGTGACCAACCCTGGCTACCCGCCGGTGGATGGGATCCAGAGCTGGGGAATTCCACCAGCCCAGATAGAAGAGGAGGACACCAACTCCGCCACCAGCCAACAGCAAGACATCGTCTGCAATTCCAACTCAGTCTGGCTCCCAGTCAGCCCCAGGATAAAGTAAAGTGGACTTCTTATAATGTCGGGAATGCTATAAGGCACCAGCTTCCACACTTCTGTGTGACTGACAGAAACTCAGCTTGCACTGCAACCTCAGAACACACGTGCCTTATGTGGATAACTGGAAAAGTTTCCCAAAACAATACTCACCCTGATAGTGTTTATTCTGTTTGGTTTCATTTTAAGACTGCTGGGTGAGACTCTGTTATGGACTTAATTGTGTCCCCCTAAAATTCATACCTTGAAGTCTGTATTTGGAGATAAAGCCCTTAAGAAGGTAATTAAGGTTAAATGAGTTTATAAGGTGGGGCCCTAATGATAGGACTGGTTTCCTTATAAGAAGAGGAAGAGACACCAGAGATCGACTGATCTCTCTCTCCTTCTCCCTGCATACCCCCCACCATTCCTCTCACCCCCACCCCCAGCACACACAGAGGAAAGGCTATGTGAGGACACAGTGGGAAGGCTGCCATCTGCAAATCAGGAAGAGGCCTCACCAGAACCCAACTCTGCTGGAGCCTCTAGAACTATGAGGATACATTTCTGTTGTTTAAGCTTCCCAGTCTGGGGCACTCTGTTGTGGCAGCCTGAGCTGACTAATACAACCCTCTGAATTGATCTCACTACCTTCAGAACTTGGAAAACGCTGTTATGATGGATCAGATTTCTAGACCAGAATTCATGCTTTCTTGGACAGTAGTTCCTAAGAATATTTTCTAAGTATACATAGAAGAGGCTTGCTTTGATGAAGACCCTAAATTGTTTGGAATTTATATTAACTCTATATATCTGAAATCATCAAATATCCAGGAATTCACTTAAATCTTTTTCCAATTTATTCCCTCACCTTGCTCATATAACCATTAAGGTGACAATGTGATTATCACTCACATGTATAGAAACTGTTCCATTCAAGTTCTGTGAGTTACACTTACTGCTATAGTCATCCCTTGGTACCCACTGGGAATTGGTTCCAGGATACTCCTTGGATACCAAAATCCAAGGATGCTCAAGTCCCAAAGTCAGCCCTGCGGATCCTGTGAATACTGTATTTTCCATATGTGGTTGGTTGAATCCACGGAACCACGGATGCAGAAGTTATGGACACAGAGGGTCAACTATATTCCGAGATTTCTCCTTCATTTTTATTTTTTTATTTTTTTATTTTTTGAGATGGAGTCTCACTCTATAACCCAGGCTGGAGTGCAGTGACACGATCTTGGCTCACTGCAACCTCCACCTCCTGGGTGCAAGTGATTCTCCTGCCTCAGCCTTCGGAGTAGCTGGGATTACAGCCACCCACCACCATGCCCAGTTAATTTTTGTATTTTAGTAAAGGCGGGGTTTCACCATGTTGGCCAGGCAGGTCTCAACTCCTGACCTCAGGTGATCCGGCTGCCTCAGCCTCCCAAAGTGCTGGGATTACAGGCATGAGCCACCATGCCCGGCCCGAGATTTGTTCTCTCTATCCATGCCCTTCAATATTTATAGACTTTGGTCATATCATATCATATCATATCATATCACCTATGAAGGCACTAGTGACTCAAGCTTTCTAGGTACAGAAACCTGGTTCAAGTCCTGGCTCTAGCACTGATCAGCTGTGTGGCCCTGGACATCTCACTTAGCTTCTCTGTGCCTCACTTTCCTCATCTGTAAAACAGGTATGATAACAGTTCCCACCTCACAGGATTGTGGTAAGAATGAAATAAAGTAACACATAAAGCATAGCACGTGGCACATAGTAAGAACTTGCAAATGTCAGCCATGTTTGTCATCATCGTAATCTCTTCAGAATTTTTTTTACCAGGTAAGCAGTCCAGGCTCTTGTGGTCTCTGTCAACACTGGAGTAACTCTTTTCTCTGGGGCTGGCTTGGGATACCTAACTGGCTCTGTCTTTCCTGAGGTGCTATGAAAAGTATGGCACACTAAACTGAATGTGAAAGTCCAACATCCTTTATGTAAGGGTGGAAACTCTCTTTGGTATCAAGTTCCCATCCTAATAATGCCTAACATTTTGCATACTCTATAGTGACTCCGATATCTGTTTCCCAGGATAAAAGCAGCAGCTCAAAAGCTCATCACTGCTCACATATGTGAGATTATTAAATCTCTGACTGCTCACACTGGTACTGATACAAGTAAAATAGGAATTATTACTATTATTATTTTTTTTTCCTGAGATGGAGTCTCACTCTGTCACCCAGGCTGGAGTACAGTGGCACGATCTTGGCTCACTGCAACCTCCGCCTCCTGGGTTCAGGTGATTCTCCTGCCTCAGCTTCCAGAGCAGCTCGGATTACAGGTGCACACCACCATGCCTGGCTAATTTTTGTATTTTTAGTAGAGACAGGATTTCACCATGTTGGCCAGGATGATCTTGAACTCCTGACCTCAAGTGATCCACCCGCTTCAGCCTCCCAAAGTGCTGGGATTATAGGCGTGAGCCACCATGCCTGGCCTGTTTTTCGTTTTTGACACAGGGTCTCTGTCACCCAGGCAGGAGTGCAGTGGCATGATCATGGCTCACTGCAGCCTCTACCTCCCAGGCTCAGGTGATCCTCCCACCTCAGCTCCCCAAGTAGCTGGGACTACAGGCGTGTGCCACCATGTGCAGCTAATTTTTTTTTTTTTGAGACGGAGTTTTGCTTTTGTTGTGCAGGCTGGAGTACAATGGCACAGTCTCGGCTCACTGCAACCTCCGTCTCCCAGGTTCAAGTGAATCTCCTGTCTCAGCCTCCCAAGTAGCTGGGATTACAGGCGAGTACCACCATGCCTGGCTAATTTTATATTTTTAGTAGAGACCGAGGTTTCACCATGTTGGTCAGGCTGATCTCAAACTCCTGACCCCAGGTGATCCACCCACCTGGGCCTCCCACAGTGCTGGGATCACAGGTGTGAGCCACCATGCCCGGCCATGGGCAGCTAATTTAACAATTTTTTTTTTTTTTTTGTAGAGACAGAGTCTCACTATGTTGTCCAGGCTGGTATTGAACTCCTAGGCTTAAGGGATCCTCCATGCCTCATGGTCCCAAAGTGCCAGGATTACAGGTGTGAGCCACAGCACCCAGCCAGGAATGACGACCTGTTTCCTAGGATCAAAGTAGCAGCTCATAACTCATCACCCTGCTCACTCCTCTGGCACTGTGGAACTTCCTTGTTATTTATCTCCATCACCTTAGCTTTGTACCACACACTTCTTCCTGATTATCTACAAAAACATAAAATAAAATAGGCCCAGCATAAGTCCTTGGGAAAAATAACTGTTAACTGTTTCTCCATCAGAAAAGTATGGATTGTCTCAACACTTTCTTCCCCTTTCCTGATCTCACTCCAATACCACAGTTCACCTGAATCCTATTACATGACAGGCCATTGTAAGACACCTGTTTCCTCCCTCAAGAAGTTAAGTCTAGCAGGAAAGATATGTAAACATATTCATACAATATGATGCCCACATGCAAAGTTCAAAGTGATGAAGAAATATAAATAAAAAGTGATGATTTTCCCTAGGAGTTCAGAGAAGATTTCACAGAAGAGGTTAACTTTGAGCAAGGTTTTAAAAGATGAACAGGAGTTCACCAGGACTTCAAGACAGAGAAAGGTATCTTGGGCAGAGGAAGAACACGTACTTAGGCATAGAGGTAAATGAGAATATGAAGTATGAAGTGGGGGTTAGGAATGAGGGCAAGGAAGGGACAAGAACTAGATTGTGATGGTCACATTCATTCATTCATTCAGCAAATTTATACTGAGCACTCACTATGTGTCAGGCTCTGTTCTAGGGTCCTGGGGATACAACAGTGAACAGAATAGACCAAAGTCCCTGCCCCTCATGGAGCTAACATGCTGAGAAACTTGGACTTTACCTGTAAGCAGCTTGGATTTTTTTTTTTTTTTTTTGAGACAGAGTCTCGCTCTGTTGCCCAGGCTGGAGTGCAGTGGTGCGACCTCGGCTCACTGCAACCTCCAACTCCAGGGTTCAAGTGATTCTTCTGCCTCAGTCTCCCGAGTAGCTGGGACTACAGGCCTGAGCCACCACTCCCAGCCAGCTAGGATTTTAAGCAAGGAAGGTACGTGGTCAAACTTTCATGGCCAGATTTAAAAGATCCCTCTGGGCACAATTCAGGGAAAAGACTTAAGAGAGTCAATATTAAAGGCAGGAAGTCCAGGTGGGAGGGGACCATGAGTCTGGATGAGAGATGACAGGAGCTAAGGCAGTAGTTGTGGAGGTGGAGAGGAGACACACTGAGGAGGAGTGAAATTAACAGAAGGAAAAGCAGGTACATGAGGAAAGGGGAGTTCAGTTCGGATTTTACAGGGATTGAGGCTTGTGCAGAGCATCCAGGTGGGAATAAAAATTTAAAAGAAACTACCAAAAACCCCCCTATGACCAGGCATGGTGGCTCATGCTTATAATCCCAGCACTTTGAGAGGCTGAGGCAGGAGGACCACTTGAGCCCAGGAGGTCGAGGCTGCAGTGAGCTGTGATCGTGCCACTGCACTCCAGCCTGGGTGACAGCGTGAGACCCTGTCTCAAAACAAAACAAAACAAAACAAAACAAAACAAACCTGGCCAGGCACAGCAGCTCACACCTGTAATCCCAGCACTTTAGGAGGCTGAGGCGGGTGGATCACTTAAGGTCAGGAGTTTGAGACCAGCCTGATCAACATAGTGAAACCCTGTTGCTACGAAAAATACAAAAATTAGCTGGGCATGGTGATGCCCGCCGGTAATTCCAGCTACTTGGGAGGCTGAGGCAGGAAAATCACTTGAACCTGGGAGGCGGAGGTTGCAGTCAGCCGAGATGGCACCACCGTACTCCAGCCTGGGCAACAGAGTGAGACTCTGTCTAAAAAAAAAAAAAAAAAAAACCTCCCCTCTTTGCATTTAAGGTTTTCCATGATCTGATTCCAGTCAATTTTTCCCTGTCCCCTCTTCTTACCTTCAGATGGCACTTTCAGGATGCCTCCCTGATCTCCCAGTAGGAAGCCAGTTCTCCTTCTGGACTACCATGAACTCATACCTCTGAGTGTCTTTCAACCCTAGTACCTTTCTAGCATGTGACGTCATTTACATTTGTGTCTTTTGTTTTGTTTTGTTTTTTGAGACAGTCTCGCTTTGTTGCCCAGGCTGGAGTGCAGTGGTGTGATCTTGGCTCACTGCAACCTCCGCCTTCCGGGTTCAAGCAATTCTCCTGCCTCAGCCTCCCGAGTAGCTGGGATCACAGGCACTCGCCACCACGCCTGGCTAATTTGTTTCTGTATTTTTAGTAGAGACCGGGTTTCACCATGTTGGCCAGGCTGGTCTTGAACTCCTGACCTCAAGTGATCCACCTGCCTCGGCCTCCCAAAGTGCTGTGATTATAGGCATGAGCGACTGAGCCCGGCCCACATTTGTGTCTTATCTCCTATACAACACTATCAGTTCTTTGAGGGCTGCATCCATGTCTGACTTATCTTTATGCCTTCACACAAAAGGTACTCAAATATTTGAACAAATAAATGAATAACCAAACAAATCAATCCTACTCTGTGCCTTAGCACTTGGAAAAACTATACCCTGGAGCCGTATGAATGAAATAAAAACATGGTAGACAACAGGGCATGGCCAGGGGCCAGGGCAGCTGCCTTGCCACACCACAACACCTTATAGCAAGAACTCTGACTTTCCAGACCAATAAGGACAGGACCTGAATATATTATAAGTGGCACAGAGCCAAATGCCTATTTCCTGATACTTCTTGTGCTTACATGCAGAGGGGTTCAAAGAAAAAAATCATTGCACTGAAATCCGCTACCTACTTGTGTTGCTTTCACTGTTTGTTTAATGAATGAAAGAAGCCACTCCAGTTTTCTGGTTTTAGCTGGGCCACTTACTACTTACATTCTTACGAAACTCACTAAACCCTTCTAGGTAACAGTTTCTCCATATTTCCTCTGCCAAAGGCATGGGACACCATGAGAGACTTGTGGATGTGAAAGGGTGATCAGTCTGTGAAATGCCATTATACACACAGCAATGAGAATTTGAACAAGTTCCCACGGTGTGTTCATGGAAGCAGCCACTATCTTCCCAATGCTGGTGAAGCCAGTGTCTCAGAACCAGAAACAGCATTTTCAAGTGTTTCTTTTTTTTTTCTTTTTCCTTTTTTTTTTGAGACAAGGTCTCACTCTGTCATCGAGGCTGGAAGCACAATCACAGCTCACCGCAGCCTCGACCTCCCAGGCTCAGGTGATCCTCCCACCTCAGCCTCCTGAGTAGCTGGGACTATGGGTACATGCAATGACGCCTGGCTAATTTTTCAATTTTTTTTTTTTTTTTTTTTTTTTTTTTTTTTTTTTTTTGTAGAGATGGGGTTTTGCCATCTTGCCCGGGCTGGTCTCAAACTCCTGGGCTCAAGCAATCCTCCCTCCTTGGCCTCTCAAAATGCTGGGATTATAGGTGTGAGCCACTGCACCTGGCCATTTTCAAGTTTTTCAAGTCTTGTTTTAATCAGACACACTGAGTGCTCTTGCTTTTTAAAAAAATGAAATTTGAAGCCGGGCATAGTGGCTCATCCTTGTAATCCTAGCACTTTGAGAGGCCGAGGCAGGGGGATCACCTGAGGTCAGTAGTTCGAGTCCAGCCTGGCCAACATGGTGAAACCTCATCTCTACTAAAACTACAAAAACTAGCCAGGCATGGTGGCACGTGCCTGTAATCCCAGCTACTCGGGAGGCTGAGGCAGGAGACTCGCTTGAACCCAGGTGGCAGAGGTTGCAGTGAGCTGAGATCGCACCACTGCACTCCAGCCTGGGCAACAGAGTGAGACTCTGCCTCAAAAAAATTAAAATAAAATAAACCCAGAAATTAGAAAGTTTCAAGACAGGCCAGGCACAATGGCTCACACCTGTAATCCTGGCACTTTGAGAGGCTGAGGTGAGAGGATTGCTTGATCCCAGGAGTTTGAGACCAAACTGAGCAACATAGGGAGACCTTGTCTCTATTATAAATCAAACATACAAAAAATTAGCTGGGTGTGGTGGTGTATGCCCGTAATCACAGCTACTTGGGATGCTGAAGTGGGAGGATCACTTGAGCTCGGGAGGTCGAGGCTGCAGTGAGCTGTGATTATGCCACTGCACTCTAGTCTGGGCAACAGAGTAAGACCCTGTCTCAAAAAAAAAAAAAAAAAAGTCTCAAGACAGCCATTTAGTAATGAATAAAAATAGCTGATCTCCCTTTATTTAAAAGACTTTCACTTCAGAGAATCAGAAGCTAAAAAAAGGAAAAGACTTTCACTACTCAATATTTCACTACTAGACTGCAATTCATGAATTTCTTGGCTTGAGGTTCTGGTATTTTTTTCCTTTTCTTTTCTTTCTTTCTTTCTTTTTTTTTTTGAGAAGTAGTCTCGCTCTGTCACCCAGGCTGGAGTGTGGTGGCACGATCTCGGCTCACTGCAAGCTCCGCCTCCTAGGTTCAAGCTATTCTCCTGCCTCAGCCTCCTGAGTAACTGGGATTACAGGCGCGTGCCGCCGCGCCCAGCCTTGGCTTAAGGTTTGGAAGCCACGTTTCATCAGTAAGTTGGCAGCCAAGTTTATTTTTGTCTCCTACAAGACACCTTATAACACAATTACCTCACCTGTTAAGAGGAGTTAGCCATATTAACTCAACTCTCATAACTGTTCAAAGAAACAAGCAGGTTCTCTTAAAACGCAAAAGCCCACCAAAGGATGTAAAAAATTAGCTCACATGATGTCAAATACTGGCTCTAAAATAGTCTCAAGTCAGCCGGGCACAGTGGCTCACGCCTATAATCCTGGCACTTTGGGAGGCCAAGGCAGGAGGATCACTTGAGGTCAGGAGTTTGAGACTAGCGTGGCCAACATGGTGAAACCCTGTCTCTACTGAAAATACAAAAACTAGCTGGGCGTGGCGGTATGCGCCTACGGTAATCCCAGCTACTCGGGAGGCTGAGGCAGAAGAATCACTTGAACCTGGGAGGCAGAGGTTGCAGTGAGCCGAGATCACACCGTTGCACTCCAGCCTGGGTGACAGAGCGAGACCCTGTCTCAATCAATCAATCAATCAATCAATCAAATAGTCTCAAGTAGATGGCATCATCAAGCATGCCAGGCTGGGTGCCTAGTCTCTGACAAGCACCTTGGCTGACACAGAGAAGTATAAATCTCTGGAGCATATATCTCTGGACATCACTTCAATCTCATTCTCCCCACACAAAACTGACCTCCCAGCATAGAGGAAATCTAAGATGATATGTGAGAAAAAGTTCTGAAAACTCTCTCATTTGGTCCCCACAACAAACCTGTGAGAGAGGCAGGGCAGGGATGATTATTCCCGTTTTACAGATGACAAAACAGACTCAAAGAGATTCAATGATTTAACCAAGGTCCCACTGCCGGTTAGTGGAAGAGAGTGGGTTCCTCCCATGTCTCCAAACTGCCCCCAACACACTTACATTCCAGTTGTAGAGGTAAAACACAAACATACATGAAGAAATAATGCCCTGCATATAGCAGGTGCTCAATTAATGCATATTGGTGGTGGTGGTGGTGGCAATAATGGTGACTGATGATGATCATAATGAGATGGTGATACTGGTGATGATGGTAGTGATGATGATGGTACTGGTGATGATGGTAATGATGATGGTACTGGTGATGATGGTAGTGATGATGATGGTACTGATGATGATGGTAATGATGATGGTGATACTGGAGATGATGGTAATGATGATGATGGTACTGGTGATGATGGTAATGAATAGTACTGGTGATGATGATAGTGATGATGATGGTACTGATGATGGTGATACTGGAGATGATGGTAATGATGATGATGGTACTGGTGATGATGGTAATGATGGTACTGGTGATGATGGTAGTGATGATGGTAATGATGACGATACTGGTGATGATGGTAATGATGATGGTACTGGTGATGATGGTACTGATAATGTTGGTAGTGACAATGATGATGGTGATAATGATCATGATGATGGGAGAACACAAGGCACAGACAGTGTGTACTCAATCACTGGCAGGGCTGATGAATGCTAAGGGAGCTCACCTGAGTCCTCTCCATACCAGTCAGCCTGGACATCCATCATGGAACTCATGGCTACTCCTGCACCTTCTGGTCTTCCTTCCAAACTCCTAGAAAAGTGATGGTCTGCATCATCCTTGCTCGGGGCAGCGCTGTTGCGCAAGAGCGCCTCCAGGAACTGCTTCACGTGGTAGTTGCTGTAAGCCAAGTCAACCGCCTGGCCGCTTGGCAAGGCCTCCTCCACGTGGGCCAGGTTCAGCGGGGCAGCATACTGCTGCAGCTGTTCACCAACGTCCACCTCCACTTCATCAGCATCAAATTCCACCTTGGGCTCTATCCGTTTGGGTGGAGTAGAGAGGTTGCTGTCAGCCGAGCCACCGCCAAGGCTGTCTCTCACCACCAGTTCCAAGGGGTGGCAGTCTCCGCAGTCACCGCAAGGGGACTCTCTCAGGCACTCCACGCTCTTTTCTCCCTCGGCTGGAGAGGAGACCAAGCTCTTGGTACCACAGGAGGTCCCCTCCCGGCCTGAACTGGGGCTTTCACTGTCAACCTGATGAGCCGCCGCTGCTGCCGCCGCTGCAGCCGCCGCCGCTGCCGCCGCCACTGCTGCAGCCACAGCAGCCTCCTTCTCCATCTTTCGGCAAATGTCGAGGGATGACCTAATGTATGTCTTGCAGAAGTTCACCACGTCATTCATCTGCAGGTAGCTGGCAGCCGACATCACTTCAATCACATTCTCCCCACACAAATCCAACTTCCCAGAATAGAGGAAATCTAAGATGATGGAGAAGGCATCAGAGGTGACAATGTCCAAGGAGGCGGTGCTATGCCGCCCGCTGTCCTGGATATAGTGAATGAGCAGGGCTCGGAAGTAGCCGCTGTTAGCAAACAAAATGTTCCTGTGGGCCTTGAAGATCCGCCCTTCCACAATGATGCTGCAGTCACAGAAAAAGTCCCTCTTTCTCTGTTCATTCAGCTCCCCCAAAAGCTTGGCATAATAGGATTGCATCTCCATTGCTCCGCCAGCTGCTGCTGCTCCAGAGCAAACCTGTATCTCTGCCAAGATTTTTCTTAAGTTAATTCACAAATCCCAACCTTTACAAACAAGATTTCTTTTTTTTTTTTTTTTTTTTTTTTTTTGAGTCAGCGTCTTGCTCTGTTGCCCAGGCTGGAGTGAAGTGGCGCAATCTCGGCTCACTGCAACCTCCGCCTCCTGGGTTCACGCCATCCTCCTGCCTCAGCCTCCCGAGTAGCTGGGACTACAGGTGCCTGCCACCACGCCCGGCAAATTTTTTGTATATTTAGTAGAGGCGGGGTTTCACCGTGTTAGCCAGGATGGTCTGGATCTTCTGACCTCGTGATCCGCCCGCCTCGGCCTCCCAAAGCGCTGGGATTACAGGCGTGAGCCACCACGCCCGGCCAATAAGATTTCTTTTAAAAATTTTAAACAACTTTTCCAAAACCAGTGGTGCAATAGTGTCTTTAGGATATGGGCTTCCCAGCACTTTGGGAGGACAAGGCAGGCAGATTACTTGAAATCAGGAGTTTGAGACCAGCCTGCCCAACATGGTGAAACCCCTTCTCTGCTAAAAATACAAAACTTAGCCGGGCCTGTAATCCCAGCTACTAGGGAAGCTGAGGTGGGAGAATCGCTTGAACCCAGGAGATGTAAGCTGCGTGAAACAAGATTGTGCCACTGCACTCCAACCTGGGTGACAGAGCAAGATTCTGTCTCAAAATAATAATAATAATATGGTCTGCTTTGGATCTAATAAAAATAAGAGGTTATCCAACTGGGTTAATTTATGGAAAAAAATAACTATAGCTAATTGCATGTGAGCACAGTGCTTACTGTTTTACATGAATTCTTTCAATGAATTTTTATAAAAACCTTGTAAGTAAATATTAATATTGTCTCCCTTGTTCTGATAAGGAAATTGAGGGTAGGAGATGACCCAGTTGTAACAGATCTGGGACTCAAAATCAGGTCTATTGGCCTCCAGAGCCAATGCTCTAATGTACTACATTCTACTTTCTTCAAGGCTCAAACTATAGAAAATATCCACATCTAAGAATTATACTTGAGGCCAGGCACGGTGGCTCACACCTGTAATCCTAGCACTTTGGGAGGCTGAGGCGGGCAGATCAGCTGAGGTCTGGAGTTTGAGACCGGCCTGGCCAACATGGCAAAACCCCATCTCTACTAAAACTACCATCTCTACTAAAAATTAGCCAGGCGTGGTGGCGGGTACCTGAGTCCCAGCTACTCAGGAGGCTGAGGAAGGAGAATTGCTTGAACCCAGGAGGCGGAGGTTGCAGTGAGCTGAGACTGCGCCACTACACTCCAGCCTGGGCGACAGAGTGAGATTCTGTCTCAAAAAAAAAAAAAAAAATTATACTTGAGTGTTTAGTGTATCAATCTGAAACTGGTTTTCTTTTTTAGAGGAAGGGTCTTGGGTCTGTCGCCCAAGCCAGAGTGCAAATGGTGTGATCATAGCTCACTACACCTTCAAACTCCTGGGCTCAAGCAACCCTCCTGCTTCAGCCTCCCAAGACCTAGGACTACAGGTGCATACCACTGCGCCTGGCCAATTAAAAAAAAATTTTTTTTTGTAGAGATGGCAGTCTTGGTATGTTTCCTAGGCTGGTCTCAAGCTCTTTGCCTCAAGCGATCCTCCTGCCTCCACCCCTCAAAGTCCTGAGATTACAAGCATAAGCCACCACACCCAGCCTCCAGTGTCCCAATTCAAAACTTTGAGACTGGTCTTTTTTTTTTTTTGAGACAGATTCTCCCTCTCTCGCCCAGGCTGGAGTGCAATGGCGCGATCTCGGCTCACTGCAACCTCCGCCTTCCATATTCAAGCGATTCTCCTGCCTCAGCCTCCCAAGTAGCTGGGATTACAGGTGTATGCCACCACACCCAGCTAATTTTTTGTATTTTAGTAGAGATGGGGTTTCACTGTGTTACCCAGGCTGGTCACGAACAAGACTGGTCTCCCTTTATCATCATTATACTGAAGTATTTGGTGGATTCTTGGGCTAGCCAGCATGCATTCCCCATTCTTTTGGTTCTAGTGCCTTTTTTCGGCTTTGATGGAAGCATCCTTCCCCCATTCTTGGCCAACATGCTTTGCATAAAGCTGGTGCCATCCTCAAGCACCAGGTGTGTAAGCTATAATGTAGGCTAATAAAATTAAGGCATCCCACCCTGTGACCACAGTGATTGGCTCGGAGATGGCCATGTAGTTTTCAGAGCCAATGAAAAGCAATGAAACATTTGCTGGAATTTCAAAAAAGAGCACTCTTTGCTCTGTGGGATGCAGGATGTGAGGGATGTTGCTGCCATACCACCAGGGAAGTCAGCCTAACAAAGATGACAGCCCAGCTCAGGCTGATGGAGCCTGGGGACAACATTGGAGCCCCAACTCAAGCAGTGCCAGAAGCCAATTAAGTTCCTTTTTGGTTTAGCTGGTCTGAGTTGGGTTTTCTTTTTTAAATATTATTATTATTATTTTTTGAGATGGGGGATGGGGTCTCACTCTGTCACCCAGGCTGCAGTGCAGTGGTGTGATCTCGGCCCACTCTGACCTCCGCCTCCCTGGCTAAAGTAATCATCCTACCTCAGCCTCCCGAGTAGCTGGGACTACAGGTACCCACCCCCACGCCAGGCTAATTTTTTTTGTACTTTTGGTAGAGACAGGGTTTTGCCATGTTGCCCAGGCTGGTCTCGAACTCCTGGCCTCAAGTGATCTGCCCCCCTCAGCCTCCTAAAGTGCTGGGGTTACAGGTGTGAGACACCACACCTGGCCTCTGAGTTGGGTTTTCTATTTCATGCAACTGGGAGACTCCTAACTGACTGATTCCACTACCCTTGGTTAACTCCTGTTTATTATTTATGTCCTGGCCCTTCTCTGTCAATGAACTACAAGCCCTTTGAAAGCATGAGCCATGTCTTATTCAATTTTATATCCCTTACAGTATCTGGCAGAGTGCTTTGGACAAAATAGATTTGTTAAGCAAAAAAGGAATATTCATTTCTTAACTGCTTAGTAGATAAACTATAAACCAAGTTTAAAATCCACTTGGGGCCGGGTGTGGTGGCTCACACTTGTAATCCCAGCACTTTGGGAGGCCAAGGTGGGTAGATCACCTGGGGTCAGGAGTTCGAGACCAGCCTGGCCAACGTAGTGAAACCCCGTCTCTACTAAAAATACAAAAAAATTAGCTGGGCATGGTGGCGGGCACCTGTAATCCCAGCTACTCGGGAGGCTGAGGCAGGAGAATCACTTGAACCCAGGAGGCGGTGGAGGCGGAGGCTGCAGTGAGCAGAGATTGTGCCACTGCACTCCAGCCTGGGCGATAGTGCGAGACTCCATCTCAAAAAAAAAAAAAAAAACAAGTGTGTGGAGGGACTTTCGCCTTTCATTTTAAACCTTTCTGATAGAATGTTTTACTATGTGCATGTATTGCTTTTCTTTTCTTTTGAGACGGGGTCTTACTTTGTTACCCAGGCTGGAGTGCAGTCCATGATCACAGTTCACTGCCGCCTCGACCTCCCAGGCTCAAGCAATCCTCCTACCTCAGCCTCCCAAGTAGCTGTGACTACAGGCATGCAGCACCACACTCAGCTAATTCTGAAAACATTTTTTTGTAGAGATGGGGTCTCACTATGTTGCCCTGGCTGGTCTCAATGGTCTTGAACTCCTGGACTCAAGTGATCCTTCTGCCTTGGCTTTTTTCTTTGTTAACTAAGAAAAAAAGGAGGCAGGGCAGAGGGGTAAGGAGTTGGTAAGCCAGGTAGATAAATATGTAAGTACGCACAACACTTCTTAACTTGTAGTATGGTCTGATCTATAGGGGCTCTTCCCAGGGCACTTCCGTCTTTCACTGGAAAAGCCTCCTTTCCAGAAATAGCACCTAAAACCAATTTCTTTTGGCTTTCTTACTGAAATTATTTTTTATTCTATTGCAATTATTTTTATTCTACTTCCTGACGTTGCAAAAGTCTATCCGTATAGTATTTTCTTCAAAATTTTCCCCAATCCTGTACTTGGTATATATTGTGTAAATATTTATTTATATCACCCCCATTTGCCTGAAGTGCTCTGCTGCCCCGGGAAGTGCTGAGGATCACCACTTATCCCAGAAGAGCAGCTCTTAGGGCAGACTGCTCTCAGAAGCACATTTATCCGCACTCTGGCAGGGAACCTCCCAACCATCCCACGGTTCCAACTCAATTCAACGGTTACCGGCTACATACAATGCCTGACACAAGGAAGATGCCAGGAATAGAAAAATGAACCAAGTATAGTGCCTGTCCTCCAGGAGACAGCAGATGCCAACACAACTACCTGCAATACAAACTCTCATATACCCTTGAGGGAGTCCTAGCCAGATCACACAACTGTCTCTGTTCAGAGGCCAAAAGCAGCCTTGAATTCCACCTCCGACCCTTTCTGACAAGACTCCTCCAGTCCCACCAACCTGAGAATAACAAAAACCTGCTCCTCAATTTTAGTAAATATTAAGCACTATTCCTTATAAAACACTGTACAAAGTACAAGCATATTCATTTTACTTTTTAAATTAAAATTTTTAAAAGGCACGGTCTTGCTCGGTTGCCCAGGTTGGAGTGCACGATCCTACCTCAATGCAGCCTGGAACTCCTGGGCTCAAGAGATCCTCCCAACCTTAGCTTCCCGAGTAGCAGGGACTACAGGTGCGCGCCACCATGCCTGGCTTTTACAAGCACATTAGTTTTCACCTCACAATAATCCAGTACGACAGATACTCTAACTACATCCTCTTTTTCAGAGGAGGAACTGAGATTCAAAGATGCAGATAACATCACCAAGTTAGTAATAGAACAGAGATCCGACTGACTCCCGGGTTGACATCCTTAACCACTATGCTAACCGGCCTCCTCAAACCCTCCAGGACACGATGCGACAGGTTGGGGAAGTCACTCCTTTCTTTTAGGCATGGATCGGAGGAGAAGGACACTGGAGAAGTTTCCATTTCCATACGAAGAATTTCAGGGTCAACTGCATCTAAACTGCTCGCAAGACAGACCCTCCCCCGTCCAGCATCAGACGACCTGCAGAGAGGCCACCAGAACCAGCTACAGGGCACGGCCCCCGAGGGTGGGACCCCAAGGCCTAGCCCCTCCCATGGCCTCCCGCGGACAAAGTGGCCATCGCTGCCGCTGGCACTTCTCCAGTGTGGCCGAGCCCCCCACGCCTGGGCACCATTCACCGTGGAAGTAGTCGGCGCCGCGACCCCCGGCTGGACGACGCGGAGGACACCCAATGACAGGGAAGCTGGGGCCCCACGGCCGCGCCTGCCCCTCCCCACGCTAGAAGGGCTCGCGGGGCGGAGGTCCCAGGAGTTGCCAGGGCCAAGCGGTCCGAAGGAGGATGACTGAGTGGGGGCAACCCTGCCCGCTAACCCCAATCTCCAGCCAGCCTCCCGGGTGCTAGGAATCCTCCCCAAACCAACGAAAGCGGCAGCGCCAACCCGCTTCTTCGCGCTCACCTTCCAGCGGGTTCCAGCAGCGCAGCCACGGAGCACCGCGCACCGACACGCCCCCCTTTCATTCACCTGGCGCCCTCCGATGAGAGGCGGGGCGGCTGGCCAATCGCGGGAGCGCCTGGCCTCGGGAAGGCGGGCCCTTCGGCCAGCAGGGTGGTCAATGGCGCTGGTGCCCCTCGGAGGATGCGCTCTGAAGGCGCTGGTGCTCGCAGGGTGATGGGAGTTGTGGTCTCAGCGCTGGCTTTTCGGGTAAAGATAGAGTGGACAAAACTACAAGTACCAAGATGCCAAAAGGGGCGAGGACCAGTGCTAGCGAAAGGCTGCAGCTCGGTTCGGTCTTTTGAGTCCCACTTGAGGGACCTGCCAAGTACCGGTCTCTTTGTCTGGAGAGCGAAAAGCACGTCGTGGGTATTAATGCAGTCCAGGGAATAAGAGCTTTGACTCATCAGTCCGCACATATTTCACCTACTGGCGCTTTCCGCAAAAATCTGGAAATAAGGGAAATGGTTTAATCGATTCAACAGGTTTTTATTGCATACCCGCGGTTTCTTTCACTGGGTAGTCGTTACAAAAGATAAAAGATTCAGCTCTTCCCTTGACAGGCTCTCCGGTTCATACATACTAGTGAAACGGTTAAATGGCAGTACTAGGTGCTAAGTGACCGTACAGGCGTGTTCTTGTCAGCTGTGAGCAAGACAAGGCAGCTTACCGCTCTCAGGGAGCTTAGTTCTCATGGGGGTGTATTCGTTTGCTAGGGCTGCTGTACCTAAGTATCACCAACCCGGTGGCGTCAATAACAGATCTTATTGTCTGACAATCCTGGGGGCATCTGAAAGCAAGATGTTGGCAGGGTTCTTTCCTTCTGAGCGCTGTGAGGAAACGGTCTCTTCCAGGCTTCTCTCCTGGGCTTGCATATGGCCATCTTCATGTTCACAGGGCATATTCCCTGTATATGTCTCCATGTCAAAATGTCTCCTTTTGGTTGCAGTGAGTCGAGATCGCGCCACTGCACTCCAGCCTGGGGCGACAGAGAGAGACTCCGTCTCCAAAAAAAAAGTATTTTTATAAGGATACCAGTCATATTGGATTAGGGGTTCACTCTATGCCAGTATGACTTTTTTTTTTTTTTTTTTTTTTTTTTTGAGACGGAGTCTCAGACTCTGTTGCCCAGGCTGGAGTGGTGGCGGGTGGATCACCTGAGGTCAGGAGTCCGAGACCAGCCTGGCCAACATGGTGAAACCCCATCTCTACTAAAAATACAAAAATTAGCCGGGCGTGGGCCAGTAATCCCAGCTACTTGGGAGGCTGAGGCAGGAGAATGCTTGAACCAAAGAGATTGCAGTGAGTGGAGATCTGGCCACTGCACTCCAGCCTGGGCAGCAGAGCAAGACTCTGTCTCAAAAAAAAAAAAAAAAAAAAAAAAGGCTACCCCCTTCGCTGAGAGACCCTAATGAGGAGTAGTGAGCCATGCTAAGATAAAACAGAAAACCGGTTGGTACATATCTAAGAAACAGGAGAATGCCATTGGGTTGAGGAAGTGGATGGCAGGTAGACCAGCTTAATGGACGTGCAACCCACGCAGTGGCACAGGCCCGCACACTCAGAAAGGGCTGGTGCTTCCAGGTGAGGTTTTATACTTAACAAAACAAAACAAAAAAAGAGCCAGGTGCGGTGGCTTACACCTGTAATCCCAGCACTTTGGGAGGCTGAGGCGGGCGGATCACTTGAGACCAGCCTGGCCAACATGGCAAAACCCAGTGTCTACTAAAAATACAAAAATTAGCTGGGCATGGTGACACATACCTGTAATCCCAGCTACTCGGGAGGCTGAGGCATGAGAATCACTTGAACATGGAAAGTGGAGGTTGCAGTGAGCTGAGATTGTGCCACTGCACTGTTTCAAGGAGGAGGAGGACGAGGAGGAGGAGAGAGGGAAGAGGGAAGAAGAAGAAGAGGAAGAGGAAGGAGAGGAAGGAGAAGGAGGAGGAGGAGAAGAAGAAGAAGAAGAAAGATTTAATTACTAACAAAAAGAAAATCTAAATAAATATTTTAAAAATTAAAAAAAAGGAAAGGGCTGATGCCTGGTTTAATGCTCTGCCATTGCCCTCTTAAAATTCTTAGTAGTTTTTGAACAAGGAGCTCTGCATTTTCATTTTGCATTGGGCCCCACAAATTATGTAGCCAGTCCAAGCGACAGGAAATATGAATGGATAGAGAAGCAAAGGCCAGATTATGTAGGAATTTGTAGGCCACCTTAAGGAGTTTGGATTTTTTCTTATGAATGTGAAGGGACACCTTCGAAGGATCTTAAGCAGGGAAGAGATAAGATATGATCTCTCCCCTGCTGATAGATGCTGATAACTGGGGATAGGGTAGAGGTGGTAGAGATGGAGGGGTTTGTTTAGGATATATTTTAGAGCTTGTCAAAAATGTAATTGCAGTTCACTCTAAAGATAACTTAATAATTTTAGAAGGTAAAATGTCAGCCAAACACCACTATACTATCTATCAAAGAAAAGTAGTTTACCTATTTCTTGTAAAGCTGGATACCCAGAGAGGGACAGCAGCAGTTACATCTTTCCTGTTAGTGTGGCTGTCCTTGCCACCTGGTTCCCAAAGGCCAGCTCAGGTGCTGAGGACTTTTGATCATCATAGCAGCAGAGAAAGCATCAGAAGTGAGGAGCACCAAGCTTCTCTGGGCTCAGCCTTTTGTATCTTCTTACCTGGGAAGTCATGTCACTGATGCCTTCACCTTAATTATGACTGTACCTGGAACTCACCCTAGTATTCATTCCACATCTCCTGCATCCAGGCTCCAAGTTTCAGGTCCCAAATTTTATGACTATGGCACACGCAACCTGTACTGGATGACCTAGTAACATTCCAGACTGCTAACGTAAAAGGGCTTTTTGGGGTGGCCTGCATAGGACATGCCCCTGACAACTAGGCATAGGAAATGTTAGAGGCCTTATGATCTCTAGATCTGTTGTGGTCTGCTGTGGGACTTACTCTCGCCACCAAGACCAGCACAACCTTTAGTGTTAGATGCTCTGAACTTCAGTATATTTTTCAAGGTTCAGTTAAAACCAACCTGGCTAGTTTAAGCAAAAAGCAACCTGGCTAGTTTAAACAGAAAAGAATTCATATAAGGAATTAAGTAATACAAATTATCAGGGAGGCTAGAGAATGACTCTGCAGGGATGACTCCAAACTGTCCCAACAGGGTAGCTACCCATTTTTGCTGCAATCAGGAAGGTAAGAAATCAGGACATCACCACTGTACCTGTTAAGCTCAACAACACACTGTTGTGGCTGTGATTAAGGGATTGGAAGTCACCATCACTATTGCTGCCCCTGAAACAGGCTCTCGACCCCTACATGGCTAGTGACTGGACCCTGCAACCCTGCTGCAGACACACCTCATACCTTTGCTGCCACACTTCAGCAGCAAGCAGCAGGCGGGTGGCCTCCACTTCATTTCCAAATCCTGGCCATGACATTTTAACTCTCCAGATTCTGCAGCATAGGAAGGGACACTAGAAGGAGATGGGAATGGATGCTGACTGCTAATCGACAGTACCCAGCAGCATGAATGGCACAGCAATGTGTCACTGAATCTAAAACTTAGGACCTCCAGAGCAAAAAATAGAGAATTAAAAATTGCTGGCTGGGTGCAGTGGCTTACGCCTATAATCCCAGCACTAGGAGAACGAGGCAGGTGGATCACCTGAGGTCAGTAGTTCGAGACTAGCCTGACCAACATCGCAAAACCACCCCCCACTAAAAATACAAAAATTAGGCTAGGCGCAGTGGCTCACGCTTGCAATCCCAGCACTTTGGGAGACCAAGGAAGGTGGATCACCTGAGGTCAGGAGTTTGAGACCAGCCTGGCCAACATGAAACGCCTCTCTAATAAAAATACAAAAAAATTAGCCAG
Organism: Homo sapiens; assembly: GCF_000001405.40. Lineage (NCBI taxonomy): Eukaryota > Metazoa > Chordata > Mammalia > Primates > Hominidae > Homo > Homo sapiens. Next base: position 32,461,171 of record NC_000001.11, on the reverse strand, counting down.
GCATGGTAGCACGCACTTGTAGTCCCAGCTATTCGGGAGGCTGAGGCACGAGAATCGCTTGAACCCAGGAGGCAGAGGTTACAGTGAGCAGAGATGCTGCCACTGCACTCCACCCTGGGCAACAGAGCAAGACTCCATCTCAAAATAATAAGTAAATAAAAATAAAAATACAAAAATTAGCTGGGTGTGGTAGCATACGACTGTAATCCCAGCTACTTGGGAGGCTGAAGCATGAGAATCAACTTGAGCCTGGGAGGTGGAGGTTACAGTGAGCTGAGATGGCACCACTGCACTCCAGCCTGGGTGACAAAGCAAGACTCTGTCAAAAAAAAAAAAAAAATTCCTAAGGGATGACTTCCTGGAAAACAAGCAACCCTATCTTCCCAAAGGGAAATGAGAAAGCATCGCAGCAGGCACTATTTGTTTCCCTTGCCTCTTCCTTAATTGTTTTGATTTAAGATATCATAGAATATTTGGAGCTGTTTATTAGTTTCTACAATGCCAGAGTAATTGATTGAAGTATCAGGGTATAACCCCTTCTCTGGTAACTGACACATTTTTGAGTACTGACTGATGTTGGGAGACAGCTTCTGTCAAGAAGTTGACCTTCTGGAATGCTACAAAGGATACGTTCATGAAAACCTCTAGTGGTTAGGGACAAATTGTGAATACCCACAGGGTGACTTTTGCACTATAAGAAAGCAAAAATCAGGCTGGGTGCAATGGCTCACACCTGTAATCCTAGTACTTTGAGAGGCTGAGGCAGGCAGTTCACTTGAGGTCGGGAGTTCGAGGCCACCCTGGCCAACAGGGTGAAACCCCATCTCTACTAAAAATACAAAAAAAAAAAAAAAAAAAAAAGCCAGGTGTGGTGGTGCATGTCTGTAATCCCAGCTACTCAGGAGGCTGAGGCAGGAGAATTGCTTGAACCTGGGAGACAGAGGTTGCAGTAAGCTGGGATCATGCCACTGCACTCCAGCCTTGGTGACAGAGTGAGATCCTGTCTCAAAAAAAAATAAATAAATAAAAATTAAAAAGCAAAAACCAAGCTCCCTACCCCTAACACCAGGACATGTTCTGGCCTGACAGTGCCCTGTAGAAGCACTTGCTCTAACTAGGTAAAGCAACAGTGTTATGATGCCAGCAGGCTCCAAGTTCCTAATGGTACAAGTACTTGACCCAGGATAGGATGCTATTGACTTATTTCTCACCAAACCACAACTGTCCTCCCACTAATATATGCACAGAGCCAAGAGCTGTGCTTGAGTAGGATGGGGAGCATGGGCCCATTCATGGCAATGCTTTGTATGAAAACATAGCAGGAGAGTGATATGATTTGGCTGTGTGTCCTCACCCAAATTTCATGTTGAATTGTAGCTCCCATAACCCCCATGTGTTGTGAGAGGAACCCAGTGGGAGGTAATTGAATCATGGGAGCAGGGTGCTGTTCTCATGATAGTGAATAAGTCTCAGGAGATCTGATGGTTTTATAAAGGGCAGTTCCCCTGCACAGACCCTCTTGCCTCCCAGCATGTAAGACATGCCTTTGCTCCTCCTTCACCTTCCACCACGATTATGAGGCCTCCCCAGTCATGTGGAACTGTAAGTTCACTAAACCTCTTCTTTAAAATTACCCAGTCTTGGGTATGTCTTTATTAGCAGCGTGAGAACAGACTAATACAGAGAGAAATGAGTATTGCGGGAACCCGCCCCCAATATTTCAACGTAGGTTCTTTCTATTTTCCCTAAGTGTCGGCTCATCTGAGAAATAAAGAGAAAGAGTACAAAGAGAGGAATTTTACAGCTGGGCCTCCAGGGGTAACATCACCTATCAGTAGGTCTGTGATGTTCCCTGAGCCACAAAACCAGCAAGTTTTTATTAGGGATTTAAAAAGGGAGGGGGGCGTATGAACACGGAGTAGGTCACAAAGATCCCATGCTTCAAAGGGCAATAAAGATCACAAGGCAAAGACAAAATTAGAATTACTAATGAGGGTCTATGTCCCACTGTAGCATGTATTGTCTTGATAAACATCTTAACAGAAAACAGGGTTCGAGAGCAGAGAACGAGTCTGAGCAAAATTTACCATGCTGGAATTTCCTAGTCCTAGTAAGCCTCAGGGTACTCAGGAGATTAGGGCGTATTTCAGTCCTTACCTCAACCACATAAGACAGACACTCCCAGAGCGGCCATTTATAGACCTCCCCCCAGGAATGCATTCCTTCCCCAGGGTATTCCTTGCTGGGAAAAGAATTCAGCGATACCTCTCCTATTTGCATGTCCATTTATAGGCTCTCTGCAAGAAGAAAAATATGGCTCTATTCTGCCCAACCCCACAGGCAGTCAGACCTTATGGTTATCTTCCCTTGTTCCCTGAAAACTGCTGTTATTCTGTTCTTTTTCATGGTGCACTGATTTCATATTGTTCAAACACACGTTTTACAATCAAATTGTACAATAGTGGTCCTGAGGTGACGTACATTCTCAGCTTATGAAGATAACGGGATTAAGAGATTAAAGTAAAGACAGGCATAAGAAATTATAAGAGTACTATTAGGGAAGTGATAAATGTCCATGAAATCTTCACAATTTACTCCTAGTGAGAAGTACTCAGAACAATAGAGAGCCACTTGAGGAACTACACACAATTCACCTCTTCTCAGGGGTTCCCTAAGTTTCCACTGAGAGTGGATGTGTGTGATACTTGAATAATAGAGTCAGGAGCAGCTGGGCACTTCCCAAAAAGATGCAAGAATAGAAGCTGCCCACGTGGTCAGGAGGCATCTGGTTTGTCAGGAGCAATATGGTAGAGTGTGGATAACTTGTGTTGCAACAGATGTGGGCTCCACCTGCCTTCATCCAACAAGGTGCTATAATGTCCTTGCCTATAACCGATACCAAAGGCAAAACCATCCCCTCTGCATCTCCAGGTTCTGGGCCACCATCTCTCCTCTCCTGGGAGGAATCATGAAGTGGTCACCACAAAATATGTTGCACCTCAATGGAAGTCAGTGTTTGTTTGTTTGTTTGCTTTTAGAGATAGAGGTCTCACTATGTTGCCCAGGTGGGAGCACAGTAGCTATTCACAGGCATGATCCCACTACCGATCAGCACAGGAGTTTTGACCTGCTCTGTTTCCAACCTGGGCCAATTCACCGCTCCTTAGGCAACCTGGTGGCCCCCTGCTCCCAGAAGATCACCATATTGATACTGAACTTAATGCAGACACCCAATCAGCATAGTGCATTACAGCCCAGAACTCCTGGGCTCAAGTGATCCTCCTGTCTCAGCCTCTTGAGTAGCCGGGACTATAAGGCACGTGCCACCACACCCAGACAGGGTTTCTTATTAATATTAGTTTAGGCTGGGCATGGTGGCATGTGTCTGTAGTCCCAGCTACTCGGGAGGCTGAGGTGGGAGGATCACTTGAACCCAGGAATTCAACACTAGCCTGGGCAACATAGTGAGACCCTGTCTCTACAAAAAATAAAAAATTAGCCAGGCATGGTGGCACATGCCTGTTGTCCCAGCTACTTAGGAGGCTGAGGTGGGAGGATTGCTTGAGCATGGGGGGTTGAGACTGCAGTGAGCTCTGATTGTGCCACTGAACTCCAGCCTGGGTGACAGAGTGAGGCCTGTCTCAAAGAAAAAATTCCATTTAACCCAAGGGCAACTCTGGGTTGTCCCTGCCAATGTAGGGCACTCACATTTATTCTTAGGTGTATGCATTTTCCCCTGGATTAGGTACAGTGGCCACTGCCTCTTGAGTCAATTCCAAACACCCTCTCAATCTGTATTTTACTCCCAATTGAAGCCCTGACTTTATAGAAAATGTTATAGATGGACATTTGGACAGGATGGCAGGCACAGGAATGGTCCTCTGGTGTGATTGCCTCAATTTGGTTGTTGTTTGATAGTACTTTTTGTTACAGAAAACTTTTCATATACAAAGTACATTTATTGTAAATATCCTTTATGAGATAAAGAAAGTTCCATTATGGGACAGAAAGACTTAACAGCAGGGCTGCAACCCATTCCCTCTCTTTCCTGGGGTCTGGGGAAAAAGAAATGATCCTGGTCAAATCTTAGAAACATGCTACTAACTCATACCATTGGTAAACACATGAATAGAATTTACTGGCCGAAAAATAACAGAAAATCCTTATTTATGAAACATTCTTAACCGGATATACCTGGCCTGCCTAGGTTGCTTACTATACATAATCCTGGAATTTACAGATTTATGAGGAACTTGGCTAGCAAGAAAATGGAGGATAGTCATATAATAAACTGTGTAATTAACTGGATATAAGATGGAGATGTTCCATAACCAAAATGTTTCCCTTTCTATAAGTAATGGCATCCACTCCTTGGCCTTGGCCTTGCTTCAGCATACTCCACAGCTGGGCCCCACCCTGGCCACCCTGGCCTCAATGTCACTAGCGAAGCCTCTCCCGAAAGTTGCTGCTGTTTCCCATTCCAGGGACCCTGTGGCTTCTGGGCCCACCCGCTGCACCAGGGTCATCCGCCATTTGGTGTTTTCTCATAGAAGATGCAATTTGATAATATTTTGTTTAGGATTTTTGTATTGATATCCATGATTGAGATTGACCCTTCATTTTTATTCTTGTCATATTCTTACCAGGTTTGGTTTCATGGTTATGATGCAGCACAGGTGAGCCCTGTCCTGTATCATAACCATGAAACCAAAAGGTGCTTTTAAAAAGTCTTGGAGCAACTTTTATTGAAGCAGCAGTGCACAGCGGCAGCAGAGGTACCACTCCTTGCAGAGCAGGGCTACCCCGTAGGCAGTGTGCCCAGAATAGCAGCTCAGAGGCAGGTCTGCACTCATATTTTTACTTTTAATTATATGTAAATATGATCTTTGCATATAATATAATAAGGGGCAGTTTGTGCAGAAATTTCTAGGAAAAAGGTGGCAACTTCCTGGTTATCAGAGTCATTGCCATGGAAAGGGGTGGTAAAGTCTGGGTGTTGCCATGGCAACGGTAAACTGACATGGCATACTGGTAGGCATGTTTTATGGAAAGCTGTTTCCACCCCAGACCTGTTTTAGCTAGTCCTCAATTTGGTCCAGAGTCTGAGCCCCAGCTCTGGAGTCCAGTCCTGCCTCCTACGTCAGTTATGCCAACTTCATGCAATGCACTGGAGAGTTCTCACTTTTTCTCTTCTCTGGAAGAATTTGTATAGGATGGTAATTACTCAGTCTCTGCCACAGTCCACTTTTTGACTACTCAACATCCACACTCATTCTTCTTGCAAAATATAAAACACATTGATCTTCTCCCTGAGAGGTAATCTAAAGTCCCATCCAAAGTTACTGCATCATACTTAAAGTCTCGTTATGACATGTGGTCTTCTCCATCAAATTCACATGTATAAAGACATTATCTATCATTCAACACTCCCAATATACAATGAGAGAGAAGAAAGGATGACTACAACTTTTTAAAAACCTATCATTCAAAGGCTGGGCACGGTGGCTCATGACTGTAATCCCAGCACTTTGGGAGGCCGAGGCAGGTGGATCACAAGGTCAAGAGATTGAGACCATCTTGGCTAACATGGTGAAACCCCGTCTCTACTAAAAACACAAAAAATTAGCCGGGCATGGTGGCGGGTGCCTGTAGTCCCAGCTACTCAGGAGGCTGAGACAGGAGAATGGCGTGAACCCGGGAGGCAGAGCTTGCAGTGAGCCGAGATAGTGCCACTGCACTCCAGCCTGGGCGACAGAGCGAGACTCAGTCTCAAAAAAAAAAAAACCTATCATTCAAAAAGCAGATATTATTTTTGTTTGTTTGTTTGAGACAGGGTCTTGCTCTGTCACCAAGGCTGGAGTGCAGTGAGCATCAAGGCTCACCACAGCCTCCACCTGCCTGGCTAAAGGGATCCTCCCTCCTCAGCCTCCCAAGTAGGTGGGACTACAGGTGTGCATCACCGGGCTCAGCTAATTTTTAAATTTTTTGTAGAGATGAGGTCTTGCTATATTGCCTAGGCTGGTCTCAAGCTCCTGGGCTAAAGCAATCCTCCCACTTTGGCCTCCAAATTGTTGTGATTACAGGCATGAACCACCATGCCCTGCCAGTTGTTAGTTCTTGATCAACCAATTAGCCAGCCCCTGGATGGATTCTCTGGAAGGATCTCCCTAGTCCATTGTTCTCTATGTCTACCTCTGGGGGGAGGGGGCATTGGAGACAATGTTCTTGGCAGCTGCCCAGCTGTGCTGATTACTAATCTGTTGACTCTTGGCTTTAAACCCACTGTCTATGCTCTGCTTTCTAATGCCAGAGCTGAAACTGAAAACCTCCATTCTTTTTTTCCAGCTGCAAGTGGAGTACACCAGAGGGAAACTGCAAAGCTAGAAGCTCCTGTCAACTTCTTATACCCGTCAGCATCCCCTCAGCAATGATTTTTCACCTGGTAGCTGCAGTTTATTCCAGTATAAGCAGTTGATTTGTTTGTACTTTTCTACCATTCACAGAATCATCAGCTTCACTGTGGTCCCCTCAAAGACACCTGTCACTGCCAAGCAGCCTCCTCGCCTCAGATGTCAGGGTTCCAGCTAGGGTTGCCAGACTTAGCAAAGAAGAACACAGAGCATCAGTTAAATTTGAATTGTAGATAAACAATAAATAATTTTAAAGTATAAATATGTTCCAAATCTCACATGGTGTATAGACTAAAATTATTCATAGTTGGCTGGGCACGGTGGCTCACGCCTGTAATCCCAGTACTTTGGGAGGCTGAGGCAGGTGGATCACCTTAGGTTAGGAGTTTAAGACTAGACTGACCAACATGGTGAAACTCATCTCTACTAAAAATACAAAATTAGCCAGGCATGGTGGCGCATGCCTGTGATCACGGCTACTCGGGAGGCAGGAGAATCGCTTAAACCCAGGAGGCGGAGGTTGCAGTAAACCAAGATTGTGCCATTGCATTCCAGCCTGAGCAACAAGAGCAAAACTCCATTTCAAAAAATAAAAAAATAAAAAATAAAAATAAAGTATTCATAGTTTTTCTGAAATTCTGACTTAAAGGAGTGTCCTCTATTTTACCTGGCAATTTTAGTTCTAACTTCTAAATTGGAATAATTTCACCCTTTTCCCTATGATTCCCAGATATAAGGGTGGCAGCTACTTCTTTTTTATGATTCTCTTTATGATACTTTAATTTCCCTTTTTGCCTTTGGTTCTCTAATACGTGCTTTAAAAATATTTATAGGGCCGGGCGCGGTGGCTCATGCCTGTAATCCCAGCACTTTGAGAGGCTGAGGCGGGTAGATCACGAGGCCAGGAGATCGAGACCATCCTGGCTAATATGATGAAACCCTGTGTCTACTAAAAATACAAAAAATTAGCCGGGCATGGTGGCAGGCACCTGTAATCCCAGCTACTCGGGAGGCTCAGGCAGGGGAATCACTTGAACCCAGGAGGCGGAGGTTGCAGTGAGCCGAGATCGCTCCACTGTGCCATTGCACTCCAACCTGGGCGACAGAGTGAGACTCCGTCTCAAAAAAAAAATACACACACATATATATATATATTTATGTTAGCCAGGCACAGTGGCTCACGCCTGTAATCCCAGCACTTTCGGAAGCCGAGGCAGGCGGATCACCTGAGGTCAGGAGTTTGAGACCAGCCTGGCCAACATGGTGAAACCCCATCTTTACTAAAAATACAAAAATTAGCCAAGGATAGTGGCCCACACCTGTAATCCCAGCTACTTGGGAGGCTGAGACATGAGACTCACTTGCACCCAGGAGACAGAGGTTGCAGTGAGCAGAGATTGCGCCACTGCACTCCAGCCTGGGCGACAGGGCAAGACTCTGTCTCAAAAATAATAATAATAAAATAAAATGTATATTAAATTCTTTCTTAAAATAATTGAAGTCATATTGGATCCTAACTGATAGACCATCAATCACAGCCCACTTCTTGCTGATGTGGATTCCGGGGACACAGGAATGACCTTAAAGGTTGAAAGTTCACAGACTTTTACCAGCCAGGCTCACAGTGTTGTGTTGCAATATGTTCGCTCAGAAATTTAGTAGGTTTTGAAGTCGGGCACAGTGGCATGCACCTGTAGACCCAGATACTTGGGAGGCTGAGGCCAGAGGATCACCTAAAGCCAGGAGTTAGAGGCTAGCCTGAGCAACATGGTGAGATTCATCTCTAAAAAACAAACAAACAAAAAAACTCAGTAGGCTTCTAGCCTCTTTGCTTCTAATAAATATGCTTCTGTATCGAAGAAGTTACAGCCCAAACTCTCCTCTAGACATAGTTTTTTTTTTTTTTGAGACAGAGTCTCGCTGTCGCCCAGGCTGGAGTGCATTGGCACGATCTCGGCTCACTGCAGGCTCCGCCCCCTGGGATTCACGCCATTCTCTTGCCTCAGCCTCCCGAGTAGCTTGGACTACAGGCGACCGCCACCTCGCTCAGCTAATTTTTTGTATTTTTAGTAGAGACGGGGTTTCACTGTGTTAGCCAGGATGGTCTTGATCTCCTGACCTCGTGATCCGCCCGCCTCGGCCTCCCAAAGTGCTGGGATTACAGGAGTGAGCCACCGCACCCGCCTAGACATAGTTTTAAAGCCTGAGAATTGTTGCCGGTATTGCTGATCTCTGAGCTCTGCCCATCAACCCCTCTCCATGGCCACCTCCTTAAGTCTCCTTGAAACAATAGGTGAGCTCATTCCCAAGTGCTGCCAAGTGAAGGGTGCTTTTTTTATAGGTGCCAAGTTTTAACTCCTTCAAGGGTGCTCCTTTGCTGCCATCACTAATAACCTATCCAGCGGGTGCAGTGGCTCACGCCTGTAATCCCAGCACTCTGGGAGGCTGAGGCGGACAGATCATCTGAGGTCAGAAGTTCAAGACAAGCCTGGCCAACATGGTGAAATCCTGTCTCTACTAAACATACAAAAATTAGCCGGGCGTGGCAGGACATGGACATGCTACACAGGAGGCTGAGGCAGGAGAATCGCTTGAACCCAGGAGGCGGAAGTTGTGGTGAGCCGAGATCGCACCACTGCACTCCAGCCTGGGCAACAAGAGTGAAACTCCATCTCACAAAATAAATAAATAAATAAATAAATAAATACCTATCCAATTAGAGACAAACAAAACAGTGTGTAACTGATATAAGGATAGACATAGAGATTAATAGAATCGAATTTAGCGTCCAGAAACAAACCCAAACATCTATGACCAATGAATTCCAACAAAAGAGTCAAGACCAACGGGGAAAGAACAGTCTCTTCAACAAATGGTCCTGGCACAACTGGAAACCACATGCAGAAGAATGAAGCTGGATCCCTACCTCATTCCATATGCAAAAAATGTACTCATAATGGATTACTAGCCTAAATATGAGCTAAAACTATAAACTCTTAGAAGAAAACATAGGTGGCCACTGTGAAAAACCTCAATTCCAGGAAAGCCTCTAACATTTTTAGTTTATTGTTCCTTGTGTACGATTACATTCTTCCCATAAATCCTTCCCTTAGGTCAAAATAACCTTCACGTTATTGAAGTTTGGTGGATCCCTCAAAACCTTAAACATAGGATTAGCATATCAGCCAGCAATTCTACTCTTAGGTATATACCCAAGAGAAATGAAAATATATGGCCAGGCTTGGTGGTTCATGTCTGTAATCCCAGCACTTTGGGAGGCTGAGGTCGGTGGATCACCTGAGGTCAGGAGTTTGAGACCAGCCTGACCAACATGGTGAAACCCCATCTCTAGTAAAAAAACAAAAATTATTTGGGCACAGTGGCAGGAACCTGTAATTCCAGCTACTTGAGAGGCTGAGGCAGGAGAATCACTTGAACCCAAGAGTCCAAGGCTGCAGTGATCAAGTTCACACCACTGCATTCCAGCCTGGGCTACAGAGTGAGACCTTGTCTCAAAAAACAAACAAACAAACAAACAAACAAAAAATAGCCAGGTGGGGTGGCGTGCGCCTGTAATCCCAGCTACTCGGGAGTCTGAGGCAGGAGAATTGCTTGAACCGGGGAGGGAGGTTGCAGTGAGCCGAGAATGCTCCACTGCACTCCAGCCTGGGTGACAGAGTAAGACTCCATATATTAAAACAAATTATATATCCACAGAGTAACTGGCACATGAATGTTTATAGCAGTTTACAACACCACTCATGTAATCCCAGGACTTTGGGGGGCCTAGGTGAGAGGATGACTTGAGCCCAGGAGTTCAAGACCAGCCTGGGCAACATGGTGAGACTATGTCTCTAATTGAAAAAAGAAGAAGAAAGAGAAGAAGAAGGAGTCAGAGAAAGAAGAGGAGGAGTAGGAGGAGGAAGAGGGGAAGAAAGAAGAAAACAGAAAAAGAAGAAAACCTCGGGGTAAATCTTCATTACTTTGGATTTAGCAATGAATTCTTAGATTTGTCACCAAAAACACAAGCAACAAAATAAAAATTGGTAATTATCAATTGATAATTGGTAATTGGACTTTAACAACTTACAATTTTGTTTTATCAAGAATGAGAAAAGATAACCTACAGAAACGGAGAAAATATTTGCAAATCATATATCTGATAAGGTTGCAGAATATATAAAGAACTCTTACAACTGGCCAGGCATTGTGGCTCACGCCTATAATCCCAACACTTTGGGAGGCTGAGGCAGGAGGATGGCTTAAGGCCAATATTTCTTTTTTTCTTTTCTTTTCTTTTTCTTTTTTTTTTTTGAGGCAGAGTCTTGCTCTTGTCGCCCAGGTTGGAGTGCAATGGCACGATCTCCACTCACTGCAACCTTCGCCTCCCAGGTTCAAGCAATTCTTCCGCCTCAGCCTCCTGAGTAGCTGGGATTACAGGTGCCTGCCACCATGCCTGGCTAATTTTTGTATTTTTAGTAGTGGGGTTTCACCATGTTGGCCAGGCTGGTCTCGAACTCCTGACCTCATGATCTGCCCACCTTGGCCTCCCAAAGTGCTGGGATTACAGACGTGAGCCACCATGCCCGGCCAGGCCAAGATTTCAAGACCAGCCTGGGACACATAGCAAGACCCCATCTCTAGAAAAAATTTAAAAATTAGCTGAGCGTGATGACACATCCCCATAGTCCCACCTACTCGGGAGGCTGAGGGGGGAGAATCACTTGAGCCCAGGAATTGGAGGCTGCAGTGAGCTATGATTGCACCATTCCACTCCAGCCTGGGTGACAGAGCAAGATCCTGTCTCAAAAACAAACAAACAAACAAAAAGACTCTTAAACTCAACAACATGTTAGATATGAGTTCTAAATTTATTTTCGAAGAATCAATATGTCCGTATGTTCAATTCTTTGCCTTCTACTTTTAAACTTAACTTCCTCATAAAGGAAAGTTTTTCGATTACCTGCTCCACCCTGACTCATTCCAATTACCTGCTCTACCCTGACTCATTCCGATTACCTGCTACCTGCTCCGCCCTGACTCATTTGCCACCCTGCATAACCATTTTTCCTGCCAAACCACTCACCCAGTAATTCTCTTTAAATTAGCCAGTCGGAATTAGTTTAGCCTGTGCTGTCTAACCCTAGCCAATAGGGGAACGACACAGCAGCAGGGGCCACATGCTTCAGGGATAAAAACCCTTTCCCCTCCCTTGTCCAAGTGTGCACTCACCATTGCTCCATCTGTAAGGGTGCACCCTTCTATAGAAGTACCTTGCCTTGCTGAGAATTAAAAAGAAAATTTTATATTTGAGTGCTGTATCTTTTGCGGCACCAAAACTTTATTTACAAGAATTTGGGGGCTCATCCGGGATTACATTCCCCTCCAGGGATGGTCTCTGGTTCTCTCTCCTGAGGAGGCATGCCCCGCCCCCTAGTGGTGGCCTCAGGGGTGAGAAATCAAGACCCACCCAGTGCAAGGAATAAGCCGAGCTCTCAGCAACATGGAAAAACAAAATGGCCAGCAACCTAGCGTAAAGGAGCCTCACATACTGCAGCGATGACTCTGTAGGGTCCAGCCTGGGAGGGCCTTTGGGTTTTCTCTTCGTGTGCAGAGACAAGAGATCATAGAAATAAAGACACAAGACAAAAGAGAGAGAAAGACAGCTGGGCCTGGGGGCCACTACCACCAAGACGCAGAGACTGGTAGTGGCCTTGAATGCCTGGCCGCACTGCTATTTATTGTATACAAGGCAAGGGGGCAGGGTTAGGAGTGTGAGTCATCTCCAAAGATAGGTAAGGTCATGCAAGTCACATGTCCACTGGACAGGGGGCCCTTCCCTATTTGGTAGCTGAGGCGGAGAGAGAGAGGGGACAGCTTACGTCATCATTTCTTCTATGCATTTCTCAGAAAGATCAAAGACTTTAATACTTTCACTAATTCTGCTACTGCTATCTAGAAGGCGAGTCAGGTGTACAGAGTGGAACATGAAAGTGGACCAGGAGAGTGACCGCTGAAGCACAGCATCACAGGGAGACGTTTAGGCCTCCAGATGGCTGCAGGCGGGCTTAACTGATGTCAGGCTTTCCACAAGAAGTGGTGGAGAAGAGTGTTCTCTAACTCCCCCAGAGAAAGGGAGACTCCCTTTCCCAGTCTGCTAAGTAACGGGTGCCTTCCCAGGCTTTGGTGCTACCGCTAGACCAAGGTCTGCTAAGTAACGGGTGCCTTCTCAGGCACTGGCGTTACCACTAGACCAAGGAGCCCTCTAGTGGCCCTGTCCAGGCATGACAGAGGGCTCACACTCCTGCCTTCCGGTCACTTCTCACGGTGTCCCTTCAGCTCCTAACTCTGTATGGCCTGGTTTTCCTAAATTATAATTGTAGAACAGAAGTTATTAATAAAAGAGTAATGCTACAAACTAATGATTAATAATATTCATATATAATCATGTCTATATTCTATTTCTAATATAACTATTCTTATTCTAATTATTTATTTTATTATACTGAAACAGTTCGTGCCTTCGGTCTCTTGCCTTGGCACCTGGGTGACTTGTCGCCCACACAGACCAAGGAAGGAGAAGCCGCAGGAGCCAGTAAAGTATTTCCTTGGTGGTCGGGACTAAGGAAAAAGCCGCGGGGCGGTAAAGCATTCCTTGGTTAGGACATACCAAGGAGAGAGAAAGTGCAGGGGCGGTAAAGCATTCCTTAGTCAGGACTAGGGAAAGAAAGCCGTGGGGGGCGGTGAAGTATTCCTTAGTCGGATGTCTCGGAGGTTAAAAAGAGGTTAGAAATCCCCATGAGTGGGGATTGAACCCCAGAAAGAGGTGAGAAATCCCCATGGGGGGGTTGAACCTCAAAAAAGAGGTGAGAAATGCCTATGGCGGGGGGGTGGGGTTGAACCTCACACAACCCCCCCCTTTTCTTTCTTCTCGGGGGAAGAAAAAGTAGCTCCACTCCCACTGGTGCCTCCCCTAGGGGAAGGGGAAGGAGGGGGGAGAACAGCAGCATAAGTGGCTGGCAGAGGCAGGGAAAGACCAGCAGAGAGGAAAGAGAGAAAAAGAGAGGGGCAGAGAGAGGGAGAGATAAAGAGACAAAGAGGGAGTCAAAGAGAGAGAAAGAGAGAAAAAAAGAGATAAAAGTAGTAAAGAGAAAACAGTGTACCCTATTCCTTTAAAAGCCAGGCTAAGTTTAAAACCTATAATTGATAATCAAAGGTCTTCTCCATGACCCTATAACACTCCAATATAACCTTGTTTTCAGTGATAACAAAGGTGTAGCGGGAAAGCACTAAGGCCACTGACAACCTTTAGCCTTCCTATCAAAAATCCTTGGCTGGGCTTTGGTGGCTCAAGCCTGTAATCCCAGCACTTTGGGAGGCTGAGGCGGGCGGATCACCAGGTCAAGAGATCATTAGATCCTGGCTAACACGGTGAAACCCCATATCTACTAAAATTATCTGGGCATGGTGGCGGGCGCCTGTAGTCCCAGCTGCTTGGGAGGCTGAGGCAGGAGAATCGCTTGAACCCGGGAGGCAGAAGTTGCAGTGAGCCAAGATCGTGCCACTGCACCACAGCCTGGCAACAGAGCGAGACTCCGTCTCAAAAAATATATACAAAAAATTAGCTGGGCATGGTGACGGGCGCCTGTAGTCCCAGCTACTTGGGAGGCTGAGGCAGGAGAATGGCATGAACCCGGGAGGCGGAGTTTGCAGTGAGCCGAGATCACGCCACTGTACTCCAGCCTGGGCAACAGAGCAAGACTCTGTCTCAAAAACTAATAATAAATAAATAAAAATAAAAATCCTTAACCCAGTGCATTCAGTCTGTAGAGGCAACTGCTTTGCTAGCAGAAGAAAGTACAAAAATAACTTTTAGAGGAAATCTCATTGTGAGCACACCTCACCAGTTCAGAACTAACCTAAGTCAAAAAAAAAAAAAATAGCAAAAAGGTAGCTTACTAACTCAAAAATCTTAAAGTATGGGGCTATTCTGTTAGAAAAAGATGATTTAACATTAACCACTGATAATTCCCTTAACCCAGCAGGTTTCCTAACCGGGTATCTAAATCTTAATTAATTACCATACAAAGGCCCTACCAGACCTAGGAGGAACTCCCGTCAGGACAGGATGATAGATGGTTCCTCCCAGGTGATTGAGGGAAAAAAACCACAATGGGTATTCAGTAATTGATAGGGAAACTCTTGTAGAAGCAGAGTTGGGAAAATTGCCTAATAGTTGGTCTGCTCAAACCTGGGAGCTGTTTGCACTCAGCCAAGCCTTAAAGCACTTACAGAACCAAGGAAGGAACCGTCTATACCAATTCTAAGTTAATTTAGACTAAATAAGTTCTTATTAATAGCAAAGGATAATTGAAATCCCAAACTTACAAGGTTTTCAACAAAAGTAAAATTTGCTAAAAGTTAACAGTGTAACATTTATTATCCTAACTTCTAATATTGTGGCCTTAGGCAGTCTAGTCCACAGACATGAAGGAAGTTTGCTTTGGAGAAAATTAAAAAAAAAAAAAAAAAAGGAGGGGAAGAATTTATATAAAAAGAATGTTATATGGTAAATTCTTATCCTAAAGTAAATTAATTGGTTGTTTAAAAAAAAGGAATGTTTGCAACAAGTCAGAAGGTTGAGGCATGTCGAAGATTGTGAAGTCGTAAAAGAAAAAAGTTATAAAAGGGAATTTATGCAAGAAATGTTGTATAATTTAGAAGTAATTAGGCCTCCTGAATGTAAAACTATCGAAGAAACAGTTTATGTGCAAGTTGTACAAGTAAACTAAAATATACTTTTGGTAAAAGGATTATAAGGAGGCATAAAAATGTGAATTTTTACCTACTTTAAAAGGTTAAAAAAATTGTTTTACAGGTTTAAGCAAGTTTTAAAATGTTAATTGTAAAGGAAATTCTGTGTGTAAATATATTGGCTAAAGTTAAGGGAGTGTCATCCAGTTTTTCTGTGAACTGGACATTAAAATAAAAGCACAACAGGTTTTTCTTAAAGCACTAACCTGTTCTTTAACAAAAATTATAAAAGATTTAAAAGAGCCTATAAAAATCTTACCTTATGGTCAGACGTTAAAATTGAATAAATATGTCTATAAGGTTTTATTAACATTGAGTTTAACATAAATAACACACTAATATAAAGGTGAAATTTAGCTTATCTAGTATAAAAATCATACAGGAAGCACTGTCAAATATAAAGTGGTGTTTGGCTTTCTTTGGTCTAAAAACTAATAAAAATAGGTGCTAAAAGAAATTTCTCAGTAAGAAGGCACCAAGGACGATAAAGTCCACTGCTGATGTCCCCACATTTAAAACAAAAGATCAGTTTCTTAGAAATTATATACTTGGTTTATCTTCCATTTTCCTTTCCCTCAAAACTAAAAGTCTTTTAGCACAGGTACCGCCCCTAAAATTTCTGGTAAACCAGCACCAGCCTGAGAATCATGTTCTCATCAAAGGGTGAAAAGAAGGAAAACTCAAGCCAGCCTGGGAAGGACTCTACCTTATGCTGCTAACCACCCAGACTGCTGTTCCTTCAGTGAAAAGGGGATGGACTCATCACACCCAAGTCAAGAA
This sequence comes from Homo sapiens, assembly GCF_000001405.40. Taxonomy (NCBI): domain Eukaryota; kingdom Metazoa; phylum Chordata; class Mammalia; order Primates; family Hominidae; genus Homo; species Homo sapiens. Next base: position 32,445,167 of record NC_000001.11, on the reverse strand, counting down.
AGCGCCGCCCCCTCCAGAGTCATGGGCCATAGTCCCAAGGGAAAACCCTACCAAACTAAAGCTAATAAAAATTTAACTCTTTTCATCTATTCTATTACTCTTTCTTCTTTCCTCGCTCTATTGCTGACCATCTAGTTATTAACATAACCAAGTCAATTTCACCTCAAACTATTGCATTTAATGCTTGCCTTGTCATACCCTTTGGGGACTTGCCAAGTCAAAGACAGCTCTCTACTTCAGAAAAGTACCTCTGTCCCTCCTGACTCTGCTCAGACTGGGCATTAGTGAATTGGGACCATTTAATCTGGGGAGATTTCAATAAAGACCCCAGTTTTCAATCATGAGTCTTGCTCCTCGATGTAGAGCTTTTATGCCGTAATTGGTCAAACATTCTGTGGACCACTAAAGAGCAAGGATGGACTGCTCCAACTGGTTTTTGTAATTTCCTAAAACCATACCTTCATTCTACTAGAGGGATAGCACCCACCCCCCACCCCCAAATGTCAGCTAAACCAGTGCAATCCTATACAGGTTATTATCTCAAACCCTCAAAGTTCTTCCCCTTTTATAAGCCAGTACTCTTCTTTAAGCCGGTTTTATGGTATATGGGGGCTAAGGTTTCAGGGACAGACCCTATTGGATTCTTTGAAATGCATTTCTTTGATCCCCCGTCACCTGCACCTTCCTCTAAGCCTTCTTCCAAAACCTCTCACAAACGGAACAATTGCTCCTCCTCCATCTAATGACAAGACCAAGATAGCTATTGTAGAAGTTAAAGACTTAAACTTCGGCAATTAAGACAGGATACCAAGATGCAAATGCCTGGTTGGAATGGATCAAATATTCCATCCATATGTTAAAGAAAAGCAATTGTTATGCTTGTGCGCACGGCAGGCCAGAGGCCCAGATTGTCCCCTTTCCACTAGGTCCTCCAGTCGACTGGGCGTGGGCTTCATGGTGGCTCTTTTCCAGGATTCTACAGCTTGGAGTAATAAGTTGTGCCACACTCTCTCTCTGCTATATCCCAAAGTCCAGCACCTTGCAGGTCAGCCCCCGAGTGCCATCCAGCTTTCGTCTCCCAACACTAAGTTCACTTCGTGTCTCTCACAACAGGAAGGAAACTTAGCATTCCTTGGAGACCTGAAGGGATGCAGTGAAGTTAAGAATTTTCAAGAGCTTATCAGTTAGCCCTTGTTCATCTCCAAGCAGATGTGTGGTGGTATTGTGGTGGACCTTTACTGGACACTCTGCCAAATAACTGGAGTGCTTTAGTCCAATTGGCTATCCCTTTCACCCTGACATTTCATCAACCAGAGGAAGGAAAAATAAGACATCATAAAGCGAGAGAAGCCCCTTATGGGTCTTTCGACTCTCACATCTATTTAAACGCAACTGGAGTCCAACAGGGAATACCAAATCAGTTTAAAGCCTGAAATCAAATAGCTGCAGGATTTGAGTCAATATTTTGGTGGGCGGCAATGAATAAAAATGTAGATTGGAGAAACTACATCTACTACAACCAATAGCGATTTATTAACTACAGTGGAGATGCTGTTAAAGGAATAGCTGAGCAATTAGGGGCTACTAGCCAGATGGCTTGGGAAAATAGGATAGCCTTAGACATGATATTAACAGAAAGAGGAGGAGTTTGTGTCATGATTAAAACTCAGTGTTGTACCTTCATCCCAAACACCACCACCCCTGACGGAAGCATAACAAAGGCATTGCAAGATCTGACTGCTCTATCCAATGAGTTAGCCAACAACTCAGGGGTAAATGACCCCTTTACAGGATGGCTAGAAAAGTGGCTCAGTAAATGGAAAAGAATAATAGCCTCAATTCTTACTTCCCTCACAGCCGTAATGGGTGTACTTTTTCTTGTCAGGTGCTGTGTCACACCATGCATCTGTGGGTTGGTGCAGAGTTCGTAAAAATGGCACTTACTAAAACCTCCCTTAGCTATCCTCCACCTTACCCAGAGAAGTTTCTTCTTTTGGAAAATCAAGCAAAGCAACTAAACCAAGACATGGTAAAAAAGAGTTCTAAAAGAAAGAGCTGTAAGGAAATGCAAAAGAAGGGGTTGTTAGATATGAGTTCTAAATTTCTTTTCAAAGAATCAATATGTCAGTATGTTCAATTCTTTGCCTTCTACTTTTTTTTTTTTTTTTTTTTGAGACAGAGTCTCGCTCTGTCACCCAGGCTGGAGTGCAGTGGCGGATCTTGGCTCACTGCAACCTCCGCCTCCCGGGATCAAGCGATTCTCCTGCCTGAGCCTCCCAAGTAGCTAGGACTGCAGGCGCCTGCCACCGTGTCCAGCTAACTTTTTTGTATTTTTAGTAGAGACAGGGTTTCACCGTGTTAGCCAGGATGGTCTCGATCTCCTGACCTCGTGATCTGCCCGCCTGGGCCTCCCAAAAGGCTGGGATTACAGGTGTGAGCCACCGCGCCCAGCCACCTTCTACTTTTAAACTTAATTTCCTCATAGAGCAACCTTTTTCGATTACCTGCTCCACACTGACTCATTCCGATTACCTGCTACCTGCTCCACCCTGACTCATTAGCCACCCTGCAAAACCATTTTCCCGCCAAGCCACTCACTGGTCACTCGCTTTAAATTAGCCAATCGGAATTAATTTAGCCTGTGCAGTCTAACCCTAGCCAATAGGGGAATGACACAGCGGCAGGGGCCATGTGCGTCAGGGATAAAAACTCCTTTCCCTCCCTTGTCCAAGTGTGTGCTCACCATTGCTTTATCTGTAAGGGTGCACCCTTCTATAAAAGTAACTTGCCTTGCTGAGAATTAAAAAGAACATTTTATACTCAAGTGCTATTTATTTTGTGGCACCGAAACTTTATTTATAACAAACAAAAAGATGAAAAATCTCGTTTTAAAATGGGCAAAAGACTTGATAGACATTTCTCAAAAGAAGAAGCATAAACGTCCAATACACACATGAAACGATGCTCAACATCATTGGTAACTGAGAAAATGTAGGCTGGGCACGGTGGCTCATGTCTGTAATCCCAGCACTTTGGGAGGACAAGGCGGGCAGATCACAAGGTCAAGAGATCGAGACCATACTGACCAACATAGTGAAACCCTGCCTCCACTAAAAATACAAACATTAGCTGGGCATGGTGGTGCATGCCTGTGGTCCCAGCTACTCAGGAAGCTGAGGCAGGAGAATCGCTTGAATCCAGGAGGCAGAGGTTGCAGTGACCCGAGATCGTGCCACTGCACTCCAGCCTGGCGACAGAGCAAGACTCCGTCTCAAAAAAAAAAAAAAAGAAAGAAAATGTAAATCAAAACCATAATGAGATACCACTTCACACCTTCACACCCAACAGGATGACCTTCATCAGAAAAACAGATCGGGCATGATGATTCATGCCTGTAATCCCAACACTTTGGGAGGCCGAGGCAGGCGGATTGCTTGAGCGCAGTTCAAGACCAACCTGGGCAACATGGCGAAACCCTGTCTCTACAAAAAATACAAAAATTAGCCGAGTGTGGTGGCACGTGCCTGTGATCCCAGCTACTCAAGAGGCTGAGGTGGGAGGATCACTTGAGCCTAGGAGGCGGAGGTTGCAGAGAACCGAGATCGCTCCAGTGCACTCCATCCTGGGTGACAGAGTGAGAGTCTGTCTCAAACAAAAACAAAAACAAAAACAAACAGATAATAACAAGTATTGGCAAGGGAAGAGGACAAAGCGATTCTATTCTGGATGTTAGTCTACCATGTTGACTTCTGATTAACCTCAGTTCCAGGAAAGCCTCTAAGATTTTTAGTTTCTCGTTCCTTGTGTAAGATTACATTCTTCCCATAAATCCTGCCCTTAGGTCAAAATAACCTTCATGTTCTTGTACTCTCCATGAGATCTGCCTATAAGCAATTGTCCTACACATCCCTTCTGAATCACATATGCCCTTTCCCTATGGTAAATAAGCCCTGGGTTTGGGGGGTAATGGCACAGGTAACCATTATCTCATCTCACTGCTGCCCAAGACAGACGTGGCTTCTGTTCGTAAGTCCCTATTAAATGTCTTTTTTTTTTTTTTTTTGAGATGGAGTTTCACTCTGTTGCCCCAGCTGGAGTGCAGTGGTGCCATCTTGACTCACTGCAACCTCTGCCTCCCGGGTTCAAGCGATTCTCCTGTCTCAGCCTCCCGAGTAACTGAGATTACAGGCACCTACCACCATGTCCAGCTAATTTTTGTATTTTTAGTAGAGATGGGGTTTCACCATGTTGGCCAGGCTGGTCTCGAACTCTTGATTTCAGGTGATCCACCCACCTCAGCCTCCCAAAGTGCTGGGATTACAGGCGTGAGCTACCATGCCCAGCCTGTATTTTTTGTCTTCAAAGAAAAAATTAAAATAGGCTGGGCACAGTGGCTCATGCCTGTAATCCCACCACTTTAGGAGGCCAAGGTGGGTGGATTGCTTGAGCTGAGGAGTTCAAGACCAGCATGGGCAACATGGTAAAACCCTGTCTCTATAAGAAATACAAAAAGTAGCCAGGTGCAGTAGCATGCACCTGTAGTCCCAGTTACTTGGGAGACAGAGGTGGAAAGATCATTTGAGCCTGGGAGGTCAAGACTGCAGTGAGCCGTGATCACACCACTGCACTCAAGCCTGGGTGACAGAGTGAGACCTTGTCTCAAAAATAATTAATTAATTAATTAAATAGTGTTGAGGTCTCACTGTATTGCCCAGGCTGGTCTCAAACTCTTGAGCTCAAGTGAGCCTCCTGCCTCAGCCTCTGAAAGTGCTGTTATTATAGGTGTAAGCTACCATGACCAGCCAAAAGGTCACATTTTGTATGATTTCTTTTATGTAATTTATTAGTTGAGATTCTCTAAAAAACAGAACCAAAAGGAGAGAGAGAAATTGATTTATTATGAGAAATTCCTCATGGTGAAACCACCTTTGCAAAAATTATGTCAGTGAGAAAATGATGACAGTGGGAAGACCTGATTTACTCTAGCCAATCCCCCTCTTACCTTTAGCCTTGCTTTGGGAGACATTTAGGTTATAATGTAAATGATAATAGCCTTTCCCCAAAACTCAGCCACCTTTGTAAATCTAATGAGAGACCACCAGGTTAGGGGGAAGAGAGGAGCCTGAATTCTGCTAAGGTGTAGACATAAATGATTGCTAGCCATTATTTCAGGAGTCACAAGATATACAACTTTCCCAGTTACTCCTATAAATAACATCACTATTGTAGAACCCAAGATTGGCATTGTGAGATATCTTTTCAGGTTTTTTGCATGTCTGACACCTAGTTCCACCTGGACCCATCTGCTGATGGCTCCTGTAGCCCTACCCAGAAGCAATTTGGCATGCAGGAGGATGATTTCCCACACCCCTATAATTACACCCCCAACCAATCAGCAGCAAGCACCCATTTCCTAGCCACCCCTCCCTCTTCCCCCAAACTGCCTTTGAAAAATCCCTAACCTATGAGTTTTAGATGATATTGATTTGAGTAATAACTCCATCTCTTGCACGACATGACCAGCCTGGCATTAATTAAACTCTTTCTCCACTGCAATGGTGTAGTCTTCATTTGTGCAGCAGGCAGGAAGAACCTGTCAGGTTGTTATAATGGAATCATAAAGGCTTAGAAACCCATGATCTGCCATCTGTAAGCTGGAGACACAGAAAATCAGTGGTGTAATTCAAGTCAAAGGCAGTAGAACCAGAGGAGATGAAGGTATAAATCCCAATTTAAGTGTAGCATAAAATAAGATGTCCCAGCTCACCGGGCATGGTGGCACACGCCTGTAATCCCAGCACTTTGGGAGGCTGAGGCAGGCGGATCACCTGAGGTCGGGAGTTCGAGACCAGCCTGACCAACATGGAGAAATCCCATCTCTCCTAAAAATACAAAATTAGCCAGGCGTGGTGGTGCATGCCTGTAATCCCAGCTAGTTGGGAGGCTGAGGCAGGAGAATTGCTTGAACCTAGGAGGCGAGGGTTGTGTTGAGCCGAGATGGCGCCATTGCACTCCAGCCTGGGCAACAAAAGCGAAACTCTGTCTCAAAAAAAAAAAAAAAAAAAAGATGTCCCAGCTCAAGCAGTAAGACAGAAAAGAAGCTGTGGGCTGCGAACAGTGGTTCATGCCTGTAGTACCAGGACTTCAGGGGGCCAAGATGGAAGGATTGTTTGAGGTCAAGAGTTGGAGACTAGCCTGGGCAATATAGCAAGACCCCTTCTCTACAAAAAATTTAAAAATTAGCTCAGCAAGGTGGTGCACACCTGTAGTCCCAGCTACTTGGAAGGCTCAGGCAGTGAGTTCAAGGTTGCAGTGAACTCTTGTCAATGAAAAGAGTTGAACTCTGTAAAATATTTGAAGAGATTTATTCTGAGCCAAATATGAGTGACTAATGGCCCGTGCCCATGAGACACCCCCAGGAGATCCTGAAAACATGTGCCCAAGGTGGTTGGGCTACAGCTTGGTTTTATACATCTTAGGAAGACGTAAGACACCAATCAATACATGTAAGATGTAAACTTTCTGGTTTGGTCCAGAAAGATGGGACAACTGGAGGTGGGGTGGTAAAAGGACTTCTAGGTCATAGGTGGATTCAAAAATTTTCTTTTTTTTTTTTAATCCTATTCTGTTGGTCCTGAGGCTCCAAAAATATTCGAATTAGCAATTGGTTGAAAGAGTTTACCTAAAGACCTGGAATCAATGGAAAGGAATGTCTGGGTTAAGATAAGGGGTTGTGAAGACCAGAGTTTTATCATGCAGATGAAGCCTCCAGGTAGCAGGCTTCAGAGAGAATAGATTGTGAATGTTTCTCATCAGATTTAACTAGCCTGTTCTGCCAGTCTTAAGGTCTCTGCATTGATGTTAATCTGGCCAGCTGTGCCTGAATTCCAAAAGGGAGGAGGATATACTGAAGCATGTTGGACCCCCACTTCTCATCATGGCCTGAACTAGTTTTTCAGGTTAACTTTGGAATGCCCTTGGCCAAGAAGAGGGCTCACCTGTCAGTTGTGGGTTTAGAATTTTATTTTTGGTTTACACTATCATTGTGCTGCTGCACTCCAGCATGGGTAACAGAGCAAGACCCTATCTGTCTCAAAAAAACAAAAGAAAAGAAAAGAAGCCCTGACTTTCATGCATGTCTCTGTGAAGAGACCACCAACCAAGCTTTGTGTGAGCAACATGGCTGTTTATTTCACCTGGGTGCAGGTGGGCTGAGTCCGAAAAGAGAGTCAGTGAAGGGAGATAAGGGTGGGGCCGTTTTATAGGATTTGGGTAGATAAAGGAAAATTACAGTCAAAGGGGGTTTGTTCTCTGGCAGGCAGGAGTGGGGGTCGCAAGGTGCTCAGTGGGGGAGCTTTTTGAGCCAGGATGAGCCAGGAAAGGGACTTTCACAAGGTAATGTCATCACTTAAGGCAAGGACTGGCCATTTTCACTTCTTTTGTGGTGGAATATCATGAACCAGCCATCTGGATGTGTACGTGCAGGTCACAGGGGATATGATGGCTTAGCTTGGGCTCAGAGGCCTGACATTCCTGTCTTCTTATATTAATAAGAAAAATAAAATGAAATAGTGGTAAAGTGTTGGGACGGTGAAAATTTTTGGGGGTGGTATGGAGAGATAATGGGCGATGTTTCTCAGGGCTGCTTCGAGCGGGATTAGGGGTGGTGTGGGAACCTAGAGTGGGAGAGATTAAGCTGAAGGAAGATTTTGTGGTAAGGGGTGATATTGTGAGACTGTTAGAAGAAACATTTGTCATTTAGAATTATTAGTGATGGCTTGGATACGGTTTTGTATGAATTGAAAAACTAAACGGAATAAGAGAAGAAGAAAAACAGGTATTAAAGGTCTAAGAATTGGGAGGACCGAGGACATCTAATTAGAGTGCCTAAGGAGATTCAGCATAGTCCTGTCAGCAAAGATTATTTATTTACTTCAAGAGTTAAGAGTGGCAGTTTGAGGATAGCACCAGGAGATATCAGCTGTGATGGCTTGGAGAAACAGTGTAAACCAGCAGTGTAAACAAGAGTAGGGCATTTATAAGTAGTTGAGAATGGAGAATAGGAGTATGACTAGACAGAAGATAGTAGGGATGACAAGTTTTTTTGGGGGGCACAGTCTAAGTTGGTCTGGTGTCTGGAATGAGACTGGGGCCTAATAAAAAGGAGCGTCTATACAGGAGCTCAAATGGGCTGTACCCTGTAGCATTCTGAGGACAGGTCTGACTTCTGAGAAGGGAAAGTGGTAAAAGTATTGTCCAGTCCTTTTTAAGTTGGTGGCTGAGCTTGGTGAGGTGTGTTTTTAAAAGACCTTTAGTCTGTTCTACTTTTCCTGAAGATGGAGGACCGTAAGGGATATAAAGGTTTCACTGAATACCAAGAGCATGAAAAACTGCTTGGCTGATTTGACTAATAAAGGCTGGTCTGTTGTCAGACTGTATAGAGGTGGGAAGGCTAAACTGAGGAATTATGTCTGACAGAAGGGAAGAAATGACTGCGGTGTCTTCTCAAACCCTGTAGGAAAGGCCTGTACCTATCCAGTGAAAGTGTCTACCTAGACTAAGAGGTATTTTAGTTATCTGACTTGGGGCATGTTGAGTAAAGCTAATTTGCCAGTCCTGGGTGGGGGCAAATCCTCGCGCTTGATGTGTAGGGAAGGGAGGGGGCCTGAATAATCCCTGAGGAGTAGTAGAACAGCAGATGGAACACTGAGAAGTTATTTTCTTGAGGATAGATTTCCATGATGGAAAGAAAATGAGAGGTTCTAAGAGGCGGGCTAGTGGCTTATACTATAGCATAGCCTGCCTTTGCTGGTGTGTGGCGATTAGGCCTGGTGGAACTGCCATCAATAAATCAAGCATGATCAGGGTGAGGAACAGGAAAGAAGGAAATATGGGGAAATGGGGTGAATGTCAGGTGGATCAGAGAGATACAGTCATGAAGGTCAGGTCTGGTATCCAGAATAACGTGGGAGGCCGAATTGAAGTCCGGGCCAGGAACAATGGTAATTGTGGGACTTAACAAAGAGTGAGTACAGCTGAAGGAGCCGGGGAGCAGAAAGTATATGCGTCAGGTATGAGGAAGAAAATAGATTTTGGAAGTTATGAGAAATGTAGAGAGTGAGTTGAGCATAGTTTGTGATTTTTAGGGCCTCTAAAAGTATTAAAGCAGCAGCAGCCGCTGCGCACAGACATGAGGGCTAGGCTAAAACAGTAAGGTCAAGTTGTTTGGACAGAAAGGCTATAGGGAGAGGTCCTGGCTCTTGTGTAAGAATTCTGACCCCACTAACCATGCCTAGGAAGGAAAGGAGTTGTTGTTTTGTAAGGGATTGAGATTTGGGAGATGAATCAGACACAATCAGCAGGGAGAGCACGTGTGTTTTTATGAGAATTATGCCGAGATAGGTAACAGATGAGGATGAAATTTGGGCTTGACTGAAGTAATGGGGGCTGTCTGTGAAGCCTTGCGGCAGTACAGCCCAGGTAATTTGCTGAGCCTAATGGGTGTCAGGGTTAGTCTAACTGAAAGCGAATTGAGGCTGGGATGAAGGTGCAAAGGAATAGTAAAGAAAGCATGTTTGAGATCCAGAACAGAATAATGGGTAGTAGAGGGAGGTATTGAGGATAGGAGAGTATATGGGTTTGGCACCACGGGGTGGATAGGCAAGACAATTTGGTTGATAAGGGGCAGATTCTGAACTAACCTGTAAGCCTTGTCTGGTTTTAGGACAGGTAAAATGGGGGAATGGTAAGAAGAGTTTATAGGGTTTAAAAGGCCATGCTGTAGCAGGCAAGTGATAACAGGCTTTAATCCTTTCAAAGCATGCTGTGGGATGGGATATTGGCATTGAGTGGGGTAAGAGTGATTAGGTTTTAATGGGATGGTAAGGGGTGCATGATCGGTCGCTAAGGAGGGAGCAGAGGTGTCTTATACTTGTGGGTTAAGGTGGGGAGATACAAGGGGAGGATGTGAAGGAGGCTTTGAACTGGGGGAAAAGGCAACAGTGAGGTGTGGCTGTAGCCTAGGAACAGTCAGGGAAGCAGATAATTTAGTTAAAGTGTCTCGGCCTAATAAGGGAACTGGGCAGGTGGGGATAACTAAAAAGGAGTGCTTAAAAGAGTATTGTCTAAGTTGGCACCAGAGTTGGGGAGTTTTAAGAGGTTTAGAAGCCTGGCCGTCAATATGCACAACAGTTATGGAAGCAAGGGAAACAGGCCCTTGAAAAGAAGGTAATGTGGAGTGAGTAGCCTCCGTATTAAGAAGGGGACGGACTTACCTTCCACTGTGAGAGTTACCTAGAGCATGTGTGATGGTCCTGTAGGCTTCTGAGGCGATCGGGCAGTGTCAGTCTTCAGCTGCTAAGCCGAGAAGATCTGGGAAGGAGTCAGTCAGAGAGCCTTGGGCCAGAGTTCCAGGGGCTCTGGGAGCGGCTGCCAGGTGAGTTGAACAGTCCGATTTTCAGTGGGGTCCCACAGAGATGGGACATGGCTTAGGAGGAATCCCGGGTTGTGGGCATTCCTTGGCCCAGAGGCCAGATTTCCAGCACGTGTACCAAGCTCTTGGGGGAGGAGGTTCTGGAGGAACGCCTGGCTGCTGCAGTTCAGGTGTTTGGAAGTTCTTGTGTGCTGGAGATGTGGCTGGGGTTTGTCTCACAGTGGAGGCAAGGAATTGCAACTCAGAAATACATTGCTACTTGGCTGCCTCTACTCTATTATTGTACACCTTGAAGGTGAGGTTAATTAAGTCCTGTTATGGGGTTTGAGGGCTGAAATTTAATTTTTGGAGTTTTATTTAATGTCAGGAGCAGATTGGGTAATAAAATGTATATTGAGAATAAGACGGCCTTTTGACCTTTTAGGGTCTAGGGCTGTAAAGCGTCTCAGGGTTGCTGCTGAACGAGCCATGAGCTGGGCTGGGTTTTTCATATTTGATGAAAGAGCCTAAATGCTCACTGATTTGGGAGAGGTCTGATAAAGAAAAAGGAGCATTAACCTTGACTATGCCTTTAGCTTCAGGCACCTTTTTAAGAGGAAATTGCTGGGCAGGTGGGGGAGGGCTACTCACGGAATGAAAATGTAAACTGGACCAGGTGTGAAGAGGGGAGGTGATAAAAAGATTATAGGGTGGAGGAGCGGAGGCTGAGGAAGAATTGGGACCTAGCTTGGCCTGGCGAGAAGCAGCCTGGGGAGGAGGGGAGAGGTCAGATGGGTCTGTAGAAAAGGAAGATTAGAAAGACTCAGCGACACTTGGGGTTGGGACTGAGGGGACAGGTGGGACGGAAAGAAGGAAGATTTGGGACAAGTTGCACTGGACACAGAGACTAGGGAGGAATGGATGTGTAAAAGAATGCCTGGACGTCAGGCACCTCAGACCGTTTGCCCATTTTATGACAAGAATTATTTAGATCTTGCAGTATGGAAAAATTGAAAGTGCCATTTTCTGGCTATTTGGAACCACTGTCGAATTTGTATTGGGGTCAAGCAGCATTGTAGAAGAAAATAAGGCATTTAGGTTTTAGGTCAGGTGAGAGTTGAAGAGGTTTTATGTTCTTAAGAACACAGGCTCTAAGGGAGAAGAAGGAGGAATGGAGGGTGGAAGGTTGCCTATAATGAAGGAGGCAAGTTTAAAGAAAAGGGAGAGTAGAGACATGGAGGGAAGCGGTTCGGGGGTTCTTACCTTCCAGAAAAGTGGGAAAGGGGTTGAGGCACAGAGATAGGAGGTCGGGGCATGGAAATAAGGGATCAGGGCACAGAGATGTAAGAGGTTGGAGTGTGGAAATAAGGGATCAGGGCGCAGAGATACGAGGTTGGGGTACTTGCCCCTCCCCTAGAAAAGTGGGACTTGCTGCTAAGGGTGAAGGAGAAGGGGTTGGGGGTTTCTTGCCCCCCAGAAAGGCAGAGAAGGGGTAGAGACATGGAGAGAAGGGGTTGGGGTACTTGCCCCTCCCCCAGAAAAGCGGGACTTGCAGCTAAGGGTGAAGGACCAAGGCAGGCATCCCTCCGTGGTCTGACACCTCTGAAACCTGGGTGAATAATCAGAGAGCATCCCTGCAATGATTATACACCAAGGGAAGGCTGCCTTACCTAGTCTGTGACCGGCACCGGAGTTTTAGGTCCACGGATAAAACATGTCTCCTTTGTCTCTACCAGAAAATGAAAGGAATTGAAATTAAGAGAAGGGAGAGATTGAAGTGTGGCGCCAAGTTTGAAAGGAGAAAGAGGTTGAGGGATAGTGAGGGAGGTTGGAGAAGAGAGTAAAAAGAGGCTGCTTACCGGATTTGAAATTGGTGAGATGTTTCTTGGGCTGGTTGGTCTGAGGACTTGAGGTCGTAAGTGGACCTTTCTCACGGAGCAAAGAGCAGGAGGACAGTCGATTGATCTCCCAAGGGAGGTCCCCCAATCCAAGTCACGGCACCAAATTTCATGTGCGTCCGTGTGAAGAGAATACCAAACAAGCTTTGTGTGAGCAACATGGCTGTTTATTTCACCTGGGTGCAGGTGGGCTGAGTCCGAAAAGAGAGTCAGTGAAGGGAGATAAGGGTGGGGCCGTTTTATAGGATTTGGGTAGACAAAGGAAAATTACAGTCAAAGGGGGTTTGTTCTCTGGCGGGCAGGAGTGGGGGTCGCAAGGTGCTCAGTGGGGGAGTTTTTGAGCCAGGATGAGCCAGGAAAAGGACTTTCACAAGGTAATGTCATCACTTAAGGCAAGGACTGGCCATTTTCACTTCTTTTGTGGTGGAATATCACCAGTTAAGGCAAGGAACCAGCCATCTGGATATGTACGTGCAGGTCACAGGGGATATGATGGCTTAGCTTGGGCTCAGAGGCCTGACACTGACTTCTTCCATGCTCTGAGTTTTGTTCTATTTAGGCCCTCAACAAATTAGATTATGCCTACCCACACTGCGGAAGGCAAGCTGCTTGACTGAGTCCAGAGATTCAAATGCTAATCTCATCTGGAAATACCCTTAAAGACACACCCAGAAATAATGTCTAACCAGATGTCTGGGAATCCCCTGATCCAGTCAAGTTGACACATAAAATTAACATCACACATGATATATCCCGAATAGGCAAATCCATAGAGACAGAAAGATGATTAGCAGTTAACAAGGCATGGGGGAGGGGGAAATGAGCAATAATTACTTAATGGGGATGGGATGTTTTTCTAGAGTAGTAAAAAATGTTGAAATGGGCCAGGCACAGTGGCTCACGCCTGTAATGCCAGCCCTTAGGGGGACTGAGGAGGGCAGATCACCTGAGGTCAAGAGTTTGAGATCAGCCTGAATAACATGGTAAAACCCCATCTCTACTGGGCACCTGTAAAAATTAGCTGGGCATGGTGGCAGGTACCTGTAATCCCCATTACCTGGGAGGCCAAGGCAGGAGAATTGCTTGAACCTGGGAAGTGGATGTTGGAGTAAGCTGAGATTTCACCACTGCACTCCAGCCTGGGTGACAGAGCAAGACTCTGTCTCAAAAAAAAAAAAAAAAAAAAAAGTTGAAACTAAGGAGAGTTGCTGGTGTACAACATTGTGAATACACTAAATGCCACTGAATTGTACACTTTAAAATAGTTAATTGTATGTTGCATGACTTTGACTTCAATTTTTAAAAAAAGCCTAGAAAACTCTTTCTCTGCTGCTGTGTAGTGACGCAGAGGCAGAGGCTTGTGTGCATTCAAGATTTGGCTTCACCTGTAACCCACCACCACGGCCGAGGAAGGCATTGCTGCAGGAGTTGTGGACATCAATACTGCTTTACAAGAGGCTCTGAAAATTGCCCTCAGCCACAATGTTCTGGCACTTGGAATTTGTTTATTTATTTATTTTATTTTATTTTTATTTATTTAGACAGGGTCTTACTGTGTTGCCCAGGCTGGAGTGCAGTGGCCCAATCATGGCTCAGTGCAGCCTGGACCTCCTGGGCTCAAGCGATTCTCCTACTTCAGCCTCCCCAGTAGCTGGGGCTTCAGGTGTGTACCACCACATCTAGCTAATTTTTATATTTCTTGTAGAGACAAGGTTTTGCCATGTTGCCCAGGCTTGTCTTGTAGTCCTGAGCTCAAGCAATCTACCCACCTCAGCCTCTCAAAGTCCTGGGATTACAGATGTGAGCCACTGTGCCCAGCCAAGACTAGGTTAGATTTCTTAGTGAGAATTGTCTACTGAGAGTAGAGATGCAATGAGAGAGTTGTCTACTGAGAGTTGTCTACTGAGCCCTAAGAAAGTGTTCCCAGCCGGGTGTGGTGGTTCATGCCTGTAATCCCAGCACTTTGGGAGGCCAAGGTGGGTGGATCACCTGAGGTCAGGAGATCGAGACCATCCTGGCTAACACAGTGAAACCCCGTCTCTACTAAAAATACAAAAAATTAGTAGGGTGTGGTGGCAGGCACCTATAGTCCCAGCTACTTGGGAGGCTGAGGCAGGAGAATGGCATGAACCTGGGAGGCAGAGCTTGCAGTGAGCTGAGATGGTGCCACTGCACTCCAGCCTGGGCAACAGAGAAAGACTCCATCTCAAAAATAAAAAATAAAAGAAAGAAAGAAAGAAAGTGTTCCCTTCTCCTTTGCCTGTAGAATTTGCTGAAGAATTTGATCCTCCTTTAATTGGGAAAATTATCCTAATTGCTGGAGAAAACAGGTCTCTTTTTCCCCCTTAGCCAGAACTAAAGTCCACACCTAGCATGTCCTAGGGGTTGAAAAGTAGACAAATATAGGGCAGAATAGGTCTTCCCAAATAAAAAAATTACAGGAATTTACTACTTTATTTAATGAGAGGGCAGGGGACTATTTATGGAGGTGGATTTGGAAGGTTCTCAACTAAGGCAAATCTGAATATAATTTTAGATCAAAATGAATTTATCGATTCGAGTGTACTTACTGGCCGATTCTGCATCCGATGCTCTCCCACTGACAGCTGCCAACCATTATTGTAGAAATTCGAAGTGTTAGTTTATGCAAACCTGGATATGATTCTGGCCCATCATTAATTTGTACAACAGTGGAAGTCTCTTGACATAAATTAGAGGAAGAAATTTAAAGACCTCAGGAGGCAAGAATGATTTACTGAATCTATATATGTATCTTGCTGAGCAACCCAATAATTATATTCCTTGAAAAGGCACAGAATTCACCTTCATTACCAAAGCTAGAGGACAATTGATGAAGGAAGTGCCAAAATCATTAAAAAGCACTTTCCTGACCATCCTCTCTAAGCCCAGAATAGTTGTGGTTGGGTTCACCATTGAAATGGCTCTGACCTCAAGGAGGATGAGAGGATTCTGGGTTGTTAGAGGCCATGTGGTGACAGTGAAGCAGCTACATCATCTGGTGTATATATGCTGGGGTTCATTGTTGTGTGCCAGGAAAATTTAGGACACGGACACACACAAGTTTAGGAGTGCAGGTTTAATAGGTAGAAGAGAAGAGAAAGAGAAACAGCTTCCTCCATGGAGGAAGGTGTCTCCAAGCGGAAAGGACCGAGTGGAAAAGGACTGGCTGTCGGTGAATGCACTGAGTTTTATAGTCCAGTTTGAGGAGGTGGTGTCTGATTTATGTAGTGCTTAATTGGTTCAATAAGGTATGACATTTACATAGTATACAGGGAAGACTGGTTGCCTCATCTTAATCTTACTATGCAAATGGGCTTTCCAGTTGATTGGCACCATCATGTCTGCTCCTTTACAATACACGTGGCTGGCAGAGAAGGGAAGATGGAGCTGCCATCTTAAACATGTCTAGTCCTTAGTTCTTTCCTGCCAGCATTCACCCATGCAAGCTCCCAGCTTGCAGGCTGCTCTTTGTTAGAAAATGATTTGGAGGGCCGGGCACAGTGGCTTATACCTATAATCCCAGCACTTTGGGAGGCTGAGGCCAGCAGATCACTTGAGGTCAGGAGTTCGAGACCAGCCTGGCCAACATGGTGAAACCCCGACTCTACTAAAATTACAAAAATTAGCCGGGCGTGGTGGCACACACCTGTAGTCCCAGCTACTCAGGAGGCTGAGGAATGAGAATCACTTGAAGCTGGGAGGCAGAGGTTGCAGTGAGCTGAGATTGCACCACTGCACTCTAGCCTGGGCCACAGAGCAAGACTCTGTCTCAAAAAAAAAAAAAAAAAAAAAAAAAAAGAAAGAAAGTGATTTAATGATTTGGGGCTGCTTTTCATTAAAAAGAAAAGCCTTACCGAGGACTCCCATACCCTTACTATCTGCCTAAGTAATTTCTTCTTAACTCCTGTATCATTCCCCGCTCTGGAGTGGTAACCCTAACTGCTGTTAGGGAGTGTTGGGCAATGACTCTTTCTGGCTACTTCCTTCTGAAAAGGGGCGTTGTGTGGGGAACAGCAGCTAGGACTCCTCCTGAGGTCTATCTAAGGGTCCTTGGAAGAAAGGCGTGCTCATGCATAGTTCAGTCTGCAGCAGCATTTGGAGTTTGATTGCTTCTAGGCAAGAGGAAACAATTTGAGTTATAATATTGAGCAGACAAGGTCACATGAGCAAGAGAGGGCTTAATAATGGAGCTAACCAGTTCCACAAAGAAGACTGGAATTCATTAAAGAGGGATTGTAGCCATCCAGGGCTGGAACCTGCATTTTCTCTTGACCTGTCAATGATTTTTACTTGATCTTTAAGCATCTGTAAGTTTTCTTCTACTTGACTAAAGGTGTTTATCCAGAAGCAGCATGTTTCATTTAAGACTGCACAGGTACCCCACCTTTGCTGTAAGGACATCGAGGGCCAGTCGATGGCTAAAGAGTCTATGGATTGTTGTGCTTCCACAGCTCCTAATGTTGCCTTCCATCCTCGTTGCATCATAATGGAAACATTAAATGCTGACCTTTCAAGGAGAGGAATACCAGCAAACCGGAAGAGGCCTCTGGTTATGGAATTCCCCATCCATGGTCCTTCTAAGATGAGATTGTCATGTGTGTGCCCTCCCAATCTTCTCTTTCAGTTAAACCTCTACATGAGGGCATGGAAATGATAGGTCTCTTTGCTCAGCGTATTCAAGATAGTGCACTTTTTTTTTGAGAATTACAATAGGTACCTTTTATTGAAAGCTCACTGTTTGCAAAGCAGTGTACATTCATTATCAAATTAAATCATCAAAAAACCCTAAAAAGTAGGTGTCAGTATCACCTGCACTTTGTGATTGTGCCAGACAATGAGTAATAAAATAGGTAAGAATGGCTGTGGGTGAAGCCAGCTGAGTTCTCGTTATAGTCGCATTTCAGGAAATTATTTAACATGCTGACTTTAACAACCTAAGCGTCTTCTCCATGTGTGCACATAGGGTAGACCTCTGAGAGTGGCGCTGTAGCTTCTAGGGTAAAGGCTGTGTTAAGTCAAGGCAGGATGACATTTTGGCCTCCTCCCAGGCTAGTGCAAAGGGCTGTTCACTCGCATTAAGGCCTTCTCTCTCAGACTGAATTGCCCACACCCCAAAACCTGTCCTACAGAAAATTTGCAGTCCTCGCTTGTTGCCTGGCAGCCCGTACCTAATAGGGCGGTGAATTAATTATCAAACATGCAACAAAGGGTATCGAAAGTTTAGCGAAAATGGCAACATTTTGGAATAAATGACCATAATGTGTGTTCTGCCTGCCACCCTAACTGGCGCAGATTTTGCAGGTCAGTTGTTTTCCCTGGAAGCCGTATTGGCCAAGAGGAGGAAGATTATCTCTCGGATTTCAGCTTGGAGGAGAAAGAATTCAGGCTGCCAGAACTGGACTAGCACCTCTGAATATCCCGAGGTGAGGTCCCGTGACTTCCTTGGGAAGCTCTGCCGCGCCTGCACCCCACCCCACCCAACCCTACACCACCACCACCACCACCACCACCACCACCACCACAATAGGCTGCTGGAGTCTTGGGACCACCAAGGTCTGCTGCCCAAATCCTTCCTCGCTTAGGGGAGGGGAGGAGTGTTCCTGCGGGGCGGGGCGAGAAGGGAGGCTTGGGCAGGATTGTGGGATGAGATCGCCCTGGTGACGCGGAGCGGATCTAGACCTCACCTAATAAAATTTGCTTATAAAGGAGGGGGCGGTGCCCACGGTTGCTAGGGGCGCTAGCGTCTTGGGGCTGCCAGAATGGCTCCAGCTCTGTGCGCGGCGCCAGCGCATGTCACGTCCCGGCTGTGCCTCTGGCTCCCACGACCCCCTCCTCACGTAGCAACTATTGTGGCTACTCGTCCAGGCGGCTCAGCCTCTGGAGTGGGTCCAGGACCCGCTGCAGCTGATCTCCGATGCCCTGTGGCCGATGAGCCCTTGTTTTCCCGCTCCTCTGATCTCCCACCCGAATCGCCCCCATGCGCTTACCCTCCCCCCACCACGCAGACCCGGGGCCTTTGAATACCTGGGGTCCTCTGCTTCCTCCCAGATGTCAGCTCTGCCTCAGGAATCGACTGAGACTTTCACCAAGACTTTGGTTCCATTCCTGGACACGGATACAGCTGGAGAGCTGCCCCCGTGGCCAGAGCAGTTCGTTGCTGCACACCAGGATCTGAATGACAAGCTGACTCGGCAAGAAAGGCTCCCAGAGGTGGTCCCAATGCTGGACTGGGATCAGAACCAGGCCCTAGCTCGGACTCTTTGCCTCAAAAGTAAGGTTAAAACTGCAAATCTAGATCAGGCTGCAGATCATCAGGCATATGAAATACTTGTTCTACCTCTGGATAGAATTCACAAGCAACGAAGCTTATTGTTTGGCCCAAGAACCTGAAGAAAGGTCTAGCTTAGCATCGGAGGCTTGCTAAGGTTGTGGCTGGAACTCCACACCGATTTGTATAAAAACCTCAGCGTCAGAAACAAACTTTGCAGGATATTTAGATGGAAGTATGGATATACTGTATCCAGGCACCCTGTCCCCAGAACTCCAGGTGAACTCAGACGAGCCTCCAGGGCCCCCTGAGCAAGTTGGACTTTTTCAATTTCACCTAGAGCCCGAAACTCAAAATCCAGAGACCTTGAAGAGATCCAGTCCTCTTCACTCCAGCAAGAAGCCCCAGAGCAGCTTCCACAGCTCCCTGGGGAGGTAGAACCTTCTTCAACCCAGCAGGAGGCCCCAGCTCTGCCTTCACAGTCCCTTGAGAGGGTCTATTCTACTTCAACAGAGCAGGAGGCCCCAGCATAGCAGCTACCTGCCTCCGAAGAGATTGTAGCTCAGCCATCAATACATCATGAGGTAAATGTTCTATTTAGAAGTTGGAGTGAAGCAGCTAGGCGCGATGGCTCCTGCCCGTAATCCCAGCATGGGAGGCTGAGGTGGGCAGATCACAAGGTCAGGAGTTCGAGACCAACCTGGCCAAGAGACCAGCCTGGCCAGTATGGTGAAACCCCATCTCTACTAAAAATACAAAATTAGCCAGGCGTGGCGGCAGGCGCCTGTAATCCCAGCTACTTAGGAGTCTGAGGCAGGAGAATTGCTTGAACCCGGGAGGCAGAGGTTGCAGTGAGCTGAGATCACGCCACTGCACTCCAGCCTGGGCAACAGAGCAAGACTCCGTCTCAAAAAGAAAAAAAAAAAAGTTGGAGTGAAGCTCAGCACTCACACTTGCCCAGTGTCACAGTCAAACCTGTGGATGTGGAGCTTACAGTAACTCCAGAGCCAGGTAAGGAACTTACGTCAAGCCAGGAACAGGCCGCAGCTCAGCCTCCAGAGCACCCTGAGGAGGTGGACTCTTCCTCAACCCAATTAGAGGACCCAGCTCAGACACCAGAGCACCCTGAGGAGACGAAACCTTCTGCAACCCACCAAGGGACCCCAGCTGAGCCTCCAGGTCCTCCTGTGGAGGCTGAACTTTCCCCCAGTGAGCAGGAGAAGCCAGCTCAGCATTCTGAATTTCCTGGGGAGGTGAACTTTCTCAGACCCAGCAGGAGGCCCCAGCTCAGCCTCCAGAGTCCTCTGTGGAGAGTGCAGCTCAAACTCCACCGAATCATGAGGTGACACTTCACCCTCTTGGTGAGGATCAAGCTCATTATAACTTGCCCACTGTTACAGTTAAACCTGTGGATGCAGAGCTTATTATAACCTCAGAGCCTACCAAGGAGACTGAATCTTCTCCAGCCCAGCAGCAGGCCCCAACCCAGTCTCCAGAGGAGGTAGAACCTTCTGCAACCCAAAAGGAGGCCCCAGCTGAGCCTCCAGGTCCTCCTGTGGAGCCTGAACCTTCTCCAGAGAGCAGGAGCAGCCAGCTCAGCCTTCTGAGTCTTCTGGAGAGGTTGAACCTTCTCCCGCCCAGGAGGAGATCCCAGCTCAGCCTCCAAACATCATGAATTAACAGTTTTACCTCAAGCTCAGCATTCAGATTTGCCCAGTGTCACTGTTAAGTCTCCAGATATGCAGCTCACCATAGCAACGTAGCCTACTGAAGAGGTGGAAACTTCTCTAATCCACCAGGAGGCTACAGCTCAGCTCTCAGGGCCAATTAATGATGCAGAACCTTCCGCCACCCAGCATGGGGGCCCATCTCTGCCTCCAGAGTCATCAGAAGAGGCTGGACCTTTACCAGTTAAACGGTAGACTTCAATCTCCAGAAACTATTAAGGATGAGAAACCCTTTCCAACCCAGCAGGAGGCTGCAGCTGAGCATCCACAGATCCCTGAGGAGGTTGAGTCTTCTCCAACCCATCAAGAAGCCCCATCCCAGCCTTCAGAGCCCCCTAATGAAGTTGTAGCTCAATGTCCAGAGCATCATGAGGTGATAGTTTCTCCTCTAAGTCATGATCAAGTTCAGCCTCCAACATTGCAAATGTCACTGTTAAACCTGCGGATCACATGGTTTCCATGACTCCAGAGTTCACTAATCAGGTTGAAATTTTAACACAACAGGGGGTCCCAGCTCAGTCCTTAATGTCCCCTGAGCAGTTTCAACATTTGAAAGACCAGCAAGAGATTATAATTTAGCAGCTAAATACCCCTGAAAATGATGAACTTCCTCCAGTCCATCAAAAGCCCACAACTCAGCCTCCAGCTCAGCTCTCCTCAGACTTTAAGTTCATTGAATGATGAGATGGTATTTTCAACTCTAGATCTGTCTTCAATATTCAGAAGTAATTCAACTTTGACTAATGCTAGGGTCACCCCGACCAGACTGTTCTCTTTCCTTCCCACAGGCCTTACAATACAGTCCCTTGCGCTCTCCACACAGCCACCTCAGGGCAAAAGACAAACCCCCTTTCACTGACCCCTCCAGTAACTGTTTGTCCAGAAGATTTCAGCTAAACTGGCAAACAGTTACAGGACGCGGTTAACATGTCTGCTAACCTTGCTTAACAAAGCTGGCAAAAACATCTCCAGGAAGCAGGCAGAACACCTGCTCCCAACTCAGTTCACATACCCCGACCCAGTTCCTTGCCCTGTAAAGCCCTGTTGCAGCCTGTAAGCAGGGCTGTCTCCTCTGCTAGTCAAGGAGCAGCCCAGCAGGACAATAAAAACTTGCCCGCCTGACTTTGGGTCTCCTTGTCCTTTTCCTCGGCTGACCTCACAACTAATACCACAGTTAAAAATGTGGATATGGAGCTTACCATACCTATAGCAGTCACTATCGAGGTTGAACCTTCTCCATTCCAGCAGGACAACCCTCCAATTCCCACTGAGCAGGCTGACTTTTCTCTAACCCAGCCTTATACCCCTTCCCCACCTCTGGATTCTCTTGAACGGATTGAATCTCCAGCCCAGCAAGAGGCCACAGCTCAGACTCCAGATCCCCCTAAGGAAGTAGAACCTTCTCCAGTCCTGCAAGAGTTCCCAGCTGAGCCACCAGAGCCCCCTAAGGAGGTTGAACCATCTACAAGCCAGCAGGAAGCCTCAGGTGGTCCTCCAAAGTCCACTGAAGAGGTCAGTCCTCTACTGCAATGGGAGATACCAGCTCAGCCATCAGAGCCACCTGAGAAGGTTGAACCATCTCCAGTCCTACAGAAGGCCCCAACTCAGGTTTTAGAGACACATTCAAAGTAATTAACTGGCTGGGCACAGTGGCTCATGACAGTAATCCCAGTATGTTGGGAGGCCAAGGCAGGTAGATCACCTGAGGTCAGGAGTTCAAGACTAGCCTGGCCAACATGGTGAAACCCCATCTCTACTAATACTACAAAAATTAGCCAGGTGTAGATGTGGGCACCTGTAATCCTAGCTACTCGGGAGGCTGAGGCAGGTGAATTGCTGGAACCTGGGAGGCAGAGGTTGCAGTGAGCCGAGATCGTGCCACTGCACTCCAGCCTGGGCAGCAGAGTGAGACTCTGTCTCAAAAAACAAACAAACAAACAAAACGAAGTAACTAACTGGCATTTCTGTTCAAGAGATTGGACAGATAGGAAGTTAAACTTCCTAGAGATGCCTCATCATTTGTGCCAGTGACCCCACATTATTTCTTGATTAATTGTGCAAACTGGGAAGCTGATAGCTAGTTTTTCCAATTTAAGAGTCATCATGAGGATATTTTCAATTGTTGTAATGGGATTTGTGTTGTTCCAATGTCTAGATATTTTAATCCTGGCAATTTTTTTTTTTTTTCTGAGATGGAGTTATGCTCTTGTTGCCCAGGCTGGAGTGCAATGGCGCAATCTCGGCTCACCGCAACCTCTGCCTCCCAGGTTCAAGCGATTCTCCTGCCTCAGCCTCCCGAGTAGCTGGGATTACAGGCATGCATCACCATGCCCAGCTAATTTTGTATTTTTAGTAGAGATGGGGTTTCTCCATGTTGGTCAGGCTGGTCTCGAACTCCTGACCTCAGGTGATCTGCCCGCCTCGGCCTCCCAAAGTGCTGGGATTACAAGCGTGAGCCACTGCGCCCGGCAATGCCGGCAATTTAAACAGATACGAATCTTCAACATTGTCAGAGGATTGCAATTGAGAATTGTTAGTGGTGAAGTTTTGAAAAGCTCTTCTTGCTGTCTCTCCTGCTGCTCCCTTGTATAGTGTCAATGCTGGAAGTTTCTGAGAGCAGTCTGCAGGTGCTGAACATCATACTTTAACCGGTCAACCTGAAGTTTGGCATTCTGCCTTTTGTTAGGGGGCTCCTTGCTAGACAAAATCTCCAGATGTTCTAGACCCCTGAATATCTGGTCTGTGCTTGCTTGGATTTCATTTTCTACTAAGTGTGAAAACTGCTTGTCTGCCATCTCCAGGCATCCCATGTGAGACTGGATCTCATGGACCTGCTTGTGGGTTTACTGGTACGGGGGCTCCATATCACCAGTCCAGCTTGACCTGGCTGCAGCTCTGGCTTCCAAGATAGTGCACTTTCTAAAAAGGACCTAGGTTAGGGATGTCCCCAGATGATGTGGGGCAAGAGATTGGACAGATAGGAAGTTAAACTTCCCAGAGATGCCTCATCATTTGTGCCAGTGACCCCACATTATTTCTTGATTAGTTGTGCAAACTGGGAAGCTGATAGCCAGTTTTTCCAATTCAAGAGTCATCATGAGGATATTCTCATGTCAGTGCAATTCCATGTCAGTGCAATTTAAAAATAGTAGGTTGGGGACCATTGCTACTATAGTGCAGTTTCCTTAGCGTTATTGAACTGAGCAAATTGCTCAGGACAGACCCAAGAATTAGTCTTTTTGTACAAATGGGCCATGGCTGATATTGTAGGAGCTAAAGGGTGTGATGTATCACTAAACCCAATAAAAAGTCCTAGCAGACTCGGTGATAGTAAAACTTTCATGCTTCCTTTTTGTTGGTAACTATTATCCCTGTTATAAGGATAATAATTAAACAAAATACTACAACGATGGAAACTCTCTGTCCAATATTTCAGTTAGAAGGTGCTACTGTGTATAGCTCTACTGCAGTTAGTAGAATGACTATAGCAATTTCTGCAAAGGTGATGTACTAGATTATTTCCATCTAAAATTTTACTTACCAACATACAGAATTTCACTTTGGGGGTCTATGAAGTTCCTTGGTTTTATTTTCCCAAACAAAGAAACCTCTGGGTTATGGGACCCTACTCACTTTCATTACCTGGCAGAATTTGCAGGATAATTGCCCAGAACCAGCGTATTGATCCAAATATTCACATTACCCATCCCTTTCTGCTTCTTCCAAGCTGCAGAAGATCACCACTTGATCCACAGGAATAAGCAGGGTTAGTCTAAAACATAGGCAAAAAGCTTAAAAACAATTAGACTAGGATTTAATGACAAATATGTGATAAGCTTGGGAGCATAATTTCTCTCTCTAGTCCTCATTTTTGGTAAAAACAAATTATCATAGGACTGTGTTATTCATAGAATAAACTTTAGTTTTATACTTGGCCTGGTTATTTGCATAAAGTGCAGCAAGAATAGTTATTTCAACATAAGCCTTTTGGACTGGTTTTGATGGAACTCTGTTCCACAAGGAATCTCAGATAAGACCTTTTAAAGCTGAGCCCAGCCATGGGTTTGTATCCTCAAATACCTGTGAGTTGGGTGATCCTCTTCTCATAAGGTCCCAAGATAAACTTGGAGCTCCTGGACCTGTTAGAAAGTGACATTCTTTACTGACCACAGGTTAAGAACCCTGTGTGGGAACTGTGCAGACAAGGTATGAGGCCTTGTTCTCCCCATGGGGCTTTTATCAGCTCAGCAAGTCAAGATTGACTCCTTAAAGGAAAGCATACCCTTCCAGTCAAAGCCTTGGTAAAATAACCAGGTTTTCCAATTGTGTCCTGTTGCAAAAGAAAAATGGATTCTTATCGCACCGATGCAAACAACTATATTGTCATAAGTTAAGAATACGTGCAGATAGTTTCCAAATTCTAGAGGAACCAGGCAGACAGAAACATGCTCCAAATTTTGTTCACAAGAGTATGCCTTACTCAATTATATAAGGCCATAAGTCGTTCAAAATACATTTCCTTGACTCTGAAAAACCAAACAAGGATCAGCAATATTTCAAGCAAAAGTCAAAAAGGTTGCTTTAACTTTCTGAGTGCAGTCCATTTAGTTAGCTCTTGTTTTGCTTGATATTCGTGAACATTTCAGTTATTCATGAGTCCCATACATTCTTTCTCTATTACAATGTTACAATCTTCAAAGCTATTAAAAACCTGCCTTTGAGAACACCTGTTAAAGTCTTATAGCTTGATTATAACCCATCTTTTGAGAAGGAACAAAGCAAGACAAAAATTATCTGTGAATGACAAAATTTCCAGGGTAGTTACAGTTAAAAACATGACTGACAAAGAAGTTTAGTTATATTTGTGGTTTACAATAACTTAACATAACAACCTTAATTACGATTGATAGCATATACTCATACATTAGAATTTTAGAAATCTCATATGATTTTGGAACATGTATTAGTATAATTCACCAAAATATAACTTAAAGAAGATTGGACATTGGCTGGGCATGGTGGCTCAGGCCTGTAACCCCAGCACTTTGGGAGGCCAAGGTGGGCAGATAACCTGAGGTTGGGAGTTCGAGACCAGCCTGACCAACGTGGAGAAACCTCGTCTCTATTAAAAATACAAAAAATTAGCCAGGTGCAGTGGCACATGCCTGTAATCTCAGCTACTCGGGAGGCTGAGGGTAGGAGAAAGGCTTGAACCCGGGAGGCGGAGGTTGCAGTGAGCTGAGATCGTGCCGTTGCACTCCAGCCTGGGCAACAAAAGCAAAACTCCATCTCAAAAAAAAAAAAAAAAAAAAAACCGCCAGGCGCAGGGGCTCATGCCTGTAATCCCAGCACTTTGGGAGGCCAAGGTGGGTAGATCACGAGGTCAGGAGATCGAGACCATCCTGGCTAACACGGTGAAACCCTGTCTCTACTAAAAATACAAAAAATTAGCCAGGTATGGTGGCGGGCACCTGTAGTCCCAGCTACTCGGGAGGCTGAGGCAGCAGAATGGTGTGAACCCGGGAGGCAGAGCTTGCAGTGAGCAGAGATTGCACCACTGCACTCCAGCCTGGGTGACAGAGTGAGACACCATCTCAAAAAAAGAAAAAAAAAAAAAGAAGCTTAGACATCATTTTGGCAATCTCATGTGACTAAACATGTCAAATAATCCTGTTTACCTCTTCTCTGGATTATTCAGGGGAACTGTGAACCATCCAGAAAGCCAGGCATCAGGAAAGACAATTTTGAAACTTGAAGTTTGATTTTGGGATGCCTGTTAAATGTTAGAGGTTTAAAACACTTGATGTTATGAAATAGAATTCTAGAATGCCATAAATTATTTATTTTGCCAAAATGATGACTCAGAAGGCAAAAACCATTCATTAGCCTTTACTATTACATAAAAATTCTGCTTAAAGACAAATTTTAACCTTGCATTAGTTTGTTAATGTTAACCCCAATGTGTTTAAATGAAACCTTATAGACAATTCTATCTATTGACCATGAGGTGGTCAATTTGACCACAAGGTGAAATCTTTACAAACCCTTTATAACCCCTTTTGCTAAAGGGCAGATTAGTGTCTTAAGACAACCTTGCTGTGCTTTTATTTCAATGTTCAATTTATGAAAAAACCATATAATATCCTTTTGAATTCAGTTAATTTTTATACATTTTTTGCAAGATTACTTTTTACAATCTTTCTATAACTTGCTTAAACCTCTAGCTCTCTTATCAAATTTAACATAATCCCTCATACCAGGGCAAAATTTACATTTCCATGCTTTCTTATAATCTTTACTAAAAAACACATTTTACTGTTTTTATACACCTTGCATGTAAAACTGTTTAGTGATCTCAAATACATGCTGCACTGTTAACTCTTAGCAACTTTTACTTTTGGTGAAAAACCTGGTAAGTAAGCAATTTTAATTATGTACCAAGTGTGGAGCCTAGGACCCAGACAGAAGTGCAGATAAGGTCTGACTCTTTCCAGCATCTAACTCCACATGTCCCAGGCCTTACCCATCTGCAAAGCAGGCAGTATACAACCTTGGAACATTTAGCAAACCTAGTATCTAAGTTGTATGTATTAGACCACCTATTTGCATTTTACCAATAATCCTTATGACTAATTTCTTAAAGACTAAAGTCACGTGAACTAAAAAATATTTGATTTAAGCCCTTATTTTTCTTTCAGCCAATCAATTAGAGCTCTTTTTATAGACATTACACACAAAACATATATAGCGACACAGACACAAGATTCAGCACTTGTTAGATTTTTTATTTGCCGGTTTCTTAATTAAATTATTGGTTTCAGGGTGGAGCCCTTGGAGGAACAGGGCCAGGAAGGCATGCATTTCTAGGGCATAATAAGCAGGCACGGCTGAAGGCAAAGACAGATCCTCAAAATTAAGGGTGTCATTTGATATTGGATCCCCCAAATAGGAGAGATACTATGGGAGAAGACAGTGCAGTGCTTCTACTGTGCATTTCATTGCAAAGCAACCCAAAGCCAATCAACTTATTTTGTAATTAGCCCATCTCCCATGGGAGTCTCATCTCTCGTTGTGGGGATAGGGGGAATGTTTCTGTATCTTTCAGGTGACCAAGAGCATGCTTCTCTGATTTATAACTACTATTAGCCATCCCTTAAAGTGTATTTGCTACCTAGTTATTACACACCAAACCTCTCTCCTAATGTAATTTGATACTCCCAAAATTCAAAACTGTCAGATAACATAATGCAAAACATAATGCAAAAATAAAGCCTTTGATTTTGAGAGAGAAATATCTGCTTCTAGTTCCTGGGGTTTCATGGGGAAAACGAGGTTTTTCTCCCAAAACAGGGTCTGTGGTGCCTCCTCTGGTTTTCCCAAGGAATCCCATGCTACCAGAAGTTATCTTAGAGCCTCTCATTGTGCATTACGAGTGGCAAGATAAAAAATGTAGACTAATAATTCAGTCAACTGAGAAGGAAAAAACCTTTTTCCAGAAAAACAAGATCCAAAAAGAGAAAAACATAAAGGCCATTAAAATATACCTATAACTTGAATATCCACTTTTAATTAACCTGAGTACTCTTTAACAAAATCCTTTTAAATCCCTTGTAACTTGACATTAGCCACCTCAAGCAGTTAAGATTTTTGGCTTTTGAAATTTACAAAAAGTAACCTCACAGGTGAAATCGACAAGCCTTAATTAGGTTATGACTTAACCATGAGTGCATGTGTACAAGGTATTTTTAAAGGGGTGATAGGCGGTTTTTGAAACTGTCATTTCAAAATTGTGACCACGATAGTGAAAGAGATCCAACCCAACCAACTCCATTTTGTTTCCAGCCCCCAAGCTTTCCTTGCTTATCCCTGGGCGTAGACCAAACCAACTTTGGGAGGAGCCTGGTTTAGAGTTTATAGTCTAAAATAAAGATGATGACAGCCCCTTCTTAAGATTTACTTCCTTCTTGCCTGGGTACCAGACCAGGAAACTAGCCACAAGATTAAAAACCATGGCCTAGAAGTCACACAGCTGGAGCCTACAAGATTTTGACTCTCCCTAAACTGCTCTCAAGATCGGTGCTGGCTGGGTGCGGTGGCTCACACCTGTAATCCTGGCACTTTGGGAGGCTGAGGCGGGCAGATCATGAGGTCAGGAGATCAAGACCATCCTGGCTAACATGGTGAAACCCCATCTCTACTAAAAATACAAACAAAAAAAAAAATTAACCGGGCGTGGTGGCAGGCGCCTGTAGTCCCAGCTACTCAGGAGGCTGAGGTAGGAGAATGGCGTGAACCCGGGAGGTAGAGCTTGCAGTGAGCCGAGATGGCGCCACTGCACTCCAGCCTGGGTGACAGAGCGAGACTCCACCTTAAAAAAAAAAAAAAAAAAGATCAGTGCTGAAGACATTTTTAAACCCTCCCCTGGATGGATCAGCTGGCACCATCCAGGTTGACAAACTGGCTTATCTGATTTTGTGGCCCTCACTCAGGAACTGATTTAGCATAAGAAGACAGCCATCATGTAAAATGGTGGCAACTAAAACAAAGTACTGCCATGTGGTTATGGGTCATGATCCCAAGGACATGAAACAAGATAGAGACCTGTAGCCAAGTTTATTACTGACCATTCTGTTGGGCTGCCTTGAACAGCAGGCTTATGAGGTCCACGGTCTGTATCCGAACCTAAGGTACCCTTTCTCTTAACAGAACCATATGGAAAGACACACAAAGCACATCAGAATGGCTACAGCTTAAGACCAACCTCACGATTTTTTTTGATTAATTAAAACTTTACAGAGAATATAAACAATGAACCTTATTATCCCTTTCGCTGGTTTGCATAGGGAGAGAAAAGCCAAAAGCTTGACTGTTAGAAAAAACTTCTACCCTTTTGCCAGCGTGTCAGGCTTCTGGGTTCCCTTCCCCTAGCTCAACTCTAAGCCAAGCATTTTAAGGTTTGGAGAAACTAACTTTTCCCAGTTTGGAAGAACATTATGAAAGAGCCATTTTAAACTGTGAAAGTAGGCCAGGTACAGTGGCTCATGCCTGTAATCCCAGTACTTTGGCGGGTCGAGGTGGGCAGATCACCTGAGGTCAGGAGTTTGAGACCAGCCTGGCCAACATGGTGAAACCCCATCTCTACTAAAAATACAAAATATCAGCTGGACGTGGTGGTGCATGCCTGTAATCCTAGCCACTCAGGAGGTTGAGACAGAAGAATCGCTTGAACCCAGGAGGCAGAGGTTGCAGTGAGCTGAGATCACGCCACTTCACTCCAGCCTGGGCAACAAGAGTGAAACTCAATCTCAAAAAAAATAAATAACAAATAATAAAAATAAATAAACTGTGAAAGAAGGAAAAACACTGTAGAAAAGTCTGGGTGTTCCAGTTAGGGTTGTCAAGAGGTATTTCCTCTCTTCCTATTGGGAATGGTGTTTCCCGTTTTTTTTTTTTTTGCCTTTCGTATTTTCTCTTTTCCTTTTAGGCCTACTATGGGAGACATATTCCTCATCTCCAAATTTCTCTGCTGCCTACAGAGCTGGCTGGCTCTCAGCTGTGGTTAGGGTTTGGCTTAGGAGAAGCATAACACCCCTCCATGAGAGGTCAAATACCTAAGTTACATTTTGGAAAGCTTCTATATACCTATTGGGGTTGTCAGAAAATTGGCCTAAGTCTCTCTTTATTTGCCTAAGGTCCTGTAATGAGAAGGGAACTTGAAAGGGCCCCAAATAAGGGAGATCCTCAGATGGATCCCCCAGAAGTTGCTTCTCTAATTTGGGGGCATTATTCTCTTTGGTCATGCCAAATGTGATTGCTAAAAGGGCTGGGTTAATTTTGTAACACTTGCAAAGGTCTAATAAAAAGGCCATGCCCTTGTGCAAAAGAAAATGAGCCACTTTTTCTTTAAAGTTTCAGGGTGAAAGGAGTCCCAGTGCTTCAGAATGCATTCCAGGGGAGTGCAGGCTGAAGATGGTACCCATCTAGAAAGAGAAGTGAGAAAAAGGCATCCTTTTAGTCTCCTTCCTTTTGGTGTGACCCAGGGTGGAGACGAAGACAGTGGGGGTGTCCCCCTGATGTTTTCCCTCCGTGGTTCCTTGGTCCCAGCACCTTGTTGAACATGCCACCCATGGTTGCAGGCGTGACCTCCAGCCATGGAACCAGAAGAACTAAGCGATTGGGGCTAGTCACGCTCACCCAAGTGACTCTAGTCCTCTGCCTGTGATTTCCCTTTGACTTCCTGGATTTGTGTGATCTACCTGGCTCCCCAAAAATTGGATCCCAAGAAAAGCTATGTAATAGTTGGGCAAGGACCCTTTAATGGAGTGGGAGTGCTAAATTGAACTCTATATCCTGCTATTATGGCCCATACTGAAGCGTTTACCCTTAGAGAATGGTTCTCGTTAACTTCTGAACTTAAAATCCCCTTACCAATTAAGTACCACTCTAATTGGAGGCAGAATAGGTGCCTTAAAAGAATGTAGGTATTGAATGGCCCTTTTACTGTTGATGGGACAGTATTGACACTAAAATTTGGTTTTGGAGGATATTTTACCCCTAATTGTTGAAGGCAGAGTTTTCCCATTTACAGAAGTAGCGTGAAGCCTGGTTTTTAGTAGAGAGGCACAAAAAGGGGAGAGAATTGGGAGGCTAGGGTGTTTCAGTGAAGGACAATGTGCCTCATGGAGAGGATCCCTATTCCACTAGGTGGCGCTGTTTACCTTGAAACGCCATGTGCTCTCTAGACCAAGGACAGAGTGACATTGACATGCCATATGTTCTCCAGACCAAGGACAGAGAGAGACCTGGAAATGCCGTGCTCGCCAGACCAAGCGCAGAGACACATGCTCACTGTTGGGGAGGAACCCTCTGTTCCTAGAAAATCACAAAGACACCTTCCCCTGAGCTATATCCCCAGTTACTATGACATTCCCTGATCTTGCCAAACAAGATTACTTCCCTGAAGTGTAAAACTTCCTGCACACTGCATACACAGAGAGGATAAGAGATATGACAAATGTGGTCAAGGAAGGAGGAAATTATGAAGGAAAGTTGGAGATCCTGGTGCCGACACCCCACTGGGGTGGTTGGAAGCAGGGGTCAGTCCAGAAGCCTTTGGATAACACCGGGGGGTAGCCCCAGCCAGAAGCCCTCAGTTGCCTCAGGACTTCTTCCAGCGCCACACCATGGCTGTCCTTCAAGAAAGGTCTAAAATGGAGACTGAGAGCCTCAGAATGAAAAGACAGAGTTGGAGTCCACTCCTTTACTCACTGTTTCGATGAATGTTGTACTTTGGTATCCCAGACAGGCCCCCATTATGAAGCAGCTTCGTTTTCTGGGGTATATACCCTTGGGTTCTTTGTTGTGGGCCAAAAAATTTAGGACACAGACAAACACAAGGAGTTTAGGAGCAGAAGTTTAATAGGTAGAAGAAAAGAGAGAGAAACAGCTTCCTGCACAGAGGAAGGGGTCTCCAAGCAGAAGGAACCTAGCAGAAAATGACCAAGTGGAAAAGGACTGGCTGGTGGCAAATAAGCTGAGTTTTATATACAGTTTGAGGTCGTGGTGTCTGATTTATGTAGGGCTCACAGATTGGTTCGATCAGGTATGGGTTTACATAGGGCACAGGGAAGACTGGTCACCTCACCTTAATCTTCTTATGCAAATGGACTTTCCAGTTGATCAGCACTATCTTATCCACTCCTTTACAGTACCCATGGCTGGCAGAAAAGGGAGGATGGAGCCATCATCTTGAACATGTCTAGTCCTTAGTTCCTGCCTGCATTCACCTGTGCAAGCGCCCAGCTTTCAGGCTGCTCTTTGTTAGAAAATGATTTGGGGCTGCTTTTCATTAAAAAGAGAAGACTTACCAAGGACTCCCATCCCCTTACTATCTGCCTAAGTAATTTCTTCTTAACTCCTGTATCAACAGTTACCCATCAAATACAAAGGAGGAAGGGTTACCAGTAAGCAACAGGGTTGACATGAAAACAGAGTGGTGAGACCTACAGAAATCTTTGGAAACAACTGCTTATGAACGGCCTACCAAGTTCCCACTTTTTTATTTTTTTTGAGACAGGGTCTCACTCTGTCACCTAGGCGGGAATGCAGTGGTGCAATCATGGCTCACTCATTACAGCCTCAACCTCCCGAGCTCAAGTGATCCTCCCATATCAGCCTCCCAAGTAGTTGGGACTACAGGCACGCACCATCATCCCTGGCAAATTTTTGTACTTTTTGTAGAGATGGGATTTCACTGTGTTGCCCAAGCTGGTCTCGAGCTCCTGGGCTCAAGCAATCCACTCACCTCAGCCTCCCAAAGTGCTGAGATTACAGGCATGAGCCACCGTGCCCAACTCCCACTTAATGTTTTCTTTTGTTTTTTGAGTCAGAGTCTTGCTCTGTCACCCAGGCTTGAGTGCAGTGGTGCAATCTTGGCTCACTGCAACCTCCATCTCCTGGGATCAGGCGATTCTCCTGCCTCAGCCTCCCGAGTAACTGGCATTACAGTCATGTGCCAACACACCTGGCTAATTTTTTGTATTTTTGGTAGAGATGGGGTTTCACCTTGTTGGCCAGGCTGGTCTTGAACTCCTGACCTCAAGCGATCCACCTGCCTTGGCTTCCCAAAGTGCTAGGATTACAGGCATGAGCCACCACACATGGCCTCCCACTTAGTTTTTATATCAAGACAAACAACAAAAATACCTCCTTGTCCAGTAAACAGAGGTCTATTTTGACACAATAGACAGTTTTCATCTTTCACGCAATTCCCATACATGAATCAATTCACAGGTGCACAGACCATTGATTAAAGGAAGAGTATAGGATGCTTAAGGAAAGATCCAGCAACAGCAACACAAGTTCATACTATGAACATTTTTTCCTGTTCTTTCCCAACGGATAAATACACAAACCTCTTGGGGACAATCAGACAACTAACCACAGATTCCTGGAGACCCACAATGCCTCTGGGCTTCAGCAGTCAGAGTATGGGCTTATGGAAATGTATGATTAAGTGTTGATAAGAAAAACAGAGAACATTCAACATATTTCAAGCAGAAATGTATATAATGCAGGGACTTGCTTACAAAGATGTTGGAAATGCCAAAGGAGCTAAGAGTAAAATGTGACATTTTCCAGAGCCCAGGAAACCACCCTGGGGGTGAAGCCAACAACCCCACTTTCACTACTGACAGTGCTGGAAGAGCCACCACTGCTAAAGGTAAGTCACCTCCTAAAGCCTAAGAATTTCTCCCTTCTTCTCACCTTCAAATATAACCAAGCACCTCCCATTGGCACAATGTAACTGGGACCCAGCTAGCAGTGGAGTCTGGGAAGTGTTGTTGGCTGGTGTCTAGCTCTGGCAGTACAGGGCAGATGGCAGATGGTCAACTGAGAGGCTAAGTACCAAGAGACAACAGGAGGCATGGGGATTTAGGTGACAAATGGAGTTTTGACCAAAGTCCACTTTAGGGTGGATCTAGTCCCCAAAACTGATAGTTTTGTCCTTGTTTGTATAACTGTAAGGAATTTCCTAAAATACTGGCAGAAACCTGCATTAGCCTACTGACCATAGGTTAATAGCTTTTATTATAAGAATAGGTTATTATATAACTTAACATAGGTTAAATAGAATAGGTTTATTATAAGAATAGGTTAATAGCTTTTATTATAAGAAGAACAGGCTGGGCGTGGTGGCTCATGCCTGTAATCTTAGCACTTTGGGAGGCTGAAGCAGGCAGATCACCTGGGGTCAGGAGTTCGAGACCAGCCTGGCCAACATGGGGCAACCCCATCTCTACTAAAAATACAAATATTAGCCAAGTGGCAGGTGCCCGTAATCCAAGCTACTCGGGAGGCTGAGGCAGGAGAATTGCTTGAACCCAGGGGCAGAGATTGCAGTGAGCTGAGATCACACCACTGTACTTCAGCCTGAGTGAGAGAGTGAAACTCTGCCTCTAAATAAATAAATAAAACAAGCTGGATGTAGTGGCTCATGCCTGTAAACTCTCAACACTTTAAGAGGCTGAGGCTGGCAGATCGCTTGAGGCCAGGAATTTGAAACCAGCATGGGCAGCATGGTAAAACCCTGTCTCTACTAAAAATACAAAAATTAGCTGGGCATGGTGGTGCACGCCTGTAATCCCAGCTACTCAGGAGGCCGAAGCAGGGGAATTGCTTGAACCTGGGAGGCAGAGGTTGCAGTAAGCTGAGATCATGCCACTGCACTCCAGCCTGGGTGACAGAGTGAGACTCTATCTCAAAAAAGAAAAACAAAGTAGAACTCATCAAAGTTTTTCATTCCCACCAAAATGTAAATTAAAATAAAAAATTCTGGTATGCTGAGAGCAACTAAAAGAATTTTTTAAATAAAAATAAAATAAAAAATCCTGAAAGCATTGCAAAGTTTAATGCCACCATCAAAGACCTCAGATATGCAGAGGCGGTGACTTCTGTCACATCCATATCCATGTCTTCAGTTTAGATAAAGAGACAGATGGTCTTCAAGAAGGTGGAGGAATATTGAAAACTGAATCAAATGGCAGCCTCAGTTGCCACTGCTATTTCAGATGTGGCTTTTGGGGGAGTACATCAGTACGACTCCCAGAATTTGATCAAGCAAATGCATTTTTCTCCAATATAACAGAGGATATAAGAAGCAATTTGTGGCCAGGCATGGTGCCTCATGCTTGTAATCCCAGCACTTTGGGAGGCTAAGGCAGGTGGATCATTTGAGGCCAGTAGTTCGAGACCAGCCTGGCCAACATGGTGAAACCTTGTTTCTACTAAAAATACAAAAAATTAGCCAGGCATGGTGGCGGGTGCCTGTAATCCCATCTACTTGGGAGGCTGAGGCAGGGGAATTGCTTGAACCCTGGAGGTGGAGGTTGCAGTGAGCCAAGATCGCGCCATTGCACTCCAGCCTGAATGACAGACCGAAACTCCATCTCAATGGAAAAAAAAAAAAAAAAAAGAAGCAGCAGCAATTTGCTTTATGGCCAGGCATGGTGGCTCACACCTGTAATCCTAGCACTTTGGGAGGCTGAGGCTGGCAGAAGTTTCAGTGAGCCAAGATCATGTGTGCCACTCCACTCCAGCTTGGGTGACAGAGTGAGACTCCCTCTCAAAAAAAAAAAAAAAAAAGCAATTTGCTTTATAATCTTTACTCAAAGAAAATCCAACACTTCTGCTCTGTGCCCCAATTTGGTCTGTAGAAATTTTGGCTCTGCCATCATCTGTATCAGTCAGTTCAGTGCAGAAAACAAACAACTCAATGTATTCAAAACAGGCGTTTCCTGCCAGCAGCCACTTCTGCAGAAAGGTGACTTCTGCCTCATGTCTGCTTTCCCAAATCTCACATGGATGTGCCTACTTGAAGGAACCTAGTTCACAAGCAGAACCTTAGCTGCAAGGGACTCTGGGAAATGTGGTATTTCACTTTACAATGCATCCAATAGAAGGAGGGTGGCATAGAGGTCAAGAGTCAGTCCAAGTATTTGTCATTCCATCCTACAGGCTGTCATGCTGTTCCACTATTTTGGTGGCATCGTGCTGACAGAACCCCAAAAGTAGAAAACATTGGGTATAAAAGGGTGGGAGATAAATCCAACAAAAATATAGCAGCCTGCCATTTCATTAAAATTTTGGAAGTCACACAGTCTGAGACACACCAGGACATTCCCTCCAGAGCAAAGGACAGGTTGCTGCACTTTAGTCTTCCTTCCTCTAAGAAGGAACCCCAGTGCTTGATAGGTCTCTTTGGATTTTGCGGGCAACATACAAACATTACTAGGTACACTACTTCTTTTTTTTTTTTTAATAATTTTTTTACTTTTATTTTTAGCAAAGACATGGTTTTGCCATGTTGGCCAGGCTGGTCTTGAACTCTTGGCCTCAAGCAATCAGCCCGCCGTGGCTTCCCAAAGTGCTGGAATTATAGGCATGAGCCACCGCACCCAGCCAACTCCTTCTAACTATTTGCCAGTCTCCAGGTTTGAGTAAGGCACAGAGTTAGAGAGGATGCCTCTCCAACTGGTCCAGGCTCAGCAATTTGGCCCTGACAGCTGAACAGATCCACAGTCAAAGTGTCTGAGGGAAGGCCAGGTGCGGTGGCTTACACCTGTAATCCCAGCACTTTAGGAGGCCGAGGCAGATGGATCACCTGAGGTCAGGAATTCAAGACCAGCCTGACCAAGATGGAGAAACCCCATCTCTATTAAAAATACAAAATTAGCTGGGCATGGTGGCGGGTGCCTGTAATCCCAGCTACTCAGGGGGCTGAGGCAGGAGAATTGCTTGAACCTGGGAGGCGGAAGGTGCAGTGAGCCGAGATCGTGCCATTGCACTCCAGCCTGGGCAACTAAGAGTGAAACTCTGCCTCAAAAAAAAAAAAAAAGCGTCTGAGGGAAATGATGCCATACTGAGCCTATTGCAAACATTGGTAGAGGGATCACCATAGAGGCCCTCAAAGTTTGGAGGCAAAGCTGTTAGCCGTTCCTCATTCATACTGAGTATTTTTCTTTTGAGAAATAGCTCCTGAGTTTTAGTAGTAGTAGCTACTCGTAGCTAGTAGCTACTTTTTTTTTTTTAAAGAACATGAACCAAAGTTTTATTTGTTCATTATCGCATTTGAAGTACTCTTCGATGACATCCTTGCCCTAGTAGTAGCTACTAGGATTTTCCTAATAGTTCTAGTAGGCTGAATGCTTGACCATAGAGCACTAGGTGACGTTGCAACCTGAGCTGCCCATCATGAATTGGGTGTTTTCTGATCGCCAATACTCAGTAATTCTCAAGTGAAAGTGGCCCATAGAGAATGTGGCCTAAACAGCCCTGAAGGTGCAATGAGCAGGCTGTTCTTACTCCCAGTACCCATTCCTGCACACTGCTCCAGAGACTCCAACCCAGGCGACATGGGAGGAAACGAGTGTGAACTGTTATGCATGGCTCTGTACAATGTGCTGGTATGAGCCAGAAATGGACTGTCATGGCCTGAGCAAGGTCACTCTGAAGGATAGCAGAGAAAGGAACTCTTCTTGGTGGCAGTTGGAGCAAGGCATGTGGTTTTCCACTGTCTCGAGGCAGAGATGTCTTGAAATCAGAATCAACATTGAATCACAGGCCATGGTTACTGAAGGAAGCAAGATGAGAGAATAAAAAGTTTAGGAGAGGATGGGCACGGTGGCTCATGCCTGTAATCCCAGCATTTTGGGAGGCCGAGGCAGGCAGATCACTTGAGGTCAGGAATTCTAGACCAGCCTGGCCAACATGGCGAAACCTTTGTGTCTACCAAAAAACACAAAAATTAGCCAGGCTTGGTGGTCACGCCTGTAATTCCAGCTACTCAGGATGTGGGAGCACAAAAATCACTTGAACCTGGGAGGTGGAGGTTGCAGTGAGCAGAGATGACACCTCTGCACTCCAGCCTGGGCAACAGAGTGAGATCCTGTCTCAACAACAACAAAAAAAGTTTGGGAGAGAGAAACAAGGATAGACCCGCTGAAATAGACCC
Organism: Homo sapiens; assembly: GCF_000001405.40. NCBI lineage: Eukaryota > Metazoa > Chordata > Mammalia > Primates > Hominidae > Homo > Homo sapiens. The sequence continues at coordinate 32,407,330 of NC_000001.11, read as the reverse complement.
AGCCATTAGAATATTCATGACTATGTAAATGATTGTGACAAGGCTCCACTGTAAAGAAAAAATTATATGAGAGCCTGGTTTTCAGATGGCAGATTCTGAAAGAGCAAGAAACAGTTTTATGAAAATGGTTATATGGCCCCAAAGGATGCTGGAGAAGGAAATTCCTCAATAGGCAGAACTGTAAGCAGTGCATTTCATTGTCCACTTTGCCTGGTAGGAAAAATGGCCTGAGGTCAGGATCTATACCAGTTCACGAGCCAATGACAAATAGTGTGAGTAGCTCAGCATCTTAAAAGATTGCAAGTTAATGACAAAGAGGTTTGGGAAAGGTGGATTTCCTGGAATGGTCACAGATCATGAGACAGCAGGTGTGCCAAATGATTGCTCACCATGGGCCCCCGCTGTGCAGGAAGCTTTCACTAATCAGCAGATCTGTTCTGTGGATATTAACTAGATGGCCTTTTCCACCAGCCAGTCCAGTTCTTGTTCAATGGGTTCATGGACAAAGGACGATAGTGACAGGAGTGGAAATTATGCATAGGCCCAAGAACAGGGACATCCCTGTCCAAGGCCGTCCTGGCAACCACCACTACTGACCTACTGATGCCCTGTTTGCCTACAGGAGCAAACAGTCCTGGACTCTTGATGTGATGTCATACCTTGAGGGAACAAACCAACTATCTGGTGGCAGATCAATTACATAGGACCATGTCCCTTGTGAAGAAGGAACAATTTGTCTCACCGGTGACAGTGCTTACTCTGGGTTTGAATTTCCTTTCCCTGCTTCTCATTCTTCTCTCAGAACCTCCATCTATGGACTTAATACACAGTCTTAGTGTCCCACACAATATTGTTTCTGACCATGAAATTCACTTCACAAGAAAAGAAGTGAGAGTGAGCAGACACCAGAGGATTCACTAACCTGAGCTCCATCAGCCAGCCTTCTAGAGTGGTGGCAAAACCTACTGAAGGTCCAGGTAATCTACCAGCTGTTAGATAGCACCCTGTGAGATACAGCACTGTTAAAAGGATGCAGTATATGCTCTGAACCAGTGTACCATTTCTTCCTTAGCCAGATACATAGTTCAGAAACCAAGAGCTGTGTGTAGGAGTGGTTTCTTTCACACTTAGACTTTTTTTTTTTTTTGGAGACAGGGTCTCCCTCTGTCACCCAGGGTAGAGTGCAGTGGTGCAATCTTGGCTCACTGCAACCTTCACTTCCCGGGCTCAACTGATTCTCCTGCCTCAGCTAGCACCACAGGTGTGAGCCACTATGCCTGGCTAACTTTTTTTTGGTATTTTTTAGAGACAAGGTTTTGCCATGTTGCCCAGGCTAGTCTCAAACTCCTGGCCTCAAGCGATCCATCTGCCTCAGCCTCCCAAAGTGCTGCGATTACAGGTGTGAGCCACTGAGCCCAGCCCACAGTGAAACTTTTTGACTCACTCATAAGTTATTTGCTTCTTGACTCTATGACTGTAGGGAGGGGAGGTATGTTAAAAGCTTTTAGTGTCTAAGAGAGAAATGCCTCCATCACGTGACACAAATTTTCAACAAATTGGAAGTTGAAATTGCCACTCAACCTTTTTGAGTATCTCCTGCCACTGAACAGACAGGCCAAAAAAAAAAAAAAAATCAAGATATTTTCTAGAATTTTTTTTTTTTTTTTTTGAGACGGAGTCTCGCTCTGTCGCCCAGGCTGGAGTGCAGTGGCGGGATCTCGGCTCACTGCAAGCTCCGCCTCCCGGGTTCACGCCATTCTCCTGCCTCAGCCTCCCAAGTAGCTGGGACTATAGGCGCCCGCCACTACGCCCGGCTAATTTTTTTGTATTTTTAGTAGAGACGGGGTTTCACCGTTTTAGCCGGGATGGTCTCGATCTCCTGACCTCGCGATCCGCCCACCTCGGCCTCCCAAAGTGCTGGGATTACAGGCGTGAGCCACCACGCCCGGCCATTTTCTAGAATTTTATACTCTAGTTACCAAGCGGAAATAGGTTGTTACCACTGAGTGGAGGCAGGGAGGTTTAGTGATAGACTTTGCTATATTTCCTAAGGATCCTACAACTACTGCAATATTCTGTGATCAAAGTCACGGCAAAACTACTGCAATTCTATACAAAAGGATCTTCTAGGCCACAGATAGCTCAGGAATGAAGGGGTGGGTCTCTCCTGTGGCTAAATAACTTGAACATCTGTTGCTGACTGAAGGCAGATGGAACCTAGAATAGATAGTAAAGAAGGAAAGTCATAAATACAAGATCAGCCTTAGACTGCTTTATATGGGGGGGGGGCGGATTATAGTCTCTACTTGAATTTCTTTCCTTGATGTAGATATTTACATATTTCAAATACTTTTGCTTCTCTTTCTTCTCCCTTTCTGCCACTATCGTCTCTAGGTGGTTTTATAGGGAGATTAACTTCACCATTCAGTGATGGATTGCAGATTCCTAAGCAGGAATTCTGAGAGCCGGAGGACAGTCGTCAAGGCTTTGGATGCCTTCTTTGGAGAGTAATTAAAACAGTGTTTTTAATTACAGAAGTGGTAGCTACTTTATGCTAATTGGGAAGCAAGTCTAAGTTCAAAACACAGAGTATATGTGTTTGGCAGCAAATGGGGAACAGGACAGTTGATGTTCGGGCTATCTGCATCCAAGCCCAGTCTCCCTTTTGGGAAAAAACCCTCACTGTTGTAGTAAGAATATTCCACTTCCCACCTCCCACCTCCCTTACACAGAAGCCAGAGGGAGCTAAATCTTTCCCCACTCCCAGAAATAGCCAAGAAGGAGGCTTATGGTGTGTGAGTCCCAAAAACAATGCTGGAGGTGCCCAGAAGAATATTATTATTGACTGAATGCGGTGGCTCACGCCTGTAAGTTTAGCACTTTGGGAGGCTGAGGCGGGTGGACTGCTTAAGCCCAGGAGTTCAAGATCAGCCTAGGCAACATGGCAAAACCCTGTATCTATAAAAATACAAAAATTAGCCAGATGGTGGCGTGTGCCTGTGGTCCCAGCTACTTGGGAGGCTGAAGTGGGAGGGTGGCTTGAGCCCAGGAGGCAGAGGTTGCATTGAGCCGAGATCGTGCCACTACACTTCAGCCTGGGAGACAGAGTGAGACCCTGTCTTAAAATATATATATATTGCCGGGTGTGATGGCACATGCCATGTGATGCATGTGATGAGTAATCCCAGCCACTCAGGAGGCTGAGGCAGGAGAATCGCTTGAACCCAGGAGGCAGAGTTTGCAGTGAGCCTAGATCGCGCCATTGCACTCCAGCCTGGGCAACAAGAGCAAAACTCCATCTCAAAATATATATATATATAATCTATATAATATATATTACATATTTTGCTATATTTCCTCTGAGCCAGTCCACAGTGCCATCTTTTGGGAACTCTGGTAACAGAGCCACCCTGGAGACAAAGTTCTTCTTTGCTCTTTGGGCTACAATATTCCACCCCTTTGGTTGTTCTAAGAATTCTATGAGACAACAGTGCCTAGCACACAAAGGATGCTCCCCTTTTGTCAATTATAAAGTGATACGTAAATATATGGGAGTCTGGGGAGAACAGGGCTTTGCTCAAAATCACATAGGACATTAGGAGTACAATCAGGACCCGTGTATTCTGGTAAAAGTTTAACAATTGGCTTGGCGGAAGAAGGGGCATGATTTGTATTGTTTGTGGATTTTAATGATTAAACACTCCCACCTTCATCAATTTTAAGGTGCCAATGTGACATCAATCACTGAATGCAGAGTTGAGGAGAGATATCTCCTATTAGGCCGGGCATGCTGGCTCATGCCTGTAATCCCAGCACTTTGGGAGGCCGAGGCAGGTGGATCACCTGAGGTCAGGAGTTCAAGACCAGCCTGACCAACATGGTGAAACTCTGTCTCTACTAAAAATACAAAAAAATTAGCCAGGCATGGTGGCATGCACCTGTAACCCCAGCTACTCGGGAGGGGGAGGCAAAAGAATCGCTTGAACCCGGGAGGCAGAGGTTGCAGTGAACCGAGATAGTGCCACTGCCCTCCAGCCTGGGCAACAAAAGTGAAACTCCGTCTCAAAAAAAAAAAAAAGTACACTATTATATAGTATTTCCACCATATAGATACAATAAATGTAAGTTACTTCAAGAACACAGATGAGCTCTCTGCTCTTGCCATACAACATACAGACACATCTCGTGTAGCACCAGCAGCAGCCTTGAGACATCATGGTGTGAGTGAAGGCCAGAGTAAATAGATGGGACCATATTGGAAGCCTGTTTACCAGGGCTGCTTTTAACTCTAGCAAAGTGGATAGTGTCACCATCTATGACCACTTCATTCAGGTCAACTCCATGGTCTACATGTTCTAGTATGACTCCACCCATGACAAGTTCCAAGGCACCATCAAGGCTAAGAACAAGAAGTTTGTCACCAATGGAAATCCCATCACCATCTTCCAGGAACAAAATCCCATCAAAATCAAATGGGCTGGTCCTGACGCTGATTATGTTATGAAGTCCACTGGCATCTTCACTGCCTTGGAGAAGGCTGGGGCTCACTTAGAGGGTGCAACCAAAAGGGTCATATCTGCTCTCTCTGTTGATGCCCCCATGTTTGTGATGGCCGTGAACCTTGAGAAGTATGAAAACAACCTTGTGATTGTCAGCAACGCTTCCTGTACTGCCAATTGTTTAGCTGCCCTGCCCAAGGTCATCCATGACAACTTTGGCATCATGGAGGGACTCATGGCCACAGTTGGTGCCAATATTGCCACCCAGAAGACTGTGGATGGCCTCTCTGGGAAACTGTGGCGTGATGGCCACAGGACTCTCCAGGACATCATCCCTGCATTTACCCACTCTACCAAGGCTGTGGGCAAGGCCATCCCTGAGCTTAACAGAAAGCCCACTGGCATGGCCTTCCATGTCTCCACTGCCAACATGTGGGTTGTAGACCTGATCTGCCATCTGGAGAGAGCTGCCCAAATATGATGACATCAAGAAGGTGGTGAAACTGGCATCGGAGGCCACCCTCAAGGGCCTCCTGAGCTACACAGAGCACCAGGTTGCCTCCTCCAACTTTAACAGAGACACCCACCTTTTCCACCTTCAATGCTGGGAATGGCATTGCCCTCAAAGACCACTTTGTCAAGCTCATTTCCTGATATGACAATGAATTTGGCTACAGCAACAGAACGATATACCTTATGGTCTACATGGCCTCCTAGGAGTAAGGGCCCTCTGAACCACCAGCCCCAGTGACAGCACGAGAAGAAGAGAGGCCCTCAGCTGCTGGGGAGTCCCTGCCAAACTCAGTCCCCCACCACACTGAGAATCTCCCCCTCCTGAACACTGTTTCCATGCCAGGCTCCCTGAAGAATGGGAGGGGACTATGAGACCGCACTTTGTCATGTACCATCAATAAAGTCCCCTGTACCCAGCCAAAAAAAGTAAAGTGAGCATAAATGATAGTGAAATATATAAAAGTAATTACATAGTGATGAGTTTGGGTTATTTATTACCTTTGTTTTTATTTTATTTATTTATTTTTTAGAAATGAGCTCTTGCTCTGTCACCCAGGCTGGAGTACAATAGTGTAATCATACCTCGCTGTAACCTTGAACTCCTGGGCTCAAGCGATCATCCTGCTTCAGCCGCCTGAAAAGTTGCGATTATAGGTGTGAGCCACCACACCCAGCTCTATAACTTATTTAATGGTAAGTTTATAAAATTTAATTAAATAATGTCCGTGTTCAACAACCAGCTTTTAAAATTCCTTTTTTTCTTTTTCTTTCTTTTTTTTTTTTTTTGAGACAGGGTCTCCCTCTGTCACCCAGGGTGGAGTGCAGTGGCTCGATCCCTGCTCACTGCAACCTCTGCCTCTCAGGCTGAAGTGATTCTGCTGCCTCAGCCTCCCAGGTAGCTGAGACTACAGGCGTGAGCCACCACACCCGGCCAAAATTCCTGAAATGTTAACAATCAGCTCTAGAGGGCTGAACTAGAACCAGTCCATGGGCTTTTAGGCATTCCCTGTGCTGCCTGCATCAGTAACTTAGGCATTTTGGTCTTACACTGGGTTCTACAAATTACGCAGCCAGTCCTCCTGCCAACTCTATGCTGGAATCTGCACGCCAAACCGAGGGCGGGCTTGGGCCTTGGAAATTTCTGAAAGGCTTGAGTCACCTCCCAGGATTATCCCAGGCCTAGCAGCCTTCCACGGAGGAACCCCACCCTGTCCAGAGGAGCCAGAAGGCCTCTCCTAGGAGCCGGGGAGATAGGGAGCCGGGGAGCCCGGGAGCCAGCTTCCCGTGAAGAATGAGTCCACAGCACCATCTGGTGGCACCTGGGTGTCAGGGCTCCTTGGGAGCAAAAGCCAGGATCCTGGGATAAGAATCACCTGCCAATTCTAATGGGGTGGGTAGGGGGAGTAGGAAAAAAATCATCTGCCAAAAGGGGTCCAGCAGTGTCAGAGGGGGGATTTGAGTCAAAGGAGGGTCTGAGGGTGTGGGATTTACCTGCATTCATACTTTGCCTAAGAGCTGCAGGAGACTGTAGAGGCCCCAAGGACAGTGAAAAAACTGAATTTCAGAGAGAAAAAGTGACAACTGCCCATAAACCAGTATTAAAATCTAGCTCTGCTGACTCCCAAACCAGTGTTCTTTCAACATACTGTTTAACTCAACAGATGTCCATTAGCCCTCTACCAGCGCCTAGCATTGTATGAGGCTCTGAGGACAGGGGTAAGGAGGTAAGACAATCATAATCCCTACATGAGGACTTTATGCCTTGCAATGTGCTAGGTGTTTTATTTATTTTCTTTAGTCATTACAACAACCAGAATTAGTATCCCAATGTTAAGGATGAAGACATTGGCCGGGCACAGTGGTTTATGCCTGTAATCCCAATACTTTGGAAAGCCAAAGCAGGTGGATCGCTAGATCCTAGGGGTTCGTAGACCAGCCTAGGCAACATAGCAAGACTCCATCTCTACAAAAAAAAAAAAAATTAAATTAGGCATGGTGGCACATGCCTGTGGTCCCAGCTACTCAGGAGGCTGAGGCAGGAGGATCACTTGAGCCTAGAAGGCTGAGGCTGCAGTGAGCCATGATCATGCTAGTGCAGTCCAGCTGGGGTGACAGAGTGAGACCTGCCTCAAAAAAAAAAAAAAAAAAAGGATGAATATGTTTGATGCCAGAGGTTATGGCAGTGAAAGGAGCCAACGGTCAAGGTACTGGGGTGAACAGATAAGGAAGACCAAAGAAACCCAAGCAAAGGGTCCCACTGAATCCACAGTCACTAGGGACATCATGGGCGAGCACTCTGCTGGGCCTGGGGGTGAGGAATGAGACAAGGTGAAGATAACGAAGGACAGGATGCCTGCAGCTATCATCTGGGTGGGGAGGCAGGACATAAGGTTGGAAGAAGTTAAGACTAGCATGAAATGCACAGAAGCTTGATTTTATTAGACAGCCTTGGGTTCAAATCCGAGTTCTGCCATTTCCTAGCTGTGTTACCTTGAGAAAGTCACCCCATATCTCAGAATCTTAGCTTTTTCACTTTTATTTAAAAAAAAATAATAGAGGCCGGGCACAGTGGCTCATGCCTGTAATCCCAGCACTTTGGGAGGCTGAGGCAGGCGGATCACCTGAGGTCAGCAGTTCAAGACCAGCCAGGCCAACATGGCGAAACCCTGTCTCTACTAAAAATACAAAAATTAGCTGGGTGTGGTGGTGCACGCCTGTAATCCCAGCTACTCAGGAGGTTGAGGCAGGAGAATCGCTTGAACCTGGGAGGCTGAGGTCGCAGTAAGCCAAGATTGCACCACCGCACTCCAGCCTGGGCGACACAGTGAAACTGTCTCAAAATAATAATAATAATAATAGAGATAGGGTGCCATTATGTTGCCCATACTGGTCTCAAACTTCTGGGCTCAAGCAATCCTTCCATCTCAGCCTCCCAAAATGCTGGGATTACATGAGTCACCGTGCCTGGTCACCTTCTTCATTTATAAAATGTAGATTAAAAATAGTTCCCACCTCATTGAGCTTTTGGGAAGGTACACTGTATAAAGTGCTCACCCCAATGGCACCGTTAGATCTGTTAACAGTAGCATTCAATCATTTGATCACATCATCTTCACAACACAAATCATTTCCTTATTCCAAACCTTTGGTGACTCTCCTCTGTCCATGAATTTTAAGTCCTGCATTCAAGGCTCTCAAGAATCGAGATGTTAATGACCTTTACAGCCTCACGTCCATCCTCTCTTTTCCTTTTTCTTTTTAGCTATTCCAGATTGCTCTAAATTAGTCCTGTCTTTGTCCTCACTCTCCTTGCATTTATTCTTTCATTCACTGAACAAATATTGAGTGTCTATTATGTACCAAACACTGTTGTAGGTGCTAGCCGTAGACAAGTGAACAAGACAGACAAAAATCCTGCCTTCATTGAGGTTGCATTTCTAGTCTGAAGGAGGCAAACAATTTTTTAAACAAAGTATAATATACAATATGTCAGAGAAGAGAAATGGGGGTGCTTGTTATGCAACTTGTGATTTTAAATAATGTGGTCAGGGTGAGTAAGAAGATTATATTCAAGTAAAGATCTGAATGAGGTGAAAGTTAGAAGCACATAAATATCTGGAGGTAAGTGCAGTCTAAACAAAAGGAACAGCAAGTTGAAAGGCCCCAAGTCAGGAGAGTCCCGGGAATTTTCAGGGAATATCAAAGTAGCCAATGTGTCTGGAGCAGAGTGACTAAGGGGGCCAGTAATGTGAGGTCAGATCAACTATACGGGGCCTTAAAGGAGACTGTGAGGACTTATTGGCTTTTTCTCTGAGTGAAATAAGAGGACATTGCAGAACTTTGGGCAGAGGAAGGCTGTAATCTGGCATGTATATACATATACATATATATATATATACACACACACACACACATGTTTTTCTTTGTTTTAAAGACAAGGTCTCTCCATTGCACAGGCAGTAATGTAGTGGCATGGTCACAGCTCACTGCAGCCTCAACCTCAAAAAATTAGCCAGGGCTGGGTATGGTGGCTCATACCTGTAATCCTGGCACTTTGGGAGGACGAGGTGGGTGGATCGCCCAAGGTCAGGAGTTCAAGACCAGCCTGACTAACATGGTGAAAACCTGTCTCCACTAAAAATACAAAAATTAGCAGAGCATGGTGGTGGGCACCTGTAATCCCAGCTACTTGGGAGGCTGAGGCAGGAGAATCGCTTGAACCTGGGAGGTGGAGGTTGCAGTGAGCCAAGATTGCTTGTCACTCCAGCTTGGGTGACGAGAAAGAAACTCTGTCTCAAAAAAAAAAAAATTAGCTGGGCGTGGTGGCATGCGCCTGTAGTTTCAGCTACTAGGGAGGCTAAGGCAGGAGAACTGCTTGAACCCGGGAGGCAGAGGTTGCAGTGAGCTGGGATCGTGCCATTGCACTCCAGCCTGGGTGACAAGAGCAAAACTCCATCTCAAAACAAACAAGCAAACAAACAAAAAACCACCAAATATCTGTTTGAGTACTTGCCTTCTATTCTTTTGGGTATATACTCAGAAGTGGAAGTGCTGGATCATATGGTAATTCTGTTTAATTTTTTTGAGGAAATGGCATATTGTATTCCATACCAGTTGCATTCCCAGTGACGTATGTCTTTTAAAAGATTACTTTCAGGCAAATGAAGACTAGACTTAAGGAAGGCAAGAGTGGATGCAGAAATATTTGTTAAGAGGCTCTTGTAATTAACCATGAGATTGATTATGGTAGCTTGTATCTACATAATAACAGTGGAGGTGGTGAGAAGTCACTAGATTCTGGTTTTGTTTGAAAGGCAGAGCCAACTGGATTTGCTGATGGGATTAGTTTGGGAGTATGAAAGAAAGTGAGAAAGCAAGGATGACTCCTAGGTTTTTGGCTCGAGCAACTGGAATAATGAGGTTCCATTTACAAATGTGGGAAAGTTTGCAGGAAGATGAGGTGGATAAATCAAGAGTTTGTTTTGGGACATGTTAAAAATAATACACCTATTACACATGCAAATAGACAAAATGAACCTGATGTTCAGAGAAAATGTATGGGTTGGAGAGGAAATTTGAGAGCCATCAGCATATACATGGCATTTAAAAGTATGAGATTAGTGAGATGGCTCACACCTGTAATCTCAGCACTTTGGGAAGCCAAGGTGGGTGGATCACTAGAGGCCAGGAGTTTGAGACCAGCCTGGGCAACATAGTGAAGCACTGCTAAAGAAAAATTAAAAGTAAGGCAACACAGGGAGACCTCATCTCTATTTAAAAAAATAATAATAGCTGGGCTTGATGGTGCATGCCTGTAGTCCCAGCTACTCAGGAGACTGAGGCAGGAGGATTGCTTGAGTTCAGGAAGTCAAGGCTGCAGTGAGCCATGATCGTGCCACTGCACTCCAGCCTGGGCAACTGATATGGTTTGGCTCTGTGTTCCCACCCAAATCTCATCTTGTAGCTCCATAATTCCCACGTGTTGTAGAAGGGACCTGGTGAGAGATGACTGAATCATGGTGGGGGCGGGTTTTTCCCGTGCTTTTCTCATAATAGTGAATGGTTCTCATGAGATCTGATGGTTTTAAAATCGGGAGTTTCCCTGCACAAGCTCTCTTCTCTTGTCTGCCACCATGTGAGATGTGCCTTTCACCTTCCTCCATCATTGTGAGGTCTCCCTGGCCATGTGGAACTGTGAGTCCAGTAAAACTCTTTCTTTTGTAAATTGCCCAGTCTCAGGTATGTCTTTATTAGCAGTGTGAAAATGGACTAATATGGCGACAGAGTAAGATCCTGTCTTAAAAATAAAATAAAATGGGCCAGGAGCAGTGGCTCACGCCTGTACTCCCAGCACTTTCAGAGGCCGAGGTGGGTGGATCACCTGAGGCCAGGAGTTCAAGACCAGCCCGGCCAACATGGTGAAACCCCATCTCTACTAAAAATACAAAATTAGCTGGGTGTGGTGGTGGGTGCCTGTAATCCCAGCTATTCTGGACGCTGAGGCAGGAGAGTCATTTGAACCCAGGAGGCAGAGGTTGCAGTGAGCCAAGATCATGCCACTGCACTCCAGCCTGGGCAATAGAGTGAGACTCCATCTTAAAAAATAATAATAAATAAAATCATGAGACTTTATGAGAATATCTGGGGAATGACTATAAACATCAAAAAGGAGGAGGACACCAAGGGCTGAGCCTTCTCCCAGGGAATATCCCATTCCAGCAACAAGAAGGCGGTGAGAAAACAGCAAAGAATACTGAGATGCCAATGAACGGGGAAGAAAGTCAAGAGGGCATGATGTCCTGGAAGCCAAATGAAGAAAGTGGTCAACTGTGTCAAATAAGATGCGGATGTAAAACAAGAACTGAAAAGTGGCCATTCCTCTTGGCGACCTTAAGAAAGTTATGTCAGGCTGGGTGCAGTGGTTCATGCCTGTAATCCCAGCACTTTGGGAGGCTGAGGAGGGCAGATCACCTGAAGTCAGGAGTTCGAGACAAGCCTGGCCAACATAGTGAAACCCCATCTCTACTAAACATACAAAAATTAGTCGGGCATGGTGGTGCACAACTGTAATCCCAGATACTCGGGAGGCTGAGGCAGGAGAATCGCTTGAACCCGGGAGGCAGAGGTTGCAGCGAGCTGAGATTGCACCACTACACTCCAGCCCGGGCAACAGAGCAAGACTCTGACTCAAAATAAATAAATAAATAAAATAGATGTTTCCGTCTTCCACAGGGAGGACCAAAAATAAATAAATAAATAAAATAGATGTGTCCGTCTTCCACAGGGAGGACGTGGGATGGTGGCGGAGCTGGCTGCAGCAGAGCTACAAATAAATATAAAATAAATAAAATTAAATAAAATTAAATAAATAAAAGAAAGTTATTTCAAAGGATTGTCTGAGAGGCAAAAACCTAACTGCAGTGAGTTCAAGAGAGAATGGGAGGAGAGGGGAGTTGCAGACTGTGAGTAGGCAACGCTTTTGCTGTAAAGGGGAGTAGGGAAACGGTGAGGGATATAGAGAGGGCTGGTTTTTGTTTGCCTTTGAGATGGGAGAAACAGCAGTACGGATGATGACAAGGATAAATGCAGTCATCAGAGGGAAAAGAGATGAAGGGGGGATTACTAGATCTATGTCCTTAAGCAAACAAGAGGCGATGGGATCTACCGCACACGTGGAGGGGCTGACCTTAATTAAAGTCCAAAGTATGTGGGCTGTGGAATCTCCCTTCCAATCGCAGTAGAACTCAATCCAGGCGGTCTCCGGATTTCTCCAGACCACCTCCACCTGGCGTTGTTCTGAGCTGGGCCACCGAAAGTTGAGATTACTGAATGTGTGTGTCTCCCATTAACCCGTAAGCCCTCCAAAGGCTGCATCTAAGTCGCCTCTGAATTATTCACATTCCTCCAAACTCTGGGCCACAGCCCCGCAATATGGGCTTATTGAATTAGCCCAAAGAGACACAAAGCAGCCTCTACGCAGCTGGTTTCACAAAGGGGGGCGGTCCTAACCCTGCGCTCTGGGATCCTGACGTTCGAGCTATCTCTCCTCCTCCCCTCTGCTCCCAGCTCTCCGCAGTCCAGCTTGTCGGCTGATCATCGTCCATAGAGGCCACCGTACCCGACGTTTGCGGACAGTGACAAAGAGTCAAGCTTGGTGGAGCCTGAGGACAGGACTGAATGACGATTGAACTGAGAGTTCAGGGGCGGAGTTTGAGGGCGAACTCGGGACAGAGACTGGATAGAGTTCAGGGAGGCGGGACCTAATGATGGCGCAGGGAGGGGATTGGGCTGAGGGCGGTGCCGGCGCGAGGATTGGGCCGAGCGCCTCGGGGGCGGTCCTTGAGGGGGCGGTGCCGTGTCGGAAGTCAAAGGTCAGTAAATAGTGGTGATGTCATGCAGGCAAGATGGCGGAAGGGTGAGCTTGTCGTTTTGCTCCTAGGCGTTGGGGCCTGAATTCTCCCAGGGTTGGGGTGCTGGGCGAGAGTCCCGGTGGGGAACGTGAGATCAGCGGGGGCGTGGACTGATCTGAAAGGGCAGAGTGGAGTCGCATTGTGAGGGGGTGGGCAAGCGGTCTGCGAAGCCTCGGCCCGCAGGGTACATCTGAGCGGGGAACAAACCGGATCCTTGGGCGGGCAGGAATCGCACCGCGGTGCTGCCAGATGTGTCTGTCTTCCACAGGGAGGACGTGGGATGGTGGCGGAGCTGGCTGCAGCAGAGCTACCAAGCAGTCAAAGAGAAGGTAAGCCGGGCCCGTGCCCTTCTTCCCTCAGCAGGGCCCTGCGCCGCCTCAATGCAACCTGGTCCAACCAGCCCCGCCCAACTTTTGCGGGCGCTAAGTCTCAAGGATGAGGCTGACCTGGGCCTTTCTTTTAGCCTCTACCGGTCCACGGGAAGACAGACCTCGACGCAAACCAGTGTGATACTAGCCACAGTGAAATAAAGATGGTTTTAAAGGCTGGAGTTAACGAACGTTTTGTAGGAATCCATAGGAAGGAGCAATTTATTCCAGCTCAGGAAATTCAGTTTCTTCGTGAAAGAGAGAGCATTTGATACAGGTCTTGAAGGAAAAGATTCTAGCAGTAAAAAAACTTACTCGTATAGTCATTCAAATATTAGAGTATATGCGACAACCAGCACTCTGATAGGTCTTGAGGATACAGACTTCAGCCAAACAGATGTAATCCTGGGCCTTACAAAGCTCACAGTCTAGTGGAGAGACAGCCATTAACCGAGTAGCCAAACAAATAGTTGTTTAGTTACCGTTGTGGTAAGTTCTGTGAAAGGAAAGTACAGGGGCACCTTGTCTGTTCTGGTTAGTCAGTAACTCACCAGGGAAGGCCCCTGTGGAGAAGGAACCTCATCAAGGGCAACCCTGCCTAGACAGGATGAAAAGCAAGAACCCAAGCCAGAGATGAGCATGAGCCATACACACTGGTGCCTGATGAGTTCTAAGTAGGGGCTATGCAACGGGCAGTAGAGAGAGAGAGATTAATCACCAGAGAGTGGAAGGCCTTCTTGCTGAACAATCTCTGTGGGATGAGTGATATTTGGCTGTGCCAGTGGGTAATTTGCCAATGTGTATTCCTGTTTCATTTCATGCTTATTTGTCAAAATCAGCCCAACTGAATTGTGGGAAAAGTTGATTACTATTTACCTCAAGCAATTGGGATGAGTCCTGCTTCAGGGCCAACTCCAGGAAGCTTCTGACCTCACCTAAATAAGTCCTCTACTCTGGGAGTATTTTTGTTTTGTTTTGAGACAGAGTCTCACTCTGTCACCTAGGCTGGAGTGCACAGGTGCGGTCTCAGCTCGCTGCAACCTCTGCCTCCCAGATTGAAGTGATTCTTGTGCCTCAGCCTCCCGAGTAGCTGGGATTACAGGCATGTGCCACTACTCCTGGCTAATTTTTGTATTTTTAGTAGAGACAGGGTTTCACCATGTTGGCCAGACTGGTCTCGAACTCCTCACCTCAGGTGAGCCACCTGCCTCAGCTTCCCAAAGTGCTGGGATTATAGGCGTGAGCCACCACACCCAGACATCTGGGAGCGTTTTTATTCCTCCCTTATCCTGGGTACTCCTGGACAGCCTCTCAGCAATAGCCCAGCAAATCTGAGAATGCCCTGAGCTGTTTATGTTGTTGATGAGGACTGAGAGGCTTGCACCCTAACATTTGATAGAAGAGACCCGATAGTAGCATATTTCCTGTTGGGTAATTTCCTGGCAGGAAAGTCTGACATTCATTCAGCAGATGTTGCATGAGGGCCTCCTGTGTTTGTCTCAAGGTTGGTCTTATCATAACTTATGAAAAATAGATAGTTGGCCAACCTTCCGTCTTCATTCTTGGAATTCCCAGTTAAAAGCTGGGGTGGGGGTGGAGGTGGGAGTTGTTTATGCCTTTTTGGAAAGAAAAGACGTAATTTCCCTTTTTTTACTTTCTTACTCTTATATGTACTTGGGCAAGTGTTTTTTGTTTTTTGTTTGTTTGTTTTTGAGACCAAGTCTGGCTCTGTTACCAGGCTGGAGTGCAGTGGCTCAGTCTCAGCTCTGCAACTTCCGCCTCCTGAGTTCAAGTGATTCTCCTGCCTCGGCCTCCTGAGTAGCTGGGATTACAGGCATGTGCCACCACGCCCAGCTAATTTTTCTATTTTCAATAGAGACAGGGTTTCACCATGTTGGCCAGGCTGGTCTCAAACTCCTGACCTCAGGTGATCCGCCTGCCTCGGCCTCCCAAAGTGCTAGGATTACAGGTGTGAGCCACCACGCCTGGCCTCTTGGGCAAGTTTTTAACCTCTCTAGGCCTCAGTTCCTCATCTATAAAATGGGAATACTAACAATACCTACTTGATGAGATTGTGGTGATGGTTAAATGTTAATATATGTAAAACACTAAGAACAGTACCTAGCATACAGTAAGTGCTATATAAGCATTAGCTGTTATTAAGTGCTGAGGCTGATGGGAAAACCTCTTAGATACCACCCCCAGTTCGTTTTTCCTTCCATTTTTTTTCTTGGTCTTTTGGTGCTTTCCTATCTGTATGTCCCATTCTGGCTCCATCTGGACCACTCACTTCTCAGCACTCCTTAGAACACATTGCCCTGAAGACCACAGCTATGAGATGGTGCTATCATCTGCTTTCCTCTGCTCCTTACCTCCTCCTGTCCTGTCTTCCTGTGTGTTGTCAAGGGCAATATGACTGACACAAATACGTGTGCATACACGTTGATAGAGAAAGGCATATCATTGCTCTACATACTTACCAGAAAGAAGAAATTAAAAAGAGAAAGGCACCAAATGCTTTTTGGTTCCATCACAGATTCCCCAACCTCATCTGGGCCCACATACTCTTCAGTCTCCAATTTGCTTCTCCTCCCCTTAACTTCAGAAACTTTCCCAAAACCTAACTCTTCCCTGGGGTCCCCTATTCAGCCGCTTTATCCCTTTCACTTCCAGGAGACAACCTCATCTACTTTTTGAAACTTCAGGTGAACAAACAGGATCTTTAACTCTCTCCCCACCCTCAAAGCCACCACCTATAAACTTATCTTTACTCAGTCAGCTTTACCTACTGCTTGCCAAATCCAGTGGGTGGTTTTCAGCCCTTATCTTCCTGGACCATTCTGCTGCATTTGACGCTAGTGATCACTCCCTCTCTTGAAACGCTACTCTCTTGGCATTTGTGACATGATTCTTAAGTCTCCACATACTTCTCCAGACGTTGCTTTTGTAACTGTCTCATGAGTTCCTCTTCCTCTGCTTGCCCCCTACAGGTAGTGTCTGAGGACACTTGTCCTCAGCCCATTGCTCTGTCCACTTTCCAAACTCTTCCTGGGTCACCTTCTCCACTTTCCTGTTAGGGCGACTCTTAGACCTTTTGCCTGAACTTTAGTGTTGTGTTTTGCTTTGTTTTGAGATGGGCTCTCACTTTGTCACCCAAGCTGAAGTGCAGTGATGCAAACATGGTTCTCTGCAACCTCCACTTCCTGGATTCAAGCAATCCTCCCACCTCAGGCCCCCAAGTAGCTGGGACTATAGGCGTGTACCATCACGCCCAACTAATTTTTGTATTTTTTGTAGAGATGAGATCTCGCCATGTTGCCCAGGCTGGTCTCAAACCCCTAGGCTCAAGCAGTCTGCCCACCTTGGTCTCCCAAAGTGCTGGGACTACAGGCATGAGCCACCATGCCCGGCCAGCTTTAGTGTTTGAGGATAGCTATTGCTGGACAGCTATCCTAGACAGCCCACAGTCATCTCAAGTTCTGCGTGCCCAAAGTCATTGTTACCACCTTGTCTCTAGGACTGCTCCTCCTCCAGGATTTTCTCACTTAGCTGGCAGTACTGCATCTACGCAGTCACCTATTTTAGCAGCCTGTGGTGCTTCCATGATTCTTTTCTAGCCCTCAGTCAACATACCTGTTCAGTCACCAAATCCACCTTCTTCCATCTCCTGTATCTTGAACCAGTCTCATCCTCTCCATCTTTACTAGCATTGTCCTTACTCACATTTTTCTATTTTCTTTCCTGGATTATTGCAGCAGCCTCCTGACTGGTCTTCCTTCTTCCTCTTCTAATCTTCTCGCCTCTGGACCTTTCCTCCATTCCAGTCACTGGAGTAATTTAGTGAAAAGGCAAATCTCATGTCCCACCCACTTCAAACCTTTGGTGGCTCCCCATCATCCATAGGGCTGACCAGGCTCTCCCTGGTTGCCCTTGGCAACCTCTCCAGCTTTATCCCTCACCACTCTTGCTTCACATTTTATGTCCATCAGGACTGTAATGCTTGTAGACGTCACTAAACCCATGTCAACACTTCTTAGCTGACTCCTGTTCTTTTTTTTTTTTTTTTTTGAGACAGGGTCTCACTCTGTTACCCAGACTGGAGTGCAGTGGCATGATCACAGCCCACTGCAGCCTCAACCACCCAGGCTCAGGTGATTCTCCCACCTCAGCCTCCTGGGTAGCTGGGACTATAGGCGTGTACCACCACTTCTGGCTAATTTTTTGTATTTGTGTGTGTGTGTGTGTGTGTGTGTGTGGAGACGGTTTTGCCATAGTGTCCAAACTGGTCTCAAATTCCTGGGCTCAAGCAATCCTCCTGCCTCGGCTTCCCAAAGTGCTGGGATTACAGGCATCAGCCACTGCACCTGGCCCACATCAATACTTCTTAACCAACTCCTGTTCATTCTTTAAGGGCCCATTCCAGGCTTCTGGTCACCACATCTTCCCAACCTCCCCATAGTACAGCAGCTACTGCTCTGCCCTTGCACATCAGCACTATCATGGGACCATTTTCCCCAGTAGACTGTGACCTGCTTGAGGGCAACGTATGTTCATGTTTGTCTGCTCAGAGCTCACAGTCTAGCGGGAAGACAACTGTTTAGTCACACAAGTGGTTACATAATTGAAATTTCAATGGTCCATGTAAATTTAACAAGCAAACATTTTTTGAGTACCTACTGTATGCTCTGTGTCAGATACTGGGGAACCATCAGGGAACAAAACACATAGGACCTGTGTTCACACAACTCACAGTTTATCCAGGAAGACAGACATTGAACAGGTCATCTGAAGTCTAAACTATGTTCAGTGTTAGAAAAGAGATAAATTGGGAGGCCAAGGTGGGCGAATCATGAGGTCAGGAGATCGAGACCATCCTGGCTAACACAGTGAAATCCCGTCTCTACTAAAAATACAAAAAATTAGCTGGGCTTGGTGGCGGGCGCCTGTAGTCCCAGCTACTCGGGAGGCTGAGGCAGGAGAATGGCATGAACCCGGGAGGCAGAGGTTGCAGTGAGCAGAGATCGCGCCACTGCACTCCAGCCTGGGTAACAGAGCGAAACTCCATCTCAAAAAAAAAAAAAAAGAAAAAAAAGAAGAAGAGATAAAGCAGGGAGAGCCAGCTGAGCCTGAAGAGGCAGCAGGAAGCCCCTCTAGGGAAATGAAGCATAGACGTTGAGGATGAACAGGAGTTTTCCAGATAAGAGGGTTCCTTCATCGTGTTTACAGACTTGGTTTTTTTGAAGAGTTAGAACTCTGTATCAGGGAGAGGAAACAATGTGTTCAGATACTCTGAGGCAGGACAGATGCTAGGGCATTTTAGAAACTTGAGGAAGGCCAGCTGGAGCTCAGTGAACGGCACAGTGGTAGGGGATACCAGTCTGCCAGAGGCCAAGTTATATAGGCTTTGTAAGTAAAGGTGGATTTTCAATTTGCTCTTAGGATAGTGTGTAAACTTAAAGAGTGTAAAGCAGCACGGTCTGCCCTGACAGACAAAGCACCCACTGGGTGTCATAAGGAGAATGAAGTAAAGGTGGCTGAGACAACCTGGGAGGAATCCAGGTGAAAGAATAAGTTGGCCTGGACTAAGATGGTGGCAGTGTGGATAGAAAGAGTGAATCGGTAAATGACCCAGGGCACAATTTCATGGTGCTGTGAAATATTTTTTAAAATTTTAATAAAAGTAAATAAGTAAATGACCTCCTCCACCCCCAATTAAGGAGTCCTGAGTTGATATGGAGGCATGATTACCACCCCTAGAGAAGCCTGTAGCTGATAGACTGTGCCATTCAGAAACTTCCCAAGCTAATGAAAAGTGGGCAGGCCCTTCCCAGAAGAACAAACCACAGGAGCGCTCAAAAACATGCTTTAAAAAATGCAGGTGATTATCCCCGTGTAAGATGAAAGGGCTTGCAGGGGGAGTGGCCACTGAGATACTCCAGGAAGCATCCTAGAGTTGGTGAGTCTGAAGCAAGACAGGGCAAGACCTAGAAGTGAGCTGAGGGTCTGCTTTCTCAAGTGAGGTCTGGGTGCAGGCTGAGAAACAGATTGGTTTAGCAGGAGCAAATATGCATTCTGCCCAAAGGAGCTTTGTATATGAATAGAACCTCGGGATGGTAGAACCAAGAAGGCCTCCAAGAGAATCTGATCTAGTCTTTCTCTTGACCGCTTCCTCCTTTGTTGAATGTAAAAAATCACATGCCTTTTTACTGATATTAAATTGTTAAGAATTACTCATAAAATAGCTTTCCAAGCTATTGCTGTTACTAATACAATTAGTAATTACTAATTCTTAAACCCGAAGGCAAATAACTTCACATACTGCCTCATATTTCAACTCAATTTCTCTGTAACAAAAAAAGTAAAAATAGAAACACTTTCCTTTGATAAAAAAAATCACATGCCTTAGGCTGGGTGGCTCACGCCTATAATCTCAACACTTTGGGAGGCCAAGGTGGGCGGATCACCTGAGGTTGGGAGTTCGAGACCAGCCTGACCAACATGGAGAAACCCCATCTCTACTAAAAATACAAAATTAGCTGGGCGTGGTGGCGCATGCCTGTAATCCCAGCTACTCGGGAGGCTGAGGCACGAAAATCGCTTGAACCCGGGAGGCGGAGGTTGCGGTGAGCCGAGATCGTGCCATTGCACTCCAGCCTGGGCAACGAGAGCGAGACTCTGTCTCAAGAAAAAAAAAAAAAAATCACATACCTTTTTTTCATGTTATTTGAAACTTGGTATGAATATCGTGATTTAAAGCATATCAAAGCAATTCATCAAAGTCAGTATTGTTTTCAGACTATGCCCCCTCTTTTCCTGTTTGCTCTTGAGAATCTCTGATCTAGATCACCTCATTTTACAGGAGAAAACTGAGAACTAGATGAGACTTACTCATGGCCACATAGCTTGCGAGTGCCTAGGCTGAGACTCAGTCCTCATGCTCAGAGTAGCAGGAAATTCCCCTGCACTCTCTGCTGTCAGGTAATCCCAGATCATGGAATTGGGACAAATGAGCATTGTTTCTGAGCCGAAGCTCCCCTGCCGCTGGAGATTTCCATTTGTCTGTCTGGTACTGAAGAAACACAGGGAACAGGAACAAGGGGTGGTGGGGCCAGCTGGCCCTGGCATCCCTCTCTGTCTTCCCACAGTCCTCTGAAGCCTTGGAGTTTATGAAGCGGGACCTGACGGAGTTTACCCAGGTGGTGCAGCATGACACGGCCTGTACCATCGCAGCCACGGCCAGCGTGGTCAAGGAGAAGCTGGCTGTGAGTACCACCCAAACCCTCCCAAGTAACTGCCCCTCGCAACCTGTCCTGTCCTGGGCTCCCAACCTTTCTACCATTAAGTGATTATTTTTCCATATGGGGAAAAATATGTGGATTACTTTTCCTCCCATTTTGAAAGAATTGTGTCTGGCAACCAAACAAGCTGCATATTTTAAGTAATAATTAGTTTTCCCACTTCTGTATTGTTTTAGCAAATGTTTTCCATTAGCAAAGTCATTCATGTTGACAATTTAGAAAACACAGACAAGTGAAAGAAAAGAGAAAGAATGAGAAAAGGAAGAGAGAGAGAGAAAGACCTAGAGACATCCATAATTCCATCTTCCAAAGATAGCTACTGTTAATATTTTGGGGGTGTATCACTTATGTACACTTCTTTTTCAAAACTGGGGTCAATTGAACACCATGTTTTGTAACCTATTTTTTTTTTTTTTTTTTTTTTGAGTTGGAGTCTCCATCTGTCGCCCAGGCTGGAGTGCAGTGGCGCCATCTCGGCTCACTGCAAGCTCCGCCTCCCGGGTTCATGCTATTCTCCTGCCTCAGCCTCCCAAGTAGCTGGGGCTACAGGCGCCCGCCACCACGCCTGGCTAGTTTTTTGTATTTTTTAGTAGAGACGGGGTGCACCGTGTTAGCCAGGATGGTCTCGATCTCCTGACCTTGTGATCTGCCCACCTCAATCTCCCAAAGTGCTGGGACTACAGGCGTGAGCCACCGCGCCCAGCCCTTATTTTTTTACTTAAACTGCAAACCTTATTCTAGAGTGTAGTAAGTGGCATGGTATTCCATTATGTGGATTTAACCAGTTGCTGCTTTCTTACTTCAGTTTTTTCCAGTATTGTACACTGAGCTACAGTAAACATTCTACTAAACCTTTACCCAGTGCCATAATATTTGCTTTATAATAAAATTGTGGAAAGTATCACAGAGTGGTTAGGTTAAGCCTTTTACTATCTACTCAAAACTGCCCTCCAGAAATGTTGTACCAACTTATTTTCTTACTGGTCCTGTTCTTTGGTGGTGGTGGTTATTGTTTTGAGACGGGGTCTCTCTCTCTTGCCCAGGCTGGAGTGCAGTGGCATGATCTCAGCTCATTGCAACCTTTGCCTCCTGGGCTCAAGTGATTCCCCCACCTCAGCCTCCCAAATAGCTGGGACCACAGGTGCATGCCACCACACCCAGCTAATTTTTGTATTTTTTGTAGAGATAGGGTTTCACTCTGTTGCCCAGGCTGGTCTCAAACTCCTGAGCTAAAGGGATCCACCTGCTTCGGCCTCCCAAAGTGCTGGGATTACAGGCATGAGCCACCGTGCCTGGCTTGTTTGTTGTTTTCTAATTTTAGATTCAGGGGATACATGCACAGGTTTGTTACATGGGCATATTGTGTATATGCTGAGGTTTGGGCTTTTAATGAACCCATCACCGACTAGTACCCCATAGGTAGTTTTTCAATCCTTGTCCCCCTCCCCCAATACTGTTTTTATTAATCAGAAATGTACAGTGGAAACCTCTTATAAGATGGAAGTTAGATTCTAAAGTCAGTGTGAGAAGGAAAAATTGTGGTCAAAGATATCCCTGCAAAGTTCTGAAGTTTCCAGTGAGGTAAAGCATACTGTTTTTTATATTACAATTTTTCCTTTAGCATTGGAACAGATTGCAGCTTCTTAATTTGATCACCAGCTGAATCAATTATCTTGTAATTAATTACTCATGTTACAAAAAATGAGTTTTGGAATTTTTTTAGACAAGCTTATTTTGCTGAATCCTCTTGTAAAATACCGTCCACCTGCTAATCACAGCTACTGATGAGCATGAATGACAAGTTGTAACCCTGCTAAACTGCTATAAGTCTAGTCAATAGCAGAGATATCACTTGTTTATTTCATTCATTTATTCTTTTTTTTTTCATTCAACAAATATTGTTACCTGTAACAATATGTGCCAGGCACTATGATAGGTTCTAGGTTTAAAATGCTTCAGCAGCTTAATCAAGAGTAAATAAAATTTTCCATGAGGTTTTTAGACCCTTTTCTCAGCACCCTATCCCTGTCTGCTGGAAGGCATTCTGACCAGTGTGGTCTGTATAGTGACCCTCAGTTGGTCCCAGGCAAGGCAAGGCTATCTGTTCTAATCCTGCCCATATGTTTCCAACCTTTTGTACAAAGTATTCTACTTCCTGAGCAATGATGATGATGAAATTGCAGTATTACAATGCTGCAGTTTATTAAGCGTATGCTGTGTGCCAGGCATTGTCCATACCCTATCTTTTAATCTTCATGGTAACCCTATGAAGGATGTATACTTAACCCCATTTTATAATAAGGAAACTGAGGTTCAGAAAGGGTTTCGGTCTCATGACCAACAAGTGGTAGAGCAAGGATTCAAACCAGCTTTGTCTAACTCCGAAGCTAGTACCCTTTCCACCACTCTACCCATAGGCTCTCTTCCCTGTTGATGTGTCTATGGCATGGACCTTCTCTGGCCAAGTTTTGACCGGCCTGACTGACCTTGAAATTTTGATGAAACAGCCAATCAAAGATCTCTGATCTACACAGGCCTACCATGGCCCTGTTCTGCAGCCCCACTTGGGGGATGGAGGACCCTTGCCTCCTCCCTCTCCTGCAGCCCCAGAGACGGGTGAAGGGTCGTGAGCGCTTCCCTGGTCCCCCAACACACGGTACACCTTTGCCCCAATGTTTTACCCCCATACCCCAGATTGCAGCCTGTTCCCGGGGCGCTTGCTTCCTCTGCCCGTTCTCTATACAGACGGAAGGCTCCTCAGGAGCAACAGAGAAGATGAAGAAAGGGTTATCTGACTTCCTAGGGGTGATCTCAGACACCTTTGCCCCTTCGCCAGACAAAACCATCGACTGCGATGTCATCACCCTGATGGGCACACCGTCTGGCACAGCTGAGCCCTATGATGGCACCAAGGTATTCACTGACAGTCTCCCCTGCAGATGCCTAACATCTGTAACCTGGGCTTTAACTTCCATCCTGTACTCACAAAAGCAGCCCATGTTCAGGCCAAAAAATAAATATGGGTATATTATTAATAGTAAATCAGAAAATACCAGTAAGCAAGGACAGGATAATTATTTTTAAACTCACAATTGCATCACCCAAAGAGAACCCCTGATTTCTTATTGGTATATAACCTTACATTTGTTTTTGTTTATAAACATAGGTAAAGATAGTTTGGTTTTTTCTTCTGAACAAAAAAGACATTTTATACATGCAGTTTTGTAACCTACTTTTAAAAAATCAACAAACATAGCATCTTTCCTAATCATCTTTTTTTTTTTTTTTAATGAGACAGGGTCTCACTCTGTCACCCAAGCTCTCTCTGGGGCTCAGTGGCACAATCATGGCTCATTGCAGCCCCGACTTTCCAGGCTCAAGGGTCCTTCCACCTCAGTCTCCTGAGTAGCTGGGACCACTGGCGTGAACCACCACACCCAACTAATTTAAAAAAATTATTTTGGTAGAAACGGGGTCTCACTGTGTTGCCCAGGCTGGTCTCAAATGCCTAGGCTCAAGTGACTCCCAGCTTGGTCTCCCAAAGTGCTAGGATTACAGGAGTGAGCCACTGTGCCCAGCCAGCCATAATTTTTAATGTCTTTAAATTCTTACAAGTGAATATAGCATTATTTATTCCATTATTTCCTTCATGTTGCATATTTGGATTCCTTTCAGCTTTCAAGCATAATAAGGAACGCTGTGGAGAGCATTTTTAGAGGCATAATCTCCACATTTGGGTTATTTAGACTAATTTCTAGTAATACACGTATAGGTAAGGGGAGAGAGGTGTCTTCAGAGCACTTAAAGCAACAGCCACAGTAGCGTATTTTTGCTGCATTTTCTTTTCTTCTTCTTTTTTTTTTTTTTTTTTTTTTGAGACGGTCTCACTCTGTCACCCAGGCTGGAGTGCGGTGGCATGATCCCAGCTCACTGCAGCTTCAACTTCCTGGTCTCAAGTGTTCCTCCCACCTCAACCTCCCTAGTATCCCTAGTAGCGGGGACCACAGGCGTGCACCACCACACCTGGCCTTTTTTTTTTTTTTTTGTAGCGATGAGGTCTCCCTATTCTGCCTAGGCTGGTCTCAAACCCCTGGGCTCAAGTGATCCTCCTACCTCAGCCCCCTAAAGTACTGAGATTACAGGCGTAAGCCACCGCGCCTGGCCACATTGTATTTTCTATTTCATGGAGTGTTTTCTTCTAAATTCACAATATAATGTCATGGCAGTTGGGCCCTCTTCGTAGTTTTTTTGTTTGTTTTTTGTTTTTTGTTTTTTTTTTGAAATAGGGTCTCCCTCTGTCCCCCAGGCTGGAGTGCAGTGGTGCGATCACAGCTCATGGCAGCCTCGATCTCCTAAGGTGCTCCTCCCACCTCAGCCTCCTGAGCAGCTGGGACTATAGGCACACATCACCACGCTCAGCTAATTTTTATGCTTGTAGAAATAGGGTTTCCCCATGTTGCCTAGGCTGGCTTTGTAGCATTTTATCACATTGACTTCTGTTTTTTTTTTTTTTTTTGAGATGGAGTCTCTCTCTGTCGCCCAGACTGGAGTGCAGTGGAGCAATCTCGGCTCACTGCAACCTCCACCTCCTGGGTTCAAGCGATTCTCCTGCCTCAGCATCCTGAGTATCTGGGATTACAGGCGCACATCACCATGCCCGGCTAATTTTTGTATTTTTAGTAGAGATGGGGTTTCACCATGTTGGCCAGGCTGGTTTTGAACTCCAGACCTCCAGAGATCCACCTACCTTGGCCTCCCAGAGTGCTGGGATTACAGGCGTGAGCCACCGCACCCGGCCCACATTGAACTTTTGTTCCAAAAGTACTGATTTTTCAAGTATGTGTTTTAGCACTAGCATTAGCGCCACCACTTAGTGAACATGTGAGTGGAATTGTGAAAATGTTTGATAAGATTTTGAGCTATAACGACAGTGAATTATCACCAGACCGCTTACACATAGCCCATGCTTCCTGCAATACTGAGGAAGAAAGGTGGACTTTGTCTTTGCCAGCTAAGTTTGCCACCCTGTGATCCTAGTGGGAACGTAACTTGGTAGAGACTGGCTATACAATTAATAAATTCTTGAGTGGTTTTAATTTGAGGGAAATTGTGTTATTTTAAAATTTGTCCCTAAATTTTGACTTTATTAACATATTGGCACTAACATTTTTCAAATTTTACTTACTACAAAGCATTTTATACAAATAATTTTGTAGCCTGCTTATGCTGTATTTTCTTAGTTCTTGGGGTAGAATACTGGGTGAAAGGCCATTTTTCTGGGAACCCCAGTTTTGGATGCCTAGCCTAGTGCCCCACTCTCTGTGCCACAGTGCTAATTAACAGATGCCCTGGGGGTATCCCAGCCAACAAGGGAGAAGCTGGATTGTGGTTGACTGAGTATCCTGGCAGAGAAAGGGTGCTTTCTATGCCCAGTATCTCAGAATTTCTGTTTTCCTCTTCTCCTTTTCTTACAGGCTCGCCTCTATAGCCTGCAGTCGGACCCAGCAACCTACTGTAATGAACCAGATGGTGAGAGGGTAGCACTGAGCGGGTGGGCTTGTAGGGCAAGTAGACTAAGGGGGCTGGGTTGTAGACCCTGTTTGTCTCAGGTAGCAGAGGCCGGGCACCCCCTATGTAGGGAGACCAGAGTGAGACTAGTGTGTACCTTATACTTTGTGGGGTGGGTGGATGTTCTCTTTTCTTTCCTGAACTTGAGCTGTCCTGCCCACCCTGCAGGGACTTGGCCCCTCTCATCCCTCATCCTCAGCTCAGCCTCCCTCCCAGCCCTGCTGCCCCCCTTGCCTTCTCTTCAGCTCCTGTTAGCTAAGCCCCTGCCATGCAGCAAACCCCATTATGGGAACTGGAGATCAGAAATGAGCCAAACCCTCCACCTAGTCCAACCCTCCAGGAACTGGCAGTTAAGAGGGGGAAAGCAGAAACAGTCAATAAAGTAGAAATACTAGAGAGCAGCATGACTGCTTCTGCAGAGCAGCGGGGCAGCAGGAGCCAGAGGAATGGCACCCTTCCTGGCCTGGGAACCAAGCAAGTGATGCTGGAGTTGGGTTTTGTTTGTTTGTTTGTTTGTTTGTTTGTTTTTGAGATGGAGTCTCACCCTGTCTCCCAGGATGGAGTGCAATGGCGCGATCTCGGCTCACTGCAACCTCCGCCTCCCGGGTTCTAGCAATTCTCTTTCCTCAGCCTCCCGAGTAGCTGGGCTTACAGGCGCCCGCCACCACATCTGGCTAATTTTTGTATTTTTAGTAGAGACAGGGTTTCACCATGTTGGTCAGGCTGGTCTCAAACTCCTGACCTCAGGTGACCCACCCGTCTCAGCCTCCCAAAAATGCAGGGATTACAGGCATGAGCCACCGTGCCTGGACGGAGTTGGGGTTTTAAGGTTAAATTAGAAATCAGCTAGTTTCACTATGAGAAGTCGGGAAGAGCATTCAGGCAAAGAGAGTGGGCAGAGAGAGCAGGGAGCACCCGCCTTTTAGTAACGCCGGGTTAAAGGGTGCGTATGAGGAAGTGAAGGCAGTGAGAGCAGCTCGTGGGAGCCAGATTGTGAAGAGCTTTGTGTGCCAGACCAGGCAGTTGGAATTTTGGCCTAAAAGGCTCACAGTAGTAGCTCTAGACCTCTCTTTAGTCACAAAGGCCTTTACAAATCTATTGAAAATGACAAGCCCTCTCTCCACCAAACTTTTTGTGCAATATGAGAATTCTTTGACCCTTTGAAGCCCATCTTGGACTCCAGCTTAAAAAGCCCTCCCATAGAGAGCCAATGAAAGGTTTTGAGGCCTGGGGTGATCAGAGTTTGCATTTTGTAAAGCAGCCCTTGGGGCAGCATTGTGAAGAATGAAATAGAGAGAAAGACAGAAGACAGGAAGACCAGTTAGGAGGCTAGGTAGGAATCCCGTGTCAGAGGTAAGGCCAGAACCTAGGAAGAGTCAGTTGGCATGAAGAGGACAGTGTACATATAAAAGACACAAGTTAGCCAGGCATGATGGCGTGCCCGTAGCCTCAGCTATTCGGAAGGTTGAGGCAGGAGGATCACTTGGGCCCAGAAGTTCAAGGTTGCAGTGAGCCACGGTTGTGCCACTGCACTCCAGCCTGGTGACAGAGCAAGCCTCTATCTCTCAAAAATAAAAAGGAGACACTGAGGAAGTGTGATCCAGAGTGATTGGATAAGGGAGGAGATAGGATGGCCCCCAGGTTGGATAACCCTGTCAGATAACCAGATGGGAAGGAAAATGAGCACACGGTGTGTTTGCAGGTGGAAGTATCGGGGGTACCTGGACCTCTGGATCTGGGGCCAAGAGAGTAGCCTGGGCTGCAAAGAGACACAGGAATTATCAGTGGGAGGATGAGGTTGAAACTTGTGGTTTAGTGGCAATTATTTTGGGAAAAAAAATAAAAAGCCAGAGAGATATGGAAAGGAAAGGAAAACGAGAAGCCCACAGAGACTCAGATGGACCAACCAGAGAAGTGGAGGAAAATAACAAAGGAGTGAGAAACCAGGAGAGACGAGGGCTTCAGGAGAAAGGCAATGGCCCCCAGAGTCAGAGATGGTCACACGAGGGAAGACAGAGAAATAGATGTTGGCTTTGGCAGCTGGGGTCATGAGACCTGAGAACAGCTGTTTCAGAGATGAGGAGATTCAGCAGCCAGGTGCCATGGGCTAAAAAGCCAGCAGGGATATGAGAAAATGGAGACTGCAGCCCCTTCTGGAGATCACTCAGGTGCGGCACCCGCCCCTTCACCCTGCCTGACCCCCTACCCTTGGCTAAGTGGCTTTGAATACACAAGCTTTCTTCATTTTCCATGTCCAGCCTTAGATATGTTCTGTAAGCCCAGTGTTCTTTTCCCAGACCAAGGCAACTGACCGTCAGCATCTGTCCCTCTGCAGGGCCCCCGGAATTGTTTGACGCCTGGCTTTCCCAGTTCTGCTTGGAGGAGAAGAAGGGGGAGATCTCAGAGCTCCTTGTAGGCAGCCCCTCCATCCGGGCCCTCTACACCAAGATGGTGAGGGCCCAGCCTGCAGGGCCTCAGCCAGCTCCAGGCTTGAGGTGTTGGGAGGTGGGAGGGACATGTTCAGAGTCACTGCAGAGTCATCTGGCCCGGAGAGCACTGGGAGGCTCCATAGAGCCAGACCAGCTGTGTCCTGAGCCAAGACCCCACATGGGAGAAGCTGGTTTGCCAGGCTTCTGGCAATCAGAGAATGGTGAGAAATGGAAGGGCCAGCAAAGCCTGATGGGAGTTCTTTTCTCACTCCTTGGCCAACCCGGACTAGGAAGGTGGGTCTGGCTGAAACTTTGGTGGGGGTGGAAGTGCTCTGACTGTCACTGCTAAGCCACTTACTGGGTCTGAAATCCAGACTGGCTGGGAATAGACTGATAAGGCTGGGGACACAGACCCCACACAAACACTCCCAAAGTCTCACCTCCATTTTCCCCTCCCTCCAGGTTCCAGCAGCTGTTTCCCATTCAGAATTCTGGCATCGGTATTTCTATAAAGTCCATCAGTTAGAGCAGGTATGCTGGTCTAGCATGGGGAGGTCCCCACTCAACCCTGGGGGAAGCAGGCTGGATTTATTGAGAGAAGAAAGGGATACAGGGTGCCAAGAGTTGTGGGATCAGGACCAGGGTCTAGGAAGAGGGTGCCCTGACTGCCTGTGGCCTTCTGCTCCCCCACATTCAGGAGCAGGCCCGGAGGGACGCCCTGAAGCAGCGGGCGGAACAGAGCATCTCTGAAGAGCCCGGCTGGGAGGAGGAGGAAGGTAAGAGGCGTTGAGAGGTGAGGGGCAAGTGTCACATCTGTGCGGGACGCTCTGGGCTGGGCCATGCTCTCTGAAGCCTGGAGAGACTTGGTGCCCATCAGGGAAGAGTAGGGAACAAGCACATTGTATGTGTGAGGATAGGCGGAGCTAACAAGGGGATATTGAACAAGGCTAGTGGAATTCCGATTTAGCTACAGAAATCACATGTGTCAGTTGGTGTAGATTCCCCTGCCAGCCCATGAACCAGCTGCCGCTTAGTCACTGGGGAGCTTCTTGAAAATCCAGATTCCTTTCCCCACCTTCTAAAGAAGACTGTAAAGATGCGGCCAGACATGTATTTTAAACAAGTTCCCTGGTAATATTAATGCCCAGGCTGGTTTGGGAACCACTGAGTTAGGGAGGGAGCTGAGCATCTTCTACCTGTAGCTCAGCTTAGAACAGCATGTTGAAGCCTTCTGGATGATATAATATTAACGCATTTCTTGTTTACACCATATGTCCAGGCTGCCCTAAGAGCTCTACACAGAGTCCTTACCACAACCCCATTACCCCTCTTAAGGATAAAAGTAAGTTAAGAGTAAGTTAAAAGTTAGGTGGCTTGCCCAATCATACACCTAGGATGTAGCAGAGTCCAACCTGAACCCAAAACTGACTCACTTCTGAGCCTTGGCTTTCTAATCCATAACAGCCCCTTGGACTGCATTGCTGGAAGCCCACCAGGCATTAGGCCCCAGGGCTAAACAGGACTTTGACTAGCAGGGACTGTCTGCAGAAGCGTTGTGATGGCGAAGGGGTGAGCTGAATGACACTATTGAGTCTTTTTTTTTTCGTTTTGAGGCAGAGTCTCACTCTGTCATCCAGGCTGGAGTGCAGTGGCGCAATCTCCGCCCACTGCAACCACCGCCTCCCGGGTTCAAGCGATTCTCCTGCCTCAGCCTCCCAAGTAGCTGGGATTACAGGCACGTGCCACCACACCCAGCTAATATTTTTTGTATTTTTAGTAGAGATGGGGTTTCACCGTGTTGGCCAGGCTGGTCTCAAAAACTCCTGACCTCAGGTGATCCACCCGCCTCATCCTCCCAAAGTGGTGGGATTACAGGTGTGAGCCACCATGCCCGGCTTGAGTCTTGATCAGAGTACACTTTGGCAGGAACTTGAGAGCTCCAAGGTTGTCTTATGGCTGGCCAGGTTACATTTCCCTCTTGCCCCTCCCTTTCTCTCTCTACAGAGGAGCTCATGGGCATTTCACCCATATCTCCAAAAGAGGCAAAGGTTCCTGTGGCCAAAATTTCTACATTCCCTGAAGGAGAACCTGGCCCCCAGAGCCCCTGTGAAGAGAATCTGGTGACTTCAGTTGAGCCCCCAGCAGAGGTGACTCCATCAGAGAGCAGTGAGAGCATCTCCCTCGTGACACAGATCGCCAACCCGGCCACTGCACCTGAGGCACGAGTGCTACCCAAGGACCTGTCCCAAAAGCTGCTAGAGGCATCCTTGGAGGAACAGGGCCTGGCTGTGGATGTGGGTGAGACTGGACCCTCACCCCCTATTCACTCCAAGCCCCTAACGCCTGCTGGCCACACCGGCGGCCCAGAGCCCAGGCCTCCAGCCAGAGTAGAGACTCTGAGGGAGGAGGCGCCCACAGACTTACGGGTGTTTGAGCTGAACTCGGATAGTGGGAAGTCTACACCCTCCAACAATGGAAAGAAAGGTAGGTCTGGAGGTCCAAGCCCAGAGGGTTGTGTGCGGTCAGGGCCACCTCCTGAGGCAGATTTGTCTCCTTGTCCCTTGTTAGGATACTATGAGCAGATTTTTTTTCGTTTCTGATAATGATGACAGCTGCTATATATTGACTATTTGCTAACATATTTCATTCTAAGTTGCACAACATCTCTGAAATAAGAATGCATCTTCAATTGTTGGCATCTTAAGAGTCAACAAAACAAGTTTGATGCCAGATCCCATGCTAAATATGTTATATGGCACCTAATTTCTCAGTATTATTGTCCTCATTTTACAAATGAAAAAAAGTGAGGCCCAAAAATATTAGGTAACTTGCCCAAGTTCACATGGCCAGGAGGCCCAGATTCAGACCCAGGGCTGTCTGACTCCAAGCCCATGCCCTTAACTAGCACACTGTGCCAATTTCTATCTTTTTGGACAATTTAACCTTACCCTGGCTTGGGAATCCCAGTGACATTGATGTTAAGGGTCTTCTTCCTGTGTAACCTTAGGAAAGTCATTCAGCTTCCCCAAGCCTTCGTTATTATGAAATATATAAACAAAACTCATACCTACAGTTTAAAGAAGAAATAATGAACACCCATGAATTTACAGCGACCCAGCTTGAGTAATGGAGCTTCAGTTTCTTATCTGTGTAATGGAATTTTAGACTGGAGACTCTGAGTTTATGTCAAAGAGCAACCTCTGTAACTGCAGGAATTAAAGGACAAGGATAGCCTTGGTGTCAGTCAGCCTTTTTGCCACATCCAAAATACCACTTCAGGGACGGCTGATTATCACTAAGAACCCCCCCTCCAGTCCCCCCACCACCTGTACACTTCACACACACATCCTCCTGTCTTTGCTAACACTCAGCACCAGCCACAGCCACAAAGCTTGCCCAGCAGGTAAGGCCTGGCCTGCTGGTGTAGTAAGGGACTGGTTTGCCACAGTGGATGGGAAATGGACCCCACCCCACCCCTAACCTATTCCCTGATGGAAACCATAGAGTTTCCAGTCTCCAACCCAGTGTCTCCCTTCTGACTTTGATCAATGAGGTCATCCATTGGGCTCCTACCTGGTTTTTATTGTTTTTTTTTTGAGGCGGAGTCTCACTGTCGCCTAGGCTGGAGTGCAGTGGCGCGATCTCGGCTCACTGCAACCTCCGCCTCTCAGGTTCGCGCCATTCTCCTGCCTCAGCCTCCCGAGTAGCTGGGACTACAGGCGCATGCTATCATGCCCGGCTAATTTTTTGTATTTTTAGTAGAGATGGGGTTTCACTGTGTTAGCCAGGATGGTCTCGATCTCCTGACCTTGTGATCTGCCTGCCTCGGCCTCCCAAAGTGCTGTGATTACAGGCGTGAGCCACCGTGCCCGGCCTGAGCTCCTACCTGTTCTTTATGAGACACTGAGTGGGAGAGGGGCAGAAGCCGCAGCCTTTGTGAGGAAGCATAAAGCAGGGTGGGCCAGTCTGGTACTGGAGGAGTTCAGAGAAAGAAGGAATCTCTGGACATCTGCGGTGCTTCACTGAGGAGACAAGCCTCGTATAGGAGAGTTGGTGAGTTTGGGGCAGGTGCAGGGGAGTGGTAGTCTAAGCTGAGGAGGCCTACAAAGACTAGCTAGCAAAGGGCATGGGGCATGTTTAAGGCGCGGTGACCTAAACCCACTCTTCTGTATTCTCTCCCAGGAGAAGGAGGTACAAGAAGGGTGAGTGGGTTGACTCAGAAATAGAACTTCAGAATTTAAAACCTTAAGCTGGATTCAGAAGGTTGGCCTTGGGGCCATAAAGCAGCAGAGCATGGATGCTAAGGCTGTGGGTTCTGGAGTTCAGACAGTTCTGGGTTCAAATCCCAACTTTGTTCATAAGTCATGTGACTTCAGAAAGATTACTAATCTTCTCTAAGCCTTTGTTTGCTCCTCCATAAACGGGATAATTGTTTCATGATAGATCCTCAGTCAGAGCAGAATTAAGTAGAGCCCTGCTTTGGGGAAATGAAAATAGAGGTAACATTCTCTGAGCACTTTCTCTGTGTCTAGATCTGTGCTAAGCACAGATGCATATGCACAGTAATATGCATATTACTCAATCCTTACAAAAGCCCTGTGAGATCTGTGTACTTTTTCTCATATTTCTAGTGGTAGGAACCTGAGATCAGTGACCCACCCAGTAAATATTTCAGTGTGAAATAGTCCTGTAGAAGAGGGAGGAGTAGGTGGTGGGCCTGACAGGTGTAATAGGGTTGCTGGGTGGATGGTCCCAGGGCCCACTGAGGTTGTGATTGTAGGTTTTAAGTGAGACCATCAACATGTTGTATTTTTGTTCAGCCATATTCAGTTGCTCAGGTGCAGGAACAGAGCAGATGGGGAGTTGGATCTAATTAGGTTCAAGTTTAGCCAGGTAAAATCAGTTGATGAAAAGAAGAAAGTCCGCTGGGCACAGTGGCTCACACCTATAATTGCAGTACTTAAGGGAGGCTGAGGCAGGTGGATCGCTTGAGCCCAGGAGTTTAAGACCAGCCCTGGCATTGTGATGAAACCCCATCTCTACAGAAAATACAAAAAATTAGCCAGATGTGGTGGCACGTGCCTGTAGTCCCAGCTACTCGGGAGGCTGAGGTGGGAGGATCACCTGAGTGGGGAGGTTGAGGCTGCAGTGAGTTGAGATTGCTGCACTGCCCTCCAGCCTGGGTGACAGAGCTGAGACCCTGTCTCAAAAAAATAGGAAAGAAAAGAAAGTATATGCAAGAAGTGATAAGAATGATG
The DNA here is from genome assembly GCF_000001405.40 of Homo sapiens. Classification (NCBI taxonomy): domain Eukaryota; kingdom Metazoa; phylum Chordata; class Mammalia; order Primates; family Hominidae; genus Homo; species Homo sapiens. The sequence goes on along the minus strand of NC_000001.11, from coordinate 32,373,487 downwards.
CCTCATGGAATCTGAGCTGAGTACGGGAGAGAATGAGGGATAGTGAAACAGTTGGAGGGTTACAAATTATAGGTTTCATTTGGAATTGGGCTACAAAGGGTGATCAGAAAAAATCAGTAGTGGTTGGAGACTGGATGGAATTGAAATTACAGGAGAGGTAAACATAAGCTCTTAACTACTCTGCTATGCTGCCTCTGCTGCCCTCAGGGCCTGTGAAAGGAGAGGCTGAGGATGTGCTATAGAAGACTCACAAGAAACAACCGTAGTCAGGTGGGAGGAAGCCAGAGTCTTGGACTAGGCTGGAACAGTGGGAACAGAGTAGAAGAAATAAAAAGAAGAATGGGGGCTTGGAGACAAAGTGACTCCTTTTTCCTGTTGGGCCCAAGTCCTAGGGTGACATAAGGCTTGGTCTCTGGGTATAGCAGAGTCTCTTGGGGTACCCTAGCCAAAGGGTTTTACTGGTTCCCAGGGTGATCCCTGTCATCGCAGAGCTGCTTTCCACCTATGTTTTGTCACAGCATTCGTCTGTTCTGAGAGACTGGACTTCTTTCTGCAGAGAAGGGGAGGAGAGATTGGGGCAGGCCTGTGGCCTGGAAGGAGCCTGGAGGTTAAGACCTCACTTCATGACCGTGTGACCTAAGAGCAGTTTTGCCTCTATTTCTTAACTGGGGAAGCAGAGAGCCGATTAAACAGAATAAAATGAGCTGTGAGTGACAGCACTACAAAGTTAGCAATCACCCGAAAACTTCCATTTTCAAAACCAAACCAGTAGAACTCCATTCTGAAGTCTTAAATTGTAGCATAGGCCACCTCTCTGCCACATGCACATTGTAATGGAGATCTTAGTGCTCTCCTTGTGTGACAGGGTAGGACGGTGGAAGGAGGCAGATGGCAGAGAGAACCCAGCTTCACAGCTCCCTGCACCACCTGAAGCCTTCATTTCCTCATCCGTATACTGGGACTGTTAATACCCACCCAAGAGCTAGATGTGGAATATTCCAGAAATGTTAGTGGATACTCTGTTCTCTACCCCTGAAAGGTTCTGCCATAGCATTTAAGCCTGAAGAGACAGTTTCAAGTCCCTAGAGGGCAACCTGAGGTTAGGGAAAGCTGTCATGGCCACAACCAAAGCCCTGAAGTGAGGAAGCAGCGAAGAGTCTGGCTAACCCACAGGAAGCCTGTGGTGACAGCCAGATGAATGTCACCTAAGTGTCCTGAAGGCACAGAGGGATGTAGGTGCAGAGTCAGAAGAGCTGGGTCTTGGCTGCCCTGACTTCCTGAGGTACCGTGTACAGAATGACATAACTCTGAGACAAGGCCCTTAGAAGAAAGGCAGCACCATTCATTACATAGCCATGTGTATGTATGTAATAGGCACTTTACATTCATACCTCTAATTCTAACACCATTGTTTCTCAAACGGCAGGGCCAGGTCTACACAGAACACACAGGTACCTGCTTATAATGCAGCCTTCCCAGCCACCAGCTAGACCTGCTGAGTCTTAGTTGGGACTGGGGGTGGGCAGGGTAGGAGTCTGTATTTTAATACGCTTCTCCAGTGGTTCTTTGCAGAGGTTGCTTTTATCCATATTTTATAAATAGACTGAAGCCAACAATAATTTGCCCAAGACTACACAGTAAAGGAGTAGGTATTCAACCCAGGTCTGCCTGGCCCCAGAGACCATGCTCTGGCTAGAAGAGAGGATGATGCAGGATACCATAGAAGGAATGTGGGAGCGGGGCTGAGGGGTAGGTCTCAGCGCGGAGGCATCTGGTGAGGAGTAGGTCGGAGAAGAAGAAACGGAGATGTTTACTGGTCATGCCGTTGGAGGATCAGGGACCCACTCTTTTTAAAGGTACTTAAAAAAAAAGACTACAGGCTGGGTGCGGTGGCTCACGCTTGTAATCTCAGCACTTTGGGAAGCCGAGGCGGGCAGATCACGAGGTCAGGAGATCGAGACCATCCTGGCTAACACGGTGAAACCCCATCTCTACTAAAAATATAAAAAATTAGCCGGGCGTGGTGGCGGGCGCCTGTAGTCCCAGCTACTCAGGAGGCTGAGGCAGGAGAATGGTGTGAACCCAGGAGGCAGAGCTTGCAGTGAGCCGAGATTGTGCCACTGCACTCCAGCCTGGGCGAGAGTGAGACTCCATCTCAAATAAAAAAAAAAAAAAAAAAAAAAAGATTACAAAGTCGTATGTGTTCATTTTAGGAAAAAAATTAAGGAAAATCACCTCATGAACTCATCACCTAGAGATAACTTTGCTAGTGTATTTGGATATCTTGCTCATCTCTTCTGCATGTGTGCATGCATCTATGGGCACATTTTAAAGCTGGAATCTTACTGTACATGCTTTATTGAAAGGAACTATTTGTGTAGTTTACTTCTTAGTAATAACTTTTATATATATCTTTTTAATATTACCTGTAAGAAGTCATAGCCAAATATGAATGTTTAGAGCAATGATCATCAAATAGTACAGACAGGCATCAGAATCATCTAGAGCAGAGGGTGGTAAGCTTTTTCTGTATAGGACCAGACCATAAATATTTTAGGCTTTTTGGGCCATGCAGTCAAAATTACTCATCTCCGCTCTTGCAGCATGAAAGCAGCCATAGACAGTATGTAAACAAATGATGTGACATGGCTAGAATTTTTTTTTTTTTTTTTTTTTTTTTTTTTGAGACGGAGTCTCACTCTGTCACCCAGGCTGGAGTGCAATGGCGGGATCTTGGCTCACTGCAAGCTCTGCCTCCCGGGTTCAAGCGATTCTTCTGCCTCAGCCTCCCGAGTAGCTGGGACTAACAGGCGCTTGCCACCACCCCCAGCTAATTTTTTGTATTTTTAGTAGAGATGGGGTTTCACCACATTAGCCAGGGTGGTCTCGATCTTCTGACCTCGTGATCCACCTGTCTCGGCCTCCCAAAGTGCTGGGATTACAAGCGTGAGCCACCACGCCCGGCGACATGGCTAGATTTGATCCCTGGGCCATAGTTTGCCAACCCCTGGTTTACAGAAAGGGTCTGTGACTATTGAGTGCCAACTATGTGTTCTAAAAACTTGAAATACATAAGAGAACAAAACAAAAGATCCTGGCACTCACAGGGCTTATATTCTAACTCCTCTATTAATATACAATAAACATATTAAGTCTGATTATGTAATATGTTAGAAAGTGATCACTACAATGGGAAAAAGAACAATCCAGAGCCAGGCGCAGTGGCTCACGCCTATAATCCCAGTACTTTGGGAGGTCAAAGCAGGCGGATCACCTAAGGTCAGGAGTTTGAGACCAGCCTGGCCAACATAGTGAAACCCCGTTTCTACTAAAAATACAAAAATTATCCAGGCATGGTGGCATGCCCCTGTAATCTCAGCTACTCAGGAGGCTGAGGCAGGAGAATCACTTGAACCTGCGAGGCAGAGGTTGCAGTGAGCTAGGATCGCGCCACTGCACTCCAGCCTGGGCAACAGAGCGAGACTCCGTCTCAAAAAATAAATAAATAAGTAAAAATACAAAAATTAGCTGGATGTGGTACCAGGCAGGTGCCTGTAATCCCAGCTACTCAGGAGGCTGAGGCAAGAGAATCTCTTGAACCCAGGAGGCGGAGGTTGCAGGGAGCTGAGATCGTGCCACTGCACTCCAGCCTGGGTGACAGAGCGAGACTCTGTCTCAGAAAAAAAAGAACAACTAGAGCAGAGTGAGGGTGATGATGGGTTGCTCTTTAAACTAGGATGGTCAGTGTAGGCCACATCTAGAAGGTACGATTTGAGCAATGGCATGAAGGAGGTGAAAAGTTGGTCTTGTAGATATCTGAGGATACGAGTTCCAGGTGCAGGGAACAGCCCATGCAAAAGCCCTAAGTTGGGAATGCGCCTGGTATGTTTCTGGAGGAACAAGATTAGTGTGGGCAGAATGGAGTGAGGAAGAAGAGGTCTACTGTTTGGGGGTCCGAGGGGAGGTTTTTGTTTTCTTTAGAGACAGGGTTTTGCACTGTCAACAGGCTGGACTGCAGTGGCATGATCATAGCTCACTGCAGCCTTGAACTCCTGGGCTCAAGTGATCACCACACCTCAGCCTCCTGAGTAGCTGGGACTCCTTAGGTGTGTACTACCATGCCTGGCTAATTTTTAAATTTTTTTCTAGAGACAAGGTCTCAGTTCACTGTTGATTTCCTCTGGAAGATTTCTGTGACTCTCTTGGAGCCTCTGGGCCAAAGTGCTTCTCCGCTCTTTAGTAACCTGCCTTTTCCGAGGTAATAGTTTAAGGCTGTTTGGCATGGATGTGAAGTTCTTCTCCAGCCTAACCTCTAACAGCCTACAGTGTTCCACCATGTAACTCACTGTTTACTTGTCTAATTCCCTGTCAGTGGGCTTTCAGATTGTTTCTAGGTTTCCATCACTATGACAGCACTGCAGTGAACACTCTTTGCTAAATTTCTGACTGAATCCAAGATTTTTCCTTAGAATAGATTCTTAAAAGTGGGGGCCAGGTGCGGTGGCTCACACCTATAATCCCAGCACCTTGGGAGGCCGAGGTGGCCAGATCATTGAGGTCAGGAGTTTGAAACCAGCCTGGCCAACATGGTGAAACCCCGTCTCTACTAAAAATACAAAAATTAGCCAGGTGTGTGGGGCGTGCGCCTGTAGTCCCAGCTACTTGGGAGGCTGAGGCAGGAGAATCGCTTGAACCTGGGAAGCAGAGGTTGCAGTGGGCCGGGATCACACCACTGCACTCCAGCCTGGGTGACAGCAAGACTCCATCTAAGAAAACAAAAAAAAAAAGTACGATTGGTGCGCCAGAGTGAACACAAAATGTAAAGACTTGTGTATTTGTGAGACCCTTTTGAAGCATGCTATCTCCCCAGCTACACCCTCTTCAGGTGCCCCTTCCCTGCCTCCTCCTGCTTTTCACACTGTGGCTCGTGGTTCCAGGCTCAAGCACGGACATCAGTGAGGACTGGGAGAAAGACTTTGACTTGGACATGACTGAAGAGGAGGTGCAGATGGCACTTTCCAAAGTGGATGCCTCCGGGGAGGTGAGTGGGCCTGGTGGGTCAGAGGGAAGCGAGCCTAATGGTCCTGGGTGTGAGAGCTCTCCCCAGCCAGCCCAGCTGTCCCCTCAGGAGGGTCCCTGCTCCTGTCTGAGGTGACAGGTGGTGGGAAAGGAGCTGGAGCTTCCTGCTCAGACCCACAACATTGGTCATCAGCAGGCTGCACTTTTCCTCAGTTCCAGGGTGGATAGAGGGTCAAGTTCTTGACCTTAGCTCTGTATCAAAATTGCCTGAGAAACTGCTTAAGAAAACAGATGTCATGCTGAGCGCGGTGGCTCACACCTGTAATCCCAACACTTTGGGAGGCCAAGGTGGGAGGATTGCTTGAGGCGAGGAGTTCAAGACCAGCCTGGCCAATATAGTGAGACCCCATTTCTGTTTTTGAAAAAAAAAAAAAAAGGAAAAAAGAAAACAGACATCAAACCCTGCCTGACCTTCTGAGTTGTGGTCCTCAGGTATGAGGCCTGAGTATATACTTGGCCTTGGAGACAAAAGACCAGTGTGATCAAGGGCAAGGGCAAGTTACTTAACCTGAGCCCCTGGTTCCTCATCTAAAACATGGAATTGATCATTATAAGACCTGGCTATAAGCTGTAATGAGGTGATCCATGTAGACACCTTAGGGCTATTGCCTGAGACATGGTGACCAGCACTCAGGAGACATTAGTGATAAACCCCACAAAACCCATTCCAGTTATTAAGCTCAAGGAGGCCTTAGTACTGTTATTCTTCACTACCTCTCAGAATCAAAAGTGGCTCATTTAGATTGAGAGGCTGGAACAGTCCAAAGCTCTCCCAGCTAATAAGTGACAGGACTGAGGCTGCAACCCAGACATCTGATTCATGTCAGCGTTAGTTCCACTGTCACATAAGAACCACATGAGTCCTTCCATCATGTAACTTATGAGCCTGTTAGAAAGAGGTGGACAGATTAGAGAGACATGTGAAGGGCCTCCTTTTTCATGATGGGAAACTGAAGCCTTGGGGGAGTATTTTACCTACTCAGGAGTATTTTGCACTTGTGACTACCTCACTATACCCAGGACAGAGAAAGCCCATAGTGCCCTGTCAGGCCACAGGGGCTTGCTGGCTTTTTGTGTCTTTGCAGCCCCCTTTAAAACCTGACGTGCAGTACACGTGAGCATTCTAGAACCTGCTATACCAGGGCTTAGCCGACAGCAGGCCAAGAGTAGGAACAAAGCAAGAAAACGTTCCGTGGGGAGACTTGAGCTGGGAATTAGGGTGTTGGTGCCCCTAGTGAAGACCTAGTGGGCATCTGTAGGCCACTGCCACCTCTGCTTTTGGCCACAGTGCCACTCAGGCAGTGGCCTCCATTCACCCAAAGACTAAGTAACTTGCCCTTGATTACACTGGTCTTTTGTGTCCAGGGCCAAGTATCTGCTCAGGCCTCCTGAGTTCTCTGCTTCTCAGAGCCATGGCATTATCTGCTCAGCAGGAGGCAAGTTCTCCTTAAAGGACTGAGGCTGACTTGGTTCCTGTAGGCAGCCATCACCTTGTGGTGTCTGGTGTTGGTTGGGGGAAGTGTTTCCTTTAGGTCTGAGGTAATCAGAGCATCAGGCCCACCCCTCAGGCAGAGGGCAGCTCTGCCCCTCAGACACATTCCTTAAGACTAGGGGTTCACTCTCAGTGGGACCTCAGAGTATGGCCTGGGGTAGGGGATGGGAGGTGGCTCTGCTCAGCAAGTGGAGGTTAGGTCTGGGCCTGACTCAGGAGTAACTATGTGTTTGTGATTTCCATTACCCCCTCCCATTTGCAGCTGGAAGATGTAGAGTGGGAGGACTGGGAGTGAGGGAGCCAGAGGGAGCAGCTCCCCCACCCATGGCATCTCTCGCCTCCCTCGCTCGTCTCAGCCCAGCCCTGGAAGACTGAGAATGTTCCCCCAAATCTCCTCTGCCAACCAGAGCTCTGGGCACAGATTCTGGTGGCTCCCTGCTGGCCCTCTTGGGCCTCTGCTCACACCTGGGAAGGGGCTCTCTAAATCCCGGCCAGAAACTCTGACTTGTGCCAACAATAGGATGACCCAAGGGAGAGGAAACCTATCCTCCTCACCAGAAGAGCCTGTGTTTTTCTGCTGAACACCCACTGTTCCTGAGGACTCCTGCTGGGAAGTCCCAAGGGATAGTTCTAGCCCTTCTGCCTGTGTAGACAGAAGCTAAACCACCAGTCTCTCTCGGAGGAAGCTGAGACAACATACTCTGTCCATACATAAGCAGGCAGGGAGGGCCATGCCACCTACCCTTGGCTAAACAGGGACAGTGAACACATTTTGGTTCCTATCCCAGTGGGTAAGAGGCACTTATCTCTGGGAAATTTGCCTCTCTTGGGACTCTCCCCCTCCCAGGCATTTTCCATTCCTGGAAAGGCTCCTTTGGGGTTCAGAATCCAGAGACCAAACCCTGACCCACCTCCTTCCTTTCCTCCAGCCCACGCTGGTCTGTCCCCATGCCTTCCCAGGGCTTCTTCATGTCGGATGCACCCAAGTCCTTAGCCCAGCTGTGCCACCTGCAGGAGTTCGCTCTTGCGTTTCTTCCCCTCCCCAAGAAGGGAGGGGGCTACTTCAGGCCCTTCTGTGTGTTGCCTGGCAGGATACCTTGTCCAACCAGCTACCCACCTCAACTCCCCTGTAGTTTAGGACACAAAACAGCTACCAGCGGTACAGAGCGGTGATCAAAGCCGAGTACTTACAACTCTGGTAAGCCTAGCTTCTCCGCCTCAGCCCTTCTGCTTCTGGAAGGGCTATCCTGGGGGTGAACTTGAAACTCTCATCAGGCTTCTGCAAAAGCTCTTCTTCCTGAAGACAGACCCAGCCTTTGTGCTCTCACCCTCCACTCTGGTAAAGCTGCACCTCTGGGGGAATGAGGGGCTGCAGGAATCTCTGGAGAGCCTGGTGCTTCACGATGCTGCTCTGGTGATTCTTGTACCTAATCTGGTGTGCTCACCAATGAGTGAAAGGGATCGTGGGTCAGGGACACCGAGAGAGTGAGGTCACTTCCACTTCAAACCTTCAGTGAGGGGGTGGGATGGAGAGAATGCTGAATCTTTTTTTTGACGGGATGGGGTTTTTCTCTTTGTAATTATTTCTTTAGTTTAATTAACCTTTTGGTTGTTTGTGCAATATTATATATTTTAAATTATAATGCATCTCCCCAGAGTATTTTGTAGCTGGGAAAAGAAAAAAGGAAAAAAAGAAAAAAAGATTCTAACAGCTGTTAGTTTTATAATTAAAAAAGAAAGAAAAAAGAACTTTGTCCTGAACCTTTTACAGACTTGCCGTTAACAGCATTAAAGTGATTCACCCGAAGCTGAAAGGTGTCTGGGGGTCTGTTTTTGTCCCCTTGGCAGCTGCACTGGGCCAGGGCAGGACTGGCTTCCCACTTGGAGCCAGAGACAGGGTAGGGGGATAGCCTAGGTCCAGAGGACGTACCTTGTCCTCATCCCAGATTCAGCTTTGCCTTTGGGATGAGAAAGGGTCAGGGCTCGCAACAGGCCTCTCACTGGGACAAGGAGTCGGGAGGCCATCTCTGCACTCCCAGTGCCTCTGCTTTCCTTTGGAAAGGAAGTTGCAACAAGAATGGCTTCAGTTGCTCTTGGTCATTTTTATCCTCTCTTCCCCCTGTTTGTATATGATTCTTGGGTCTATTTTAATTAACTTTAGTATGAAAATCACTTGTCATGCCAGGCGCAGTGGCTCATGCCTGTAATCCCAACATTTTGGGAGGCCAAGGTGGGTGGATCACTAAGGTCAGGAGTTCCAGACCAGCCTGGCCAACATGGTGAAACCCCATCTCTACTAAAAATACAGAAATAGCCAGGCGTGGTGGGAGGTGCCTGTAATCCCAGCTACTGGGGAGGCTGAGGCAGGAGAATCGCTTGAACCTGGGAAGCAGAGTTGCAGTGAACTGGAATCGTGCCACTGCATTCCAGCCTGGGCGACAGAGCAAGACTCTTAAAAAAAAAAAAGGAAGTCTGAATGAGGCCCTTTGATTCCATGAAGATCTCTAAAAGGAAAGAGTAGTAGTAAGGCTGGGGTAGATGTAGGTAAGTTTTAGGATAAGTAAACTTAAAGCGTAAAATATATATCACCATTTTAGAAGCGGGTTTTTGGGTTTGCTTTCTCCCCCTACTTTATTGGAGAGCACTTGCCATTGCTTTTATCAAGTGCTTGCTAGCCATGGATGCCAACTAACTTCTTCAATTGAAGGCCGGAGGATCATATCGGGTTCCAGGAGCCTCTTGAGCAGGTCCTGGCAATCGGCCGAGATGCTCAGATGAGTGGGGAAGGACACCCCCTTCTGCTGCTGCCACAGCATCTTGGGGATGTCTGTGTCGTCAAAAGGTAGGCTGGCACAGAGCATGACATACAGGACCACACCCATGCTCCAGACATCACCTTTTTTGCTATCGTGGGGAATGCCCTGCAGCACCTCGGGGGCAGCATAGGCTGTACTGCCGCAGAAGGTCTGGCTCAGCTCCCGGTGTGACTTGGGCAACACCTTGGCAAAGCCAAAGTCAGTCAGCTTCAGGTTGAAGCCCTGCAACAAGGCGTTCTCACATTTGAGGTCCCGGTGGGCCACACCACAGCCATGGCAGTAGCGGATGGCCTCAACCATCTGACGGAAGAGGGCCTTGGCCCGGCTTTCAGGCAGTGGCCCCCCATTCAGCACGCAGTCAAAGACATCCCCTCCCTCAGCGAGCTCCATCACCAGGCAGATTTTCCCGTCGGCAGACTCCAGCATCTCATACACCTGGATGATGTTCTTGTGGTCCAGGGTACGGACGATTTGGAGCTCCCGAGGGAGGAATCTCTGGATAAACTCTGAGGAAGTAAGGGGAGGAGAGATGGGCTGGCAGATCAGAAAGGCCCACCTCCTCACACCTGTCTCCTGCCTTCCAACTTCTGCCCACCTTGTCTGGGTCTTATTTCTTGGCTTTCTTAATGGTCTTAAGTGTGTCTAGCTGCTTGGACATTGCAAAGAATGTTCACTTCTATTATTTTTGTCGTTAGTATATCATTCAAAAGAAGCACTCCCCACCAGCCTTGTGGACTGTTGTGAGCAGTCTGTGAGACTGGATATCAAGGTGCTTTAGGGACTTTTAGACAAAGCCACAGAATCACAAATTATAAGGCCTGATTTGTCCACAGGGTGGTGAGCCAGCTCCTCCCGCCACTGTCCCCTGACCCCACAATTCTTTCCATGAGCCCTGTCTTCCTTTTTCCCATCTCCACGGGCCTTGGCACCAGCCCCTGTTCTCTACCAGCCCTGGTTGTGGCCTCTGCCAGTCTCTGTTCCCCTGCCGGAAAGGAAAGCCTGGCTCAGGTTTTGCCTCTGAGGATCCTTCACCTCATGCCACTTTCATCTTGCATTCTGGGGGGGTGTAATGTTCCTGGACTCCCAGAACCCCTCTGTTCCCCACTGACCCACTCCAGAGCTGCCATCGGGCTTGCTTGGTTCCAGGCCAGCGGGAGCAGGGAATGATCGAATGATCGTTCTAACAAACAGGAGGAAGCACCCACCCACCTCAGCCAGTCCTCCCTCCTTCCCTCCAAAGGGGCCCCGGCTCACCTTCTGGCCCTCCCATCTTGTCTATAACTTTAATTGCCACTTTTCTTTGGTGTTTTTTGGAAAATGCTTCTTTGACTTTTGAGTAGGTCCCTTCCCCAATGGTCTTGCCCAGCTGGTACCCATTGGAGAGCAGAAAGTCCTCCATGCTGTCTAGCGCCGCCTTCCTATCACCCTCTCAGCTCATGCTGCCTCTGAGAGGCAGCTCTACTCCACCATCGCCCTTGGCCTGCTCCTTTTCTCCCCAAGGACTTCATCCGCAGCCGCCCCCAGCGTTAGAACATTCTCTGTCTGGACACAGCGGCGGGTGGTGGGGAGGGACAGGGCCAGACATTTTTAAACTCCGGTGCAATTGTGATGTAGATGCTGTGTGACCCTTGGCCAAAATGGGCAGTGCCCCTACCTGCCCTCACTACCACCACCAAACTCAGCCCGGATTAAGTCACCGCCGAGCCCGCCCCCGTGCCAGGCATTGAGTTGTAGTCCCGCCTGGGAGGGCGCTCCGCCGCGTCTGTGTGGACCGGGAATGCGCGGCTCCTCGGCGTGGACGCCGCCTCGCGGCGGGTTGCCCTGGCCTGCTGCGCCCCCCTCGGGTGTCCGGGGTCTGCGCGACCCCGTCTCCAGGCGCCATGGCCAGAGGCCTCCAGTCCCCGATTCTGGCCCGCGCTGAGTGCCAGGGGCGGCAGGGGGCACCGTTGGGGGTTCTCCAGTGGGAGGAACGTGCTCTGTGAGGTCAGCGCGCCGCGGCCCGGGTCACAATGCTGCCCTCCTCGACGCCCGGGCCCGGGCACGCCACAGAGACCTGCCCGGCTCCGCCTGGACCGGAGCGTTCTCCCGCGGCCAGGGCTCCGGCAGCTGCTTCTAGCCTGGGACCGGTCTCAACCGCCGGGAGGTGAGCGACGGCCCAGGGGGCGGGCGCGAGGCGGCGGCGCCCGGCGACCCGGGAGAGGCCTGACCGCCACTCCCCGCGCAGAGCGCCCCGGGGCTTGGACATGAGCGCCCAGGAGCCCCCGCAGGGTCGGAGATTCCCCATTGAGGCCGGAGACTCCCGTGGCCTTGCCGCCGCCCCCGAGTCCCAGGACAGCCCGGAGGCGGTAGCGACGGAGCACAACCCGGTCAGGTAAGGCCCGCGCCCCACCCCCGCCTCCGCCCGTCCCGCGGCCCCGCCCTCCGTCCCACTTGGCGCCCCCAGCAGTCAGGACCCCGCATCCACGTCCGGACCCCCGGGGACCCCAGGTGCACTCCCTGGGTGCGCCCCACAGGATGGGCCAAGCCCCTGCCTCAGCGGCCCCTGTCGCGCGTCAATTTCCCCAGGCCGCTTCGTCGCTGCCCTGGATGCCACTGCCTGACGCTGCTGCACGTGCCCATCGACGTCTACCTCGCCATGGGCGGGAGCCCCCGGGCCCGCGCCACGTGAGTGCGCCTGCTCCCTGCGGCTCCGCGGGAGCTGGGCGGGAACGAGGCCCCCAGCGGGCCACCACGCTGAGGTCGCATGCGCCGAGCACGAGACAATGATGCACATTTTAAAATAAAAGAATGATGCACATTTTAATAAAGCACAGCACAAACTGTTCTTTCCACTCCGGGCTGGCAGTGTATGTCTATCCGTCGGGCCCACCAGCTGCTCTGCCCAGTCCAATAACACTTTCCCTTCCGCAGCCTCCTCGTTTGGACCCAGCCTTAGGGGCCCGCCCTTCCGCCTTTCAACCTACGCCACTTCACTCCTCTCGTATCTTGCTGGTCCTGACCCCTCCTGGGCAGCCTTTCCCTTGGGCCCTGCCCTGGTCCATCTCTCTAACCCTCTGGTGATTCTCCGGTGAAATTCACATCACTGTGCTGGACCCTGGCAACCCACAGAAGCGGGGAACAGGAGGAAGAGGTGGACCGACAAGTAACATAGAATACAGCCATAGGCCACCCACACCAGGCTATCTATCTATCTTATCTATCTATCATCTATCTATCTATCTATCTATCTATCTATCTATCTATCTATCTATCTATGAGATGGAGTCTCGCTCTGTTTCCCAGGCTGGACTGCAGTGGCATGATCTCTGTTCACTGCAACCTCTGCCTCCCAGGTTCAAACAATTCTCCTGCCTCAGCCTCCCAAGTAGCTGGGACTACAGGCACCCGACCAGACCCATTTTAATCCTCTCGAGCGAGAAGTTCTGCGACAAAGTTCTGCGACTTGCTCTTTGTGGCCCTAGGTGCCTGGGACCTTCCTTATTGGAAGGGTTTGGAGCTGCCCCAGTCCATCCTGAGCCTTGGTTTCTCCCAGGACTGAAGTGATCATAAAAAGATTGGGGAAGAGGCCATTTGAAAAATGGTGGCTTGCCAGGCGCGGTGGCTCACGCCTGTAATCCCAGCACTTTGGGAGACCGAGGCAGGTGGATCACAAGGTCAGGAGTTCGAGACCAGCCTGGCCAACATGGCGAAACCCCGTCTCTACTAAAAATACAAAAATTAGCTGGGTGTGGTGGTACGCACCTGTAATCCCAGCCACTCGGGAGGCTGAGGCAGGAGAATTCCTTGAACCCAGGAGGCAGAGGTTGCAGTGAGCTGAGATCATGCCACTGCACTCCAGCCTGGGCAACAGAGCAAGACTCTATCCAAAAAAAAAAAAAAAAGAGAGAGAAAGAAAGACGTTGGTTTAACTTCCTATTTTACAGATGAGTGAACTGAGCCTTTGAGACTTACCCAAGGTCCCCCAATGAGAGTCTAGCACACTCCTCAGCATCCTGAGACCACATGACCTAAGATCTGCCCTCGGAGGGGCCCATGACAGGAAGCCTGCCTGGAGGTGCTAGTATTTAAGCTAAACAACTATTTCCTACTTTCCAATTTGGCTTTAATGAGCCCGTATATTCTACTTTCCAATTTTGTTACGGGGGGAGTGTAACCTAAAGGTCAGGTTCAGTCTCCTGTCCCCTGAGATCTAAGGACAATTGATTCAACACCCTCCTCTAATCCTCATAGGGTAGAGAAGTCCAAGCTTTCCCTAGAGCACCTTAAAATTCCACGTCACCCAAAAGGGATACCCTTCTCAGTTTCCACATAAAATGCTCTCCCAGGCAGTCCCCATGTAGGAGGCTTACTAAAAGGGCCTATTTCCTCACTGGTTTAAAAAAAAAAGGCATCAGCTGGTCTCTTTGGACTCTGCCAGCCCCCAAATAGTGAATCCTTCTCATTCTTCCTTTTTTTCCATCTCTCCCACTTCCTTCTCCTCTCTTCTCAACCCTCCTTTCCTTAAAAAAAAAAAAAAAATAGGCCAGGCATGGTGGCTCAGGCCTGTAATCCCAGCACTTTGGGAGGCTGAGGCAGGAGGATCACTTGAGCCCAGGAGTTCAAGACCAGCATGGAAAACAGCAAGATCCCATCTCTAAAAACAAAACAAAACAAAAAAACCAGGTATGGTGGCGTGTGCTTGTAGTCCTAGCTACCGGGGAGCCTGAGGCAGGAAGATTGCTTGAGCCCAGGAGTTTGACGCTGCAATGAGCCAAGGTCACACCACTGCACTCCAGCCTGAGCAACAGAGTGAGATCCTGTCTCTAAAAAAAATTAGGCTGGGCATGATGGATCACGCCTATAATCCCAGCACTTTGGGAGGCCGAGGCAGGTGGATCATGAGGTCAGGAGATGAAGACCATCCTGGCTAACATGGTGAAACCCCGTCTCTACTAAAAATACAAAAAAATTAGCCAGGCGTGGTGGCGGGAACCTGTAGTCCCAGCTACTCGGGAGGCTGAGGCAGGAGAATGGTGTGAACCCAGGAGGTGGAGCTTGCAGTGAGCTGAGATCGCACCACTGCACTCCAGCCTAGGTGACAGAGTGAGACTCCATCTCAAAAAAAAAAAAAAAATTTAGAAACCAGTTACTGCCACATCCCACGTACCTGATTTGTGAGGGATACAAAGATTCTAGACGCAGTCCTTGCCAATGGGGCTAGTTAGCTCTAGAATGTCCATGAGCAAGAGAAAGGGCATTCCCTTTGGGGAGGAAGCATTGTGGGTAAAGGCCTGGAGGCAGGAAAGTGAAGGACAATTTCAAGAAACTCAGTTCATCAATTTTCATCAACACCTTCCTGGGCCATGCCTGGTACTGAGAACCCAGCCCTGAATCTGACATCATTTTCCCTTTCAGAGCATAGAATGCAGGGGATCCAGGAATGGGTTAACAGAAGAGAAGCTGGATCAAGGAGACCTTTGCGTACCAGGTGAAGGAGTTTGAACTTTGTTCTGCAGGCAGGCAGAGCACGACAGGCTCCTACCTGGGTCACTTCATTCTCCTATTTCTCTTCTCTTCCATCCTGTTCTGTTTCTTCTTACTCCTTTCCACTGGAAGAGCCACTGGCCGAAACTAGTGCTGAGTTCAAGTCCTAACTCTGCTGTTTCTCTAACTGTGCAGTCTTGAGCTAGTTACTTAGCCCCTCTGAGCCTCCATCTTCAAATCTGTTAAGTAGGGCTAATTGACACCTGGTAGAAAGTTTCAGTAAGGACCTGTATGTATAGCACCATGCAGGAATCACTGCCAAAGCTACCACTTGATAAGCAAGAGAGACTGCTACGGCTGCTGCTCCTACCTTTGGCTTCAAGGGACAGCAGACAGCCAGACAGCCAAAGACACTGTCCCCAGGGGTTGGGTGATGTCCAGCCCTGAAGAGGGCTGAGGAAACCCTCTTGCCTCTCTCTGCCAACTTCCTAGCAGTTCTGTTCAGGAGCCTAAGAACTTGGTGGGGGGATTGGGGGCAGGGGAATTTCCAAGGGAATCCCCAGGTGGAAAAGACAGAGCTGCCTCCCTCACCCTAAAGGTTACATCTGTCCCCGGACCCCAGTGCAGGACCCAATGCAGATCCCAGCCTTACTCTCTGGGCCTGAGGAATGGGGAGGGGCCAGGCAAAGGGGGATGCTCCAATCACTGCCTTCCCTGACTTATTTCCCAGACACCTTATTAGCCAGCCCCTCCCTAAGGGACCCCCTTTTAGAAGGAGGGGGCGAAGTACAGATGGACCCCCCAGGTTACCATGGAGACAGCAGGGAAAGGGTTGCTGTATCACCATGGCAATAATCGACGTCAGCGCTACCCTTTCCCATCGCTTGATATGAGAGGGGGACAGCCACCCCAACCACAAGCAAATCCCCCACAAATCCTCCTCCTCTTACTGAGCCAATCAACCAGGGGGGTCGCCAGACTTAATATAGCACAGGAGTTAAAAGCACAGACTCTGATGTCAGTCAAACCTTGGTTCAAATCCTCACTCTGCCTCATCCTAGCCGTGTGAATTTGAGCAAGTTCTTTAACCCTTTGAAGTCTCATAGGTGCCATGGGAATAAATAAGCTATGTGCCTCCAAGGATTACATGAGGATGACATGGGATCATGCAGGTAACAGGCGTGGGGTGTGCCTCACCCGAACTGTACATTGGCATTAGGGACGGTCAAGAATCCTACTCACCACCTTGAAACTTGTCAGGGGATTGTGGACCTCCAGATACAGACTCACACCCCCTAGAGGGCCCCCAGGACTTACAAGGACTGGGCCTCAGGGTTTGAGCATCTCAGGATTTGGGGATCTCAGAGTGGTCCCGGAAACAGTGGAATTTCCAGGCTCTGAGGAAACCCCAGATGCCACTTTCCCTGAAACCTCATCACATCCGGACTCGGACCCAACTTTCCCTTCTCCTCCCCTCTGCCTTGTCCTAGGCCTTATTAGCAGCCTTCTACCTCTTAGGGGCCTCCATCTGCTCTTCTAAGAAAAAGGATGGGTGCCCAGGCATGGTGGCTTATGCCTGTAATCCCAGCACTTTGGGAGGCTGAGGTGGGCAGACCTCTTGAGGCCAGGAGTTTGAGACCAGCCTGGGCAACATGGCAAAACCCTGTCTCTACAAAAAAAAAAAAAAAAAAATAGCCAGGCGTGGTGGCACATGCCTGTAGTCCCAACTATTTGGGAGGCTGAGGCGGGAGGATCACCTGAGTTCAGGAGGTTGAGGTTGCCATGAGCCAAGATCATGCCACTGCACTCCTGGCTGGGCACCAGAGTGAGACTCTGTCTCAAAAATAAAAAAGAAAGGGAAAGAGAGAGAGAAAGAAAGAAAAGAGAGATAAAGGAAGAAAGGAAGGAAGAAAGAAAAGAAAGAAAGAAAGAAGAAAAGGAAGGAAGCAAGGAAAGAGAAAGAAAAAGGAAAGTAAGGAAGGGAGGAAGGGAGGAAAGGAGGGAAGGAAAAAGGAAAGGGAAAGGAAGGAAAGAAAAGAAAAAGGATGAGGCCAGTGCAGTGGCTCACACCTGTAATCCCAGCACTCTGGGAGGCTGAGGCAGGTGTATCTTTTGAACACAGGAGTTCAAGACCAGCCTGGACAACATGGCGTCTCTACAAATTAAAAATATTAGCCGGGTGTGGTAGCGTGTGCTTGTAGTCCCAGCTACTCAGGAGGCTGAGCTAGGAGGCTCGCTTGAGCCTGGAAGGTCAAGGCTACAGTGAGCTGAGATCATGTCACTGCATGAATAAAAGAAAAAAAGATGGCCAGGCGCAGTGGTTCACACCTGTAATCCCAGCACTTTCGGAGGCCGAGGCAGGCAGATCACAAGGTCAGGAGTTCAAGACCAGCCTGACCAAAATGGTGAAACCCCGTCTCTACTAAAAATACAAAAATGAGCCAGACATGGTGGCGTGTGCTTGTAATCCCAGCTACTCAGGAGGCTGAGGCAGGAGAATCACTTGTACCCGGGAGGTGGACGTTGCAGTGAGCTGAGATCGTGCCACTGCACTCCAGCCTGGGTGACAAAGCGAGACTCTGTCTCAAAAAAAAAAAAAAAAGAAAAAAGACAAAGGATGGATGAGGGACTGCAGGTACGGTCACCACAGGGATATGGGTGGTCCAGTTCCCACTGCCCTCTCCCACCCACCATTAGGGTAGGAAGACCAGAATCATTCTCATTCCCTCCCTCTTCCCTGACTCCAGTACAGGCAACCACAGTTCAGTCTGCCCCAAATCCACTGCCACTGCCCTGAGTCAGGCCCCCCTTACTACTCACCCAATTATCCCGGCAGCTCCCTGCCAGGTTTCCCTCCTTCCTTCCTCAATTGATTCCTCCAATCCAGAATTATTTTATAAAGACCACAAACGCAGCTGGGTCAGTCTCCTATTTAAACCTCATCAATGGCTTCTTCACATCACTTGTGCAGCCACACTGGACACCTTTCAAATCATCACAAAACATTCCTCCTACCTTAAGTACACCATCCCTTCTGCCTGGAATAGCTTCCCCTGACCCCACAGATCACCCTCAAAGACAGTCCCCCTGACCACCATCCTTAGGGCCTGCATGGCCACTGTGTTGCCTTCAGTGTCCGTATCTATTCCTGATCTCAGCTTAATGCCTGTCTTCCCCATTACATGACAGGGGCCAGGGGCTGGACTGTCCTCCTCCTGACATCCCCAGGATCTAGAACAGGAGGGCTCAGGAATCTGCAGATTAGACTAGTTTGTGAATGACTGCTTGCGATGTCCACAGAGGAGAGGCCTTGGTGCTGTGAGGAGAAGAAATAGCAGAGCCACCTGCCTGGCTGGGAGTTTGGAAATGGCTCTCATGAGGAACGGACGCTTGAACTGAAGGATGAGAAGCTGTTACCCAGGCAAAGACTGAGGAATGCCCCAATACTGGGGTTGGCAGGGGCATGGGTTGGGTGAACTTGATGCTAAAGACATGGTGCAGGGAGACATATTCCTATGTTGGAAAGACACACCCAGCTGCCCTATAGGAACAGACCACACAGGGGATTGAGAGTGGCAGCAGGGAGACAGGTCAGGAGGCTGCTGCAGGAGGTGAAAGGTGATGGGCCCTTGGCTCAAGTGTTGGTGGCGGAAGTGGAGAGAAGCTATGGGATTTTAGGTACGTCCTGAAAGGACAGGTTTTCATAGCTGCTTGAGGATGAAAAGGGTGAGAGAAGCTGGGCACAGTGGCTCACACCTGTAATCCCAGCACTGGGAGGCCGAGGAGGGTGGATCATGAGGTCAGGAGTTCAAGACCAGCATGGCCAACATGGTGAAACCCCATCTCTACTAAAAATATAAAAATTAGCCGGGCATGGTGGTGCACGCCTATAGTCCCAGTTACTCAGGAAGCTGAGGCAGGAGAATTGCTTGAACCCGGGAGGCAGAGGTTGCAGAGAGCCGAGATTGCACCACTGCACTCCAGCCTGGGCGACACAGCAAGACTCTGTCTCAAAAAAAAAAAAAAAAAAAGGCGAGAGAGGGCAGAATCTAGAACCAAGTCCAGATTTCAGGTTCAGACAACTGGGAGATGGCTAAGCTGGGGAACATGGAGGGAGGGCAGGTATGCAGCCTGTTTCCTGAGAGGTGGGACATCCAGCAGGAGGGGTCCAGGAGGCAGGTGTGGGGTTGGGGAGAGGGCTGGACTGAGAAAGAGACATGAGTTTCTGACATGGGCTGGATGCTGAAGGCATGGGAGCTGATGAGACTCCCTGGGGACAGACTGTAGCAGGCCTGGGAACAACCATGATTAGGCAGTGAGCAAAGGATAAGAAATTTGCCATGTGGCAGCAACCCATAAGATAGCAAGAAAATCAAAAGTGCACAGTGTCCAGAAATACAAGGGCCTAAAAGTATCTGAAAGAGGAAGGAGTATTTGTGTCAAAGCTGGCCACTGCTAAGGGGTCAAGGCAGATAAAGACTTTTAAGCATCCCTTGGATTTAGCAACAAGGAGGTCAGCAGTGACCTTGGCAGGCTGTTCCTGTGGAATGGTGGGGGAGGAAGCCAGATTGCAGGGGCTGAGTGAGGAAGTAGAAACAACGTGTGTATACAACTCCTTCAAGAATGCTGGCTGCAGAGGGGAGCTGGCGAAGGATGTGGAGTTGAGGGAGGGCTTTCTTTTTTTCAAAGATATGAAAGACTAGAGCCTGTTTGTCTGCCTATGGAAGAAGCCATCAGGGAGGGTGAGGCTGAAGATAAGGAAAAATGGTTGAAGACAGGGAAAAAAGGAAGGGATTAAGGGAAGGAGAGTCCCCAAGGAGGAAAAACATTAAATTCCCAAATATGGCTGCAGAACTTGGGGGGCAAGTCAGGGCCTGTACTGGGCTCTGGGGGCTCAGAACAGCTGCCCACTCTCTCCGGCAGCCAGTGTGAGTCACTGGGGGGGAAATAGCCCAAACTGGCAGTGTGGGAAGGGGAGCTGGGCCAGCATGTTCCTTAGGATCCCCAGGGGTCAGGGAGGAGCAGGGCCCAGCCTGGGCTCTGAGCCCTGAACCCCATGCTGAGCTGGACAAGGACACACAGAAGGGTTGTCTCACCTTTTGTAGGAGCAGGCAGAGTTGTAGAAAGCCTAGGTTTTACTTTTGGCTTTTCACTGCCCGATTGTGAACCTCAGTTTCCTCTTCTGCAAAAAGAGAGGGTTAAACAGATCAAGGGCTTTTCAGTTTTGGGGAAGGAAAGTGTCAGGACTTTGCTGACAGTTTAGGGAGTCCTGGAGCCCCAGCAGCCTCCTGAACTAGAGTTGGCTGAGGAGCTGCCATTTAAGCATGCATAGAATTAGGGAAAAGGCTCCCATGAAAGCCATGGGGAGCAGGTCAGGGTGTGCCTAAGCCTGGGAGAAGAGGAGGCCCTTTGAGGCGTGATTTGTGCCTGAGCACACCATCAGGAGTGTGGGAGGCCAGCCAGGAGTGGTGGCTCATGCCTGTAATCCCAGCACTTTTGGGAAGCTGACTGGGAGGGGGGCAGATTGCTTGATCCCAGGAGTTTGAGACCAGCCTAGACAACATGGCAAAAGTCTCTACAAAACAAAGCAAACACACACACACACACACACACACAAAAATTAGCTGTACTTGGTGGTGCAGGCCTGTGGTTCCAGCTGCTGCAATCCCAGCAATCCTCCAGCTAATGTAGGAGGACTGCTAGGGCCCTAGGAGGTCGAGGATGCAGTGAGCAGTGATTGTGCCACTGCACTCCAGCCTGGGTGCCAGAGTTGAGACCCTGTCTCAAAAAAAAAAGAAAAAAGAAAATAAAAAAAGGTTGGGCATGGTGGCTCACCTGTAATCCTAGACTTGAGAGGCCAAGGCCGGTGATTCACTTGAGCTCACGAATTCAAGACTAGCCTTGGCTACATAGTGAAACCCTGTATCTACAAAAAAATACAAAAAATTAGCCAGGTCTGGTGGTGAGTGCCTATAGTCCCAGTTACTTGGGGGGCTGAGGCAGGAGGATCGTTAGAGCCTAGGAGGTCGAGGCTGCAGTGAGCTATGATCGCCCCACTGCACTCCAGCCTGGATGACAAAGTGAGATCCTGTCTCAAAAAAAAAGTGTGTGAGCAGGGGCTGGAAGCCCTGGGTGGGATGAGGAAGGGTTTCTCCAATGGGCAGCTGACCTTCCTGTCCCTGGCCCCCTCCTGCTGCCTCTGTTTGTCCTTGCACTTCTGTCCTTGACCCTGGGGAGGAGTGTCTCTGGGGAACCTGGAGATCTGGTGACCAGCCCCCTCCCACTGAAGCGGCTAGTGGGGGCAGACTAGACTAGACCTCACGAGAGAGACCAGCTCTGCCCCCAACCCCTCTGCCAGCTGACGCCTCCTGGCCTTCTGCTAAAAACAGCCGGGCCCGGGGGGAATATGGGTTTTCAGGCCTCCCCCTCCTCGCCCAGGCAGGTATTAAAGAGAGGCCGAAGTCGGGCCAGACCGGCTGGACACCATGCTATTCACCGAGACTGCTCACTTCGTGGTGAATTTTCTTCTGTCCCAGTGAGGGGGCCCGAGGGAGGGCGCCAGCTGGATAAAGCGCCCTGGTCTGGCAGCTGGGGGAGGAGGCACTCAGGTCCTTGGGAAGGCGCCAGTGGGGGCCTCCAGTCCCTTTCCACGTCCCTCTAAATCGACCAGGAGTGACCCCGGCCCGTGCCCTGCCTCGTCCGATCGGAGGCAACTTCCTCCTCCCCGCCTGTCGTGTTCTCCTGGGGTGACCGCTGTCCCATCTCCCCCGCAGGCGGCCCCAGGCCACGGCCCCGCACCGCCTGGACCAGGAGTTGTGTTTCTGGGGCAGCCGGGGCCCGGTCTTGCCGGCGCCCGCCGCCCGCCGCAGCCTGGGCGACTACTGGCTGAGCCCGCAGCGCCGCCACCCTCCGGGTGCCGCCTGGCACTGGCCCGCACGCAACCTGTTACTGCTGCCCCCGGCCACCGGCCTGGCCGACGTACCCTCGGCGCGCTGGCCCAGCTGCTACGGCGCGCGCCCGAGACTCACGTGAGTGCGCCGGGAGGGGCGGGGCGAGGGCCCGGGGAGTAGACGGGGTGACCGGGGCCTATGCGAAGGGGCGAGGTCTAAGGAAGGGGCGGATCCAGAGCCGAGGATCCGGGCCTGGGGGCGAGGGGAGGGGGCGGAACTGGGTGGGAAGGGCGGGGTCTGAGGGCGACCGGGAGCGGAAGGAAGGGGCGGGGCTAGGCGGAGTGGGCGCAGACCCGGAGGGAAGGGACACTTGCCCCAATCCCGTCTTCCCGATTTCCCTTCCCTCCAGGTGGAAGCACCGGTGGCAGAATATTAACTACTATTTTCTGGGCAAAAGGAAGCGACATCTAGTTCCCTTGCGCCCGTGAGAGCCGGTGAGGGGCGTGGCCACAGGGGGCGCTGTAGGTGGGCGGGGGCTCGCGGAGGGGCAGGTCTTGGGCGGGGCCTAGCTAGAGGCGTGGGGGAGGGGCGAGGCCCGAGCACGAGGTTGGCCTGCTGCAGTCGCGGCCTGCGAGGCTCCAGGACCCTGTGCAGATGAGCCGCAGTCAGAGGGGCCCCGAGTGCAGGGCGTGGTCTTTGCAGGGTTATTTTTCCCCGCTCTTCTTGGGCTGACACAAACATACTTTTAAAAAGATTGACAAATTTGACTATGTTGAAATTTCTGTTTGTCAGGAGACATCCCCAAAAAAGTAGAGGAGCCCCAAATAGGACTCCTCAAACATAATACCAGCTCTGTGCCCAGTGCAGGGAGTCGGGGACCAGGAAAGTGGTGCACTCGGGTGGGCACCAACTGGGTCAGAGCAAAGGTGACTCCAGCCCTGGGCCTAGAGGCGAAGCTGAATGACCAAGGGAAGGGAAGCTCGGGGTCAGTTTGAAGGGCCCTGTCGTGGTGATCATCCTGTGTGTCTGTGTTCACATTTCGGTGCATCTCTGAAAGTCTGTACCACCTCTGAGTGTGGTTCTGTTTCTGTGTGTTCTATCTCTGATCTATGTGTCTATTTAGTCAACGAATATTTATCAAGGGCTTGGCCAGGTGTGGTGGCTCACGCCTGTAATCCCAGCACTTTGGGAGGCTTAGGGGGGCAGATTGCTTGAGGCCAGGAGTTCTAGACCAGCCTGGGCAACATGGCGAAACCCCATCTCTACTAAAAATGTGAAAAATTAGCTAGGCGTGGTGGCGTGCACCTGTAGTCCCAGCTACTCAGGAGGCTTAGGTGGGAGAATCACTTGAGCCCAGGAGGCAGAGGTTGCAGTGAGCCAAGATCGCACCACTGCACTCCAGCCTGGGCAATACAGCAGACCTTGTCTCAAAAAAAAACAAAAACAAAACAATTATTTATCAAGGGCATGTTTTAGTGATTTGTGACAGGTTTATACACTGAGTTAATCACTGGGTTTACACTGGTGAAGCAAACAGTTGAGGTCCCTGCCCTCATGGAACATACATTCTGGTGGGGAGACAGGCCATAAACTGGAGAGAGAAACAGTGTGTTATGTTTGAGAAGAACAGGGCTGGGTCAGGTGCTACTTGATATGGGATGGGCAGGGACTTGGTCTTTTCTTGAGGGGGCAGGGGGACGGAGTCTCGCTCTGTCGCCCAGGCTGGAGTGCAGTGGCGCAATCTCGGCTCACTGCAAGCTCCGCCTCCTGGGTTCACGCCATTCTCCTGCCTCAGTCTGCCACCACGCCCGGCTAATTTTTTGTATTTTTAGTAGAGATGGGGTTTCACCATGTTAGCCAGGATGGTCTCGATCTCCTGACCTTGTGATCTGCCCGCCTTGGCCTCCCAAAGTGCTGGGATTACAGGCGTGAGCCACCACGCCATGCCGGGACTTGGTCTTGTTCACAGGTCTAGAACAGTGCCTAACACATAGCTGGGGCACAGTAAATGCTGAGAGAATGCATGTGTTGTCGGGAGGTCACTTCTGAGGAGGCAAGTCTTAAACGAGGCTAGCAAGGATGGTCAGCCGCTTCCAGAGCTTGGGAAGAGTGTTCTTGGTGGACGGAACAGTGTAGTCTTGTTGGTAACCACTTGCCTCTGGCTCTCTGTGCCTGGAGAATAGTGTTTCTGTGTCTTTTTTGTTTGTAGTCTGTGATCCTGGGAGCCCTGGGGCCAGTTTAAACAGGGCCCCATCAGGGTCTCTGGAAGTGAGGTCACTGCCCAACAGATTCACCCCACTGGCTAACTCTGGCTTAACTGGCTGGGCCTGGCCATTCCCCTGGAAGCAACTCCTCCCCACAACAGCATCAGTCCCACGACCTCTGGCTCCTTCCCAGGGCAGCATCCTGCAGTCCGGAAGGAAGTTCTTCGTCCTGTCTAACCACAGACCCCGCTGAGGCAACCCCAGCCTTTTCCTCTTATTCTGCCTTGTGGGCAGAAGGGAGGAGATGGGCTGACCCTTCAGCAACGGGTCCTGGCCTAGACGGAGAGCCCAGTAAAGACCTGACAGAGTGGGGGTGACAACACCCTGCAGCCTCGGGGAAGTGAACTTCAAAGGGCAGAAATAATCACTCATCTCAGAAGCTTCTTTGGCATCCATTATCTCATTTAATCAATTAACACCTACTTTATAGACAGAAACTCAAGCAGGCCCAGGGAGGGAAAACAGTGGCAGAACTGGGACCAGAATCCAGGCCTCTTGATAAAATAGTAATAATTAATATTATTGCACATATACTCACTGCCAGGTACTGTGCTAAAACTTTGCATGCATTTTCTTCTTTAAGCCTCATCACATCCCCATGAGGTGGGTACCCTCATTATTCCTGTTGTCCTCAGATGAGAAGGCGGAGGCTCAGAGCTGTCAAATGACTTGTCCAAAGACACCCAGGCAGTTCATGGCAGGACAGAATTTGAGCCCAGGCAGTCTGGCGTGCTCAGCCATGCTCCCTGTGCCCTGGGATTCGGGAGGATTGTCACAGATGTCTACTTTCCAGGGACTTGGGGAGACAGGCTTCAGGCTCTATCACATGATGATCCTGGGGCCGACTTGTGCCAAGGCTGGGCTGGGAGGGAAGATGGCCTGGACGCACAGCGTAATCCTGAGTCCCCTCTCTGTGGATGACGATGAGTTACCTTTGCCCTCCCTCCTGAGATCTCTGTGGTTCTGCCCTTCATTCTCCAAATAAAATCGCTGTGGCCTCACTCTGGCTATCTCTACTTTGAGGGGATGATCTCGGTTTTTCCCATTGACACACACTGAGTTGACCAAACCTACAGGGCTGGAAGAGATTCTGCCATCACCTCTTGACCTTCCCACCATGCCCACCCCACCCATGAGCTCCTTGGGGGGATAATGGATGAAAAAGGCCTGGTTCCTCCTCTCCTGACTCTCAAAGTGCCACAGAAAGAGGAGACATGCACCAGCTGAGTACAGTGTCACAGGAAGGTGACATTAGTTTGGAGCACAGTGGGTCATCTGGTGGGTCAGGAAAGTCTTCTGGAGGGGTCCCTGGAGCTGGTTCTTGACAGGTGGGCGGGCACTGGGGTGCACATGCCCAGGGAGCTATATTCCAGGCAGAGGGCACAGCGTGGAGAAAGGTTTGGGGATTTGTGAGACTGGCAGCCAAGCGGGCTCTCCCTAAAATGAGGCCAGCCAGGGCATAGCTTCAAAGACCTTGAAAGCCAGTACAAGGGGTTATCCAGGCAGAAACAGGGAGTCATGAACAGGTTTAAAGCAGGGGAGGGGCTGGGTGCGGTGGCTCACGCCTGTAATCCCAGCACTTTGAGAGGCCGAGGTGGGTGGATCTCTTGAGGTAAGGAGTTCGAGACCAGCCTGGCCAACACAGTGAAACCCCGTCTCTACTAAAAATACAAAATAGCTGGGCATGGTGGCGTGCACCTGTAATTCCAGCTACTCGGGAGGCTGAGGCAGGAGAACCACTTGAACCCAGGAGGTGGAGCTTATAGTGAGCCAAGATCACGCCACTGCATTCCAGCCTGGGCGACAGAGCGAGACTCTGTCTCAAAAAATAATAAATAAATAAATAAATAAATAAAGCAGGGGAGGGGTGCGGTCTGGCGATTGGTCCCTGGCTGTCAGCTAGGTCTGAGGCCTCAGGCACCTGTCCTTGCACCCTCTCTTACCCACTCTCCCAGGTCCTGTCCAGGACTGTGGCCTTGATGGGTTTCCCCCAAGCCTCCGTGCAAAGGTCTGGCAGAGGTTGCTGATGGCTAGAGGAAAGAGCTGCCCTGACTCATCCACTCACTGCTCAACAGGAGCCCCCCTCCCTCACCCACATAAGACCCCCCTATGGGCCAGGCACTGTGGCTGACGCCTATAATCCCAGCACTTTGTGAGGCTGAGGCAGGCAGATCGCCTGAGGTCAGGAGTTTGAGACCAGTCTGGCCAATATGGCAAAACCCTGTCTTTACTAAAAATACAAAAATTAGTGGTGTGGGGCACCTGTAATCCCAGCTACTTGGGAGGCTGAGGCAGAATCACTTGAACCCAGGAGGCGGAGGTTGCAGTGAGCCGAGATCACACTACTGCAATCCAGCCTGGGCAACAAGAGCAAAACTCTGTCAAAACAAAACAAAAGAAACAAAAAAACCCTATGATCCATCCCCTGCCCTTTACGGGGCTCTCAGTCAAAGAAACAGGTGAGACTGGCAGCCAGGTGGGCTCCACCTCAAATGAGGCCAGCTCAGGGCAGCCCCATACCCAGCTCTCCGGAGCAGCAGCCATGTCCCTCCCTCCTCCAGCCCCTCTCCCTTCGCGCAGAACCTAGTCCCCATCTCTGGGGCTCTCTGATCCAGGAATGTCTCTAGACTTCATCCTCTCCTCCTCTACCCTGTTCCCTCGCCTAGTTCAGGCCACCATTGCCTTTGTCTGGACGAGTCCATTGACTTTTCCCTGGGTTTCCTGCCTCCAACTCTGTCCTCTCTGATCTGTGTCCACTGGGGCCTGTTTGTCTGTTTTACAGGTCCCTATGGGACATCCAGGGTGACCTCCAAGGTCACCGGGAGTTCTGGACAAAGATCTAGGCTGGAGATAGAGACTTCAGAGTAGCATATAGCTGAGCTCATAGATATAGGAGAGAGAAAAGACAGACAGAGGGGTGGTCGATGGTCTCATTTTTTCTCTCCAACACAGATTTCTCTCCAGGCCATAGATCTAATGACATCCCAAAGCCACCTTGGTTTAGCCTGGACCAAACCGACCCCTCTTTTTCTATGCACACACCGCTGCTCTTCCCCAGCTTCCTCCGTGGTGCTTGACACGCCCTTCTGCCCATTTTCCCAAGCCAGACCTTCGGTCCCTCTCAGCCCTCCCACCTCCCCACTCCCACGTTGAGTCCTTCCCTGAGTCCTGTGGCTGCTGCTCCTGAACGTCCCCCGTGCTCCTTCCCTCTCCTTTCCTCTGCCTTTCAGTGGCATTTAACATGGTGGATCACTCACTCCTTCCGGAAGCTGTTTCTTCCCCCAGCCTTGAGGACACCCCTGCTCCTGGCTCACTGGCCATCAGCTGATCCCCTGATGGGAGTCTAAATGTCTTCTGCCTTCTTTTTTTTTTTTCTTTTAGAGATGGGGGGTCTCACTACATTGCCCAGGCTGGTCTCGAACTCCTGGGCTCAAGCAATCCTCCCGCCTCAGCCTCCCAAAGTGCTGGGATTACAGGCATGAGCCACCGCACCAAGCCTGGCTCTGCCTTCCCTTCTTGAGCCACTCTTTCTCTCTAGTGGATCCCGTTGAGCCCTTTGGCTTCAAATTTGGGATCACCCCTGAACTATTACCTGGAGATGGAGCTTCAGGTATTAACTGCCAGCCTGATGGCTCCATGGGGATTCTAACAGGCACCTGGAACTTCAACTCCAAGGCTACCCTCTTAAGCCCCGGCACTGAGAGCAGGGAGAACCATGAGCTCAAGACACGTGGGTGCTGGCCAACTCTCCCTTCCACTTGAGTTCAGGCCCCATCATCTCTGACCTCGATTACTGCAACAGCAGGGAAAGACAGCCAGGCAGAGGGGACTGCCTGTGCAAAGGCAGGAAGGAGAGCAAGGTTATGGCTTGGCCAGAAGCCCAGAGTGTGTTGTGGGGCTCCGATAGCAAATACCTTAAATGTAAGGCTCGGGCTTGGTCCTGAGAGCAATAGGGAGCCACTGAAAGGTTAAAATCCAAGGGGAGCACATTTGTTTTTACACTTCTGTCACGCCTTTGTTCATTCCTCCCCTCGTTTACTTTGTCTGTCAACAAATAGCTGCTGAGCACCCTCTATTAGAAAGTGACCCTGAGACAGTGGAGAATGTCTGGAGGGGCAGAACTGGTTGGCAGAGAGGTCAGTGAGAAGCTGATGACGTAACCCAGCCCAGGTGAATGAAGGGTCTTCCACAGGGCGAGGCATGGAGAGGAGCAATGAGCTGAGATCAGTCCAGGTTCCTGGCTTGGGCAGTGGAGGAGGTAAGTAAGGTGTGAGAGGTGCCGAGCCCAAAGCTCAGAGCGATGGAGTCTATGGTGGGAAGAGCCAGTCCTTCCTCCTGGGGACTCTGGAAAGCTCCTCGGGAGTGGCTTGATCTGGGTTTTAAAAGAAGAGTAGGCCGGGCGCAGTGGTTCACCCCTGTAATCCCAGCACTTTGGGAGGCCGAGGCGGGCAGATCATTTGAGGTCAGCAGTTTGAGACCAGCCTGGCCAACATGGTGAAACCCCATCTCTACTAAAAATACAAAAATTAGCTGGGCATAGTGGTGGGCACCTGTAATCCCAGCTACTCGGGAGGTTGAGGCAGGAGAATTGCTTGAACTCGGGAGGTGGAGGTTGCAGTGAGCCGAGATTGTGCCACTGCACTCTAGCCTGGGCGACAGAGTGAGACTCCGTCTCAAAAAAAAAAAAAAAAAAAAGAGAAGAGTAGAAATTTAGCAAGTAGAGAGGAATGCTGGGCAGAGGAAACAGCATGTTCAAAGGCCCTGAGGCAGGACGGAGCTCAGCACTCAGAGGAACTGAGAAGCCAGTCGAGTTGAAGCTCAGCAGGCCAACTGGAGTGCTATGGCTTGAATGTGTCCCCCCAAAAGTATGTGTATTCCCCAATGCAACAGTGGTGAGAGGTGAGGCACTAGGGAAGGGTCGCTAGGGATATGAGACCTCTCTGAACAAGCAGAAGAGAAGGGGAATTTAGGCCTGGTGCAGTGGCTCATGCCTGTAATCCCAGCACTTTGGGAGGCTGAAGCAGGCAGATAGCCTGAGGTCAGGAGTTCGAGACCAGCCAGGCCAGCATGGTGAAACCCTGTCTCTACTAAAAATACAAAAATTAGCTGAGCGTGGTGGCAGGCACCTGTAATCCCAGCTACTTGGGAAGCTGAGGCTGGAGAATCACTTGAACCCGGGAGGCGGAGGTTGCAGTGAGCTGAGATCACGCCATTGCACTCCAGCCTGGGCGACAGAGCGAGACTCTGTCTCAAAAAAAAAAAAAAAAAAAAAAAAAAAGAGAAGGAGAATTTAAGGAGGGGCTGGGAGGGGACAGAAAGATGAAGTATGTGTTTGGGTGCGGGTGGGGGGCCACTCCAGAGTATATTTTTCTGGAAAAAGGCACTAAAAGGTCCCAGGAGGACACTTATGGGTTGCAAGAGGAAAGGGAGAGAATCTTCAGGATTCTGAGGAAGAGGCACATTCCTTTCTCATATAAGAAATTAATTGAGGCCAGTGGCTCACGCCTGTAATCCCAACACTTTGGGAGGCCGAAGTGGGAGGATCACTTAAGTCCAGGAGTTCTAAGGCCAGCTTGGGCAACATGGCGAGACATTGTCTCTGTGGAAAAAAAAAAAAAAAAAAGCTGGCCATGATGGTGTGCACCTGTAGTCCCAGCTACTTGGGAGGCTGAAGTGAGAGGATCACCTGAGCCCAGGGAGGTCGAGGCTGCAATGAGCTATGAATGCACCATTGCACTCCAGCCTGGGTGACAGAGCAAGACCCTGTTAAAAAAAAAAAACAAAAACAAAAAAAGAAAGAAAAGAAAAAGAAAGAAAGAAAAAGAGAAGAAGAGAAGGAAGGAAATAAGGAAATTTATTGAAGCCAAATAAATTCCCCCCTGAACAATTCCCATCCTTGGAACAGCCCAGTCAGTGCCTTCACTACCTGCCCCAGACGAAAGATGATGAAGGGGCCACAGGGCTGACTCAGGGCAATCCTAGGCTCCCAGCTCCCCTCCCCAGGGCAGAAAGAGAGGAGAGAGAGAGAGGACAAGAATGGGAAACTGTTGAGCACCAAGTTTGTGTCTGGCACCTGCCCCGGAATTTTATGTAACAGCCCTGAGGAACATTATTGAAATCCTCCAGTGTGGTCTGCACCTCAAATGCACGGGTTTTTTGGTGTGTGTGTGTGTGTGTGTGTGTGTGTGTGTGTGTGTGTGTCTGTATGTTTTGTTTTGTTTTTTGAGACAGAATCTCCCTCTGTCACCAGGCTGGAGTACAGTGGCGTGATCTCAGCTGACTGCAACCTCTGCCTTCCGGGTTCAAGCGATTCTCCTGCCTCAGCCTCCGAAGTAGCTGGGATTACAGGTATACGCCACCACGCCCAGCTAATTTTTGTATTTTTAGTAGAGATGGGGTTTCACCATGTTGGACAGGATGGTCTCGGTCTCTTGACTTCAGGTGATCTGTCTGCCTCGGCCTCCCAAGGTGCTGGGATTACAGGCGTGAGCGACCGCGCCCAGCCAGGATGCTCTGTTTTAAGGGCTTTCCTTGATGCTTCCAACTCATTTATTTCGCAATAACCCCACAGAATGAGTACTATTATCATTCCCATTTTATAGATGAGGATACTGAGGCTCACTCAGAGAGGCCCTGAAGTCACACAGTGGTGATGGAGCCACCTCTTCACCACGAACACCACCTCAACACAACGACACCTCACCCAATCCTCACAACCACCTGAAGGGGTTCCCAGTGTCTTCATTTTAGAGTGGGCGAGTGGGGCTAGCAAGGGGAAGGGACCTGTCTAGGGCTGCAAAGCTGGAAGGCAGCAGTAGCGTGGGCTCGGATCATCTGGGGGAAGAGGCGGAATAGGAGAGGTGGTGGGGTGGGGTTGGAGTGATGTAGAAAGGGGTGGGATTGGGGACTAGCTAGGAGGGAGTTTCAGTTTCTCTTTTTGTTGTTGTTGTTTTGAGACAGAGTTTTGCTCTTGTCACCCAGGCTGGAGTGCAATGGAGCGATCTTGGCTCACTGCAGCCTCCGCCTCCCGGGTTCAAGCAATTCTCCTGCCTTAGCCTCCCGAGTAGCTGGGATTACAGGAACACGCCACTATGCCCAGCTAATTTTGTATTTTTAGCAGAGACGAGGTTTCACCATGTTGGCCAGGCTGGTCTCAAGCTCCTGACCTCAGGTGATCCGCCTGCCTCAGCCTCCCAAAATGCTGGGATTACAAGCATGAGCCACCATGCCCGGCCCAGTTTCTCTTTTGAAGGGACTTCCCCTAAGTGGGGATTTTGGTTGGAAAGTTGTAAGCAACCCGCATTCCACTGGTTTGGCCACTCCTTTCCCAAAGGTACCCAGGATCTGTAAAGAAACTGAAAGTCAGGAAGAGGTGAGAAGTGGGAGAGGGTAAGCTCCGGGCAGCCCAGATAAACTGGGTTGAATTTCTGGTGACCTCATCAAGCCTGGGGGAGGTCAGCAGGTGAGCTGGAATTACAGGCTTCTTTGCTATTGGGGAAACTGAGCCCCAGAGAGACAGCTCTATCAGATAGTGGCTGGGCCTCATCCAGTCTATGCAACCACCACACATACACATGCGTGTGCACCTGTGCACAAGTGCATACACACACACAACCAGGGGAAGGGGGAGGGGAAGGGAGAAATGAAAGGTCTGGGTGGCCTAGAATTCTGAAAGGGAACTTTCGAACCCCTGTCCTTATGATTTGGTCACTGTCTGGATGGCAGGTCCCAGTGAAGGGCCCCTGAGGTGCCCCCGTATCCAGAGCAGGGCTCAAGGCCTGTCACTGGCAGGGACGCAGCACACCTGGGTCTTGCTGACAACCAAGCCGGGAGCCAGAGAGCCCAGGCGAATGAGAATAGCTCTGGTTCTGCAGTGTCCAGCCCCTGGGGCAGGCCCTGCAGCTGCCTCAGCTCTCCTTGCCAGCACCTCTGGCAGCTCCTCTCATCCTGAGCTCACAACCCTCTCTGGATGCCTCCAGCTGACCCTAGCACCACACACGCCTCAGAGCTCTTGAAAGCCACCTTCCCCCAGTCCTGGCCTTGTTTCCTCCTCTGGAAATGGGGACAATGGTGGTACACATCTCACAGGGCCAGAGGGAACATATGGAAAGCAGGCGGCACAAGGCTTGCCATACAACAGGCACGCAACCAACGCCGGCAGCAATGACGGTGATTACTCTCTGTTCTTCCTGCCTTTAAAAACATTTATTTATTTATTTATTTATTTACTTATTTTTGAGACAGTCTCACTCTGTTGCCCACACTGGAGTGCAGTGGTGCAACCTCGGCTCACTGCAACCCCAACCACCCCGCCATCCCCTAGCCTCCCAAGTAGCTGGGACTACAGGCACACACCACCACACCCGGCTAATTTTTGTATTTTTAGTAGAGATGGGGATTTACCATGTTGGCCATGGCTGGTCTTGAACTCCTGCCCTCAAGTGATCTGCCTGCCTCGGCCTCCCAAAGTGCTGGGATTACAGACATAAGCCACTGTACCCGGCCTATCTTATTTTTTGTAGAGATGGGGCCTTGCTATGTTACAAGCCAGGCTAGTCTTAAGACTTCTGGGCTCAAGCAATCCTTCTGCCTCAGCCTCCCAAAGTGCTGGAATTACAGGTGTGAGCCACCGCACCCTGCCCCTATTCCTGCCTTTTGCCTATTTTTCTTTTTTAAGACAGATTCTCATTCTGTCACCCAGGCTAGAGTGCAATGGTGCAATCTCTGCTCACTGCAACCTCTGCCTCCCGGTTTCAAGCGATTCTCCAGCCTCAGCCTCCCGAGTAGCTAGGACTACA
Organism: Homo sapiens; assembly: GCF_000001405.40. Lineage (NCBI taxonomy): Eukaryota > Metazoa > Chordata > Mammalia > Primates > Hominidae > Homo > Homo sapiens. Next base: position 32,340,685 of record NC_000001.11, on the reverse strand, counting down.
GGCATGCGCCACCACACTCAGCTAATTTTTGTATTTTTTGATAGAGGTGGGATTTCACCGTGTTGGGCAGGCTGGTCTCAAACTCCTGGCCTCAAGCAACCTGCCCACCTCGGCCTCCCAAAGTGCTGGGATGCGCCCTGCCCCCTTTCTGCCTTTTAAAGATTCTTCCCATTGGTCTGCACTCTGTGCTTTCTCCTGCCCCTAGTCAGCTGCTGGCTTCTTCCCAGAGCCCTCTCCTGCTGCTGCCCACCAATGCAGTGCTCCTGCCACCCAGGCATCTCCTGGGCGTCTGATGCACGACTTGGCTGCCGTTACCCTCTTATTGGCAACAATCAGAGGCCTAGATTTCCAGGGGTCAGTCCTGACTTAAAAACCTTCTGTCTGTTGTCCCTGTAAAGTCACTAGCCAGCCTTTAGGAACAGCCTTTGGCTCAGGAAATGTGATCACATGTCTATGTGAAGTATACAGACTTCAGGCTGCCTTCTGCGCATCCCCCTGAATCTTCCTTGGACATCGCAAACGCAACAGGGCTAGATTCAGCAACTCCCTCCCATGTTCTTTTTCCCTTTGATGGCCTATCTCAGTTGACAGGTCCACTTCACCCACTGTCACCCCAAACAGAAAGGTGGGCAGCATCAGTATCTGGTCCCTGCACGCAGCCAGTTACCAAATCCTAGAGATCCCACCTCCCAAACCTTGCTCCAGCAAAGGCCTCTGCCTCCCTCTGCACCCTCACACCTACCATTCCTGTTCCCACTTTGTCTTGCTCTGAGCTCTTCTCCATGTTCTTCTTCCTCCAGGCAGCCCACAGTTCCTTCATCTAATGCTAGGTCTGGCTTTCTTCTCCCTAAGATATGGCCTGTCTCTTTTCTCCCTCCCGTCATGGGAAACCCCTGAGGGCTGGGACCCTGCCTGACTCACTACTTACTCTTAGACGTCTAAGTGTGAGCAGAAAGAGGAACTCCAGTCAGTATCTGCAACTATGAATCACAGAGCCCAACCTCTCACTGTACAGATGAGCCAACTGAGGCCAAAGAGGAGAGAGGACTGGCTGATGGTGACAGCAAGAAGTGCCCAACCTGGGGCAAGAACCGAGGTCTCCAGGTCCAGCTGATGCTCCCCAGAAGGAGATGGGGACTGGGGCTGTGCCAAGTAGCTGTTCCCTAGGGCCTCCGTTGGGACCTCTGATGATGTGTCTTCCCATCTCAAGGCCTTTACATATGCCAGTCCCTCCGCTAGGAAGGCCCATGCCTCCATCTCTGACTACATATTGCCCATTCACACCTCCCCTGGCATCTAATCCAGTCCTCAACACAAGGCTCCGGGGCCTGACAGACCTTAAAGTATCCCCCAACCTCCTTCATGGGGCATTGGTTTCTGCTGCCCCCTCCCATCTTCACCCCTGCCCTGCGTCTCTCCAGAGGCCCCAGGTTGCCTGCCAGGGAAATTCATCCCCTGCTGTCCGTGCCTGATTCATGGTGGGGCCGGGAGCATCTCAGGCCAGGGCCAGGGCCAGAGCCCTTACTAGGAGAACTGGGACAGATGAGGAGTTGTATGAACGTGGGGTCTCTGGTCTCTGCACCTTCCATTCCCCCATCCATCCCAGCGTCACCCTGTCCTCATTCCTCCTTTCCCTGTCACTCCATCCTGGCAAACGCCCACATCTCAAAGGTTCTAACCACCACAGCCACAGCCTCAGTGACACACTGAGGCACACACAGCTCCCCACCGCCACAGGAACACTCACCCAGACATAAAGGAGCCGCTCTTTGCTCCACACATTCAGATATTCCCGAACTCTGGGCTTAAGCAGTCTTCCCGCCCCAGCCTCCCAAAGCACCGGGATGACAGGCGAGAAGCCACCACGCCCGGCCCATCGATATTCTCTCATACAGCCACACACTCAGTTTCACACCCAGTCAGACACAGTCACCAACAGTCTCAAGGAAGGGCAGGCACAAACCCAGCAAGTCTCAGTTACCAGGATCACCAGGCTCTCTCCTTCACCCTTGAATATACAGGGCCAAACAAAGATCCAGACGCACGCAACCACAAATGTGCACACCTGGGCACACGCGCACACACACACACAGCCAGAAAGTCTCACACACACAGACACAGAGCAATACACACAGTCACACACAGAGAGAAACAGATACACGCAGTTGCACACTGGCTCCCGGAGACGCAGAACAATGGGCGCATTGTCTGGGTTGGCAGCAGCTGGGGAGGAAGGAGCTGCAGTGTGGACCGAGGAGGCCATGGGGCTGCTGTAACCTCCCACCCCCACCCTGAAGCATCCTAAACCTCTTGCCTCTTCCAGAAGTCAGATTCTGCTGGGACCTGGATTTGCTGAGGGATCAGGCTCCCAGGCGCCCCCTCCCCAGCCTCCTGGGATGTCTGGTGGGGATACAGGGCATCCCCTGGGGACCAGGCTCCCTCTGGGGCTCTGGGGACTTGGGGTCTTTTACCCTGATGCTCTTCGATGCCCCTCCTGGGATCCTTGGGAAGATTTGCCTCTCATCCCCGCCAGGCAGTGCCTGGGGATCAGAAGCCTTAGGTTCTGCTCTTAACCTCTGACCCCAACCCGTGCAAGACTCACACACCCTCCGTCCCTCTGAGCCCAGCCAGCTGGTGCGGGCAGCGCCTGGCAGCATTGTGGGTTCCCTATTGTGGCTGAGACAGAGAGCAGGTCATGACATCCTTCCCTTAGTGGCAAGCTGTGGAGAAGTCACGGTACTTTCAGTGAGCTGCAGTGGGGGCACAGTGCCTCTCCCCGTCCCAAAGCTAGCCCTTGCCTCCCACTCTGACCAGGCAGCCCCAGATCTCAACAGAAAATTCTGCCAGGGGATTCCTTACAGCCCTTGGCCCATGTTATCAAACCTCTCCAAGCCTTTTCTCACCCTCAGCTACTGGTAGCTGCTGTGTGCCCTTGGGCATGTCACTTTCTCTTCCTGAACCTCAGGGTCCCAGTCTGTGAAATGGGGCGGGGGTGGGGGGCAAGTGAAGCTGAGATAGCTGAGGGTATTCTGTAGTCTCAGGGTGGGGGTGGGGATGGAGGATACAGGAGTGAGTGCAGAATGCAGAAGCCACCTCAGCCCTCCCCGCCCCTCTGTGGTCAGATCTCTGGGGAGTTCCCAATTTCTCAGGCCCTGGGGTGTCTCCACACTTCACAGCCTCAGGCCTCCCAGGAGGCTTCACCGTAGGAGGGAGGGGAGGGACTTGCTGAGCTGGCTGGGACACAGCCTTGCATTTGCAACACTTTGCTTCCTTCCAGCCCCCATCCCTTTCCTCCTGGGGGCTGAGGGCTGGCAGCCGGACACAGACATCCGGGGCCGGCCAGGATTCTGGGGTTCCCACCAGCCTATCCAGGCCAGCAGAAGGAGAGGTGGCAGAGGACCAAAGCTAGGGAGTCTCCAGCCCGGAGCACCTCCGGGCTCCCTTGCTCTCAGGCAGGGTGGGAAGCTGGGCTGGGCAGCTTTGAGGGCTGTCCTCAAGGGGCTGTCCCTTGAAGGGACCCTTGGTAGCATCCTATCCCTCCCCTTCAGAAACTGGGGTGTTTTGAGGTTTGTTGAGTCCCCAGCTGGGGTTCCTCTGCCGGCCTGGGGCACCCTGATGTAGGGGAGCAGAGTTGTGTGTGGAGGTAAAGAGGAAGGACCAGAGCCAAGTCAGACAGGTTGTCAATGCCTCTGAGCCTTGGCCTTTCAATGGGGATGGAGATGCCCTTCAAGGTCACAAAGTCCCCCACGTGGGACTTTGCAGTGGGTCCAGGCTGAGGGCAGGAGGGGCTCAAGGCGAATCTGTCTGTCCCCACTCAGAATGACTGGCCACCAAGGGACTGAAAGGAGGAATGAGGGAAAGGCCTCACTAGTCCGACCAGAGTGACCCCGAGGCAAGGCAGAGCCCTCCGCTCCCCGGCTGGCCATGGCAGGCAGGCAGGGACGTGGGTGGGACCTCTGACCGCTCTCCAGGCCGGAGCGGGTGCCGAGCCCAGCGCAGGGGCCCTGCAGCTTCTATGACCACATTTCTAGAGTATAATTCAGGACCAGCCATCTGACGAGCCTGGTCGTGTGAGCCCTTCGAAGGGTTCAAGCGGGAGACTGCCAGCGGCTGCAGGACCAAGGCGTTGGGGGCCGCTCCAGGCTGCGGGGGCGCCCACCGGAGAGGTGGAGCGGAGAGGATGGAATGACTGCCCGTCTCCTTCCTCCAGGCCCCCCGCCCCGCCCCGCCCAGCTCGCGGGAGGACTGGCCTCGCTCCTGCCCACACCGGACTCTACCTGCCCCTGGGATTCGGGTGGGGTGGGGGGTACCCGACCGCCAGCGTCGCCTGCTGCGCAAGTGGGGCCTGCGAGCCAACCCCGCCTCCGCCCCTCGATTGGGCGCGCATTTAAATGTCCGGCCCCGCCCCGAGCTCCGGGCGCTTATATATAGGCAGCTCGGCGGGCGGCGGGCGGCATTCTGGCGCGGAGCGGAGCGGCGGCGGGCGCAGCTAGCGGGTCGGCCGCGGAGCGGAGGTGCAGCTCGGCTTCCCCCGGCACCCCTCCCCCTCGGGCGCCAGCCCCACCCCTCCGCCGGCCGGGCCGACCCCGCCGTACTATCCCCTGCGGCGCGAGCCCGGGGCGGCTCCAAGCGCCCCCCAGCAGACCCCCATCATGGGCAGCCAGAGCTCCAAGGCTCCCCGGGGCGACGTGACCGCCGAGGAGGCAGCAGGCGCTTCCCCCGCGAAGGCCAACGGCCAGGTGGGTACGCTTGGCCCGGCCGGCCCCAGCCCCTCCTCTCGCACCTCGCCCCTTCTAGGGCCCGGGGCCGGGGCCGGGGCCGCGCGCTTTGTCCGGCCCGGGACACGCGGCGCCCCCTCCCCCGCCCGGTCCCTTTGTTCTCGGCGCCGCAGCCCCCGCGGGCGAAGCGAGGGGAGGGGCGGGGAGGGGGCGCCGGCCGGGCCCTGCCGCCTTCTTTGTTCGCGGCCCCGGTCCCCGGCGCTGCCCCCCGGCCGCCCCGAGTGCCGCGCGGGGAACAAAGGCGCTGCTGGGCCACGCCAAGGGGGCGCCCAGGGGCCGCGGAGCTGGGGCCCGGCGGGGAGCGCACTCCACCCGCCGACCCGACCTCGGTGGCCCACGGTCTTTTTTTTTTTAAGGGGGAGCCGAGATGCGGGAGAGCCTGGGGTGGGTGGGGGCCACTTACACAAAGCGGGAGGCTGGGAAAATAGGCCGTCCAGGTGCAGAGAGACAGCGCCCCGGGGCGGCTTCCCGCCCAATGTCGCCTAGAGCGGCTCGCCCGCCTGCCCGGGATCCGCACAGCAGATCCGGAGCGGTTCCGCGCGGAATAGAGAGCGCGCCCCGGGGGACGGGGGTGGGGGCCACGGGACCCCAGCGCCTCCTGCCGGTCGCGCCCTCTGCGCGCTCGCTCCCCGCGCGCCCGTGAGGGGCGAGAGGGAGGTGTTTGACGGGATCCTGGGTGTGGGTGAGGCTGAAGCCAGACTTTCGGGTTGCAGTAGAATCGAATCGAGGACCCCTTCCTCTAGAAGGGATCAGAAGCGGGCTGGGGGAGGGGGAGCCCCTGCCCTCATTGCTATTCCCTCTGCCCTGCAGGAGAATGGCCACGTGAAAAGCAATGGAGACTTATCCCCCAAGGGTGAAGGGGAGTCGCCCCCTGTGAACGGAACAGATGAGGCAGCCGGGGCCACTGGCGATGCCATCGAGCCAGCACCCCCTAGCCAGGGTGCTGAGGCCAAGGGGGAGGTCCCCCCCAAGGAGACCCCCAAGAAGAAGAAGAAATTCTCTTTCAAGAAGCCTTTCAAATTGAGCGGCCTGTCCTTCAAGAGAAATCGGAAGGAGGGTGGGGGTGATTCTTCTGCCTCCTCACCCACAGAGGAAGAGCAGGAGCAGGGGGAGATCGGTGCCTGCAGCGACGAGGGCACTGCTCAGGAAGGGAAGGCCGCAGCCACCCCTGAGAGCCAGGAACCCCAGGCCAAGGGGGCAGAGGCTAGTGCAGCCTCAGAAGAAGAGGCAGGGCCCCAGGCTACAGAGCCATCCACTCCCTCGGGGCCGGAGAGTGGCCCTACACCAGCCAGCGCTGAGCAGAATGAGTAGCTAGGTAGGGGCAGGTGGGTGATCTCTAAGCTGCAAAAACTGTGCTGTCCTTGTGAGGTCACTGCCTGGACCTGGTGCCCTGGCTGCCTTCCTGTGCCCAGAAAGGAAGGGGCTATTGCCTCCTCCCAGCCACGTTCCCTTTCCTCCTCTCCCTCCTGTGGATTCTCCCATCAGCCATCTGGTTCTCCTCTTAAGGCCAGTTGAAGATGGTCCCTTACAGCTTCCCAAGTTAGGTTAGTGATGTGAAATGCTCCTGTCCCTGGCCCTACCTCCTTCCCTGTCCCCACCCCTGCATAAGGCAGTTGTTGGTTTTCTTCCCCAATTCTTTTCCAAGTAGGTTTTGTTTACCCTACTCCCCAAATCCCTGAGCCAGAAGTGGGGTGCTTATACTCCCAAACCTTGAGTGTCCAGCCTTCCCCTGTTGTTTTTAGTCTCTTGTGCTGTGCCTAGTGGCACCTGGGCTGGGGAGGACACTGCCCCGTCTAGGTTTTTATAAATGTCTTACTCAAGTTCAAACCTCCAGCCTGTGAATCAACTGTGTCTCTTTTTTGACTTGGTAAGCAAGTATTAGGCTTTGGGGTGGGGGGAGGTCTGTAATGTGAAACAACTTCTTGTCTTTTTTTCTCCCACTGTTGTAAATAACTTTTAATGGCCAAACCCCAGATTTGTACTTTTTTTTTTTTTCTAACTGCTAAAACCATTCTCTTCCACCTGGTTTTACTGTAACATTTGGAAAAGGAATAAATGTCGTCCCTTTAGTGGTGCTTTAATGAGTGGTCTTCTGGGGGTAGGGTGAGAAGATTGGTGGAAAGTAGTTTACCTCAAACCTCAAGGGAGGAGTTAAGGCAGGCAGGTAAGTTTATGGGGTTTTCTTGTTCAGGGGGTTGCCCCAATACTCATGGACACCAGAACGGCAGGGAAGTAGAGTTGAAACCAACCCAGGGACACATAGGAAACAAGCTCAGGAGGATATAGAAATGTACCATTTTATTACAAAGAGGCTCACAAAAATGAAAATAGTATCTCAAAAAGGAAACTAGACTAGCAACCTCCACCTGCAGAATTAGGAGAAGACAGACAGAGGGCAGGCAGTGTTTCTTGGCTCACTTGAGGCCAGTGGGAAGGTACGAAAACAGAACCAATCTAAAAATGGCTGATGTTACTTTAGGAGCCTGAAAAAAACAGGAGATCCTTGAAGACCCAGCCACCCCTTCTAGAATGTTCAATAAGGGCACCTTTCCAAAGCTACTAAGCAGGCACTTGGCATTTCAGGAGTTTGTCTTATGGTTGCATAAAAGTATCCCTTTCACCCAGACCTGGCACCCTTTATGGTTCAAAGTTAAGAACGGGAAGAATGGGTGGCAAGGTGGCTCCTGGAAGAGCTCACCCAGCACAGCTGCCCTGAGCTCGGGGCCTTGGTTTCTGTCCCTGGGGATATTTATATTTAATAAATTTTTATATAAATACACAGAGAAATAGAAAATATAAAATCTGAGGGGTTGGGGAAGAAACGTGAGGGACTCAGCAGGAAGCCAGAGCTGGAGAGGTCCATTCAGGCCAACTTGACCTCCTCCTTGACCCTGTGGAGAGAGCAGAGACTGGCATGAGATGACCCAGCCCAGAGCCTCAGGGCAAAAGTGCAGACAGTGACTTCCACAGGATCCTAGGTGACTACTGGGGGCTGGGGCTCCTAGCTCTGCCTAGAACTGCAGAGCTGGACAGACTGGTCCCTGAAAGAGGCCTTTGTAAGCTGGACCAGCTGTCCCTGTGCCTTTCCTCAGAGTGGTGGGACAAAGGGGCTGGTGCTCCAATGCCAGGGAGATGGCCACAGGCAGCTCCTTCCTCACCCTTTGGCTTCTGGCTTCTCCTCCTTGGTTTTCTCCTCTTCGGTGACTTCTAGAACACAAGAGTACAGGGATGGCCAAGGGCAGCACCTCTGGGAAGACCCATGAGGTCTTCATTTACCCTGAGACCCCTTCCCCAACACTACAGCTCACTGGACATAAAGAGAGAAAAGCCCATCCCTGGTCCTCCCAGTGAGCCCTGTTGAGAACAGGTTGGACTGGTTTCCCAGCCTGCTACAGCCAGAACCTGGTGGGCGGAGGCAGCCCCCTGGGAAACTGGGGTGCAGTGCTGGGAAAAGGGCTGGGGTGGTATGTGAGAGCCGTGCTCAGGCAGTAGAGGTTCATTGTTTTGTGGGCTCTGCCACTTCTGGGAGCCACTGAAAGGCTCAAGGAACTGAGGAAGAGCCCCACAGGAGCTGGCAGGGCCTGAGTCACTCCCTCCTCCCACTGCCCTACATAGATTCATCCTCTCAGGCTCGAGACCCAAGTCCCAGCTGAACCCAAACCCACCTTTCTTCTCCTCTGGGTCTTTCTCTTTTTCATCCTCTGTTTTGACTCTCTTGGCTTTTTTGAAGTTGGAAGAGTTCTTGCGGCCCCCCTCTCCCTCCTCTTCAGAATCGGAGAACTCTTCCTCACAGGCAATTCGTTTGTCAGAGGAGCAGACTGGGAGGGAGTGGGAAGCATGGGTGAGAGGGCAGGCGGGTGCTGATTTAGCTCAGCATCTATGCCCAGTGCTTCCCTGCGTGTCCTCCAAGAGACACCAAGGGAAAGGGAACCAGAAGAGGGAGGAACTCGGGCTCCCTAACCTGTTCCTACAGGCACTGGAACTCGAAAACAGATTTCTCTACAGGTGGGGAGCTTGGAGGGAGTGTGCAGCCAGGAATGGTGGTGGAAGTGTGAGCTGCCTATTGAATGGAAGGCATAGGGCTCTAGGTCTGGGTCTCACTCGAGATGCGCTTGTCAGGGTCGTCTTCGTCCTCATCGCCACTCTCCTCAGGGATGGCGTCCTCAGGAATCGCCTGCATTTGGACCCCAGGTGCGTGCGGCAGCATTCTAAGGTTCTCAAACAGTCGCTGTCTGTGGCCAATGGGAGAGAGTAGCAGGGCTCTGGTCAGGGACAAACCAAAGTCAGGAATGTTCAACCAAGGGGTGGCTGGAGGATATACTCACTTGATCTTCTCCAGGTACTCATTCGTGTTCTGGTTAGTCATATTGGAAGGACTGATGTGGAGCTTGAAATCTGGTCCAAAGTATTCAAAGTAGTCATTGTATGGAAGCTCTGATTGGGGCAGGAGAGAAGACCGTCAAGAGACCTGGCCACCGCACCCTAACCATTTGCACGTAAGCACCCTAAAGCATTTGTAGGTTTCTCTGGGCCTATTTATCCAAACAGAGGAGAATGCCTCCAAGACACTGTGAGACACGGGTACCTATGGGATTTCCATCTTTTTAACATCACTCTCCTATGTCTGTACCAGTGGTGTATATGTCGCTAGGAGAAGGCCCATGTCCCTGGTTTAGGACACTTGAGGCCATGCTCATTATGAGCGCTCCCTTCACTCGCTACTCCAGTTACTCTACAGAGTAGAAATTCCAAAGCTGTAAATTACCAATGAGAACTTTGTCCAGACCAAAAGCAGGAGGGAGAGGGGAGAGAGCTAAAAAGGACTAGGGAAAAAGTGATGGTTATGGTCTGCTGATCACAAGAGGACAGGCAGGAGACTCAGTGACTAGTATCAGAAGAGGAGCGGTCATATGACCAACGGGGAAGGGGTTATAAACTTAAGGACAGATGAGCTCCAGCTCCCACCCAGCCCAGCCGAACCTGGCCCTGCAGCTATTACCATTAGGGATCTCCGTATCCAGGGCCACAGCTGTCTCATATGTCCAGCACCGGGCAACGTTACGAATGGTGTAACCACCGCCTCCCAGCATCAGCATAGGCAGGTTAAAGCTCTTGACAAATTCCACACACTTGGCGTGTCCTTTGGTGGGAGAAGGGGTGCTGAGTTACAGGAGCACCAAGCAGGACCCCGCCCACCCATCCTTGTGCTACCTGGTCTCACCTTTGATAGTTAGATTGAAGCAACCTAACCGATCCCCAGATAGGGAGTCTGAGCCACACTGTAAGACCACCGCACTAGGCTGGAACATCTCCATTACTTTGGACATGACCTAAAATGATACATCCTGGTCACCACCAACCTCAAGAAAGCAATACGAGGTTTGGAGTGGAAAGGCTGGGTGCAACACTTTCCCACCCACTCCTACCTTTCCACTCTCCCTCATGCTATGTGGGAGAGAAAAGGGAGTGCTAGGCTGGAGCCCTTGCTTGCCCACTTGGGATTTCAATTTTCCAATTTAAAAAGTTCTCTAAGACCCTTCTAACACTCTAGTAACACTGAACCTAGAATGGCCTCCCTCTCAACTCCCTAAGTCTCTTCTGTTGCCCAAGCTCTAGTGCCACTTCCTCCAGGAAGCCTTCCTGACCTTTAGCTGCATCTACTCTACTCATTCGGTCTTACAGACTTGAAGCCTTACATTATGAGCAAGCACTTTTAGTTTATCTTATTCTCACAAGCAGAGTCTAACGTTACTGAGACCGAGACCACAACTCCCACTTCTGTAGCCCTTATTAAATACTAGGCACATAGTGGGCAGTCAGTGTTTGCTGAATGACTACCTGACCTTATTAGGTTAAGCAGTTTCTTACTGTTTATAAGTGAAGATTTAACTCCTTGGCATGGCATTCAAGGCTCCCTTTGAAATACTGAGCCCAGCATACACTTCCCACCGCCTCCTTCAGCACTCCTCCCATACACCACACTGGCCTACATGCTGCCACACTGGCACCTCTGCACTTCTGCTAGTGCCATTCCTTCTACTAAATGCCACCCTTACTGCCATCACCTCCTTCTTCACATGGGCACCTCCTCATTTTCCAAAGTCCAGCTTAAACATCAGCACCTCTGTGAAATCATCCCTGGCTACCCTCCTGCCAGCCCAGGCAGTAGTTTGTCTCTCATTCCTCTGATCATCCCTCAAAAACACAGGCACTAGGCCAGCCTACCCATGGAACATGCCACACAGCCTTTCCAGAATCTCTGGATGGGCTGACTGGCAAAGGGCTTTCCCAGACAAAGCCAGTCTGCAAAGACTGGAGTAAGTCCCTACTTCTTCTAATGTGCAGACATCAATGTAAGGCAATGAGGAACACAAAAAACCAAGGAGACATACCACTACCAAAAGAACACAATAATCTCCCAGCAGCCCAAAGAAATGGAGATACAAAAACAGTACTAATCATAGACTACTGGGTATGTGCCTGCCTTCCCCACCATAGTCCGTGAGGGCAAAGATCATGTCTTAGATATTTTTGTATCCAGCAGAAGACCTGACCCATAGAAGGAACCAATAAATATGGGTGTTTGTTCCCCTAACTGACCACACAGCAATCCAGGGTTCAAACACTTCTATCTCCCCACCAGCTTTAGTAAGGAGAGATTCCTGAGGTATGGTGGGGGTGCTTTGCTCCCCTCCACCGCCAACCAATCCCCTGTTTGTAGCCCAAGGGGTGGATAAAGCCACTTACCGGCTTGAAAATGGCCTCATAGGACTCGTCATCAATCCCGTCTCGGAGCGGGTAGTTAACAGCATAATACTTGCCTTTGCCAGCCCCGATATCCTAATTAAAAAGGCCATTAAAGTAAAACTGAAGGATGAAGCTTGAAGGAAGGTCAAGGATAGGGGCTGGAGGGATAAAGGAAGAGGTTCAAGAGAGACAAGCTAGGCCCATGATGTGGGCCAGGACAGAACAGAGGTACCTTGTTAGTACCATTCTCTTCACTGGCAAATCTAGCTTCACTGGCAAATCATCTCTGGACATAGCATTAAGCCTACCCCCAGACTGAGAGCTCTTGATGGGACCAGAGATTGAATAGCCTACCCTATAGCACAAGATTTCTACCTTGGGATTGGGTTAGAGCTGGCTGGCAGGTGAGTCACAGAAGTGACAGCCACCCTTGACAACCCTTTCCACTCCAGAGAGCTCTAATGCTCACTCCTCTTCCCCCATGCTCCCTCTCTAGGGTGTTGTGGAGGGAAGGAGAGAGGTAAGAAAGTCCTTCCCAGTAACCTCAAAATAGTGAGTGCGCCTATTTAAGTCCAGCACTTTGGGAGGCTGAGGCGGGTGAATCTTGAGGTCAGGAGTTCGAGACCAGCCTGGCCAACATGGCAAAACCCCATCTCTTTTAAAAATACAAAAATTAGCCGGGCATAGTTGCACGCACTTATAATCCCAGCTAAATCCCGGCTATTCGGAGGCTGAGGCACAAGATCGCCTGGAGGCGGGAGGCGGAGGCTGCAGTGAACCGAGATCACGCCACTGCACTCCAGGCTGGGTGACAGAGAGAGACTGTCTCAAAAAAAAAAAAAAAGTGAATGCTCATTTATTCTAACGCTTGCCATGGCAAACAACTGAATTAGTGCCACTTTTTTACCCAAGGGCTACCAGGCATGGCAAAGCAGCTGATTTCACCACATTCATGCTAATAGAAGCAGATGGAACAGTTCAACGAAGTAGCTTCCAAGGATTCTTATCCTAAGGTTCATGGATGGGCTTCAGTAAGGGGACTTGTCTATTAACTATTCTATATCAGATGTAAAATCTCATGTACTTTTCTGGAGAGACAGTCCATAGTTTTCAGTCAAAAGGCTAAAGGGGAAAGTGACCCAAAAACATGAAGAACACTTGAGATGTCCTTCAGAGTCCCAATTCCTACCCCCAAACTCAAGGCTTATGAGACATAAGAATAGTGTGATGCAACCCAGCTGTGGCCAGGAGGAAAGTACAGTGAGTCAGGAGACCCCTCTTCTTTCTCTGGCCCTTTATGTCCCATCATTCCCTTCCTCCAGAATAAGGAAGGGAAAGAGATCAGGGCAAGTGCTTCAGATTGGGATGTGGTATTCTGATTGGCAGAAGAGGCAAGAAGCAATTTTTAGTGGCATGAGATAGGAGAGAGAAGTAGAGCTGCCAGCTGAGGGTAAGCCGGTTGGCTCCTAAAGGGCGTTCTCACCCGTAGGTCCCCAGTTCCTGGGAAGTACTCTCCATACTTATGAAAGGACACAGTCATGACCCGGTCCGTGGTGTAGAAGGCCTCTTCCACGCCGTCACCATGGTGAATATCAATGTCAATGTACAGCACCCTCTGGTGATACCTAGGATCAGAAGGGGGTCAGGGGTCTGGGGGCTCTTTGGGGATGGGACGTGCCAAGGGCGCTAGCTCCCAGCTTACCGGGCTGGCTGCCTCCCTCAGGTATCTCTAAGCACCAGAGACGTGGAAACTGGCTGAAGGAAGGTGGAAGAGCGGCCGGGTGTCTCCAGAGGCCTGACCAAGCCGACCAAGTCCGATCTTCCTACTCTACAGCCAGGGTCAACTCCAGCCACACAGGGACACTCTGGAGGCAGGATCTGAGCAGCATCTGCCCCTGATCATGCCGTGGCTCAGATCAAACCAAGACCCCATCAAGGAGATGATGGCCAGAGACACTCACCGAGCACATCCTAGCCAGCACATCGGTAGGAAAAGCAAACTAGGGAGGCAAGCCCAGGGGAAGAGGGAAATGGGAACCTGGCCTAAGGTGCTCTTCCAAGAGACAAGGCCAGGCAGGCATACTTTAGCAGTTCCAGGATGGCCAAGACGATATCATTGACGTAACAGAAGCCAGATGCCTCGGACTTCTTTGCATGGTGCAGGCCCCCAGCCCAATTCACAGCGATGTCCGTCTGCTGCTTATTAAGTTTCACAGCACTTGCTGGGCATGAGAAAAGAGAACATAAGCCTGTTACTAAGCCACTCTCCCCTTCCTCCAAGAAGCCCAGGGAACCTAGTGAAAGGTTAAGACCTGCCTATTCAACAGCTGTATTGTGCAATTCATAGACCAGTCCCCTCCCTCCCACCCTACTTCAGCAGGGAATACATGATACTGTCTACTCGTAAAAAACGATTTTCCAAACTGAGGGTAGTAACCCATTAGCAGGCCTTAAAATTGATTTAGTACATCATGATTAGTGTGTGTGTGTATATATATATATATTTTTTTAATGAAATAGCATAGAAAAAAATATCAGAGTAACAGTAAGGGTAACTGCTCTTTTGTAAAACTCTGGCTTCAGAGTGAGTGAGTGTGTGCATGCATGCATATGTTATATGTATCCTGGATTGCATGTGTAAATTTATTTCTTACTATGGCTCATGGTCAAGGAACTTTGAAAAAATACCAAAGATAGGCCATGCGCGGTGGCTCACACCTGTAATCCCAGAAGTTTGGGAGGCCAAGGCGGGCACATCACCTGAGGTCAAGAGTTCGATACCAGCCTGGCCAACATGGTTAAACCTCATCTCTATTAAAAATACGAAAAAATTTAGCTGGGCGTGGTGACATACACTTGTAGTCCCAGCTACCTGGGGAGGCTGAGGCAGGAGAATCGCTTGAACCCAGGAGGCGGAGGTTGCAGTGAGCCAAGATCACGCCACTGCACTCCAGCCTGGGTGATGGAGGGAGACTCTATTTCAAAAAAAAAGAAAAAGAAAAATTACCAAAGATAGTGCTGATACACTAGGTCAAAAAGCACTAGCACGAATAGGTCCCAGAAGAAGTAAAAGATAAATACACACCCATGTGTGCAAGTGCATTTGTGGCAGTGTTAATTTGTTGTTGTTTTTTGAGATGGAGTCTCACTCTGTCACCCAGGCTGAAGTGCAGTGGCGCGATCTCGGCTCACTGCAACCTCCGCCTCCCAGGTTCAAGCAATTCTCCTGCCTCAGCCTCCCAAGTAGCTGGGATTACAGGCACACACCACCACGCCCGGCTAATTTTTGTATTTTTTAGTATAGATGGGGTTTCACCATGTTGGTCAGGCTGGTCTCAAACTCCTGACCTCAGGTGATCCACCCTCTTCAGCCTCCCAAAGTGCTGAGATTACAGGCATGTGCCACCGTGTCCAGCTGCAGTGTTGATTTTAACAGCAATAAAAGCATAGATTGATCCAAATTATCAAGAAGAGGGACAGATTATATCAACTCAAGTAAATCCACAACATGGAATAATCATAGAGCCACAAGAAAGCAAGCTGTAGAAAACTACAGACAATTTCGTTAAGTAGGAAATGCAGGCATAAAACCATATATATGTGATATGTATATAACCCACTTTTGTAAAATATAGATGTTGTATATGTGTGACACAGATATAAACACACACACAAAAGAATGGCCATACAAACACCAACATGGTAACAGAGGTTATCCACCAACCCTGTGACTGTGGGTGATTGTGTTTTTTTCTGTGCACTTCTTTGTTTTCTGTGATTATATTGGTGGGGCAGCGGGGATGGACACAATGATTATATTGGTGGGGGATCACAGGAAAATAAATATTTGTTAAGAAAGCGTTTAGAGTAATCCTGGAGATAACCCAAAAGTTGCAAATGGAAGTGGGAGATACATGAGGAGTATTTCTGACCTCTAAAGGTAATTACCATACTTTTTCATAGGACAGATTCACAGATGATGACACTTCCATTTTTATAGCACTTTGCAGTTCACAAATTGCTTTTACGTACAGCATCTTAACAACCCCAGGAGGTCTGCGGGGAACGCCTGTACATAAGATCTCTTAGTAGGAAAGGACAGTCAAGGACACCTGTCAGTACCATGTCAGAGATTGAACCTGGGCTGGGACTGAACCAGAGGGACATTTTAGAGGCTTTTTAAATTTTTTTTTTGGAGGCAGGGTCTTGCTTTGTTGCCCAGGCTAGAGTGTAGTGGTGTGACCACGACTCACTGCAGCCTCAACCTACTGGGTTTAAGCCTCAGCCTCCTGAGTAGCTGGGACTACAGGCACGAGTCACCATGCCCGGCTAATTGTTTTTACTTATTTTATTTTTTTATAGACAGGAGGGTCTATGTTGCCTGGGCTGGTCTTGAACTCCTGACCTCAAGCAATCCTCCTCCTCAGCCTCTCAAAGTGCTGGGATTACAGGTGTGAGACACTACACCAGCCATTTTAGAGACTTCAGTAAAAACCACAGGACCATTCTACATGGTTTCAGATCAGCCAACTAGGATAGCAGCCTAAAAGGCAGACCTCACTAGAACAACCCAGTCTACCCCTGGGGAGAAGATGAATATTCCTTACCCACAGAACCACCAGTAGACAACTGACAGAACTCAAACAGGCCATCGAATACTGGACAGTCCTCACCAACGTTGACTTGAAAGAAATAAGCAAAAGGTTAGTTTCCACAATTTCCTTTAGTTTACATATTTATGAGCTGATGGAAAAAAACACAGAATTTAAATTCAGGAGGTGTGGGTTCTAGTCCAGGCTCTACTTCCTGGCTGTATGACTGCATCAAGTTGTTTAACATCTTTGAGCTTTAGCCCATTATTATTTTTTTATTTTTTAGAGCCAGGGGCTTGCTCTGTTGCCCATGCTGGAGTGCAGTGGCACAAACATGGCTCATGTGCAGCAGCTTTGACCCTCACCTCCTGGGCTCAAGCAATCCTTCCACCTCAGTCTCCCAAGTACTTTGGACTACAGGTGCATGCCACTATACCCAGCTAATTTTTTTTTCTTTTTTTTTTTTTTAGAGACAGAGCCTCACTATGTTCCCTAGGCCTCATGCAGTCTTCTTGCCTTGGCCTCCCAATAGGCATGTGCCATCACACCTGGTCTTAGCCCATTATCTATAACAAGCAAAACTGATATCCCACCTCACCCACTGGTCAGAAAATTAACAAAAATCTAATATGGAGAAGCAGTTAGCAACTTGGAAAATGTTGGTTCGTTTCTTGAGGGAGAAAAACTTATCCTCTGGCCCTCACGCCAGCTGACAAACAAGGGGCAAGAACAGAGACCCAGAGAACTATCGTTCACTGCGCACGTACAACACGCCAGACACTGCGCTACATGCGTTAAATACCCGAGATCATTCATCTTCACACAAGCTTCTGAGGTAAGATTTGGTCCCATCTTATAAGTAGGGAAACAAGGCCTGGCACAGTGGCTCACACCTGTAATCCCAGCACTTCGGGAGGCTAAGGCAGGAGGACCACTTGAGGCCAGGAGTTCAAGACCAGCCTGGGCAACATGGAGAAACCCCATCTCTACCAAAAACATAAAAATTAGCCAGGTGTGGTGGCAGCTGCCTGTAATCCCGGCTACTTGGGAGGCTGAGGCACAAGAACCACTTGAACCCGGGAGGCAGAGGTTGCAGTGAGCTGAGATCGCGCAACTGCACTCCAGCCTGGGCGAGACAAGAGTGAGACCCTGTCTCAAAAAAATAAATAAATAAATAAGTAGGGAAACAGGTTCAGAGAGGTGAGCTGTTAGTAAATGGCAGAAGCAGTATGCAAGCCTCAAGCTTTGGTTTGTCTGTTTTTTTTTTGAGACGGAGTTTTGCTCTTGTTGCCCAGGCTGGAGTATAGTGAAGTGATCTTGGCTCACTGTAATCTCTGCCCTCCAGTTTCAAGCCATTCTCCTGCCTCAGCCTCCCGAGTAGCTGGGATTACAGGTACCTGCCACCACACCTGGCTGATTTCCGCATTCTTAGTAGAGACGGGGTTTCACCATGTTGGCCAGGCTGGTCTCAAACTCCTGACCCTGTGATCCGCCCGCCTCGGCCTCCCAAAGTGCTGGGATTACAGGCATAAGCCACCGTGCCCAGCCAGCCTGTCTGTCTTAAAAGCCTGTGAAAATATATCCCGGCCCTTTTCCAAGTCCTTTCACATATACAACCTCATTTGATCCTCACAACAACTCTATGAGCTGGACAAGCCAGATATCAACCCCACTGTGCGGAGGAACAAACAGATACCGAGAAGTTAAGTGATTTGCCCAAGGTTATAAAACCAGGCAGTAGCAGAACCAGAATCAGGGTCCCGGTGTCTTGACTCCCGTAGCCCAGTGTCTTACTGCTACATTCACAGTGACAAGTGGAGTAAAGTTATTTCGGGCCTAATGGGGTAAAAGTACCAAGTAGTACATAATGTGGAAACATATGCAAACAATAAGGCAAATGAAATGAAAACAGGAAGGAAAGCACACCTGGAGGCTGTAGACTCACAGACCTAGAGGAACTTTATAGCTCCAAATCTCCTCTTACAGAAAAGGTAACTACTGGCCGGGCGCGGTGGCTCACACCTGTAATCCCAGCACTTTGGGAGGCCAAGGCAGGTGGATCACTTGAGGTCACGAGTTCAAGACTAGCCTGGCCAACATGGAGAAACCCCGTCTCTACTAAAAATACAAAAATTAGCCAGGCATGTGCCTGTAATCCCAGCTACTCAGGAGGCTGAGGCAGGAGAATCACTTGAACCCAAAACGTGGAGGTTGCAGTGAGCCAAGATTGCACCCCTGCATTCCAGCCTGGGTGACAGGGCGAGACTCCATCTCAGGAGAAAAAAAAAAAAAAAGTAACTGCTGAGACATCAATGAGCTACAGGAAGTCAGAGGCAGGAGGTGTGGGGCTGCATACTTATTCTCTTGCCCAGCCTTCTACTGTACCCACTGTTATCAAGATTTCCAAAAGTAGAGGAAGGAGCAGCCCTGGGGTGAGAGCAGAAGAGCTCAGTTTGGATTGTGCTGGTAAAATCTCAAGACACAGTTGAAGCTCAAGATCTACAATAACCACAAGAGTTACCAGCTCTGGTTCTGCACTAAACTTGGAGGGTGCCAAGATCCGGTGCTCTGAGGAAGAAGCATGGCTGCATGAGGGAGTGTGCAGCGGGTGGGTCTCTTCCTCACTTCCTGGGTAAACACTGGGAGGCTGTGTAAATAAGAACTTTGGTCCCTGGGCCCCGGCTGTTTATCCATTGGCAACTGATTTCCCTCTCTGGCCACTTCCTCCTGCACAGAGTTTGGCCTGCCTGCGTTTCCAAAGCTTTGTTTATACTCTTATTTGGGATATGGAGCCTCCATGGGAAGGAATGGGTGTTTTGGACGTGAGAAAAAAAAAAATATTTTTCTTCAGGCACCAAACCAACATGTAGCTCAAATGACCAGCCCTTTTATTCCTAGTCAATAAGCTATGTGATTAGAGATGGAAAGGGGGCAAATGGAAGAGCAGATACTCATGTGAGCTAATCTGTGAGGGTAGGGAAGACTTTTCCATGGGTTTTCTCTCTTTCTGCTATAAACGCTTTTCTCATTCTCACACTAGCTTTAGACTAAAGGGAAGCAATACTGGGTGAGAGGTGGAAGCAGACGTAGGCAGAGAAGGCAGTCAAATGCTCATTGCAAAGAGATGGGAAGATTAAACACTAACCTCAGGATAGTGCTTATACCTTGGCAGTGCTGGTAATGGGGTGGGGGGCTGGGGGAGT
This sequence comes from Homo sapiens, assembly GCF_000001405.40. Lineage (NCBI taxonomy): Eukaryota > Metazoa > Chordata > Mammalia > Primates > Hominidae > Homo > Homo sapiens. The sequence goes on along the minus strand of NC_000001.11, from coordinate 32,321,365 downwards.
GGGAGAGAAAGGGTATGTGATCAAGGAAAGATGCCCAAGGGGGCATCAACTGTATTGATAATGTTTTCTTTCTCAGGCTGGGTATTGGGCACACATGGATGTTCATTATATTATTATTATTATTTTTTTTTTTTTGAGACAGAGTCTTGCTCTGTTGCCCAGCCTGGAGTGCAGTGGCGCAATGTCAGCTCACTGCAAGCTCCGCCTCCTGGGTTCACACCATTCTCCTGCCTCAGCCTCCCAAGTAGCTGGGACTACAGGCACCCACCACCACACCCGGCTAATTTTTTGTATTTTTAGTAGAGATGGGGTTTCACTGTGTTAGCCAGGATGGTCTTGATCTCCTGACCTCGTGATCTGCCCGCCTCGGCCTCCCAAAGTGCATTATATTATTTTTTGATGCTTTTTGTGTGTGTCTAAAATATGTTTTTTTCTTTTTCTGTTTTTTTTTTTTTTTTTTTTTTTTGAGATGGAGTCTTGCTCTGTCGCCCAGGCTGGAGTGCAGTGGCGCGATCTTGGCTCACTGCAACCTCTGCCCTCCAGGTTCAAACAATTCTCATGCCTCAGCCTCCCGAGTAGCTGGGATTACAGGCATATACCACCACACATGGCTAATTTTTGTACTTTTGGTGGAGACAGGGTTTCACCACGCTGGCCAGGCTGGTCTCAAACTCCTGGCCTCAAGTGATCCACCTGCCTCAGCCTCCCAAAGTGCTGGGATTACAGGCATGAGCTACCCTGCCTGGCCTGTGTATCTAAAATATTTTATATACACTATATTTTTTAAAACTACAGAATTGGGGGACTAGAGTTCCATTCTGCATTCTACCATCACCTTGCTGTGTGACTGGGAAAGTTTACATGTCTGTAAAATGGATGAGAATGTCTCCCAATTTTTTACCAATCCCTTTTATCATGTTTTCACCAAAAGCCCCCTAAATGCATTTATTTGTGTTCCCATTTTCACTTGCTAAATATTAGGTCAGAACTTCTGGTCAAGGCTCTCAAAGTGACCAGAAAGGGTTTATTACATTTCAGCCACAAGCAAGGAAACCTGATTTACTCGATCTTATCATAAGCATAACTTCCTAGATTAGGTGTGTGGGATGTTTTTGTGTGTGTGTGGGTTTTTTTTTTTTTCTTTTTGAGAAGGAGTCTCGCTCTGTCGCCCAAGCTGGAGTACAGTGGCGTGATCTCGGCTCACTGCAAGCTCCGCCTGTCGGGTTCACACCATTCTGGTGCCTCAGCCTCCCGAGTAGCTGGGACCACAAGCGCCTGCCACCACGTCCGGCTAATTTTTTGTAAATTTTTAGTGGAGACGGGGTTTCACCGTGTTAGCCAGGATGGTGTCTCGATGTACTGACCTCGTGATCCGCCCACCTCGGCCTCCCAAAGTGCTGGGATTACAGGCATGAGCCACCACGCCTGGCCATGTGTGTTTTTTTTTTATTGAGACGAGTTCTTGCTATGTTGCCCAGGCTGGAGTGTGGTGGCGAAATGAGACCATACCTCAATGCAGCCCTGAACTGGGCTCAAGGGATCCTCCTGCCTCAGGCTCCTGAGTAGCCAGAATCACAGGCATGTGCCACCATACACAACTAATTTTTTATTTTTATTTTTTTAAGATAAAATAAGAGATGGGGGTCTCACTATGCTGCCCAGGCTGGTCTTGAACTCCTGGCCTCAAGCTATCCCTCCTGCCTTGCCCTTCAAAGCACTGGCATTACAGGTGCATGCTACCATGTCCAGCGCCTAGGTTAGATATTGGTACATATTCTAAAAGGGCAAGTTAAGGATTAAGGAATTTGAGGCTGCAGTGAGCTATGATCTTGCCACTGTACTGTACCCTGGATGACAAAGCAAGACCCCATCTCTAAAAACAAGAATAAAAATAAAAATAATTCTTTTTTTAAAAAGGGCTCATTACTGTCTTGGTAGATACCCCAGGTTATAAAGCACTGTGTTAAGTGACATCTAAAGTCTCTGTCTACTCTGACCCTCCATAACCCTACAAATCAACTCAGTGAGGTACTCTGAAGTTCTTAGAGAGGCTTATTCTTCCTGCCCCCATTTCTGATGACAGAAAAATCCAAGACCTAATTATTTTAATTAGAAAAATTTTTTTTAGAGACCAGGTCTCACTATATTACCCAGACTGGCCTTGAACTCCTGGGCTCAAGAAATCTTCCTGCTTCAGCCTCCTAAGTAGCTGAGACTATAGGCACCCAGACTGAATTTTTTTTTTTTGAGACGGAGTCTCGCTCTGTCGCCCAGGCTGGAGTGCAGTGGCGCGATCTTGGCTCACTGCAACCTCTGCCTCCTGGGTTCAAGCAATTCTCCTGCCTCAGCCTCCTGAGTAGCTGGAATTACAGGCATGTACCACCAAACCAAGCTAATTTTTGTATTTTTAGTAGAGATGGGGTTTCACTATGTTGGCCAGGCTGGTCTCAAACTCCCGACCCCAGGTGATCTGCTTGCCTCAGCCTCCCAAACTGCTGGGATTACAGGCGTAAGCCACCACACCCAGCCAGACTGAATTTTTTAATGTACAACTTTAGAATGCTGGATTCGGAAAAATTGGCGCACCAGAGCAGAACCTGCACACTCCTCAGGGCATAGCATTTTGTCTGCCTTGATAAGTTTGTAAATAATAAAAATAGTAAGTCATAATAGCAAAAGTGATTATGCAATAGCAAAAATAGCAAAAGCAATTCATTGAGGGTAGACATATTATATATATTTAAATATATTATCTTCACTTATTCCCCCATCCTTGACTATGAAATAGGCACTAATGTCTTTTTTTTTTTGGTCTCGCTCTGTTGCCCAGGCTGGAGTGCAGTAGTACAATCATGGCTCACTGCAGCCTCGACCTTCCAGGCTCAAAAGATCCTCCCTCCTCAACCTCCTGAGTAGCTGGGACCACAGGTGTGCACCGCCATGCCCAGCTAATTTTTTTATTTTTTTGTAGAGATGAGGGTCTCACTATGTTGCCCAGGCTGGTCTCAAACTCCTGGCTGGGCTCAAGCAATCCTCCCACCTTGGGCTCCCAAAGTGCTAGGATTACAGGCATGAACCGCTGTGCCTGTCCTGTCTTCCTCTTAAAGAGGGAAAACAGGTCGGGCACAGTGGCTCAGGCCTATAATCCCAGCACTTGGGGAAGCCGAGGCTGGCATATCACCTGAGGTCGGGAGTTTGAGACCAGCCTGACTAACATGGAGAAACCTAAAAATACAAAATTAGCCGGGCGTGGTGGCACATCCCTGTAATCCCAGCTACTCAGGAGGCTGAGGCAGGATAATCGCTTGAAGCCGGGAGACGGAGGTTGTGGTGAGTAGAGATCGCCCCATTGCACTCCAGCCTGGGCAACAAGAGCGAAACTCTGTCTCAAAAAAAAGTGGCAGGGGCGGGAAATAACACCAGAGGGGCTAGGAAACCAAGGATTCAAACTAAGACATGAAAGCTTATTTTCTTACTTTAATAGCAAGTTGCTCCTCTAGTGAGAGCCCACTGTGCTGAGAGTAGAGCCTGATCCTTGGCCTAAATGGGTTATGGAAACCTCTAAAGCCATCTACAGGAAAGGCATGAATTTGCCTCATCTTGGAGGGAAATAAGACCCTGCAATTCAGAGAGCAAACACCTCACTCACAGCAGCTGGCAGCTCCTGGAGTTGTCGGTAGCAAAGAAGCTTAATGCTTCAAGGAAGGTCTCTGTGGTTCTGCCATCAATACCACTGTACAGTTATTATTAGTTGTAATAATAGTTATAAATAACTTTCTTCCTTGGGAGTAAGACTACCTTGTGGTCAGCAGCAACAAACAAGTGCCGCATATTTTCTGACACTTCCATATAAGCTGTCATAAGTTAATCAAAACTTCTTCTGGACAGTGCTGTTATACTATATGAAGTCTTAGGTGCTAAGAGATAATTTCTAAAATAACACAAGGGGGAAGTCAGGTATGATAGTTTTGTCCCAAATTTGAATACTTTTTTTTTCCCCCTCACAGCTAAAATAATTCCCACGATTCCTACAAACTAAGCGTGGCTTCCAAGATGGGACCTGCTCTGAAGTTCAAGTCCAAGGGATCAGGGGCAGCATCACCTCATCTCAAAGATTACACCATCTAGAATCTGTCCTGAGTGGCCTCTAAATTCTCAATTAATACCCACTAAGTCAAAACAGTTACAGTTGGACAGAAATCAGAGATCATGTGGCCCAGCCCACTTTACAAAAGAAGAATCTGAGGGGAAGTGACTTGCCCACTCAGCTGAGAGTTAGAGTTAAATTTTACTGTATCTATTGTCTCCCCGTCCCAGGTCAGTGCTTTTTCCACTACAATAATTACAGTACTCTTGGGACAGTGTTGTGAACATAACCAGAAAAAGTACTACCTCTATCGTTTACAAATCAGGAAACATGAAAAATCCGACTTGAGGGGAAAAAGCACTCTGGCACCTTTAGGAGGTAGGGGAAATCAGGTGTCCACTGAATGGGAGGTGCGAGGACGGCAGAATGGGCCTCTACAGTGGAAAGGGAGATGCAACTGGCGGCTTCAGAGTGTGAGGGAACAGAATGGACTTACATCTCTGCATCTGCTTGCTGTACTCCGACATGTTATCTGGACGGATGGAGCGCAAGAATTTAATGTAGTCATCGCTGTGGTACTTGGTCATCTCCTCAGCATTGGCTTTGTGAGGGCGCTAGAGGGCAGAAGGGAGAAAGGGCAAGTTATTTTTGACCACGGCCAGTCCAGTCAATCTAGTTTGAATATTTATATTTCCTGCGCAGCATGGAGCTAGGTGCTATAAAGAATAAAAAGAAATAACTGGTTAGATTCAGGCTTCAAGAAATTTACAATCTAACTAGGCAAACAAGATTATCAAAGGAGACAGAGTATCAGAAGACCTACAGCAGCTCAAGCTCTGTTGCTTAGGCAAGTTACTGTCTCTTGAACCTCCATTTCCTCATTTACTAAACAGGGACAACATAGACCACACAGGGAAGTTGAGAGAATTGGAAGAGGTTGTTAAATCTCTTTGTAAACTGTAAGGTGCTTTACAAAATTATTACTTTTTTTTTTTGAGACGGAGTCTCGCTCTGTCTCCCAGGCTAGAGTGCAGTGGCGCAATCTCGGCTCACTGCAAGCTCCGCCTCCCGGCTTCACGCCATTCTCCTGCCTCAGCCTTCCAAGTAGCTGGGACTACAGACGCCCACCACCACGCCCGGCTAATTTTTTTTGTATTTTTAGTAGAGACAGGGTTTCACCGTGTTAGCTAGGATGGTCTTGATCTCCTGACCTCGTGATCCGCCCGCCTCGGCCTTCCAAAGTGCTGAGATTACAGGCATGAGCCACCAAGCCCGACCTTTTTTTTCGTTTTTTTTTGTTTGTTTGTTTGTTTTGAGGCGGAGTCTCACTCTGTCACCCAGGCTGGAGTGCAATGGCATGATCTCGACTCACTGCAACCTTCGCCTCCTGGGTTCAAGCGATTCTCCTGCCTCAGCCTCCCGAGTAGTTGGGATTACAGGCGCCCACCACGACGCTGGCTAATTTTTGTATTTTTAGTAGAGATGGGGTTTTACCATGTTGGTCAGGATGGTCTCGAACTCCTGACCTCAGGTGATCCGCCCTCCTCGGCCTCCCAAAGTGCTGGATTACAGGCATGAGCCACTGCGCCCGGCCTACAAAATTATTACTTATTATTATATAAAACTGGCCGAGTGCAGTGGCTCACGCCTGTAATCCCAGCACTTTGGGAGGCTGAGGCGGGTGGATCACCTGAGGTTAGAAGTTCGAGACCATCCTGACCAATATGATGAAATCTGGTCTCTACTAAAAATACAAAAATTAGCTGGACGTGGTGGCATGCACCTGTAATCCCAACTACTCAGGAGGCTGAGACAGGAGAATCGCTTGAACCTGGGAGGTGGAGGTTGCAGTGAGCTGAGATTGTGCCACTGCACTCCATCCTGGGCAACAAGAGTGAAACTTCCTCTCAAAAAAATAAATTAAAAAAAATATATATGTATATATACGTATTATAAAATTATGGACAAAATGGCTCCAAGAGTTCACGAAAAAAGGGTATCTAATGAAAACTGAAACAGATGGGAAATCCTTTATAAGTCATCACATCAACAATTTTGATCACATCCTCCCCACTAACACTTCCTTGACAAGCTAATTTCCTGGTTATCCCAACATTCTGACTCCTCCTTCCCTTTTTAAAATTATTTCCTTTTCCTCCCATCCCTTAAAGGTAGGTCTTCTTCAAACATGACCCTCTGCCTCTCTAATTACCAATACAACAAAAGTCCTCACTTAATGTCATCCACAGGTTCTTGGAAATTGTGACTATAGGCAAAACAATGTATAAAGAAACCAATTTTACCATAGGCTAATTGATATAAACAAGAACTTAAGCTCCTACAGCATATTTCTGTCACAAAAACATCACTAAAATTCTAAATAAAGACCCAAAACACTTCAAACATCAAATACTGAAATAAATGTGAAATATCCCTTTTTTTTTTTTTTTTTTGAGACGGAGTCTCGCTCTGTCGCCCAGGCTGGAGTGCAGTGGCGCGATCTCGGCTCACTGCAAGCTCTGTCTCCCAGGTTCACACCATTCTCCTGCCTCAGCCTCCCAAGTAGCTGGGACTACAGGCGCCCGCCATCACACCTGGCTAATTTTTTGTACATTTAGTAGAGATGGGGTTTCACCATGTTAGCCAGGATGGTCTCGATCTCCTGACCTCGTGATCCACCCGCCTCGGCCTCCCAAAGTGCTGGGATTACAGGCATGAGCCACCTTGCCCGGCGAAATATCTCTATATTTAAGAAATATTTATAAAAATAAGGAAGATCATTATTGGGCTGGGTGCAGTGGCTCATGCCTAAAATCCCAGTACTTCGGGAGGCTGAGGCAGGTGGATCACTTGAACCCAGGAGTTTGAGACCAGCCTGGGCAACGTGGTGAAACCCTGTCTCTACAAAAATATAAAAAATTAGCTGGCTGTGGTGGCACTTGCCTATAGTCCTAACTACTCAAGAGGCTAAGGTGGGAGGATCACCTGAGCCCAGGGAAGTCCAGGCTGCAGTGAGCTGTGATCTTGCCACTGCACTACAGTCTGGGCAACAGAGCAAGACCCCGTCTCAAAAAATATATACATTATTATTTACCCAATTTTTGGTGAATCAGTGAGTGATGGCGGTTGTTGTGGTGGTGGGTTAAATCAAATAATAAATGTATGCAAAGTTAAAATTGCAAGGAGAACCTTCTACCATCATGCAGTTCAAAAACGAACAATAACAAATATGGCAGGCTCGCTGAGTGTTTCTGTATCACATCTTTTATTGTTGTGCATCTGTATGATTATTGTCTACTTTATGAATTTTTACTTGACAATAATTTGAATTCAATCATTCATTTCCAAGGGTGGCCAGAGCCTGTCCCGCAGCTCAACACAAGGAACCAACCTTGGACAGGACGCCATTCCATCACAGGGTGCACTCACACCCATATCCACACTTGCTCAGACTAGGACCATGGAAACATGCCAACTCACCTCACATGCACATCTTTGGGATGTGGGAGAAAAATGGAGTACCCGGAGAAAACCTACACAGACATGGGGAGAATATGCAAACACCATACAGATAGTGGCCATGCCAGGAATCAGTTATTTTTCTCCTCAACGTTATAACTAAATGATGCTGAGCGAAGTGATGTTATTTGAGAACCTGCCATATTTTCTGCAGTTTATAAAGCATTTTCAATACACAGCCAACATTTATTGTTTCCTCTGTGACAGTCACTCTTTCAGGCACTTTAAACGCTATCTCATATGATTCTTACAACAACCTTTTAAAGATCTAAGCCCTGGAGGATCGCTTGAGCCTAGGACTTCAAGGCTAGCCTGGACAACATAGTGAGACCCTGTCTTTTTCTCTTTTTTAAAATAATTATCGGGGCCAGGCGCAGTGGCTCACACCTGTAATCCCAGCACTTTGGGAGGCCGAGGTGGGTGGCTCACCTGAGGCCAGGAGTTCAAGACCACCCTGGCCAACACAGCGAAACCCCATCTCCAATAAAAATACAAAAATTAGCCGGGCGTCATGGCAGGTGCCTGGAATCCCAGCTACTCAGGAGGCTGAGGCAGGAGAATTGCTTGAACTCGGAGGCAGAGGCTGCATTGAGCTGAGATCATGCCACTGCGTTCCAGCCTGGGCAACAAAGCGAGACTCCATCTCAAATAAATAAATAAATAAATAAATAAATAAAATAAAATAAGTTATTGGGCAATCTCTCCAGGCCAGAATGTGTTCAGATTCCTAAGACCCCATCTCTGAAAAACAAAACAAAACAAAAAAACACCTTTTAAAGTTCATGGCCAGGTGCGGTGGCTCACGCCTATAATCCCAGCATTTTGGGAGGCCGAGGTGGGAGGATTGCTTGAGGCCAGGAGTTTCAAACCAGTCTGGCCAACATGGCGAAATCCCATCTCTGCAAAAAATACAAAAATTAGCTGGGCGTGGTGGCAGGCTCCTGTAATCCCAGCTACTCAGGAGGCTGCAGCATGAGAATCACTTGAACTTAGGAGGCAGAGGTTGCAGTGAGCCCAGATTGTGCCACTGCACTCCAGCCTGGGCGACAGAGCGAGACTCTGTCTCAAAAAACAAGCAAACAAACAAAAAAAAGTTCATAGCCAGGCACAGTGGCTCACGCCTGTAATCCCAGCACTTTGAGAGGCTGAGCGGGGCAGATCACTTGAAGTCAGGAGTTCGAGACCAGTCTGGCTAACATGGTAAAACCCCATCTCTACTAAAAATATAAAAAATTAGCTGAGTGTGGTGGCGGGCGCCTGTAAACCCAGCTACTCGGGAGGCTGAGGCAAAGCATCGCTTAAATCCAGGAGGCAGAGGTTGCAGTGAGCTTAGGTCATGCCACTGCACTCCAGCCTGGGCAACAGAGTGAAACTACATCACAAAGAAAAAATAAAAATAAAAAATTCATACTATTATTATCCTTATTTCACAGGGAGGAAACTATAGAAGAGAGAGGTTAAGTAATTTGCCTGGGGTTACACAGCTGGTAAACTGGAAGGAATCCAGAGATCTGGCTCTGGGTACTTTGACTCTCTCATTTAATCCTCACTTAATTTAATGAGGCATAATAAGACTGAACGACAGATACTGTTTTATCAAAAACAGCCATAGTGAAGCCAGATGCAGTGGCATGCACCGTAGTCCCAGCTGCTCAGGAATCTAAGATGTAAGGATCACTTGAGCCCAGGAGTTCAAGGCCAGCCTGGGCAAACACAGTGAGACCCTGTTTCTAAAAAGGCAAACCAAAACACCCACAGTGAAAGAAAAAAGACTTAGCTCCAAATACCAAGTTGTTTTTTTACTATACTAAGCCCTTTACTCTCTTCCTAATGTCATCAAAACTTTGGTCTGGCTATCCCTTCTACACAGATGACTGCACAAACTCCATTTTGATCTTAGTTCTGAGCTCCAGATTCACAGTTCAAATAGCTTCTCAGTCTGCTCCACCCACAAACCCTAAAGGCACTTCAAATTCAACTGGACTCAACAATTTGTTGTTGAGAGCCTAGAAGCACTCAAATTCCACTTAACTTCCAAAAGTTCTCTTTCATTATTTTTGTTAATGATACCAACATCCACTCAGGCTGAAAACCTAAGTGTCATTTTAAACTCTGTCCTTTTTTGCCTTCCTGTTTCAATCCATTGCCAATCTCTCTCATTATGCCTCCATAATATTGATTGCATCTACTACCCTATTTTTCCTATGTCCTTCTTTCCCGGGTTTCCTATTCTCAGCACCAACCACCTAGTTGTTCAAGATCGAAGCCAGGGTATCATCTTTGTTTTTTTTTCGAGACAGAGTCTCACTCTGTCACCCAGGCTGGAGTGTAATGGCACGATCTCGGCTCATTGCAACTTCTGCTGCCCAAGTTCAGCGATTCTCCCGTCTCAGACTCCTGAGTAGCTGGGATTACAGGCACCCGCGACCACGCCCGGCTAATTTTTGTATTTTTAGTAGAGATAGGGTTTCACCATGTTGGCCAGGCTAGTCTCAAACTCCTGACCTCAGGTGATCTGCTGGCCTTGGCTTCCCAAAGCGCCAGGGTTACAGGCATGAGCCACCACACCACACCAGGCAAGAATCATCTTTGATTCTTCTTTTTTCATCCGCTACATTCAACTTCTCTTGAAACTACCACCAATGTATTATCTGTCAAATCTGTCCACTTCCATCCTGGGCTACCACTTTTTTTGACTTGGATTCTGGCAACAATCTCCTAACTGGTATACTAGCCTCCTTCTTAACCATTGTTAATTTATGCTGAATACTACAGGCAGAGTTTTCTGTCTCTCTTTCTTTTTTTTTCTTTTCTCTCTTCTTTCCTTCCTTTCTTCCTTCCTTCTTTGTCTTTCTCTCTCTCCCTCCCTCTCCCTGTTTCTTTCTGTCTCTCTATTTTTTTTTTCTTTTTTTCACCGACTTTCACTCTTGTCACCCAGCTGCAGTGCAATGGCACAATCTTGGCTCACTGCAACCTCCGCCTCCCAGATTCAAGCAATTCTCTTGCCCCAGCCTCCCGAGTAGCTGGGATTACAGGCTCCCACCACCACTCCCGGCTAATTTTTGTATTTTTAGTAGAGATGGGGTTTCACCATGTTGGCCAGGCTGGTCTCAAACTGCTGACCTCAGGTGATCCATCCGCCTCAGCCTCCCAAAGTGCTGGGACTACAAGCGTGAGCCACTGCGCCCGGCCTGTCTTTTTCTTTTTTATTTAGAGACAGAATCTCCCTGTGTTGCCCAGGCTGGTCTCGAACTCCTGGGCTCAAGTGATCTTCTTGCCTTAGCCTTGCTAGTAGCTGGGATTACAAGCGTGTGTCACTGTGCCTGTTATAGAGTTATCAGTCTTAAAATGCAAACTGAATCATGTCACTCCCCTCTAAAAACACTTCAAAGGCATCATTACTCAAAATATCAAGTTCAAACTCTTTAACCTGGCTTGGAAAACCAGAATAATCTGATCCCTGCTCACCCCCTTACACTCACCTAAATATTTTGTGCTGTATGCCAGGGAACACCAAACTCAAATCACTCATAAGCGCCAGTCAGTTTAGCTAGCTTAAAACAAACATAAACAAAACACTGGTGAGCAGAGGACAATCTTTATTTACATAGCTCTAGCTGATGGCTGCCATGAGGGAATTTGGGCCCAACTGCCAGATCCTTTCTGGACAATTTCATTTTTTAAAGGTTGGCCACTAACCTAATGCCCTTAAAATACTTTGAGTTAAATAAAACATGTTTGAGAGACTGAATTGATCTCATTCACTGTGCCAATCTGCCAAGCACCATTTTGCTTGCACTTCCCCAAGGGCCATCTCTCTCACATTTAGGCCTTTATACATGCTATGACCTACAACACTGTTCTCTTCACACCCTCTACTCAACCTTTAGGTTGCAAATGAAAAGTCAACCCAGGCACACACTTGTAGTCTCAACTACTTGGGAGGCTGAGGCAGGAGAATCACTTGAGCACAGACAGGAGTTTGAGGCTATAGTGCATTATAATCTCACCTAGGAATAGCCACTGCATTCCATCCTGGGCAACAGAGCAAGGCTTGTTTTTTTTTTTTTTTTTTTTTTGAGACTCGCTCTGTTGCCCAGGCTGGAGTACAGTGGCACGACCTCAGCTCACTGCAATCTCCGCCACCCAGGTTCAAGCGATTTTCCTGCCTCAGCCTCCTGAGTAGTCGGGATTACAGGCATCCACCACCATGCCCAGCTAATTTTTGTATTTTTAGTAGAGAGAGGGTTTCACCATGTTGGCCAGGTTTGTCTTGAACTCCTGATCTCAGGTGATCCGCCTGCCTCGGCCTCCCAAAGTGCTGGGATTGCAGGCGTGAGCCACGGCACCCAGCCAAGGCTGTCTCTTAAAAAAGAGAGAGAGAGAGAAAGAGAAGAAAAGCCAATTCCCCCAAAAAGCTGTCCTTGACCTCTCAGAATCTCAGTTAAGTAACTCTCTGAAATGCTACCCTGAGAAGCCTGTACTTCCCTTATCATTACACTCACCAAACTGCATATAAATTGCATGTTTGCTTGGTCTACTCTGGGAGGCCAGGAGCAGGTTCTACCTTTATTTGAAGCAACAAGCATGGTGCCTGACATATAGCACCTGCTCAATGAATAACTGTTGACCTAACAAATGAACTCTTGGCTGGGCGTGGTGGCTCATGCCTATAATCCTAACGCTTTGGGAGGCTAAGGGGGGCAGACTGCTTGGGCCCAGCACTTTGAGACCAGCTTGGGCAACAAGGTGAAACCCCATCTCTATAAAAAATACAAAAATTAGCCAGGTATAGTAGCACACAGTGTAGTTCCAGCTACTCAGGAAGCTGAGGTGGGAGGATCACTTGAGCCCAGGAGGGTGAGGCTGCAGTGAGATGTGATCACATCACTGCACTCCAGCCTGGATGACAGAGCAACACCCTATCTAAAAAAATAAAACGGGCCAGGCGCCGTGGCTCACGCCTGTAATCCCAGCACTTTGGGAGGCTGAGGCAGGCAGATCACGAGGTCAGGAGATCGAGACCATCCTGACTAACACGGGGAAACCCCGTCTCTACTAAAAATACAAAAAATTAGCCAGGCGTGGTGGCAGGTGCCTGTAGTCCCAGCTACTCGGGAGGCTGAGGCAGGAGAATGGCATGAACCCAAGAGGTGGAGCTTGCAGTGGGCCGAGATTGCGCCACTGCACTCCAGCCTGGGTGACAGATCAAGACTCCGTCCCAGAAAATAAATAAATAAAAATTAAAAAAACAAAACAAAACAAAACCCATACACAAATTAAATCTCACTTGGAGTATTTTTGGCCTCCTAATTGGTCCTATTTCTATCCAGCCTTATCATCTTCCATCTTCCATATTGGTATCACAAAAATCTTAAAACGTTAAAGTACTGCTCTCATTCAATGACACCCTGTTGACGAAGTAAATATTCTTTTTTTTGAGACGGAGTTTCACTCTTGTTGCCCAGGCTGGAGTGCAATGGCACGATCTCGGCTCACTGCAACCTCTGCCTCCCAGGTTCAAGCTATTCTTCTGCCTCAGCCTCCCTAGTAGCTGGGATTACAGGCATGTGCCACCATGCCCAGCTAATTTTGTATTTTTAGTAGAGATGGGGTTTCTCCATGTTGGTCAGGCTGGTCTCAAACTCCCGACCTCAGGTGATCCGCCCACCTTGGCCTCCCAAAGTGCTGGGATTACAGGCGTGAGCCACTGCGCCCGGCCCGAAGTAAAGACTCTAAGCTCTTTGATATAGCAATCAAGAAACTTTACAAGGTTCCTTTCCCAATTTAATTGCCCCTGCTCTCTTTCACAAATATTATACTCCAAACAACTCTTCCTTAAGATCTAGAGAGGTATAGAGCTTTTCAACAGTGTCCGTGCTCATGTTCTTCCTATTATTTGAAATTCATCCCTTATCCCAAATCTCTGAAGGAAAGGGCTCATCTCAAATGCCACCTCTTTTACAAAGTAAAAGCAAATCACCTTCTAACAATCCATCTTCATCCCAGGACTCAAAGTTCCAAAGAATACAGCAGTGCCCTCTTATCCTCAGTTTTGGTTTCTACAGTTCCAGTTACACACAATCACTGTCCAAAAATATTACATGAAAAATGCCAGAAACAAGCAATTCATAAGTTTCAAATTGTGAACCATTTGTTATGAAATTTTGTAACATCCAGCTCTGTCCCCTGGGTGTGAATCATCCCTTTATCTGGCATATCCACACTGTATACTACCCACCTGTGAGTCACTTAGTAGCCCTCTCAGTAATCAGATCGATTATCAAGGTATCACACTGTTTGTATTCAAGAAGCCCTTGTTTTACTTAATAATGGCCCCAAAGTCCACGAGTAGTGATGCTGGCAATTTTGATATGCCAAAGAGAAGCTGTGCTGTGCTTCCTTTACATGAAAAGGTTGAAGTTCTCAATATAAGGAAAGAAAAAAATCCTGTGCTGAAGTCGCTAAGAGCTAAGATCTACAGTAGGAATGAATCTTCTTTTTTTTTATTTTTGGGAAGGAGTTTCACTCTTGTTGCCCACGCTAGAGTGCAATGGTGAGATCTCAGCTCACTGCAACCTCTGCCTCCCAGGTTCAAATGATTCTCCTGTCTCAGCCTCCTGAGTAGCTGGGACTACAGGTATGCACCACCACGTCTGGCTAATTTTGTATTTTTAGTAGAGATGGGGTTTCACCATGTTAATCAAGGTGGTCTCGAACTCCTGACCTCAGATGATCCACCGGCTTTGGCCTCCCAAAGTGCTGGGATTACAGACATGAGCCACCACGCCCGGCCAGGAATGAATCTTCTATGCATGAAACTGTAAACGGCTTATTGCTATAATTGTCCTAGTTTATTATTGTTAATTTCTTACTGTACCTAATTTATAAATTAAGCTTTATCAGAGGTATGTATGTATTAGAAAAAATATAACATATATAGGATACAGTACTATCCATGGTTTCAGGAATCTACTGGGCATACTAGAAAGTATCCCCCCTCAGATAAGAGTGGCCTACTGCATTATCCCACAGTCAAAAATCACAAAATACACAGGAAACACAGTCCAGGATCCTACAGAAACAACAACAAACAACAGAATCAGATCTACATAGACCTTGGTGAATTAGTGAAATGTATATCAAAATCGTAATTAAATTAAAAAGAAGTGCTACTCAGGAGGCTGAGGAGGGAGGATTACTTGAGTCCAGGAGCTTGAGGCTGCAATGAGCTATGACTGTGCCACTGCACTCTAGCCCAGGCAACAGAGTAAAACCCTGTCTCTAAAAGAGAGAAAAAGAGGCCGGGCGCCATGGCTCACACATGTAATCCCAGGACTTTGCGAGGCCAAGGCGGGCGGATCACCTGAGGTTGGGAGTTCGAGACCAGCCTGACCAACGTGGAGAAACCCCATCTCTACCAAAAATACAAAATTAGCTGGCCGTGGTGGCGCATGCCTGTAATCCCAGCTACTAGGGAGGCGGAGATTGCAGTGAGCCAAGATCGCGCCATTGCACTCCAGCCTGGGCAACAAGAGCAAAACTCTGTCTCAAAAAAAAAAAAAAAGAAAAAGAAAAAGAAAAAAAAGTGAAAGGGCAAATAGCCAAATCACTTTTTCAGAAGAACAAAGTGGGAGGACTGTGCTACCAGATAACAAGACTTACTATAATATAAAGCTACTGTAATTAAGCCACTGTGGTATTGGCATATGGGTCAATAAACAGACCAAGTCAACCGAACAGAGAGCCCAAAACCAGACACACACATATTGCCTGGCACAAAGTAGGTGCTTGATGAGTATATATGCAATGAATGAATAAAAATGGACATTTAATATATAAAAGAAATGGGTCAGGCACTGTGGCTCACGCCTGTAATCTCAGCACTTAGGGAGGCCAAGGTGGACAGATCACTTGAGCCTAGGAGTTTCAGACCAGCCTGGTTAACACAGCAAAACCCCATCTCTACAAAAATATAAAAATTAGCCGAGTGTGGTGACATGCACCTGTGGTCCCAGCTACTCAGGAGGCTGAGGTAGAAAGATGGCTTGAGCCTGGGAGGCAGAGGTTGCAGTGAGCCGAGATCGCACCAGTGCACTGCAGCCTGAGTGCCAGAGTGAGACATTGTCTCAGGGAAAAAAAAAAAAAAAAAAGACAACCAATGGGAAAATGGGCAAAAAGGTTGAATAGGAATTTCAGTAGGGGAATATAAATTAAAATAATAGTAAGATAACATTTCATGTCTACCTAAATTAGCAACAAAATTGAAATCTGACAAAATCAAGTGTTGGCAAGGACTCAGAGCAACTGCAATTCTCCTACATAGCTGGCAATTGGAAACCATTTTGGCTTTATCTAACACAGGTGAATATGTGCATATGTCCTGACCCAATTCTAATCCTAGTATATCCTTTAGTGAAACTTTAGCATATATGCATCAAGAGACATGTTCAAGAAAGTTCATAGCAGCAGTATTTGCAATAGTCAAACCCCAGAAGCAAATCAAATGCTCATCAAAGAGATAACAGACTAGAATACATTTATTTCAATGAAATACAGTAAAAATAAATACAGCTACAGGTATCAACATGGGTGAGTCTCAAGAACATGTTTAGCAAAAAAAGTCAGTCACATAATAAATACTGTATGGCTCCATCTATATAACAATCAAACATGTAAAACTAAAACATACTGTGCTTGGAACTGCAGGTAAAAAATAAAAATCATTTTTATAATTTTTAAAAAAGAATACAGGCATGGTGGCTGATGCTTATAATCTCAGCACTTTGGGAGACCAAAGTAAGAAGATCTCTTGAGGCCAGGGGTTTGACACCAGCCTGGACAAAACAGCAAGACCCTGTTTCTACAAAAAAATTTTTCTGAATTAGCCAAGAGAGGCTGGGTATGGTGGCTCATGCCTGTAATCCCAGCACTTTGGGAGGCCGAGGCAGGCGGATTGCTTTGAGCTCAGGAATTTAAGACCAGCCTGGGCAAAATGGTGAAACCCCATTTCTACCAAAAAATTAGCCAGGCGTGGTGGCTTACACCTTTAATCCCAGCTACTTGGCAGGCTGAGGCTGGAGAATCACTTGAGCCCAGAAAGCAGAGGTTGCAGTGAGCCAAGATTGCACCACTGCACTCTAGTCTGGGTGACAGAGTGAGACCCTGTCTCAAAAAAAAGAAAAAAATAAAATAAAGCCAGGCATGGTGGTGCCTGCCTGTAGTCCTAGCTACTTGGGAGGTTGATGTGGGAAGATAACTTGAGCCCAGGAGTTCAAGGCTGTAGTGAGCTATGATCACACCACTGCACTCCAGCCTGCAGGGAGCAGAGCTCTCGGGAGCAGAGATAGTCTGCTCCCTAGAGTACCTAAAAATATCTTCTGCCTTTTCTGTTTTTCATTCCCAGCTGCCTTCACACCTAAAAAAGCTCCGTAGTCCCAAGGTCTGTCTTCTCCTCTACTTTCCTTCCTTGCTTCCCCAGTTGCCTCCACTGGCTCCAGAGACATGACAAGGCCATCTAGGAAAGAACACTCATCTCCTTTCAGTCTCTGGAATGGTGACAAAAATACCACTGTTGGTAGTTTACTCAAGCTGTAGAAACAGACTTTAACCACAGATTCTTATGTAGTAAGGCAACATCACCTCCAGCCCCTCTTTATTTTCTCATTTGGACTCTTGTAACAGCCACTTACCTAGCCTCCCTGCTTCTAAAATGCATGCCCGTTCCTATCTCTCTTTCATTTAAAACCCTTCACTTGTTCCTCCTCACTGTCTCCAGAGAGGTTAAAACTGGGAACCATTGGACCTATTTGGTCTACAGATGTACTAATGTGTTTGGTTTGTATACATGCTTAAAATAAAAACCAAAAAGCAAAAACTCTGGGTTAACTTTTTTTTTGAGACAAAATCTCATTCTGTCATCTAGGCTGGAGTGCAGTGGTGCAATCACAGCTCACCGCAGCCTTGACCTCCCAGGCTCAAGTGGTCCTCCCACCTCAGCCTCCCAGATAGCTGGGACTACAGGTGCAGGCCAGGATACCAGCTAATTTTTTTCATATTTTTTGTACAGACAAGGTTTCTTGGGATAACATTTTAAACCTAGGAGATTTTACATAATAATCTGGATTTCCAGCTTCTCTTTAAAAACTCAAAGATCAGTGACAAATCACCTGTAGCTGAATCTACAGGTTAGACCGTCTATACTCTCTAATAACTAGAGATTTGGCATCTGCTTCAACATGGTCCCAATCACTCTTATTTAGGCATTAAATTTTTGGTTTTTTTGTTTTGTTTTGTTTTTTTGAGACAGGGTCTCACTCTGTCGCTCAGGCTGGAGCACAGTGGTGCAATCACGGCTCACTGTAACCTCTGCTTCCCAGACTCAAAATGATCCTCCTAGCTTAGGCTCCTAAGTAGCCGGGACTACAGGCATGTGCCACCATGCCTGGCTAATTTTTTGTAGAGATGAGGTCTTGCCATGTTGACCCGGATGGTCTCGAACTCCTGGGCTCAAGCAATCTGCCCATCTCAGCCTCCCAAAGTGCTAGGATGACAGGCATGAGCCACCGCACCTGGCTTTGTTTTTTTAAGACAGAGTCTTGCTCTGCCCCCCAAGCTGGAATGCAGTGGCACAATCATAGCTCACTACAGCCTCGACCTCCCAGGCTCTAGCAGTCTTCCCACCTTAGCCTCCCAAGTATCTGGGACCACAGGCACATGCCACCATGGCCAGCTAATTTTTAAATTTTGTTGTAGAGACAGGGTCTCCCTATGTTGCCCAGGCTGGCCTAGAACTCCTAGGCTCAAGTGATCCTCTTGCCTTCACCTCCTGAAGTGCTGTGATTACAGGCGTGAGCCACCATGCCCAGCCAAAAATCTTTATCATTTACAGTACCTGCCTTGTAACAGCAGTCAACATGCATTTGATGAATGAGTGAATGAGTGGTGGAGAAAATGAGATAATGAATGGCATATGGGGAACCAGAGCAGATGAGGTTAGGGAGCGGTAGCACCTCTGGTAACTCACATAGATTTCCATTTTTCGGTAGAGACCATAGTTGAGCAGCAAATTATGAGTCATGCGGATTCGGTGAGGCTTCATTGGGTGGCCTTGTCCATAATAGTAATTTCCAACATCCCCTGAAGAAGAGAGAGTGACAGCTTCACTAACACAGTTAGGCATACACTACCAGGAGAACCCAGGAATTTTTACAGCGAACTCCCAGTCAAATTCTTTCTGGCTCATTTCTAGTTTCCAAGATTCTCTCCCACCTTTTGAAGGGTAACTCCAAAAGAAAAAAAAAAAAAAAAGCAGGGACCCTGGTGAGGTGAACATTTAAGGTTCAGTCTAGCTCACTTTCTTCTGGAACCCACAGGCACTACATAGCAAGAGGGGTTCATTCCAAAGCTACTGGGGAACAACAGCCAGTGAAATGATTCACCTCACTATACCTCCAAGGAATTCCCTCCCACAACAGAAAAATAACCATCGCTACTCAGAATTATTAGAAGCCACAATTCACCTCCTACATATTGTAACACTTATGGTGTCAAAGCACATTCACTTCGTTTTCTTACTGGATCCTCACAGTAACATGGGTAGGACAGGGGGTATTATTATTCTCACCTTACAGATAAGAAAACTAAAACTTATCACATGCTTAATCTATAACACTAGCCTTCTAATTGGTCCCTCTACCTTCAATTCACACTACCTGCCACACTGTCACCAGAGTTATTTTCCTAATCCACAATTCTGATAACATCACTCCTTCGCTCAAAAAATCCTTATGGCTCCCCATCCCCTACAGGATAAAGAGTAAAGAATAACTTTAATAGAGATAGGCATGGTGGCATGAGCCTGTAATCCCAGTTACTCTGGAGGCTGAGGCAGGAAAATCACTTGAGCCCAGGAGTTCAAGACCAGGCTGGGTCTCAACATTTAATAATAATAACTTCAGAAGACTGGCATTCAAGGACTTTCTTTTTTTTGAGACAAGTCTCGATCTGTTGCCCAAGCTGGAGTGCAGTGGTGCAATCTCAGCTCACTGCAACCTTCGCCTCCTGGGTTCAAACAATTCTCCTGCCTCAGCCTCTCAAGTAGCTGGCATCACAGGCATGTGCTACCATGCCTGGCTAATTTTTGTATTTTTAGTAGAGAAGGGGTTTCACCTTGTTGGTCAGGCTGGTCTCAAACTCCTAACCTCAGTTGATCCACTCACCTCGGCCTCCCAAAGTGCCGGGATTACAGGTGTGAGCCACCGCGCCTGGCCAGCATTCAAGGACTTTCTTTTACTTTATTTATTTATTTTTTTGAGACAGAGTCTCGCTGTGTTGCCCAGGCTGGAGTGCAGTGGCGCGATCTCAGCTCACTGCAAGCTCCGCCTCCAGGGTTCACGCCATTCTCCTGCCTCAGCCTCCCGAGTAGCTGGGACTACAGGCGCCTGCCACCATGCCCAGCTAATTTTTTGTATTTTTAGTACAGACGGGGTTTCATTGTGTTAGCCAGGATGGTCTTGATCTCCTGACCTTGTGATCTGCCCGCCTCGGCCTCCCAAAGTGCTGGGATTACAGGCATGAGCCACCGCGCCCGGCCAAGGACTTTCTTAATCTGCCTTTCCAGCTTCATCCAAGGACTTTCTTAACCTGCCTTTCCAGCTTCATCTCCTGCTACCACCCTTTCCCACAACACACACACACTCACTCTCTCTCTCTCTTTGCTCTAGACTGGAGTAGGCAAACTATGGCCCTTGGGACAAATACAACTAGTTGCCTGTTTTGGTAAATAAAATTTTATTGGAACACAGCCATGCCCATCCGTTTACAGTTCCTCTATGGCTGTTTTCACACTACAGTGGCAGAGCTGAGCAGTTTAGTTGCCACAGACACCCAAGCATATGGCAAAATAAAGCCTAAAATATTTACTATCTGGCCCTATATAGAAAAAGTTTGCCAACCTGTGCTCCAGACACACCAGATTATGATCAGTATCCTGAACATGACATTCACCTTCACACCACAGTATCCTCTGTGCAGACTATTCCTTTGACCTGAAATGTCCTCCTTTCTTTGATGATGCTCATACTACAAAGCCCACCTCAAGCTCCAAACCCTTTCTTGATCAAAATAAATGGTCTTTTCCTCTACATGCAATTTGTATACAGCACTTCATTAGTTTTCTTTTCTTTTTTTTTTTATTTCTTGAGACGGAGTCTCACTCTGTCGCCTAGGCTGGAGTGCAATGGTACTATCTCGGCGGCTCAGTGCAACCTCTGCCTCCCAGGTTCAAGCAGTTCTCCTGCCTCAGCCTCCTAAATTGCTGGGATTACAGGTGCGTGCCACCAAATCCAGCTAATTTTCATATTTAGTAGAGGTGGGGTTTCACTATGTTGGCCTGGCTGGTCTGGAACTCCTCACCTCAAGTGATATGCCCACCTCAGCCTCCCAAAGTGCTAGGATTGTTTTATATCTGAATTATTTACATGACTATATCCACAAGACTGGGTACCCCTTGAAGGCAAGGATTAATATGCCTTGTATATCACAGAGGCTCAATAAAGATTCAATGAATTGAATTGAGACTCAGAGAAGTTAAGTGCCTGCTCAAGATCACACAGCTAATGACTGATCTGGAGTCCACTCTTCGGACTCCAAATCCAATATGCTAAAAGCTACATTGGATTTTCCTTTTTTCTTTTTTTTTGAGACAGAGTCTCGCTCTGTCGCCCAGGCTGGAGTGCAGTGGTGCGATCTCGGCTCACTGCAAGCTCCGCCTCCAGGGTTCACGCCATTCTCCTGCCTCAGCCTCCCAAGCAGCTGGGACTACAGATGCCTGCCATCAAGCCCGGCTAATTTTTTTTGTACTTTTAGTAAAGACGGGGTTTCACCGTGTTAACCAGGATGGTCTTGATCTCCTGACCTCGTGATCCGTCCACCTCGGCCTCCCAAAGTGCTGGGATTACAGGTGTGAGCCACCGTGCCAGGCCCTACATTGGGCTTCTCAGGTACCTACTTCAGTTTGCACTTAATCTAGAGGGCTCTATAAGTCTACCTGATAGAAAATTCCTTGAACAATGTTGCAAAATCAAGTGAACTACACACCCAAAGATCTCTCCTTAGAGATTTATTAGGATGAGGCAGAGCTCTAGGCACCCAGTGAAAAAAAGGCATGAGCCTTGATCCCTAGCAACTCCCTTGCCTATCAAGCCTAGATCCAGCCAAGGCTCAGACCTGGGGGACTAAGATATCTTATCCAGAAGGTTAAGGGAGTATCTGAGGTGAGGGTAGTGAGGGTGGGGCTCTGAGACAGCATCCTTTTCTTTTTATGTTTTTTTTTGTTTGATGTTTTTGTTTGTTTGTTTGTAGAGATGGCATCTTGCTTTGTTGCCCAGGCTGGTTTCAAACTCCTGATCAGCCTTCTAAAGTGCTGGGATTACAGATGTGAGCCTCCAACAGTGCAGGCCAACCATCCTTTTCTTAACAGTTTTTAATTAGTTTGCCAACCCGTGCTGTGTGTATTCCTATACACATTGACAAATGCTATGACAGGGGAGCACACAGCATGAGGGACACTGTCCACTTCCTTAGAATTCCACCCTGGATCCTCTTCTATATAACTTCTTGGGTGACTGCATCCTTTATGATTAAATTTACTGTAATTAAAATAAAGATATATCTCTATATCTTAATCAGGTTGCTGAGAGACTTTAAAAGAAATGGTCCTTTTTATTTAGGTACTACTTAATTTTAATTTTTATTTTTGGAGACAGAGTCTCACTCTGTCACCCAGGCTGGAGTGCAGTGGTGCGATCTCAGGCTCACTGCAACCTCTGCCTCCCAGGTTCAAACAATTCTCCTGCCTCAGCCTCCTGAGTAGCTGGGATTACAGACATGTGCCACCACGCCTGGCTAAGTTTTGTATTTTTAGTAGAGTCAGGGTTTCACCATGTTGCCCAGGCTTGTCTTGAACTCCTGACCTCAAGTGATCCGCCCACCTCGGCCTCTCAAAGTGCTGGGATTACAGACGTGAGCCATGGCGCCAGCCATACTTTAAACTCTTAAAGAGCTTTCCCATCATTGTTCTCATAATAGGAACTCCTATCATTTTGATTTTATAGGAGAGAAATCTGAAATGTAAGGTGACTTGCCTGATATTACAAAGCTTCTCAATGGCAGAGCCAAATCTGAATCCCAAAGTAATGACCTCACTGCAAAACTCAGTTTCTCAAGTAAGAAGTCTATTCCCGGCTGGGCCTAGTGGCTCACGCCTGTAATCCCAGCACTTTGGGCCGAGGCGGGTGGATCATGAGGTAAGGAGATCAAGAACATCCTGGCTAACACGGTGAAACCCGTCTCTACTAAAAATACAAAAAATGGCCGGGCGCGGTGCCTGACGCCTGTAATCCCAACACTTTGGGAGGCCGAGGCAGGCGATCATCTGAGGTCGAGAGTTCAAGACCAGCCTGACCAACATGGAGAAACCCCGTCTCTACTAAAAATACAAAATTAGCCGGGCGTGGTGGCATATGCCTGTAATCCCAGCTACTCAGGAAGGCTGAGGCAGGAGAATCGCTTAAACCTGGGAGGCGGAGGTTGCAGTGAGTTGAGATTGCGCCACTGCGCTCCAGCCTGGGCAACAAGAGCAAAACTTGGTCTCAAAAAAAAAAAAAAAAGGCCGGGCGCGCTGGCTCACGCCTGTAATCCCACCACTTTGGGAGGCCGAGGCGGGCGAATCACAAGGTCAGGAGATGGAGACCATCCTGGCTAACACGGTGAAACCCCGTCTCTACTAAAAATACAAAAAATTGGCCAGGTGTGGTGGTAGGCGCCTGTAGTACCAGTTACTCGGGAGGCTGAGGCAGGAGAATGGCGTGAACCTGGGAGGTGGAGGTTGCAGTGAGCCGAGATCGCGCCACTGCGCTCCAGCCTGGGTGAAAGAGCAAGACTCCATCTCAAAAAAAAAAAAAAAAAAAAAAAAAAAAAATTAGCCAGGCGTAGTGTCATGCGCCTCCAGTCCCAGCTCCTCGGGAGGCTGAGGCAGGAGAATGGCATGAACCCTGGAGGCAGAGCTTGCAGTGAGCCGAGATGGCGCCACTGCACTCCAGCCTGGGCGACAGAGCAAGACTCCGTCCCCCCCGCAAAAAAAGAAGTCTATTCCCTTATCTAAAGACTGAGGTCTTTGTACTTTTTCTTTTTCTTTTTTTGAGGCAGGGTCTTGCTTTGTCACTCAAGCTGAGTGCAGTGGTGCCATTATGGGTCACTGCAGGCTCCACCTGGGCTCAAACCATCCACCTGCCTCAGTCTCCCACCTCAACCTCCCAAGTAGCTGCGATTACAGGCAAGTGCCACCACACCCAGCTTATTTTTTTGTGTTGTTTTGTAGAGCTGGGGGAGGTCTCATTTTGTTGCCCAGGCTGGTCTTGAACGCCTGGTCTCAAGTGATCCTTCCGCCTTGGCCTCCCAAACTACTGGGATTACAGGCGTGAACCACCATGCCCAGCCCATTTTTTTCTTCTTTTAAACTGACAATGTTATCATAAAATGTTATCATAAAACTGTGCAAAATGATATGACTACAAAAATCACAGGTTCCAGCCTCAAAATGATTCTTATCACTGCCAGCAATCCTTCCAAATTTCTTTCCCTAGCCCCCCACTTTTGCAAAAGCTATTTAAATCTCCTCTCTTCAAGATTCCTGCTCCACCAACTGCCCTACCCCACCCTCAGGAAAAGGAATATTCTCTTTCCTGATCTTGAGAACTCCCTCAACTTTCTCCTTATCTTCTCCTCTTCAAACTTACCTCCATTTGAACTTTTCCTTGACATTTACCCTCGCATCACAAAGGAATTTGTTGAAGGTTAGTGTCTCTAGCTGGGCTCCGGTTTCCATCTCCCCTGGTCTCCTCAGGAAGCTCCATCACTACTAGTCCCTTTCCTGTATCTTCAGCCTCTCCCTCTCTTCTGGCTATTTTCCATAAGAATTATTTCAATATGCTCAACTTTTAGCCACTACATCTCCATCTCCCTTATCAACAATCCTCTCTCCCTACCTCACACAAGCTTCCCTTTAAAAGGGTTCAACCAGCTGGGCATGATGGCTCACGCCTGTAAACCCAGCACTTTGGGAGGCTGAGGCGGGTAGATGACTTGAGCTCAGGAGTTTGAGACCAGCCTGGGCAACATGGCGAAATCCTGTCTCTAAACAAAAGACAACCGTTTGTCTTCTAAACAAAAAATACAAAAAGGGTGCACACCTGTGGTTCCAGCTACTTGGAAGGCTGAGGTGGGAGGACTGCTTGAGCCTGGGAGGCAGAGGTGGTAGTGAGCCAGGATCATGCCACTGCACTCCAGCCTGAGTGACAGAGTGAGGCCCTGTCTCCAAAAAAAGGGTTCAACCTGATGTCTCCTCTTCAGTTAGCCATCCATGTACTGCAATCTACCACAATCTAGCTTCTGCCCCAGTTGCCGCCAACACTTGCCCAATCCCTCCCTTCTTTAGCTTCTGCAACCCAGTACTTTCTGGTTCACCTACCTCTCCGGCCCCTCACTCTCTATCATTATACATTTAATCAACAAATATTTATTGAGAACCTACCATGAGCTAGGCATTGTTTTTGGTGCTGGGGATACAGAGGTAGACAAGGCACGGCCCCTTTCCCTAAAGAGCCTCCTCTCTACAAGAAATATGACCAAGTAAATGGGCAATTCCTCTACACAGTGACAAATACTATCACGGGGGAGTACACAGCATGAGGGGCACTAAACTTTTCCTCAATCCACTTCCTTAGAATTCCACCCTGGAATTCTATATAACTTATTGGGTGACTGCATCCTTTATGACTAAATTTACTACAATTAAAATTGCTAGCAGCCAGGAATGGTGGGTCATGCCTATAATCCCAACACTTTGGGAGGCTGAGCCCAGGACTTCAAGGCCAGCCTGGACAACATGGCAAGACAACATCTCTACAACAAACAAACAAACAAACAAACAAATAAAATAACTATCCATATGCTGATTGTTATGGTCTGAATGTGTCCCCCAAAATTCATGTGTTGGAAACATATTCCCCAATGCCAACAGTGTTTGGAAGTGGAGCCTTTTGGGAGGTGTTTAGGTCTCAAGGGCTCTACCATCCTCACTAATACATTAATGGCCATATAAAAAAACAGAGTTTATCCTTTTTTGCCTTTCCACCTTCTGTCATATGAAAACACTGAATTCAAAGCACCATATTGGAAGTAGAGACCAGACCCTCACCAGACACCAAATGCTGGCACCCTGATCTTGGACTTTCTAGCCTTGGACTTCTCAGCCTCCAGAACTATGAGAAATACATTTATGTTCTTTTTTTTTTTTTGACACAAGGTCTCACTCTGTCCCCCAGGCTGGAGTGCACTGGTGCGATCATGGCTCACTGCAGAGTCGACCTCCCAGGATCAAGTGATCCTCCCACTTCAGCCTCTCTACAGGCACATGCCATCATGCCCAGCTAATTTTTTTACTTTTTGTAGAGACAGAGTCTCCCTAAGTTGCCCAGGCTGGTCTCAAACTCCTGGGCTCAAGAGAACCATCCGCCCCAGCCTACCAAAGTACTGGGATTATAGGCGTGAGCCACCACATTCAGCAATTTCTGTTCTTTATAAACAGTGTTCTGTTATAGCAGACTAAGATACTGATGACTACCAAAAAATTTCTATCTTCTAAACTGCCTACTGGATGCCTCTACTTGGATGTCCCCTAAACATCTTAACAGTTATCAATAGTTATTTCTAAACAAACAAACAACAACAACAAAAAAAACAGTGGCTTAGGCCTGTAATCCCAGCACTTTGGGAGGCCAAGGTGGCAGGATTGCTTGAGGCCAGGCACAGGAGTTCAAGACAAGCCCAGGCAACATATTGAGACCCCATCTCTAGAAGTTTAAAAAAAAAAAAAAAAAGTTGGGGCCGGGTGCGGTGGCTCACACCTGTAATCCCAGCACTTTGGGAGGCCGAGGCGGGCGGATCATGAGGTCAGGAGATCCAGACCATCCTGGCTAACACGGTGAAACCCTGTCTCTACTAAAAATACAAAAAATCAGCCCAGTGTGGTGGCGGGCGCCTGTAGTCCCAGCTACTGGAGAGGCTGAGGCAGGAGAATGGCATGGACCCGGGAGGTGGAGCTTGCAGCAGTGAGCCGAGATTGCGCCACTGCACTCCAGCCTGGGCGACAGAGCGAGACTCCATCTCAAAAAAAAAAAAAAAAAAAAGTTATCAACTGACATGGCATTCTCCAAACCTCCAAACACTCACCATCAAATTGCCCACATCAGAGGCCAGGAAGTGTGGCTCATGCCTATAATCCCAGCACTTTGGGAGGCTGAGGCAGATGGAGCACTGGAGGTCAGTTTGAGACCAGCCTGGCCAACATCGTGAAACCCCATCTCTAATAAAAATACAAAAACTAGCCAGGCATGGTGGCGCACGCCTGTAATCCCAGCTACTCAGGAGGCTGAGGCAGGAGAATCCCTTGAATCTGGGAGGTGGAGGTTGCAGTTGCAGTGAGCCGAGATCAAGCCACTGCACTCCAGCCTGGGTGACAGAGCTAGACATCATCTCAAAAAATAAAAAATACTGCCCACACCAGGAACTTGGGATCCATGCCTTCTTCCTTACCCCTACAATCTGAATTTTTTTGTTTTTTTTTTTTTTGAGACGAAGTCTCGCTCTGTTGCCCAGGACGGAGTGCAGTGGTGAGATCTCAGCCCACTGCAACCTCTGCCTCCCAGGTTCAAACAACTCTCGCACCTCAGCCTCCTGAGTAGCTGGGACTACAGGCATGTGCCACCACACCTCGCTAATTTTTTTTTTTTTTTTTGAGATGGAGTCTCACCCTGTTGCCCAGGCTGGAGTGCAGCGGTGCAATCTTGGCTCACTGCAACCTCTGCCTCCTGGGTTCAAGCGACTCTCCTGCCTCAGCCTCCTGAGTAGCTGGGATTACAGGTGCGCACCACCACACCCGGGTAATTTTTGTATTTTTAGTAGAGACAGGGTTTCACCATGTTGGTCAGGCTGGTCTTGAACTCCTGACCTCATGATCCGCCCGCCTCAGCCTCCCAAAGTGCCGGGATTACAGGCGTGAGCCACCGTGCCCAGCCTAAATTTTGTATTTTTAGTAGAGATGGGGTTTCACCGTGTTGGCCAGGCTGGTCCTGAACTCCTGGCCCCGAGTGATCTGCCTGCCTCAGCCTCCCAAAGTACTGGGATTAGAGAGGTGTGAGCCACTGCACCTGGCCCCCATTACTTTAATTTCTAAGGTATAAACCTGATGATGTCAATAACCTGCATAAAACTTGAATCACTCACAAGTGCCCTCAATAAAGTCCAACTTCCTTGGGACAGCATGCCCAGCCCTTCATGGTCCGGTCCCTATTTACATCTTTTTTTTTTTTTTTTTTTAAGACAGAGCCTCGCTCTGTTGTCCAAGCTGGAGTGCAGTGGCA
The DNA here is from genome assembly GCF_000001405.40 of Homo sapiens. NCBI lineage: Eukaryota > Metazoa > Chordata > Mammalia > Primates > Hominidae > Homo > Homo sapiens. The sequence continues at coordinate 32,293,276 of NC_000001.11, read as the reverse complement.
CGATCTCAGCTCACTGCAACCTCTGCCTCCCGGGTTCTAAGGGATTCTCCTGCCTTAGGCTCCAGAGTAGCTGGGATTACAGGCGCACACCACCATGCGCGGCTAATTTTGTATTTTTAGTAGAGACGGGGTTTCACCATGTTGGCCAGGCTGGTCTCGAACTCCTGACCTCAGGTGATCCACCAGCCTCGGCCTCCCAAAGTGCTGGGATTACAGGCGTGAGCCACCACGCCCGGCCAAATGCCTGTTTTTCAAAGGTCCTGTCCTCTCTCTTGCCTCTGAAACTTGCTGTTATCTTTGCCTTCCCTGTGCCTGGCTAAGAACTCCTGTTCTTCAGGTCCTAACTAAGATGTCCCCTCCTTCGCTGACTCCTCAGGTGGAGTTCGGTGCCTCTTCTCTGTGCTCCCCTAACACTCTGAGCTCTGACACGGAGAGAACTTCGGTCACTGGGAAGGGTGACCCGATCAACCCCACGGCCCCAGCCCCTCAACACTTCCTCGAACACAGTAACCTGCTTGAGAGATTAAGTGAGAAGTCTGTTTTAACAGGTTGCATCCTTCTCCTTGCAACCCCTGGCGCCCCACGTCGCAGTAGCAACCGCAGGCCCCGCTCAGAGGCTGGGGGAGGGGAGGCGGGCAACCAGTCGTGCAGGACTCTTCCCCCAGAAAAGATGAGGAAGGGACGGGGCAGGGAAGAGCTTTGGGTTCTCGGCAAGAAAATGTATCCTTGCAGCCGTCTCCATCAGATTCAGCCTCCCCGCTCCGACGCACCCTCCCCTCTAGGAGTCCCACTCAAACTCTCCACATCAGACTTCCTCAGAATCTTCCCATCAAGATTACCTCACGCTTCCCCCACGCGATCCCCTCTTGGTCTCAGCCTCGATCTCCCTTCCTCGCAGCCTCCTCCCTCAGCCTCGACTTCCCCCTCGCAGCCTCCTCTCCGAGCCTCTCCCCAGCGCCTCAGCCTCCCGCAGCCTCCCATCGGCGCTCCAGCCTCAGCCTCCAGGTTCCCGGTCCGGCCCGGCCTGGCCCCGCCCCCGCCGCGAGGACGGTGCTCACCGTCGTAGTAGTAACAGACTTTCCTCCGGGTGCCCTGCGTCTGCGCCATCTTGCTCGCCTCCCGTCCCTACCGTCAGTCGGTCCGTCCGCCCTCCCGCCCGCGGCTCCGCTCAGCGTCCGACCCAGGGGGGAGGGGGCGGGCCTCCGGCCCGCCCCGCCCGTCCCCTCCTGGGCTCACCTATAGCCGCGCAGCCCGGGCACCGCTCCAGCCAATCAGCTTGCGCAGACACGGGCCCGGAACTCGGCAGGGGGCAAGGGCAGCCCGGAGAGGCCGCCGAGGGCCCCCTGGGCCTGTACCAAGGTCTGCGACAGATGGGTGGGGAGCCGCCCGGGGACCGTACCATCAGTCCCGGGGGAGGAAAGCAGCTCTGTAAACTTAACAGTCCCACTTCGTCGTGAAAAGCGTGCTTGGAGATCGGAGGCCAACTTTCTGATTTTACGGAGAATAAACCGAGGCCTACAGGGGAAAAGTGACTTGCACAAGGTCACTCAGCCAATAAAAGGGCTGAACCTGGGTTAGAAAGCGAGTTTGTGGCCGCAAAGGAGGGCTACAGAAAAATAATTAAAAAGAAAAGCAACACGCGGGTTTGGAGAGGAAGAAACCGACAAGAAAGGGAAAGAAAGCTAATGTTTGTCGAGGGGCTGCTGTGTGCCAAGTACTGTGCGACACTTTACCAATGTTATTTCAGTTTTTCCTCAAAACAGCTCTCGGCCAAGGGCTTTTTACCTCCATTTTACAGGACAGGATAAAGAAGTTCAGACTTCTGTGAATTATTCAAAGTTACACAAAGTAATTAAATTCAATTTTTTAATTGTACAGGGTTTTTAAAATGCTTTCTTTGCACCAGAGGCACTGTAACAAAGTGACAGAACCCAGCCTTTCAGACTCCAAAATCTACCTCCCTGATGCAGTCACCCAGGATGACTAAGTAGGCGTCTCTTTAGACAGGAGGAAATGGGATTATCCTATGATAGGAGGGCAGGTTTCCTTTCTTTTCTTTCCCTGTTTTTTTTTTTTTTTTTTTTTTTGAGACAAGAGTTTCGCTCTAGTTGCCCAGGCTGGAGTGCAATGGTGTGATCTCGGCTCACCACAATCTCTGCCTCTGTGTTCAAGCGGTTCTCCTGCCTCAGCCTCCCGAGTAGCTGGGATTACAAGCATGTGCCACCATGCCCGGCTAATTTTGTATTTTTGGTAGAGACTGGGTTTCTCCGTGTTGGTCCAGGTGGTCTCGAACTCCTGACCTCAGGATCCGCCCACCTCGGCCTCCCAATATGCTGAGATTACGGGCGTGAGCCACAGCGCCCGGCCTAGGAGGGCAGGTTTCTCAGCCTGGTAGCTAATGACATTTTGGGCCAGGTAATGCTTTTTTGTAGGAAGCTATTCTGTGCATTAACAGCTTCTGTGAAGCTGTTCTGTGCCTGGGCAACTAGAGTGAAACTCTTGTCTCAAAAAAAAAAAAAATTAAGCAGCATCCTTAGCCTCTACCCACTAGATGCCAGTAGCACCTTCCCCCCAGGCTGTGACAACCAAAATTGTCTCTAGACATTGCCAAGTACTGTGCAATAGCTTTACCATTGGGTTGGGGGGAAGATTAGTGGGGTGTAAGGGAGTGTAAAATTGCCCCCAACTCTACCATTAAGAACCACTCCACCAGATCATCAATTATCAACTGATCATCACTGAAAGCTGAAAGACCTAAAAGTGCAATGCTGGGCTATTAAAATAACTACAATAATGTCAATATTTAATGAGTGCTTCCTGTGTGCCAAACATTGCTCTAAGTTAGCCGCCAACTTGTGGTCCTACAGTCAACAAGAGGCTGGGCACAGTGGCTCACGCCTGTAATCCCAGCACTTTGGGAGGCCAAGATGGGTGGATCACTTGAGCTCAGGAGTTCGAGACCAGCCTGGGCAACATGGCAAAACCCCATCTCTACAAAAAATAGAAAAATTACCCAGGTGTGGGGGCGCGCTCCTGTAGTTCCAGCTACTCAGGAGGCTGAGGTGGGATGATGGCTTGAGCCCAGGAGACAGATGTTGCAGTGAGCCAAGATCATGTCACCACACTCCAGCCTGGGCAATAGAGCCAGGCCTTGTCTCAAACAAAAGAAAACAACAAGATACATCTTTATGCCTCTTTAAAGAGTGTTTGGGACTTGTGTTTCTCACTCAGAAACTGCATTTGAGTCATTAATTATAAGGTAACAGAAAATCTAAGACTGGGTGGCTTATAATAGAAACAGCAAAGGGCCAGGGAACAAATTCTACTCCCAGTTCTCTGTTGCTAATTCTCAGCTAGCCCTGGGTGGGTTTACTTAACCATTCTGGGCCTCCATTTCCCTTGTTATAAAATGGGGAGGAGGCCGGGCACAGTGACTCATGCCTGTAATCCTAACAATTTGGAAGGCTGAGGTGGGCAAATCACCTGAGGTCAGGAGTTCGAGACCAGCCTGCCCAGCACGGTGAAACCCCGTCTCTATTAAAAATGCAAAAATTAGCTGGGCGTGGTGGTGTGTGCCTGTAGGTCCCAGCTACTTAGGAGGCTGAGGCAGGAGATTCGCTTGAAACCGGGAGGTGGAGGTTGCAGTGAGCCGAGATCAGGCCACTGCATTACAGTCTGGATGACAGAGTGAGACTCTGTCTCAAATAAATAAGAAATAAAATAAAATAACAAAAATGGGGAGGATAGGAATACAAAGTTCACCCACGCTATGGCTGTACACAGTATCCCAAAGAGAAGGAGTGTGGGGATCAGATGAGATCATGAGGTGTGGCAGCAGGTCAGTCAGGTGATAGATTTACATTATTATGACTCAGATGCTCTTTGTTTGCATATATATATGTATATATATATATATAATTTTTTTTTTTTTTGAGATGAAGTCTCACTCTGTCGCCCAGGCTGGAGTGTAGTGGTGCGATCTTGGCTCACTGCAAGCTCCACCTCTCGAGTTCACGCCATTCTCCTGTCTCAGCCTCCCGAGTAGCTGGGACTACAGGCACCTGCCACCAGGCCCGGCTAATTTTTTTATATTTTTAGTAGAGACAGGGTTTCACCATGTTAGCCAGGATGGTCTCGATCTCCTGACCTCGTGATCCACCCACCTCAGCCTCCCAAAAAGTGCTGGGATTACAGGCGTGAGCCACCACACCCGGCCCTTTTTTTGTATATTTTAAAAATTACAAAAAATAAATAAAATAAAAATTAAAAAAATAAAAATTAAAAAAATTAAAAATAAAAATTAGAGGCCGGGCACTGTGGCTCACTCCTGTAATCCCAGCAGTTTGGGAGACCGAGGCGGGCAGATCACCCAAGGTCAGGAGTTTGAGACCAGCCTGGCCAACATGGCGAAACCCCACGTCTACTAAAAATATAAAAATTAGCTAGGCATGGTGGCAGGCGCCTGTAATCCCAGCTACTAGGGAGGCTAAGGCAGAAGAATGGCTTGAACCTGGGAGGCAGAGGTTGCAATGAGCTGAGATCGCGCCATTCAGCCTTCCGAGTAGCTGGGATTGTAGGCACCTGCCACCACTCCCGGCTAATTTTTTGTATTTTTAGTAGAGACGGGGTTTCACTATGTTGGCCAGGCTGATCTTGAACTCCTGACCTTGTGATCCGCCTGCCCCGGCCTCCTAAACTGCTGGGATTACAGGTGTGAGCCACGGTGCCTGGCCAACATTTCCCTATCTTTCATCAAACACTCTGCCATCCTCAGGTATCTTTAATTTTCTCACTTTTTAATGGAAATGTGGGTGCAAAAAACCATTTTCTTTATTATACCATTTATTAAATGGTATAATACCATAATATAATTTTCTTTATCATACCATTTATTAAACCATTTATCTTTATTATAAGAACAACAAGCATGAGCTTGGTGGTAAATAGCTACTAACACTCAGTTTCATTGTCTAAGACCAACAGGGAGTGGAGGGGACTCTGGCAAAGGTAGAGTTCAGGCCCTACCTGGAGGGGTGGCCATTATTCAGCTCCATGAGGACAGGTAAGTCCAACATAGCTAAATCTTCCCTTTTTTTTGAGATGGGGTTTCGCTCTCTTTTTTGCTCTGGCTGGAGTGCAATGGCAGGATCATGCTCACTGCAGCCTTGACTTCCTGGGCTCAAACTATCCTCCTAAGTAGCTAGGAATACAAGCTTGCCTCCTGAGTAGCTGGGACTGCAGGTGTGCACCACCACACCCTGCTAATTTTTTTTTTTTTTTGGTAGAGACAGGGTTTTGCCATGTTGTCCAGTCTGGTCTTAAACTCCTGGGCTCAAGCAATCTGCCCACCTTGGCCTTCCAAAATGCTGGGATTATAGGAGTGAGCCAACGCACCTAGCCCCTATTTTTCAAGAGAAGGCAGAAATCTGGAGTTTTATGCAAAATCTCCCCAGTTTTATAAACTGACTAACTCAGTCTATTTTCAAGACAGCAGCAAGAGCCATCCTTTTAAAATGTAAGTCAGGGCTGGACGCTATGGCTCACGCCTATAATCCCAGCACTTTGGGAGGCTGAGGAACATGGATCACTTGAGCTTAGGAGTTTGAGATCAGCCTGGGCAACATGGTGAAACCCCGTCTCCACCGAAAATACAAAAAATTAGCCGGGAGTGTTGGTGTATGCCTGTGGTCCCAGCTACTGAGGAGGCTGAGGTGGGAGGATTGTTTGAGCCCAGGAGGCAGAGGCTGCAGGGAGCCGAGATTTCACCTTTGTTCTCCAGCCTGGGTGACAGAGTGAGACCCCATCTCAATTAAAAATAAAAAAAAGAGGCCGGGTGTGGTGGCTCACACCTGTAATCCCAGCACTTTGGGAGGCCGAGGCAGGCGGATCACAAGGTCAGGAGATCCAGACCATCCTGGCTAACACGGTGAAACCCCATCTCTACTAAAAATACAAAAAAATTACCCAGGCTTGGTGGTGGACGCCTGTAGTCCCAGCTACTCGGGAGACTGAGGCAGGAGAATGGCATGAACCCGGGAGGCAGAGCTTGCAGTGAGCCGAGATCGCGCCACTGCACTCCAGCCTGGGCGACAGAGCAAGAAAAAATAAATAAATAATTTCATTATTTATTTCAAAAATAAATAAATAAAATAAAATGTAATTCAGATCATATCAGCTTTGCAGAGATTCCTGCAAAGTTTCCTCAAAATGGCTTCTGCAGAGGCCACAAGGCCCCAGGCCTGTAGGATCTATCCCCCTCTCTCAGAGCATGCCCGGTAAACGCCTGCCTCACCCTGTTCCCTCTGGCTGACTGCTCCTCCCCTCCTCCATACAAGGCTCACTCCTTCACCTTGGAATCTTTGCTCAAAAGCCACCTACCTTCTCAATGAAGCCTTCCCTTTTTTTTTTTTTTTTTTTTTGAGACAGGATCTCCCTTCGTCGCCTACTCTGGAGTGCCACAGTGGCACAATCATATCTCAAGCAATCCTCATGCCTCAGCCTCCTGATCTGCTGGGACTACAAGCATGAGCTACTATGCTCGGCTAAGTGTGTTTGATTTTTTTAAAACTTTTTTTGGAGACCAGGATCTTACTCTGTTCTTGAATTCCTGGCCTCAAGAAAGTAGTCCCAGGTACTCGGGAGGCTGAGACAGGAGGAGCATTTGAGCTGGAGAGGTTGAGGCTACAGTGAGCCGTGATCATGCGACTGCACTCCAGCCTGGATGAAAAAGTGAGACCCAGTCTCAAAAAAAAAAAAAAATCTGAGGATAGTTACAGATTTATTTGTTCCTCCTCCATTCCCGCCGCTTCATTTGACTAGCCTTAAAAAAACAAAATCTGAGGTCAAATATAGCCCTTGAATCAGTAAAAAATGCTGTTGCCCTTTTATAATGGGGAGGAAGGTCCTTTGACGCACCCATTCCCTAAGGGATTCCAGGTAGGAGTCACCCTGAATCCTTTGGGGAGGGGTGAGGAGCACTGTCCCATTTGAAGGGGTCTGCAGAGCCTCCAGACATCCACTCATCCCATCTTTCACCCCAACTCAGGGTGACCTAATTACCATTTTCTTAACCCCCACTGCCCACCCACAAAGAGTGGACAGCAAAGAGATGTACAACAGTCATCAACAGACATTTATTGAACTCCTGATGTGTGCCAGGCCAGGCACCAAGGAGGAGCACACAGAGGTATTAGATAAAGTCCTGGCCCTTGAGGAACTTCTGGATGATCTGAGGAAAGAAAAGTAGGTGGGCAGAAGCTTCTGTCAATCCCAGGCTTCTCCCCTCTCTCTGTGGTCTCAGGAAATGGGAGAGCCAGAAAGGGGTACCTTGTACAGTGTCCAAGACATACATGCACAGGCTACACATGTACAAGACATGTGCAGAGTCCACGCAACTACAGGACACGTGTACAGACACAAGGTGCATATGTGTCACATGTGGGTGGGATTCATGTGCAGAGTCCATATGTGCATAGGCCATGTGACTATGGCACAAGAACTCCATCTCCCCAAGTCAGGCTGGAGAGAAAGGGGGAGAACCCCAGGGCCTCTCAAGGCCTCTCAAGGCTGAGGCTGGTACTGGCCCTCTGTGGCCGTGAAGAAGTCCTCCAGCACACTGCGCAGGTAGTCAAAGGTGGGCCGGTCCTCTGGGCGCTCCTTCCAGCACAGCCTCATGAGTTGGTACAGCTCCTCTGGACAGTTGTCAGGGCGCACCATGCGGTAGCCTCGCTCCAGGTTCTGAATCACCTCCGGGTTGGTCATCCCTACGGGTTGATGGGTGAAAGGACATCAAGGTCAGGCACTGGAAGCCCACAGGCAAGGGTAATGTTCGGAATATTTAACTGGCACAGTGTGAGCACCAATCCAAAAGAATCTTGGTCTTCATCAATGGTAAGGTCACACTAGAGGTACTTGTTGAATATCAGTCACACCACTTGGAGTGCCTGGTATAGATTATTTCCTTTTCTTTTTTTTTGAGATGCAATTTCACTCTTGTTGCCCAGGCTGGAGTGCAATGGTGCGATCTCGGCTCACCGCAACCTCCACCTCCCAGGTTCAAACAATTCTCCTGCCTCAGCTTCTCGAGTAGCTGGGATTACAGGCATGCACCACCACGCCAAGCTAATTTTGTATTTTTAGTAGAGACGGGTTTCTCCATGTTGGTCAGGCTGGTCTTGAACTCCTGACCTCAGGTGATCCGCCCGCCTCAGCCTCCCAAAGTGCTGGATTACAGGCGTGAGCCACCGTGCCCACCTGATTATTTACTTAAAAAAAATGTTTTAGATAAGGGATCTCACTATGTTGCCCAGGCTGGAGTGCAGCAGCTGTTCACAGGCACAATCATAGCACATTGCAAATTTGAACTCCTCCGTTCAAGTGATCCTTTCACCTCAGCCTCCTAAATAGCTGGACAACAGGTGCACACCACCACAACCTGCTTCCCTGGTGTAAATTAAATGCTCAATAATACACACATGTTAGTTGTGGAACCTTGGGCGAGCCCAGTTTCCTTATTTGGAAAATAGAGTAAATAACTGTTCCTACCTCATAGAATTGTTATGAGGATTAAATGAGATTGTGCACAGAAAGCATCAAATATAGTGCACAGGCCAGGCATGGTGGCTCATGCCTGTAATCCCAGCATGGTGGGAGGCCAAAGCAGGCAGATCACTTGAGGCCAGGAGTTCAAGACCAGCCTGACCAACATGGCAAAACCCCATCTTTACTAAAAATACAAAAATTAGCCAGGCTTGGTGGTATGCGCCTGTAGTCCCAGCTATTTGGGAGGCTGAGTCACAGTAATTGCTTGAACCTGGGAGGTGGAGGTGCAGAGGTTGTAGTGAGCTGAGACTGTGCCACTGCACTCCAGCCTGAGCAACTCAAGCCAGACTCTTGTCTCAAAAAAATTAAAAATAAAAATAATATATATATTATTATATATATATCTCACATATATATATCTCTCACAGATATATATATATCTCACAGATATATATATCTCACAGATATATATATATATATATATCACAGAAAGCATCAAATCTATCCAGGCACAGAAAGTCTGGATCGGAGATGCTTCATAAAGGGCACCTGAGGCCATCTGCGGTGGCTCACGCCTGTAATCCCAACACTTTGGGAGGCCAAGCCGGGTGGATCACCTGGGGTCAGGAGTTTGAAACCAGCCTGGTCAACATAGTAAAAACCTGTCTGTACTAAAAAAATACAAAAATTAGCTGGGCGTGGTGGCACACACCTGTAATTCCAGCTACCCGAGAGACTGAGGCAGGAGAATCGCTTAAACCCAGGAGGTAGAGGTTGCAGTGAGCTGAGATCATGCCACTGCACTCCAGCCTGGGTGACAGAGACTCTGTCTGAAATAAATACATAAATAAATAAATAATAAAGGGCACCTGGGATTATTATTATTTGGTAGGAATGATGAGATGGTCAGGGCCCAGGGCAGGATGGGCACCCACAACCAAGACAGTGGTGAGGTCTCTCCAGTTTTAAGACCAGGCACATGACATCCTGCATCACGAAGCCAAATGGACCCTGGGCCTAGCAAAGCAGACCTTGCTTGGACTTGAGAAGGTTCCCCAGGCCCCTCCATGACCCAGATGAAATAGTCTTTGGGCTGGTTCCCTCCCTTTATGCTGGTCCTGGCCCCTCTGGCAGGCTTTTGGCATGTAGACCCCAAGAAGAGCTGCTCTGGAGAACTACATGATCACAGCAGTAACATAGCTCCCTCCTTCCCTATTTCTAAATTGCTCATGTAGTGTCTGGTTTCTCCTTCAGTCTTCTGAACAAAGATTGTGACAAGCAGTTCCCAAAGACCAAAACCTTATAGGGTATTTACAAAATCAAAGTTTTGCTCCTGGAAAGCTTGGGACTAAAGCCTGGTCAACAGAGACCCTTTTTCCCCAGGACTTGTACAAGGGAGCCTCTGCCTATGGGACTCTCACAATTTTTTTTTTTTTTTTTTTTTTTTGAGACAGAGTCTCGCTCTGTTGCCCAGGCTGGAGTGCAATGGTACAGTCTCGGCTCACTGCAACCTCCGCCTCCCAGGTTCAAATGATTCCCCTGTCTCAGCTTCCCGAGTAGCTGGGACTACAGGTGCATGCCACCACACCCGGTTAATTTTTGTATTTTTAGTAGAGATGGGGTTTCACTATGTTGGTCAGGCTGGTCTCCACCTCCTGACCACGTGATCCGCTCATCTCAGCCTCCCAAAGTGCTGGGTTGCAGGCGTGACCCACCACGCCTGGCTGGGACTCTCACATTTTAAAACTGGGGCATAGGAGGACATAGGCCACGGAACTAAACACCCATGGCCAGAGTTAAGGGTGCAAGCCCACAGGCTAAATCCAGCCTGAGTATAGCCCACAGATCCACTTTGGATTGGCCCTAGAGTGGTTTTATTTATTTATTCATTTAATTAATTTATTTATTTAATTTATTTATATTTATTTTTGAGATGGACTCTCACTCTGTCACCCAGGCTGGAGTGCAACAGCGTGATCATGGCTCACTGCAACTTCCGCCTCCAGGGTTCAAGTGATTCTCTTGCCCCAGCCTCTTGAGTGGCTGGGACTACCAGTGCCCAACACCACGCCTGGCTAATATTTTTGTATTTTTAGTAGAGGCAGGGTTTCACCATGTTGGCCAGGCTGGTCTCAAACTCCTCACCTTGTGATCCACCCACCTCAGCTTCCCAAAGTGCTGGGATTACAGGTGTGAGTCACCGTGCCCAGCCCCTAGAGTGCTTTTAAACAATTTGAATCAATCGCCAATAAATGGAAATGAACAGATTTTCCTAAAACTCCAAGTTTGGGCTTCTCTTAAAAAAACAAAAGATCTGTTTTTTTGGGTCCCCCACGCCTTAATTGCAGCCATCTGCTGGAGCAGCTGCAAGTTTACCAAGGTCCCCATTTCTCCCCATTGTCTCCCTGACCCTAATGCTATATGTCAGTTGCCATTTATCATCATGCTTTCACTGCCTATTTTCTTCTAATAGATACATTCCCTATGGGTTTGCCTCTGTGGGAACCGGGAAGGAGCAGTGAGGACCCCTGGCAGGATAACTGGAGAATATTTCTGTATTTCCAGCTCCAGCACTACCCCTGGACGCTGGTTTGGGGCAAGCCCAGGGCAGGGAAGCCCCTCAGCTTTTCACCTGTTTCCAAGGTGGTTGTTTTTGTTTTTGTTTTGAAACAGAGTCTCACTTTGTCACCCAGGCTGGAGTGCGGTGGCATGATCTCAGCTCACTGCAACCTCTGCCTCCTGGGTTCAAGCAATTCTCCTGCCTCAGCCTCCTGAGTATCTAGGGTTACAGGCGCGTGCCACCATGCCCAGATAATTTTTATATATATTTTTTTTAGTAGAGACGGGGTTTCACCATGTTGGTCAGGCTGGTCTCGAACACCTGACCTTGTGATCCACCCGCCTCGGCCTCCCAAAGTGCTGGTATTACAGGTGTGAGCCACTGCATCCGGCCTTCCAAGGTGTCTTTACCTTCCTTGGAGCAAAGGTCTGTTCACCTTGCTCTGGGGATATGGGAAGCTTCTACAAATCTAGCCACTGTGCCGCATGACCCCCCTACTCCTGTCTTTATGCTCCATTTCCTTTCCCCAGAGTTTCTTAGCAAGTTCCTTTCAAAAATTCCATCCCTGTCTTGGCTGAATTCAGGGGTAAAGGGCTTTGTCCAGGAGATGGTGGGAGGAGTCAGTGTATACTGACAACCTACTATGAGTCAGGCTCTTTCACAAATGGTCTCTCATTTTTTCTTTTTTCTTTTTCTTTTTCTTTTTTTTTTTTTTTGAGACAAATTCTCTCTCTGTTGCTCAGGCTGGAGTGCAATAGAACAATCATGGCTCACTGCACCCTCAACCTCCTGGGCTCAAATGATCCTCCCACCTCAGCCTCCCAAATAGCTGAAACTACGGGTGTGTGCCACCATGCCCAGCTAATTTTTAAATGTTTTTTTTGTTTGTTTGTTTTTTTTTTTTTGTAGAGATGGAGTCTCTCTTTTTCTTGTTTTGAGACAGGGTCTTGGTCTATTGCCCTAGGCTGGAGTGTTATGGCATGGTCTTGGCTCACTGCAACCTCTGCCTCCCTGGCTCAGGTGATCCTCCCACCTCAGCCTTCTGAGTAGCTGGGACTAGAGGCACATGCCACCAAACCTGGCTAACTTTTGTTTTTGTAGAGATGGGGTTTCGACCAGTTTCCCAGGCTGGTCTCGAACTCCTGGGCTCAAGCAGTCCTCCCACCTTGGTCTCCCAAAGTTCTGAGATTATAGGCATAAGCCACTGTACCTGGCCTAGTCTCTTATTTTTAGTATCAGGAAACTGAGGCTTAGAGAAGTGAAGTGACTAGCTTCACTAGTTACAGTAATGATCTGAACAAAGCCAAACAGAAAGTTAGCAACAGTGGCAGATCTGCTGATAAAAGGTAGGCCTCTTGTTCCTGAGCTAGATCTTCTTCTACCATACCAGGCTGCCTGGGCCAGAACTAAAGAAAAGAGCTGGGGCCGGGTGTGGTGGCTCACGCCTGTAATCCCAACACTGGGAGGCCGAGGCAGGCCAATCACGAGGTCAGGAGATTGAGGCCATCCTGGCTAACATGGTGAAACCCTGTCTCTACTAAAAATACAAAAAATTAGCTGCGCATGGTGGCACGTACCTGTAATCCTAGCTATTTGGGAGGCTGAGGCAGGAGAATCACTTGAACCCAGGAGGCAGAGGTTGCAGTGATCCAAGATGGCGCCACTGCACCCCAGCCTGGGAGACAGAGCAAGACTCCGTCTCAAAAAAAAAAAAAAAAAAAAAAAAAAAAAAGAAAAAGAAAAAAAGAGAAAAAGAAAAGAGCTGGGGTTATTAAAGAGAGATACGGAGATGGAAGCCAGCCCTGGGAGATGTGGCATCTGCCTGGGGACGTTGGACTCATACCCCTGAGAAGATAGAGGAGATGCAGCTACAAAGTTTCAGATTCTGAGACTGGAAAGAATTGAATGGGAAGACATGGACTTGCCCTTCCCATCACCCTTTCAGTTCCTGCCCTTGGCTCTAACCTGGGTAAGGGATGCGGCCGTGGGTGACAATTTCCGTCAGCAGGATCCCAAAAGACCACACATCTGACTTGATGGTGAATGTCCCGTAGTTAATGGCTTCTGGCGCTGTCCACTTAATGGGAAACTTGGCCCCTAAGGAGGAGGCAGAGTGAGGTCACCTGGGTCTGCTTGGCCAGACCCTGCAGGGCCCAGACCACCCTTAAATCTCACACGTACCCTCCCTGGCTGTGTACTCGTTGTCCTCAATGAGGCGTGCTAGGCCAAAGTCTGCAATCTTGCAGCTCAGGGTGTCAGACACCAGAATGTTGGCAGCCCGAAGGTCACGATGAATATAATTCCGCTCTTCAATGAATGCCATGCCTTCTGCAATCTGCAGGCCAAACACAGATCAGCGGTCCTGAGCCAGATGTCTTCACGTCACTGGTCTGTTCCCTTGCCCAGCCCCCCTCCCCAGTCTCCTTACTTGGGCTGCCATGTCCAGGAGTTTGTTGATGGTCAACTTGATGCCTGAAGGGGTCTTGAGAAAATCCACTAGACTCCCTGTGGGCAGAAGCAAGAGTTGCTGGCCCAAGTTGCCCCAGGGGGAGGCCCCCAGACCTTTCTCCTCCAACTGGGAGTCTAGAAGTGTGTCTGACATGTGAAAAGGAAGATTGAAGAGTGAGAATGGAGGAGTGTGTGTTCAGGGTAAGGATGCCCAGGATATGTAAAGGTTTTTTTGCAGAGGGGCTAGGGTAGAGCATGCTGGGAGGGATCTGTAGGTTTTTCATCACCAATAAGGTAGAACCTAGAATCCTCAACTAGTATCCTAAGCTTGGCATGGTCCACACTGGTAGCTTCTTCTCTTTCCCCCACTCTGCCTTTGACTTCAAACAGTTTAGCAATTTTGAGATCCTGCACTCAGACCACTAGGCTCTCACCCCAAAGCCTCTTTGTTTCATCTCTGCCTGCTAAAAAAAATTCTACTTTTCTTTCGTGGCCCTGCTAGACTGCCCCACTAGGAAGCCTCTCTAGATCCTACCAGGCATAATAAACTGGATCATCATCTACACTCCCATGGGCATGCTGGAACTTTCCCATGGCACAAACTCTGGTTTCCCCAGTAGCTGTAACTAAAATCAGGTTTCCCTGACAACAGGAACCTTGTTTCATCCATCCATGTTCCTGGTGCCCAGCCGAGAGTAAGAAACAATAACTATGTGCTGAATATATTGGATGGAATAAGAAAGAGGGGGTCTGGGGGTCTGAGGGACCACCTCTCTAATAGTGGAGGGCAGCTGGACATGGATGGGAGTTGCTAGGATGCAGTGAGTGACCAATGGCCCTTCCCAAGAGATTAAAACCCTGTAAAAGGATGACAGCAACCTGAGTGTCCCCACTTTGAGTGCTGAACTAGTTACCAAAGACAAAGACCTCACCTACACACAGCAAATACATAGACATAGATATACTGCCATTCTTCCATTGTATCCATGGCAGATGTTACTAATCATTCCTGGCACTCACTTCCAATGAACCTCAGAATCCTTCTCCAGCACTACAAGCAACTACCAATCAAAGTCGATACACATGATAGGCTGGGCATGGTGGCTCACATCTGTAATCCCAGCACTTTGGGAGGCCAAGGCGGGAGGATCACCTGAGGACAGGAGATCGAGACCAGCCTAGCCAACAAGGCGAAAACCTGTCTCTACTAAAAATACAAAAATTAGCCAGGCATGGTGGCACATGCTTGTAGTCCCAGCTACTTGGGAGACTGAGGCATGAGAATCATTTGAACCCAGGAGGGGGAGGCTGAAGTGAGCCGAGATCATGCCACTGCACTCCAGCCTGGAGGACAGAGTGAGACTCAAAAAAAAAAAAGATACACATGACATAATCTATTTGCCATTTCCCATTAGCCAATGAACAGCTTGTTTCTCTTCCTGAAAAAAGGATAGATCTTACACTCCCAAAGAATCAGAGCCAGATAACAGCAACAAACTTATTGATCAGTTACTATATGGTAGCCATAGTTTTGTGGGTTTTTTGTTTTGAGACAAGGTCTCGCTCTGTTACCCAGGTTGGAGTGCAGTGGTGCAATCACAGCTCAGTGCAGCCTCAACCTCCTGGGCTCAAGTGATCCTCCCACCTCAGCCTCCCAAGTAGCTGGGACTACAGGCATACACCACTATGCCCAGCTAATTTTTAAACATTTTTTTGTAGGAATGAAGTCTCGCTATGTTGCACAGACTGGTCTTGAACTTCTGGGCTCAAGTGATCCACCCACCTTGGCCTCCCAAAGTGCTGGAGTTATAGGCTTGAGCCACAGCACCTGGAAGTAGGCATAGTTCTAACTGCTCTGTATGCATTAATTATTTCATCCTCACAAGACCCTGTGAGGAAGTTACTAACGCGTTATTATAGTAGGAAACCATGGCAGAAAGAGGTGATATAATTATCACAAAGCCATAAAATCATGAAGCCAGGCTTCTGACCCAGGCAGTCAGACTCTAGAGGCCTTGATGAATACTCTGTATTATTTCTGGTGAGCCCATTTAGATTTCTGCTGTTATACTTGGGGAAACTGAGCACCAGAGACAGTGCAGGCACTTGGCCTGTCACACGGCAAATCGGTGTGAACAAAGCTGAAGCTAGAAACTCATATTCCTCTTCCTGGGGCTCTCACTCTGTCCAGTAACAGACCAAGAGGGGTGCAGGGGTGGGGGTCTCACTCAGAACTGAAAAAGAGGGCTTTGGGGGCAGATCTGCCCTCCTAGGGCTCAGGGGCAGAAGGGAGAGAAACAGGGCTAGGGACCCACTTGCTTTCTGAGATCAAGCATCCTGAGATCAAGGTAGGGCTTTGAAGAAGGCAAACAGAATGGCAGGTCAGGGAAGGTTGGGGTGAATGCTCTTCCAGAACATTCTTGCCACCTTAGGCTTGCCCCCAGACAGGATCAGATCAGAGGATACACCTTTTTCTCATGCCTGGAGGTGAGTCTTTTTTTTTTTTTTTTTTTTGATAGAGTCTTGCTCTGTCACCCAGGCTGGAGTTCAGTGGCATGATCTCAGCTCACTGCAACTGTAGCCTCCACCTCCCGGATTAAAGGGATTCTCCTGCCTCAGTCTTCTGAGTAGCTGGGATTACAGGCATGTGCCACCACACCTGGCTACTTTTTGTATTTTTAGTAGAGACAGAGTTTCACCATATTGGTCAGGCTGGTCTCGAACTCCTGACCTCGTGATCTGCCCGCCTCGGCTCCCAAAGTGCTGGGATTACAGGCCTGAGCCACCGCGCCCGGCTGGAGGTGAGTCTCCAGGGGGCAGGAAAGCTCAAGAAACCCTCCTTGCTTGAGCTTTGGGCCAGAAGAAAAGGTGTATTTCCACCCTCTGGCAGGGACAGCAGGGAGAGCAGTATCCCCTGGTAGCCGACTCGGGTAGCACCCACCATTCTCCATGTATTCAGTGATGATGTAGATGGGCTCCTGGGTGACCACAGCGTAGAGCCGAACCAGCCGCTGGTGTTGCAGCTGCTTCATGAGGTTGGCCTCGGCCAGGAAGGCGTCCGGGGACATGCTGCCCTGCTTCAGGCTCTTCACCGCCACCTTCGTGTGCCCGTTGTAGTACCCTGGGTCGGGGAAGGGAAGGAGTGGGAAAGTCGCCAGGCAGCTGTCCTGGGACTCTCATCACCTCAGCGGCCCCTCCCGTTCCCCTCTTCCCAGGCAGTCCTGGAGGCCACACTCACCCATCCACACCTCCCCGAACTGTCCAGCCCCCAGCCGCTCCACCAGCTTCAGCGTCTCCCTGGGAACCTCCCACTCGTCCTCCCACCACGGCTTCTGGGGCTTCTGGGTCTGGCAGGGGCGGCTCAACCGTGTGCACAGCCCATCTGAAGCATCTGCGAGGACGAGGGAGGGGTGAAGGCTGTCAATAGGGCAGGCCTCGTATTGACACCACCTCCCCCACTTCTCCAAGCCCCCATCTAGGTGAAGTGGACTAGCAAGGGGGTGTGGGGCTGTCACCCAAACACTTGGGGCCGTAGGGTCAGGTTCCACACCTCACCCACTGCGGGGAATGGAGTAGGGCATTGAAAGATGGATGGGGGACACCTGAGGGGGACTGAGGGGAGATAGGCTGATAGGGCACGGGGGAGGGGTCCCGTCGGGCTCACTGGTGTAATGGCGGACCAGTTCATGCAGGCCGGGAAAAGTGATTCGAGGGGAGATGTAGAAGCCACCGTTGTCCAGATTACGGATCTTGTAATGTTTCACCACCTCTCCCTGGTTCTGGTCGAAGTCCCGGACCGACAGTGAAAACGATCCTGAATGAATGAATGGATGGACAAAGCGACGAAAGAACGCAGTGAGTCTGGCCCGCCACCGCGCCCCCACCTTGGGCTCACCCAGCACCCCCAACTCCGGGTCATCCCGCGCCCCCACCTCGGGCTCATCCCGCGTCCCCCTCCGACTCACCCCGTGTCTCCACCTCGGGCTCACCCTGCGCCCCCCCTCGGGCACACCCCGGGGCACCCCCGCGCCCGGTCGAGACCGCCGCCCGCTCACCCGCGGTGCTCTCGCTCTCCCGGATGAGGAAGGAGCCGTGAGTGTTCCCGGGCGCCAGGAGCTGCCGCTCCGCGTCCTTGCGGCTCAGGTTCTTGAAGAACCAGCTGTGCAGGGCGGAAGCGAACGAAGGCCGTCGGCTGTCGTCGGATCTTCCTCCGTGGCCCTCAAGCCTTCACCGCCACCCCAGGCCTACTCCCTGCTCCAGGATCCCTAGATCTGCTCCTACCCACCCCCACGACGGGTCCCCACTTACGGTTCGGGCTCCAGGCTGTTCGCTTTGGCCACAAAATTGAAGGGGATGAAGCCTTCCTGGCCCGTGGTCAGGGACTGCGCCTTCCACCACTCGCCGCTCCTGCGCCACGGAGGTGGGTCAGTGTGGCTCGCTCAGCCGTCGACCTGAGACCCTCCCTCAAAGACCCCTCCACCCCTTAAGCCAGCCTCCCCCAACCCTGGCTCAGCAATACTGAGCCTCGAATTTTGTCCCAAGGGCGGCCACCCCGAGCTGGTCAAGGGCCGCAGGAGGGCTGCGGGTCGCGGAGATCGCCGCTCCCTCACGGACTCCGCCAGAGCAAGGTGGAGAGGGACTCACTGCTCCAGGATGCGGAGCTGTTCCCCCTTCTCAAAGCCCAGATCTCCGTCGTGAGAGGGCTCATAGCTGTGCAGAGCGATAACCAGGTTGTCTGTAAAGACAAGGGGCATCAGGGAGAACCGAGCTGGGATCGGCAGGAAGCCTGGAGTTACAGGGTGGGGGACAAGGAAGGCAAGACCGGGGAGAAAGTAGGTGGGGGAGAGGTGGAAGCCAACAGCCAGGGATCCGCAGGCCTTGTCTTTCAGGCCCTGCTGCCTGGGGTCACCTTGCAGTGGGGAAGCCGGCGGATTGGAGCCTTCGTAGGTAACCAGTGGGTCCCGCACCTCAGAGCCATTTCGGATGAGCAGCTGTGGAGTGGGGGATGAGGGTGGGGTCAGAAAGCAGAAGATTGGGTCAGACCCTGGCCCCCTTCCCCCCTGCTCTGCTCTCAGCCTCTCCAGCCTGGTTAGATGTTATCCCTGAGTTTACCAACTACTTTCTGTGTGATCTTAGGAGATTCCCTTCCCCTCTCTGGGCCTCTTTTCCTTTCTGTATTTCAGGGGAGAGGGCCACTCTATTCTTTCAAGGGCCTGTAGTGCTGGTCATTTCTTTCTCCTGGGTTGCATTCTCTACCCAACTCCCTCACCAAGGCCCCTGTCTCGCCTCTTACCGTGCCCTTGCCATCCAGTGGGACTATGGGATAATGGCAGTTCTCACACACATCGATGTTTTCCATCCAGTCATCTTCCGGGTGTGAGCTGCAGCCACAGCCCATGGTCCCTGAGGGAATGGAAGAGGGGGCTGAAGGGGCTCCCCCAAGATCTGCTCCCCCAACATCAGATATAATGGGGCCTTGCCCTGGAAAGTTCCAAAAGTACCTGAGATTGTGAGATCCTGGGATCCCCATTCACCAGCCACAGAAAAGCTAAAATAGGGGGTCCCAGCTCCAAACCGGTGCTCCCTCTGAGCCCTCAGGCTACAAGTAAATTCACACACGGCCCCTGAGCCCTAGCCCCACCCTCCCACCTGGGATGGGCAAACCGCCACAGGCACCTTTGTTAGTCTAGTTACCCACTTCCTGCCTCTGCCCCCTCCCTCTCCCTCTGCCAGTACCCTGTGTTGGGAGGACCACCTCCTAGAGATGACACACACTTTCCCAAGCCTGGGAGAGACCTGACTTATCAGACCCTCCCCTACTGGAGAGGTGTGCACGCCACACCTCCTATTATAATTCCCCTGTCTAGCTGAGGAGGCTGAGAAAGAGGCTTCTGCTCCCGAAGTCCACCATCAAGCCCCCGCTGTTCCCCTCACACAGCCCACAGTCATCTCACAGGGTTCCTTCAAACACGGGCTTGCTTCTCCCCAGCAGAAAACCCTCCAGTGACTCTGTTGGCCATAACTTTTTTTTTGTTTATTTGCCTGTTTTAGCAGTGGAAATTTTTTGTCTGATGAAATCAAGCAGAACTCCATAGATAAAGTGATAAATGTGTGCCTGTTTTGCCTGAAGCAGAGTGGGGCCCTCACTTTGAAGCCCCCGGAGTCCCTGCAGCTCCTCCTTCTCTAGGGCTGCTCCTCAGAGTGCTTGGAAAGCGCTGTCCTCAAAGTTTAATGTACCATGCATTCCAGACCTTTCATATCAAGATGAAATCCACCTCCGCAGTCTATTCTGCCACACACACACTCTCTCACACACACACACTCACACACACCCTATACATATACACACCCTACACACACACACTCTCACACACACACACAGAGGCACCCCCTATCCCACCTCCACAGAGGCATCCACACACACACACTTTCACATAAACACACACACTCACCCCTCACAGGTACTCCCCCACACACTCACACACAGACTCACCCTCCCACACACAGGCACCCACACTCACACTCAGTAAACACATACACTCACCCTCCACAAGTGCCCCCCCACACACACACTCACCCCCCACACACAGGCACCCACTCTCACACACGTACCCACACACACATTCATGCACACACCCTATACATACTCCCCCTACACACACAGGCTCCCACACCCAGGAACACACACACTCGTCCACACACCCACACAGTCACACCCACATACACACACACACGCATTCACCCCCACACACACGCACTCACCCCACACACACACATTCTCCCCTCCCCAACACACATTCATACACACACACAGGCACCTCCACACACTCACCCACACCCATGCACACATCCACACACTCACCTTACACACACACACAGGCATCCCCTCCATAGATACCCCCACACACCCACACTCACACACACACAAACACCCACACACAGGCACCCCCACACACCCCCACACACACAGCCTGTGTTCTGAACTATTCTTGCCTTTCCCAAACACCCCATGCTATTTTCTTACTTAATGCCTTTGTACTTGTGGTTCTCCCTGCTTTGAAATGCGTGCGCTCTCTCGCTCTCTCTCTCTCTCTCTCTCTCTCTTTCTCTCTCTCTCTCTCTTTCTCTCTCTCTCTCTCTTTCTCTCTCTCTCTTGAGACAGGGTCTCCCTTCCTCTCCCAGGCTGAAGTGCAGTGGCGCAATCCCCTTAGACCTCCTGGGCTCAAGCAATCTTCCCACCTCAACCTCCCCAGTAGCTGAGACTAAAGGTGCACACCATCATGCCCAGCTGATTATTTTTTTGTAGAGATGAGGTCTCACTATGTTGCCCAGTCTGATCTCGAACTCCTGGGCTCAAGCAATCCTCCTGCCTTGGCCTCCCCAAATGCTAGGATTATAGGCATGCACCACCGAACCCAGTCGGCATGCTCTCTTTTGTCCAACTGCTGAATTCTAACTCAACCTTCAAGGCTCAGCTGAAATATTACCTTTTTTTTTTTTCCTGCAACCTCTACCTCCCAGGTTCAAGCAATTCTCCTGCCTCGGCCTCCTGAGTAGTTGGGATTACAGGCATGCACCATCACGCTTGGCTAACTTTTGTATTTTTAGTAGAGACAGGGTTTCACCATGTTGGCCAGGCTGGTCTCGAACTCCTGGCCTCAAGCAATTCTCCTGCCTCAGCCTCCCAAAGTGCTCGGATTACAGGCACCTGGCCTAAATATCACCTAGTCTGAAGACTTCCCAATGCTCTTTGCTTCCCTCTCACCCCAGTCTCCTGCAACATTCTATTCAGACCTCAATAATCAACTTAGACACAGAGTTCCATGATTACTGATTTACATGTCAGCCCCAGGGTCCCACTGCCTCTCCCATACCTTTGATGAGAGTGGGGGTTCATCAAGAGCAGAAGCTGTAGTTTATTTGTCTGAAAGCCACCAGCACCCAAAATTAGTTAATAAATGTCAACTGGAACATGCAGTGTTAATGCATAGAGTCTCCCATCTGCAAAGGTCTTAGAAACCAGCAAGCCTAATCTCCAATTTTATTATTTGTTGATTTATTTTTGAGATAAAGTGTCACTCTCTTGCCCAGACTGCAGTGCAATGACCCAATCCTAACTCACTGGAACCTCAAACTCCTGGGCTCAAGTGATCCTCTAACTTCAGCCTCCTGGGTAGCTGGCACCACTGAGCCCAGGTGATTTTTTATTTGTTCTAGAGATGGGGGTATTGCTATGTTGCCCGGACTGGTCTCAAATTCTTGGCTTCAAGTGATCCTTCCTTCTTGGCCTCCCAAAGTGCTGGGATTACAGGCATGAGCTGCCATACCTGGCTAAACCTCTGATTTTAGATGAGCAAACTGAGGCCCACAGAGGTATGCTTAAAGTCACACAACCTATTTGGAGTAGAGCAAAGCTGGAGTTGCTGGCCGGGCGTGGTGGCTCACATCTGTAATCGCGGCACTTTGGGAGACTGAGGCAGTAAGACCATTCAAACTCAGAAGTTCCAGACTAGCCTGGGCAACATAGTGAGACCTCATCTCTAGAAAAAAAATCAAAAAATTAGCCAGGTGTGATGGGGCATGCCTGTAGTTCCAGCTACTTGGGAGGCTGAGGCAAAAAGATCACTTGAGCCCAGGAGCTCAAGGCTGCAATGAGCTACGATTGTGCCACTGCACTCCAGCCTGGATAACAGAGCGAGAGCCTGTCTCAAAAAAAAAAAAAAAAAGGCCAGGCGCGGTGGCTCACACCTGTAATCCCAGCACTTTGGGAGGCCAAGGCGGGTGGGTCACAAGATTAAGGGATCGAGACCATCCTGGCCAACATGGTGCAACCCTGCCTCTACTAAAAATCCAAAAATTAATCGGGCTTGGTGGCAGGTGCCTGTAATCTCAGCTACTCAGGAGGCTGAGGCAGGAGAATCGCTTAAACCCAGGAGGTAGAGGTTGCAGTGAGCCGGAATTGCGCCATTGCACTCCAGCCTGGCAACAGAGTGAGATTCCGTCCGTCTCAAAAAAAAAAAAAAAAAAAAAAAAAAGTCCGGGCACGATGGCTCATTCCTGTAATCCCAGCACTTTGGGAGGCTGAGGCGGGTGGATCACGAGGTCAGGTGTTCAAGACCAGCCTGACCAACATGGTGAAACCCCGTGTCTACTAAAAATACAAAAATTAGCCAGGCATGGTGGCACACGCCTGTAATCCCAGCTACTCAGGAGGCTGAGGCAGGAGAATCACTTGAACCCGGGAGGCAGAGGTTGCAGTGAGCCGAGATCAAGCCACTGCACTCCAGCCTGGATGACAGAGCGAGACTCCATCTCAAAAGAGCAGGCTGGGCACGGTGGCTCATGCTTGTAATCCCAGCACTTTGGGAGGCCAAGGTGGGTGGATCACCTGGGGTCAGAAGTTCAAGACAACCAGCCTGGCC
Organism: Homo sapiens; assembly: GCF_000001405.40. NCBI lineage: Eukaryota > Metazoa > Chordata > Mammalia > Primates > Hominidae > Homo > Homo sapiens. Next base: position 32,270,305 of record NC_000001.11, on the reverse strand, counting down.
AACAATGGTGAAACCCTGTCTCTACTAAAAATACAAAAAAAAAAAAAAAAAAAAAGTTAGCTGGGCATGGTGGCTGGAGAATTGCTTGAACTCAAGAGGTGGAGGTTGCAGTGAGCCTAGATCCTGCCACTGCCACCGCACTGTTCACTCCAACTTGGGTGACAGAGACTCTGTCTAAAAAGAAAAAACAAAAGAGAGACAGAGAGAGAGAATTCATGCTGGGTCTAAGTGGAAGCAGGGAGCAGTGGAAGTTTCTCATTAGCAAAACTCAGAAGACTGTCCCCATAGTTAGAGACCTAAGTTCAAATAGCAATTTTGACACTTACTGTGTGACTTTGCTGAAATCATTCCTCCTAAGCCTCACTTTTCCTCTTCTGTCAAATGGGGCTCTTCATCCATTTCTCATAAGCTCACATGAATGTTAGCTTAGTTTAGTGCTTAGAAACACTTTCACCAGTGCACAATTCTGTCCTACCAACTCCTGCTTTGGAAGGTGGAAGAATGGGACTGGGTAATTAATCTCCTTTGCTTTAGACTCCTGTTTCTTTCTTTTTTCTTTTTTTAATAGAGTCTCGGCTGGGCGCGGTGGCTCATGCCTGTAATCCCAGCACTTTGGGAGGCTGAGGAGGGCAAATCACATGGTCAGGAGTTCGAGACAAGCCTGGCCAACATGGTGAAACCCTGTCTCTACTAAAAATACAAAAATTAGCTGGGCGTGGTGGTGCGCGCCTGTAATCCCAGCTTCTTGGGAGGCTGAGGCAGGAGAATTGCTTGAACCATGGAGGTGGAGGTTGCAGTGAGCTGAGACCACGCCATTGCACTCTAGCCTAGGTGACAGAGCAAGATACCATCTCAAAAGAAAAAAAAACAGACAGAATCTCACTCTGTCACCTAGGCTGGAGTTCAGTGGTGTGAACTTGGCTCACTGGAACCTCCACCTCCCAGGTTCAAGTGATTCTCCTGCCTCAGCCCCCTGACTAGCTAGGACTACAGGCATGTGTCACCACGCCCAGCTAATTTTTGTAATTTTAGTAGAGATGGGGGTTTCACCATGTTGGCCAGGGTGGTCTTGAACTCCTGACCTCAAGTGATCCACCCACCTCAGCCTCCCAAAGTGCTGGGATTACAGGCGTGAACCACCATGCCCAGCCTAGACTCCTGTTTCTTTTCTCTCTTTCCTTTTTTTTTTTTTTTTAGACTTGCTCTGTTGCCCAGGCTGGAGTGCAGTGGTGTGATCTGGGCTCACTGCAAGCTCTGTCTCTCCTCCCTCAGCCTCCCTAAGCAGGTGGGACTACAGGCGTGCACCACCACGCCTGGCTAATTTTTGTATTTTGTGTTTTGTATTTTTAGTAGAGACAGAGTTTTGCCACGTTGGCCAGGCTGGTCTCGAACTCCTGACCTCAGCCTCCCAAAGTGCTGGGATTACAGGCAATGAGCCACTGTGCCCAGCCCTAGACTCCTGTTTCTTTTCTTTTCTTTTTTTTTTTTTTTTGAGACGGAGTTTTGCTCTTGTTGCCCAAGCTGGAGTGCAATGGCACGATCTCGGCCCACCGCAACCTCTGCCTCCCAGGTTCAAGCGATTCTCCTACCTCAGTCTCCCAAGTAGCTGGGATTACAGGCATGTGCCACCACGCCCGGCTAATTTTGTATATTTATTTATTTACTTATTTATTTATTTACTTTTATGGGTATCTGGTAAGTATATATGTTTATGGGGTACATGATATATTTTGATAGAGGCATACAATGTGTAATAATCACAAAAGGGATAAATGAGCTATCCATCACCTCAAGCAAGCCTCTTATTATTATTATTATTATAAAAACTAGCTGGGCATGGTGGTGCATGCCTATAATCCCAGGTGCTTGGGAGGCTGAGGCAGGAGGATCACTTGAGCCCAGGAGTTCAAGGCCACAGTGAGCTACGATTGCACCACTGCACTCCAGCCTGGGTGACAGAACAAGACCCCTTGTCTAAAGTAAATAAATAAATGAATAATAATAATAAATTTTTTTAAGTTTTGAAAAGAAGCCCAACATACTGCCAGGCATTTGCATTTCTCTTTCTGCATTTGCATTTCTCTCATTACTTTTTTCTTTTTTATTTTTTTTGAGACAGAGTCTCACTCTGTCTCCCAGGCTGGAGTGCAGTGGCGCGATCTCAGCTCACTGCAACCTCCGCCTCCTGGGTTCAAGCGATTCTCCTGCCTCAGCCTCCCTAGTAGCTGGGACTACAGGCGCGTGCCGCCACACCTGGCTGATTTTTTATATTTTTAGTAGAGATGGGGTTTCATCGTGTTTGCCAGGATGGTCTCAATCTCCTCACCTTGTGATCCTCCTGCCTCGGCCTCCCAAAGTGCTGGGATTACAGGCGTGAGCCACTGTGCCCGGCCTTATTATTATTATTTTTTGAGACAGAGTTTCGCTCTTGTTGCCCAGGCTGGAGTGCAATGGTGTGATCTCGGCTCACTGCAATATCCACCTCCCAGGTTCAAGTGATTCTCCTGCCTCAGCCTCCCAAGTAACTGGGATTACAGGCGTGTGCCACCACACCCGGCTAATTCTGTATTTTTTAAGAGACTGGATTTCTCCATGTTGGTCAGGCTGGTCTCAATCTCTCGACCTCAGGTGATCTGCCCGCCTCGGCCTCTCAAAGTGCTGGGATTACAGGCATGAGCCACCATGCCCGGCCTAATTTTGTATTTTTAGTAGAGACAGGGTTTCACCATGTTGGTCTGGCTGGTCTTGAACTCCTGACTTCAGGTGATCTGCCCTCCTCGACCTCCCAAAGTGCTGGGACTACAGACGTGAGCCACCGTGCCCAGCTCGACTCCTGTTTCTTAAACTGAGATACTCAGCCTCCCATGGGTACCGGAAGTCATGTCATGGTGTGCATTTTTCCAGAGCATGAGTGTTTCCTGACCTTATTCATGTAAGTTAAACAAACATGACCTATTATGGAGGAAAATGCAAAATGTGCATGGAATTTTAAATCAAATCAAGAAACTTTCCAGGAAAAGGGTACGTATTCACTCTTTCCCCTACTGTTAGGAGTCCTGGGGGGAGGTGGACATTTGGGAAATCCTGCTAGACCAGAGTGCACCCATCTGTGACTGCAAATGACTTTTTGACTATTATAGCCTGAGAGTAATTAGCAACAAGAGCCCCCAGTAAAGGACTAACAGCAACCTGGAACTGGTCTCAGATAAGCTGAGCTGTTTTGTGAGGTAGTGAGCATCCTGTTGTTTGTGATAGTCGTATGAGCCTTAGGAAACCACAAGTTGGTTGTGTTGTAAAGAGAATACCAACATCAGATGGAATGTGGACTTAGACCAGTAAGGTCCCTGCCAGGCTTGACATTCTTGGAGCCTTTAGAAAAAGGCAAGAGAAAGATTGTAGAAGTTTGAGGTTAAGAAGAGGGAATGTATAGGAGGAAGGGAGAGATGGGAAAGAAGAAGAAGGAGGAGAAAGAAAGGGAGGGGGAAGGGGAGGGGGAGGGGGAGGAGGGGGAAGAGGAGGGGGAGGAGGGGGAAGGGGAGGGGGAGGGGAGGAGGGGGAAGAGGAGGGGGAGGAGGGGGAAGGGGAGGGGGAGGAGGGGGAAGGGGATGGGGAGGAGGGGGAAGGGGAGGGGGAGGAGAGGGATGAGGAGGGGGAGGAGGAAGAGGAGGAGGAGGTGAAGGAGGAGAGGAGGTGGTGGTGGCGGAGGAGGAGGAGGAGGAAGAAAGGGCGTAGTAGCTCAGGCCTATAATCTCAGCCCTTTTGGAGGCTGAGGCAGGAGGATCTCTCTTTTTTTTTTTTTTTTTTGAGACAGAGTCTCGCTCTGTTGCCCAGGCTGGAGTGCAGTGGCGTGATCACGACTCATTCACTGCAAGCTCTGCCTCCTGGGTTCACGCCCTTCTCCTGCCTCAGCCTCCCGAGTAGCTGGAACTACCGGCGCCCGCCACTGTGCCCGGCTATTTTTTTTTTTTTGTATTTTTAGTAGAGACGGGGTTTCACCATGTTAGCCAGGATGGTCTTGATCTCCTGACCTTGTGATTTGCCCGCCTCAGCCTCCCAAAGTTCTGGGATCACAGGCGTGAGCCACCGTGCCCGGCCAGGAGGATCTCTTGAGCCCAGGAATTAGAGACCAGTGCCTGGGTAACACAGTGAGACCTTATCTCTACAAAAAAAATCTGAAAATTAGCAGGGCATGGTGGTGCGCCCCTGTAGTCCTAGCTACTCAGGAGGCTGAGTGGGGAGGATCACTTGAGCCTGGGAGGTTGAGGCGGCAGTGAGCCGTGAACACGCCACTGCACTCCAGCCTGGATAACAGAGCAAGAGAGCAACACCCTGTCTCAAAACAAGGCCGGGTGCTGTAGCTCATGTCTGTAATCCCTTTGGGAAACCAAGGCAGGAGAATTGCCAAGAGTTTCAGACCAGCCTGGGCAACGTAGCAAGACTCAGTCTCTATATAAAGGAAAAAAAGAAGAGGAAGAAGAAGGAGGAGGAGAAGGAGAAGAGATAAACTATGGTGCAACAGTGAGAAAAGGCCAGTAGAAGAAGCAGAAGGAATCTAGGTTGGAGATCATGGGGCTGGAAGCTGGTACCTGGTCCAGGCTGGGGTCAGGTGGGGAGGGAAAAGGAATCACAAGGCCTTGGGCTAGGATCCAGGAAAGCATGCAAGGCAGGTCCTAGATTCTGGACTGAATCTGGGCCAGAAAATCCCCGACTTAAGACTGGGCAAAAAGTGAGAAAAAGTCAGCCTATGTTAAATTAAGATCAGAGGAACTCTAGCTTTGCAGGGTATCTGGCCTCTACTGTTTCCTCTATGGCCCCCCAGCTACAGGTGGCAGTTCCTGCCCTCTATAAGCATGTGAGCTTTGGAGGATAGGGCCTGGCAGCAATCGTAAGTCCATAGGATCTGGCAATGCCAGAAATGTTTGTAGTCAGAGGCTCCCAGCCTGAAGTTTACATGCTCCCAGGAAGTCCCAGGCTAGTGCCGGGGAGGCCTTTAGGTTATTTTAATATTTCAAAAATCTGAAAGGAAATTCCACTATACTTTGTTTCTTGTTTTGACAAATTGTATTATTTATTTCTTCATTGCATACTTAATTAAATCGCTGATTACATTTTTTTTTTTTTTTGAGACAAAGTCTCACTCTGTCACCCAGGCTGGAGTGCAGTGGCGCAATCTTGGCTCACTGCAACCTCCGTGCCTCAGCCTCCCGAGCAGCTGGGATTACAGGCACGTGCCGCCACGCCCAGCTAATCTCTCTATTTTTAGTAGAGATGAGGTTTCACCATGTTGCCCAAGCTGGTCTTGAACTCCTGACCTCAGGTGATCCACCTGCCTCGGCCTCCCAAAGTGCTGAGATTACAAGCGAGAGCCACTGTGCCCAGCCAAATCTTTGATTAAAATGTAAACTTGAGGCCAGGTGCAGTGACTCACACCTGTAATCCCAGCACTTTGGGAGGCTGAGGAGAGAGGATCGATTGAGCCCCGGAGTTTGAGACCAGCCTGGGCAACGTGGTGAGACCCTTTCTCTATTAAAAGAAAAATTTTTTTAACTTGAAAATAAGAAAATTTGCATCTAAATGAGGTAGCTTAGTAGGTAAAAACTTTAAAATCATGAGATCCATGTGGGGAAGAGGGAGTGTAGAACAGGGAATGGTAAAAGACACTTTGTCTTCACAAGAGTTTAGGAAACACAAATACAGTTCATCAGCCTCATTTTAAAACTGGGGAAAAGGAGAGGTTCAGTGATTGTCCCAATAATACACTGAGGGTTCCTGGCAGATGCAAAACTCATATCAAAACCTTACATCCTTTTTTTTTTAGACGAGGTCTCACTACGTTGCCCAGGCTGGTCTCTAACTCCTGGGCTCAAGCGCTTCTCCCACCTCAGCCTCCCAAATAGCTGGGATTGCTGGCATATGCCTGGCTTGGCTCCTACATCCTTTATCAAGATCCTCTCCTCTACTTTTCACTCCCTGGAAAGTCTAAGGGTGGAGGGGGAGGGCTGAGAGGTCTAGGAGAATGTGAGGCAGGAAGGCAGGTCTGACAGGGTAGGGTCCATTTCCCATCAAAAATTTGACCACTGTGCTGTTAACAAAGGCTTTTCTCTTCAAGACAATCCCCCCTCTACCTGGAATGCACGTTTCTGGGTATATATTTACCTGCCTGTTGAATGCAAGTCTGTGCATATGAAAACATATGCAGTGAGCCCTGTGCTTATGGGTGCATATCTGTGGGTTTGCAGGAGTCTGTGTGTGCAGAGGGATATATAACAGAATGAGACTATGAATAGCAGCGACCGTCCCTATGTAATTGTGAAGTCATATAGGCATACATCTGTTTATACAAAATGTGGGTATACCCCATCCTTCCGGTCTTCTTCTTTTTTTTTTTTTAAACAGGGTCTTGCTCTGTCGCACAGGCTGGAGTGCAGTGCAGTGGCACTGTCTCAGCTCACTGCAAACTCCTGCCTCCTGTGCTCAAGGGATCCTCTTACCTCAGCCTCCTGAGTAGTGGGGACTGCAGGCCCATGCCACCAAGCCTGACTAATTTTTGTGTTTTTTGTAATGATGGGGTTTCACCATGTTGGCCAGTCTGGTCTTGAACTCCTGGGCTCAAGTAACCTGCCACCTTGGCCTCCCAAAGTGCTGGGATTACTAACCTGCCACCTTGGCCTCCCAAAGTGCTGGGATTACAGGCATAAGCCACCATGCCCAGCCTTTTATTTTTACTTTTTTGCAGTGACAAGGTTTCACCATGTTGCCCAGGCTGGTCTCAAACTCATGGGCTCAAGCAGTCCTCCCACCTCAGACTCCGAAAGTGTTGGGATGGCAGGCATGGGCCACCATGCCCAGTCTAATTTTTATTTATTTATTTATTTATTTATTTATTTATTTATTTATTTATTTTATTTATTTTGAGACGGAGTCTTCCTCTGTCCCCCAGGCTGGAGTGCAGTGGCACAATCGCAGCTGACTGCAACCTCCACATCCTGGGTTCAAGCAATTTCTCCTGTTTGAGCCTCCCAAGTAGCTGAGATTACAGGCATGCACCACCATGCCCGCTAATTTTTATTATTTTTAGTAGAGACAGGGTTTCACCATGTTGGCCAGGTTGGTCTCGAACTCCCAACCTCAAGTGGCCTGCCCACCTCCGCTTCCCAAAGTGCTGGGATGACAGGCATGAGTCACCAGACCTGGCCTGTGGCCTTTTTATAATCATCACAAAATGTTCTGTGGACCACGGGCAGCCTTAAGTTTGACTGAGAACATTACATGCCCTAGTCAGAGGCAGCCTCGAATCTATGAAATTCTTACTCGTGACCTTGGATTCCTAAATTGGGAGAAAAGAATGTCCTGTTTCATTCACCCCAGAATCTGCCCTCATTGCTGGTTCTGGGAGCCCTGGGGATTCCTTTCATCTGTTTTTTTTTTTTTTTTTTTCTCCCTTCCTCCACTTCTTTCTTTCAGACAATGAGAAATTTATATTAAGCTTTAATTTTGATTTTCTTTTTACTGACCTCATTTATTAACCTGGTTAGATCATGTTGGCTACTCAGCAATCTTTATCAAACTAAGACCAGAAGGAGTCTGGGCATGGTGACTCACGCCTGTAATCCCAGCACTTTGGGAGGCTGAGGCAGTAGGACTCCTTGAGCCCAGGAGTTCGAGAGCAGCCTGACCAACATGGTGAAACCCCGTCTCTACTAAAAATACAAAAATTAGCCAGGTGTACTAGGCGCATGCTTGTAATCCCAGCTACTCAGGAGGCTGAGGCAGGAGAATCGCTTGAACCCAGGAGACAGAGGTTGCAGTGAGCCGAGATCGCGCCATTGCACTCAAGCCTGGGTGACAGAACTAGACTCCATCAAAAAAAAAAAAAAGAAAAGAAAAAGAGATTCTCCTGCCACAGCCTCCCAAGTAGCTGGGATTATAGGCACGCACCACCACACCCAGCTGATTTTTGTATTTTTAGCAGAGATGGGGTTTCACCATGTTGGCCAGGCTGGTCTCAAAATCCAGTCCTCAAGTGATTCACCTGCCTCGGCTTCCCAAAGTGCTGGGATTACAGGTGTGAGCCACGGCACCCGACCATGCTCAGCTATATAATTAGTGGCCGGCGTCCGGCTACCGGGGGCCGTGGCTCACACCTGTAACCCCAGCACTTTGGGAGGCCGAGGCAGGTGAATCACTTGAGGTCTGGATTTTGAGACCAGCCTGGCCAACATGGTGAAACCCCATCTCTACTAAAAATACAAAGATTATCTGGGTGTGGTGGCACGTGACTGTAGTCCCAGCTACTTGAGCTACTTGGGAGGCTGAGGCAGGAGAATCTCTTTTTTTTTTTTTTTTTTTTTTTCTGACAGAGTCTAGTTCTGTTGCCCAGGCTGGAGTGCAATGGTGTGATCTCGGTTCACTGCAACCTCTGCCTCCCAGGTTCAAGCGATTCTCCTGCCTCAGCCTCCGGAGTAGCTGGGATTGGAGGCATGCGCCTAGTATGCCCGGCTAATTTTTGTATTTTTAGTAGAGACGGGGTTTCACCATGTTGGTCAGGCTGGTCTTAAACTCCTGACCTCATGATCTGCCCACCTCGGCCTCCAAAGTGCTGAGATTACAGGTGTAAGCCACCACACCTGGCCCTTTTTTTTTTTTTTTTTTTGAGACAGAGGACAGAGTCTCACTGTGTCGCCCAGGCTAGGGAGCAGTGGCACGATCTCGGCTCACTGCAACCTCCAACTCCCAGGTTCAAGTGATTATCCTGCCTCAGCCTCCCAAGTAGCTGGGATTACAGTCACGTTCCACCAGGCCCAGCTAATTTTTGTATTTTTAGTAGAGACGGGGTTTCACTATGTTGGCTAGGCTGGTCTTGAACTCCTGACTTCGTGATCCGCCCACCTCGGCCTCCCAAAGTGCTGGGATTACAGGCTTGAGCCACCACCATGCCCGGCCAGCAGGAGAATCTCTTGAACTGGGGAAGCGGAGGTTGCAGTGAGTGGACATCACGCCACTGCACTCCAGCCTGGTCCATGGAGTGAGACTCTGTCTCAAAAAAAAAAAAAAAAAAAAAAAAATTAGCCAAGCATGATGGCGTGATGGCATTTGCCTGTAGTCCTAGCTACCCAGGAGGCTGAAGTGGGAGGATCACTGAGCCCAGGAAGTCAAGGCTGCAGTGAGCCGTGATTATACCACTGCACACCAGTCTGGGCGACAGGGGACCCTGTCTCAAAAAAAGAAAAAATTAATTAAATTAAATTAAAAAAAATTTTTAAGTTAACATTTTTTCTCCTCCAACTATAGACCTATTGATTTATTGAACATTTTGTCCAAAATGTGTGCCAGCTTCGTGGCTGAGTTTCTTGGGCCAATGCTTTACATCAAGAACAGGCAGGTGGTCGGATGCAATGGCTCACGCCAGTAATCTCAACATTTTGGAAGGCCAAAGTGGAAGGATCACTCGAGGCCAGGAGTTCAAGACCAACCTGGGCAACATGGTGAGAACTCATCTCTACAAAAAATACAAAAATTAACCAGGTGTGGTGGTGCACGCCTGTAGTCCTAGCTACTCAGGAGGTTAAGGTAGGAGGATCGCTGAGCCCAGGAGGTTGAGGTTGCAGTGAGCCAATATCATACCACTGTACTCTAGCCTGGGGGAAAGAGCAAGAACCTCTCTCAAACAAAACAAAACAAACAAAGCAACACAAAAAACAGCAGACAAGACTATACTTCCTTTAGGGATCATTTCTTTAGTTCAGTTTCTCTGAACATGTAGAGCACAAAAAGTAAAAAAGAAAAAAGAACAAGCAGACTATTCTACTGCAGACCATTGTTGTACTCTGGACCACCTCATGGCAAAATCTGTCAGAAATCATTTAGAATAGCCAGGGCTGGAGGCTCACGCCTGTAATCCTAGGGCCGAGATGGGAAAATCACTTGAGCTCAGAAGTTCAAGACCAGCCTGGGCAACATAGTGAGACTTTGTCTCTGTAAAAATAAAAATAAAAGGCCAGGCGCAGTGGTTCACACCTGTAACCCCAACACTTTGGGAGGCTGAGGTGGGTGGATCATGAGGTCAAGAGATCGAGACCATTCTGGCCAACATGGCGAAACCTCATCTCTACTAAAAATACAAAAAATTAGCTGAACGTGGTGGTGCACACCTGTAGTCCCAGCTACTCGGAAGGCTGAGGCAGGAGAATTGCTTAAACCCGGGACTGCACTCCAGCGTGGCGACAGAGCAAGACTCTGTCTCAAAAATAAAATAAAATAAAATAAAAATAAAAATAAAATTAAAAAAAAATGAATCATTTAAAACATTTTCTTCGCCTTTGCCCCGACCCAGACTTGATTAATGACAAAGCTGCCCATGTTCAATAAAGAGCCTTAGCTATTCATGCCCACATAGAACCCTCATGACAATATCAAGCAATATCAAGAATCAGGGCTAGCAGGCATGGCAAATAATTTCTTTCTTTATTTTATTTTATTTTGAGACAGGGTCTTGCCCTCTTGCTCTCTTGCTCTCTTGTGCCACTGGAGTGCAGTGGCAAAATCACAGCTCACTGAAGCCTCGACCTCCCGGGCTCAAGCAATCCTCCCACCTCAGCCTCCTGAGTAACTGGGACAACAGGCATGTGCCACCACGCCTGGCTATTATTATTATCATTATTATTATTATTATTATTTTTATTTTTTTAGATGAAGTCTCACTCTATCGCCCAGGCTGGAGTGCAGTGGTGCAATCTCGGCTCACTGCAACCTCTGCCTCCCAGGTTCAAGCAATTATCCTACCTCAGCCTCCCGAGGAGCTGGGACTACAGGCGTGTGCCACCACACCTGGCTAATGTTTGTATTTTTAGTAGAGATGGGGTTTCACCATGTTGGCCAGGGTAGTCTAGAACTCTTGGCCTCAAGTGATCTGCCTGCATTGGCCTCCCAAAGTGTGGGATTACAGGTGTGGCATGAGCCACCGCACCCAGCCTCCAGCTATTTTTTTTTTCTTTTTCTTTTTCTTTTTTTTTTTTTACCTGAGAAGCTGTGAATGAGAGGGCCCGGGTAATTTTTGTATTTTTTTAATTTTTGTAGAGACAGGGTTTTGCCATGTTGCTCAGGCTAGTCTCAAACTCCTGAGCTTAAGCAATCCACTGCCTCAGCCCCTTAAAGTGCTGGGATTACAGGCATGGGCTACCGTGCCCCGTCAGTAATTAATTTCTAGTGGGTAAATCAGGGATGTGTCCTGGGCTACCTCCTTTTTCATATTTGTTTAAATACATAATACTTTTTTTTTTTTTGAGATGGTATCTCACTCTGTGGCCCAGACTGGAGTGCAGTGACACAATCATGGCTCACTGCAGCCTCGACCTCCCATAGCTCAGGTGATCCTCCTACCTCAGCCTCCTGAGTAGCTGGCACTATGGGTGGGCAACACCACGCCTGGATAATTTTTGTATTTTTAGTAGGGACAGGGTCTCACCACGTCACACAGGCTGGGTTTTTTTTTTTTTTTTTTTTGAGACGGAGTCTCGCACTGTTGCCCAGGCTGGAGTGCAGTGACGTGATCTCAGCTCACTGCAACCTCCACCTCCCAGGTTCAAGCGATTCTCCTGCCTCAGCCTCCCGAGTAGCTGGGATTACAGGCACCCGCCACCATGCCTAGCTAATTTTTTGTATTTTTAGTAGAGACGTGTTTTTTAGTAGAAACTAATTTTAGTTTCACTATGTTGGTCAGGCTGGTCTCGAACTTCTGATGTTGTGATCCACCTGCCTCCGCCTCCCAAAGTGCTGGGATTACAGGTGTGAGCCACTGCGCCCAGCCTGGTTTTTTTTTTTTTTTTTAAAGAGATGGAGTCTCACATCTCACTCTGTCACCCAGGCTGGAGTAGTACAGCACATGATTGTAGCTCACTGCAACCTGAAACTTCTGGCCTCAAGTAATCCTCCCACCTCAGCCTCCCGAATAGCTGGGATTACAGGCAGGAGCCACTGCACCTGGCTTTAATTCCGCTCTCTCTCTTTTTTTTTTTTTTCCTTTAGAGATGGGATCTCACTCTGTTGCCCAGGCTGGAGTGCGGTGGCATGATCATGGCTCACTGCAGCCTCAACCACCTGGGCTCAAGTGATCCTCCCACCTCAGCCTCCTGAGTAGCTGGGACCACAGGTACACACCACCAAGCCCAGTTAATTTTTTTATTTTTTGTAGAGACGGGGTCTGCCTATGTTCCCCAGGCTGGTCTTGAGCTCCTGGGCTCAAGCAGTCCCCTTGCTTTGGCCTCCCAAAATGCTGTGATTATAGGTGCAAGCCACCACACCTGGCTTAATACCTTTTTTGAATGAACTCTGTAGCCTCTCGACACAGAGAGAACAAAAAAAAAAGCATTATTTTGGATGCAAACAAAATGGATTTATTTTCACAAATTGGGAGTGTCTTGAACATAGAACTGATTCTGCTAGTCAAGTATCGCTATAAATAAGGGATATAGAGCAATTATTCTAATTGGTATTTTAGTAGAAGTCCCCCAACCAGTAACGTGAATATACCTGATAATCCCTTTTACTGAGTCCGCTCCCTTGGGTACTTTGGTGTGCTTTTTGTATCATGGACAGTTTTATTAGGATGGAGCCTTACTTACAGCTTGGCAATCCACACTGCTTTATAAACGTTTCTGGGAGTCTGGCAGCTCTGGAAGCTCAGTTCACCATGTCCATGCCATGGCAACCCAAATTCAATCCAGGTTCTCCCAATCACTTGCTGGCAGAAGGGCACCAGGCGTGGTGGTTCACACCTATAATCCCAGCACTTTGGGAGGCTAAGGTGGGCAGACAGATACGTGAGCCCAGGAGTTTGAGACCAGCCTGGGCAACATGGCAAAACCCCGTCGGTACAAAAAAAATACAAAAATTAGCCGGACTTTGTGTCCCATGCTTGTGGTCCCAGCTACTTGGGAGGCTGAGGTGAGAGGATCACCTGAGATTGGGGAGGTCAAGGCTACAGTTAGCCAAGATTGGGCCACTACGCTCCAGCCTAGGCGACAGAGCAAGACCTTGTCTCAAAAAAACAAAAAAAACAAAAAAAAAAAAAACAAGACTTACTGGCAGAAGGTTGTTGGGCAGCTTACTAAACCTCTGCACTTCCCTCAGTTCCTTCATCAGCAAAATGATGACAAAAATAAGACTTGCATCTAAGGCTGGCTGTGGTGAGCATTATACGTGATATATAGATGATCTCATATAATAAAATGCTTAACATAGTGCTTGCTACATAGACACTGGCCTTAAACATCTTTCAGGCTAAAATGATTGATCATTTTCATTTTCCTTCATGATTTTTGGCACTTCCACGGGCTACCTTTTCACGTTTGATATATGTACCTAAAATGGAAACTTTACTACCATAAATGGAAAACCAGAATCATGAGACATAAATAGAAGTGAAACAACAGCGCACACTAAAATAAACACATAAATTAACATTCGTAAATGGTCATCCATTATCCCCTAAAATCACTTACACACCTGAGTGGTGTACAGGTCATATTTTAGGAAATGCCACACTGCAAGAGAGAACTTTGGGCTTAGGCTGCTGCTTGTGGATTAAAGGAGCTGGCCTATTGACAAAAATGTAATGGGTGAGGTAGGACGATTGCTTGAGACCATACATAGTGTGAGTGCAGCTTGGGCAAAATAGTGAGATCTTATCTCCACACACTTTTTTTTTTTAAGACAGAGTTTTGCTCTTGTTGCCCAGGCTGGAGTGCAATGGCACGATCTCGGTTCACTGCAACCTCCACTTCCCGAGTTCAAGCAATTCTCCTGTCTCAGCCTCCCAAGTAACTGGGATTACAGGCGCCTGCCACCACGCCTGGCTAATTTGTTGTATTTTTAGTAGAGACAGGGTTTCACCATGTTGGCCAGGCTGGTTTCAAACTCCTGACCTCAGATGATGCACCCACCTCACCCTCCCAAAGTGTTGGGAGTTTAGTAGAAACCCCATTTCTACTAAAAATACAAAAGTTAGCCGGGCTTGGTGGCATGTGCCTATAGTCCCAGCTACTTGGGAAGCTGAGGCAGGAGAATTGCTTGAACCCGGAGACAGAGGTTGCAGTGAGCTGAGATAGTGCCACTGCACTCCAGCCTGGGTGACAGAGCAAGACTCCATCTATAAATAACTAAATAAATAAATAAATAAATTGTATTGTTATTATTATGTTTTAATAGAGACGGGGTGTTGCTATGTTGCCCAGGCTAGTCTTGAATGCCTAGTCTCAAGAGATCTTCCTGCCTCAGCCTCCCAAAGTATTGGGATTATAGGCATGAGCCACTGTGCCTGGCCAAGAATTTTTTTATAATTAGCTGGGCATGGTGGTACACATCTGTAGTCCTAGGCTACTCAGGAAGCTGAGGTGGGAGAACCACTCAAGCCCAGGTGTGTGAAGTTACAGTGAGCTATGATCACACCATGTGCCCCAGCCGGGGCAACAGACTGAGACACTGTCTCAAAAAAAAAAAAAAAAAAAATAAATTTAATGGGTACCTCCTATGTGCCAGATTCTGACCTAGAGCTGAGGATGCAGAAGTAAGCAGACAGAGAGCGTCCCATGCATTTGGCCCTGCCCTCTGTGACAGAGGTGGGTGCCCCTCTGGTGGGTCACTTCATTTTCACAGGAGGCTATAAGGCTTGTAGTTAGCTCACTGATCAATAATATCTGTGACTGCCGACAACATGGCCGCACATGACAGCAACACTTGCCAGGAAGTAACATTTCAAAATCACCACCGTTAACCATTTACCAAGCTAACGTTTAGTGAAACAGTTAAAAGGATGAGGTATTTTGTATTGACATGTATTGACACGGAAAGACATCCCGCATACACCATGGCAAGCAAGTTGCAGAACAGAATGCAGAGTATATGCCTATTTGCATTGACATATGTATACAGGGGATTCTTTTAAATAAGCTCTGTGCTAAGCCTTTATTTGCATTATTTCATGTAATTCTCATAATAATCCTATGAAGTGCTATTATTATCCCCATTTTACAGATGCAAAGACTGAGGCCCAAACCAGGTAAAATGATTTGTCTGAGGCCTCATAACAAACAAATGAGCAGTGGAGTTGTGAAGTGAGTCCCGGTCTGCCAGCCTGCAGAGACTAGACTTAACCTCCATGTTTTTCAGCAGCCATACATGGGAAAATCTGGAAGGACACACACCAAATTTTTCACGATGGGCATATCCCAGAAGTGGGATTGGAGGAGGCTGCATTTCTTGTATTTCTTTATATGCCTCTTACTGTTTGAGTTTTAAATTTTATTTTTTTTTTAAATAATTAAATAGAGATGGGGTCTGCCTATGTTGCCCAGGCAGGTCTCAAACTCCTGGGCCCATGTGATCCTCCCATCACGGCCCCCCAAAGTGCTAGGATTACAGGTGCGAGCCACTGTGCCTGGCCTGTTTGAGTGTTTTTAAAACAGCAATGTGCTAATTTTGTAATTAGAAACAAAAACAGCCGGGCGAGGTGGCTCATGCCTGTAATCCCAGCACTTTGGGAGGCTGAGGCAGGCGGATCACCTGAGATCGGGAGTTCAAGATCAGCCTGACCAACATGGAGAAACCCCATCTCTACTAAAAACACAAAATTAGCCGGGCGTGGTGGTCCATGCCTGTAATCCCAGCTACTCGGGAGGCTGAGGCAGCAGAATCACTTGAACCAGGGAGACGGAGGTTGCAGTGAGCCAAGCTCGCACCACTGCACTCCATCCTGGGCAACAAGAGTAAAACTCTGTCTCAAAAAAACAAAAAACAAACAAACCAAAAAAACCCCACAAAACTTAGCCAGACATGGTGGCACACGCCTGTAATCCCAGTTACTGGGGAGGCTAAGGCAGGAGAATCACTGGAACCTGGGAGGTGGAGGTTTACAGACATGCACCACCATGCCTGGCTAATTTTTTGTATTTTTAGTGGAGATGGGGATTCACCATGATGGCCAGGCTGGTTTCGAACTCCTGACCTCAGGTGATCCACCTGCTTTGGCCTCCCAAAGTGCTGGGATTACAGGCGTGAGCCACTGCACTCTGCCGTGTTTATTTTTTAGAGACAGAATCTAGCTGTGTCACCCAGGCCAGAGTGCAGTGGAGCGATCACAGCTCACTGCAGCCTCAAACCCCTAGCTCCAGATACTTTAAAATCAACACTGAGGTTGATTGTGAGAGGCCCCATTACTGGATGGTACCTTGGTCCCACCTGCTCCTCACCACCTACCCCACCCCACCCCACTGAGAATTACTTTCACTGAATTGAGCTTGGCCTTGAAGCCATCAGCTCGTGGGTGTGTGCATGGAGTTATAGGATGTAGTCTGTGTTTTATGTGTAGCCCCTGCCCTGCCTCTGAACACATCTGTACACGTAGATTTTCCCATGATATGTATGGTGTTTTGGCTTGTGTGTGTGTGTGTGTGTGTGTGTCTGTGTGTGGCTGCGTGAGAGACCCTCTTCTAAAGTAGATCCCATGGCCCCGCTCAGAGTCCAGCCTGCCTGAGTTCTCACACTCCTCACACTGTATACAGGAAACAGGCTGATTTGCAAAGCCACACCACAAGTGTGAGGGAATGGGTGGTTCACTGGCCCACCAAGGTGCTGAGTGGGCATAATTTGGGTGTGGACAGCCCTCCCTTTGGTGCATCATTTGCAGGGGGAGGGAGTGCCCCACCTCCCTTAAACACCTACTATGTGCTGGCCAGGTGCGGTGGCTCATGCCTGTAATCCCAGCACTTTGGGGGGCCGAGGTGGGCGGATCACGAGGTCAGGAGATCGAAACCATCCTGGCCAATATAGTGAAACTCCATCTCTACTAAAAATGCAAAAATTAGCTGGGCATGGTGGCGCGCCTGTTAATCCTAGCACTTGGGAGGCTGAGGCAGGAGAATCACTTGAACCCGGGAGGCATTTTTGTTTGAGATGGGGTTTCGCTCTGTTGCCTAGGCTGG
Organism: Homo sapiens; assembly: GCF_000001405.40. Taxonomy (NCBI): domain Eukaryota; kingdom Metazoa; phylum Chordata; class Mammalia; order Primates; family Hominidae; genus Homo; species Homo sapiens. Next base: position 32,253,329 of record NC_000001.11, on the reverse strand, counting down.
AGTGCAATGACTCGATCTCTGCTCATTACAACCTGTGCATCCCGGGTTCAAGCAATTCTGCCTCAGCCCCCTGAGTAGCTAGGATTACAGGCACCTGCCACCACGCTCGGCTAATTTTGCATTTTTAACGAAGACAGGGTTTCACCATGTCGGCCAGCCTGGTCTCAAGCTCCTGGCCTCAAATGATCTGCCCGCCTCAGCCTCCCAAAGTGCTGGGATTACAGGTGTGAGCCACCGTGCCCAGCTTGATTATTGCCTCTTTACAGATAAGTAAACTGAAGCTCAGAGAGAGAGATGAAGCCACTTGCTCAAGGAAATGGTCCAGCGGAATTGTGACTGGGTCGGCCTGTCTCTGAAATGCACATTCTCTGCTCCACACCACACCTGTGGGCTCTCTGGCCTTTGGTCTTGCTCTGAGGTCTCTGCCCTCGTGGTACCCAAGGAACAGAATCCAGGGATAGTGACCTTGGCTTCATGTCCTACGCACTCTTGAAAATGGGTCTTTCTCCTTCTCAGAACTGTCTTGACTCTTGCAGGAAGCTTTCCAGATCTTAAGAGACACCTTCTCCCCTCCTCTGAACCAATGCTCAGCCTGTTCTTGGCCCTTGTCCACTTGGCCCTTCTCTCTTTGAGAAGAGCCTCTGTTCCTGGGGCCCAAGAGCAAGGGACCCTGTCTGATTCGTCTGTCAGCATAGGGCTGGGTGGAAGGAACTGCTCATGCCTGTCCAGGGTGAATGACCCTCCCTGAAGTGCGAGGAGAGCCACCATGTTCCCTAGCCCCCACAAGAGGCTACAGGACTTGGAGCTGTAGACAGGAGAAAGGCTGGGACCAGCTGACTAGGCGGAAAGTGTGTGTCAAGAAAAACTCCAACGAAGCAGGGGAAACCTGGAAATCTGGCTGAGTGAGGACTTCCCAAAAAAATTAAGGCTCAGAGTTAAAAAGTGAGGAGGTGAGCAGGTAGCAACTATGCCTCCCCAGTCTCTCTCCACCTCCCTGGGGTTTGAAGCAGGAATCAGCAAAACCAACTGGCCCTACACAGGCAGGGCTGAAGCGGGAGGGAGCCAGGGGCGAGGGGAGGACATCCTGCTGTGACGCTTGGCAGGGGCAGGAATGGTGACTTTCCAGATGGAAGTTCAGCGCTTCCTCACCCAGGACCAACTGCACCCCTGTCTGGGATAAAAATAGTACTTCCTCTTCCTTTCTCCCATCATTCTCTTTCACTTCCAACTTCCCATACTCAGATCAGATATGTCCATCCACCCTGGAGCTCCATCCCAGATGATGGACACCCCCACACATATCAGTTCACGCCCATCAGGAGATTCTTCCCTCGATCGCTGAGGCTAAAATCACTCCTCGCATGTCCATCTGGATGCCTTGGGTGATCTCTGTCTCTCTCTCTCTCTCTCTCTCTCTCTCTCTCTCTCTCTCTCTTTCTCAGGAGATTCTTGTCACTGGGGTCTGCCCCAGAAACCAGAAGGATTCCTGGGTCCTCTGAGTCCAGCCTGTCCATCACCCTGCTCCAGGCGGGGTGGCCACAGCCTCAGCCATCACTCTCAGCCCTGCCACTGCCTTGCTGAGAAACCGTGGGCAGTGAGTGCCTTGTTCTCTCTGGGCCTCAGGAGCCTCATCCTCATGGCCTGAGGGACTGGGCTTGGTGGTTTCTGGAAGCCTTTTTAACACCTGACTGTCCATGTGCCTGGTGTCCAGGAAACACGCTCCCAGTCAGGTGGGGCCACTGGTGGACAGCACGACAGAGGCAAGCGACACCAGCTTCGCAGGAAAGAGGCGACCCAGCTACACTGCCTGCCTCCCACCTGACCTTGAGCGAGGATCTTCTCTCCCCAGCCACAAAGGGCTGCTGCATCCCTAGGGAGCCTGGGCCCGCACAGCTGCAGCCGTCTGCTATCAGGCCTCTCACCCCGGCGCCTGCGCCCCCAATACCAGCGCTCCTTACCTGCCCAGCCCGGGAGCCCTCTGGCCCCATTCACATGGTCCTCCTGGCCTAACCTGGCTGCCTGGACAGTCTCAGCTCCCTTCGCCGTCGTAGCCACCACCTGTCTCCCCGCGCCCACGTCCCACCCTGACTTCCTGCCTCCTCCGGAGGGCTCCGCAGCCAACCGGGCCCCAGCAGCCCAACCACAACCCTCTAGCACGCCAAGCTTCCTGCCACCATAGACCCCTGCCTCTCAGCCCCTGGGGGTCCCCTACATCTCCAGACCAGGTCCATCTTCCCCTACTGTCCCAGGGTGACACTGGGAGGTTTAAAGTTGAGGGGAGGATGTCTGATAGACCCTCCCTTCTGCCCTCCAGGGTGCATCTGGGCAAGAGATTCAAGGGCAGCCTTTGGGCCCAGTGAGCAGGGGGCAAGCGGACACACACTCAGCTTATGGTGAGAGGCAAACAGCACCTCAGCACCACCGTTGCAGCTGAGAGACCCTTTTGTTTCTGTCTGGCAGCAAAGGTAGCATCGTTCAGAGTCAGAGGAGAGGACAATATCCCTGTTAAATAGCTGGTGAGCAGACCATGCATGTTACAGTCAGGTCAGGCCGAGAGAACAATTCCCATGTCATCTCAGGGCATGGAACAGTAGCTTTATTATAGTCAAGGGTAGGTGAATGGCAGGCTACCATCCCTCTTACAGACAGAATGCTGGAAAACAGCCTGTTTCAGGAGGCAGACAGGACAACCTCATGTCTTCAAGAGGGCATAGTAACGGCCCCTGCTGTAGTCAGAGGCCAGGACAACACCCATTAATCATGGTTGGAGAGTAGGGCAACAGTTCGAATTCAGGTAGAGGCAAGGCCACAGCCCCTGGCAGAGGTGGAGGGCTTGGCACTATCTCCTGCAACAGGTGGAAGACAGAGCAAACAGGGCCGCTCAGGCCCCCAGGTGCAGGCCACAGACTGTCAGGACTTTCTGTTATAAGCAGGAGGCAAGAAGATTGTCACGAGCAGCAGGCAGGCAAAGAATTTCCATTTCCCCTGGGGCCAGGCTGAGGGGGCACCCATCATTAGCTGAGGGCCAGGTCACCAGTGATATGAGGAACTCCAGGTGGCCTCATCAGGTCCAAGAACTCGGCCTTGACCCCACCAGGAGGAAAGTGCACATGCGTCACTGCCTGAGTGAGCTGGTAGGGGGAGGGGAACCCACAGAGCATTGTTGGGGCTTGTGAGGTGGAAGCGATGCTGTGTGCACCTCAGCTGCAGAGAGAAGTGGGGGCAGGAAATAGGTGGGGGGAAGAGGAAGCCTGAGTTGGAAAGTCAGACAAAGAGGGTAACACAGAAACAAAGGCTGAGAGAGACAAAGTGAAAAACCTTCACAGTGACACAGAGCCTAGAGTTGGAGCTCCAAGCCTGGTGCAGGGCCCAGACTCCCTTGCAATGTAAGCCTGAACACTTCACGGTCCATCTCCCTGTCTCAGCACAGAGTAGAAAGACTGCCGCGCTGGGAGTGAGTAATAGTTCATATTCACTGAGCGCTCACTGTGCACTATCTCCCGTAAGGCACATCTGCTGCCTGTGGAGTGAGAATCAGCATCTCCATTGTGGAGGTGAGGAAACAGACTCAGGGGTTAAGGGAGCTCCTCAGGGTCGAATAGAAATAAACGGTGGCTCAGGCCTGTAATCCTAGCACTTTGGAAACCCCAGGCAGGTGGATCACTTGAGGTCAGGAGTTTGAGACCAGCCTGGCCAACATGCTGAAACCCTGTCTCTATTAAAAATACAAAAATTAGCCGGGCATGGTGGCGGGTGCCTATAATCCCAGCTACTCGGGAGGCTGAGGCAGGAGAATCGCTTGAAATCGGAAGGTGGAGGTTGCAGTGAGCCAAGATCGCGCCACTACTCCAGCCTGGGCGAAAGAGTGAAATTCCATCTCAAAAAAAAGAAAAAAAAAAGAAAAGAAAAGAAAGGAAATTAGCTAGGCGAGGTGGTGGCCACCTGTAATCCCAGCTACTTGGGAGGCTGAGGCAGGAGAATCGCTTGAAATCAGAAGGTGGAGGTTGCAGTGAGCCAAGATCGCGCCACTACTCCAGCCTGGGCGAAAGAGTGAAATTCCATCTCAAAAAAAAGAAAAAAAAAGAAAAGAAAAGAAAGGAAATTAGCCAGGCGAGGTGGTGGCCGCCTGTAATCCCAGCTACTTGGGAGGCTGAGGCAGGAGAATCGCTTGATCCCCGGAGGCGGAGGTTGCAGTGAGCTGAGATTGTGCTACTGCATTCCAGCCTGGGTGACAGAGTGAGACTCTGCCTCAAAAAAAAAAAAAAAAAAAGAAGCAGAAGAAATAACAACAACAAAAAGAAATAAACGGGGTAGCTGGCTTTGAACCCATGTCTCTCAGATTCTGCATTCTTCAGGAGCCCAATTTACCTAAGTCACCTCCCATGGGCCTGCAGTGAACTAGGGTGGTCCCAGTGACAGGCGACATTCAGATAGCGGCCTTGGGCCTGAATAAACGACTGCAAGAGACCTTGATGGGAACCAGAGAAAGCGTTTATTGAGGAGTTTGAGGGTGTGAGCTCCTCCTCCTCCCCCTCCCAGCTGGGTCAGCAGAGGAAACAGGATGCTGGGGTTTTGCACTCTTGGAATTCAGCTCTCAGAAACCTGAATGTTCCTCCTCCCCCGCCAGGAGCTGGTGCCTCTGGGGCACCCCTCCCTTTCCTCTTCCCAGGCAGGCAGGGGAAGCGGCATTGGGAGAGGGGGCGGGGAGTCGGGGGGCACAGGTGTTCCTCAGCAGAGGGTGAAGCGCCGGGCGCTGATGTTCATGCGCGTGAGGCCCAGGTGCCGCAGCAGCGGGGCCAGGGCTAGGCCGGCCCCGGGCTCCAGCTCCAGCTCCAGCTCGGCCTCATCCAGCAGCTCCTGGTGCAGGTGACAGGCTTGGTCCATCTTCAGTCGGTGCAGCTGGGCCCGCAGCCGCAGCAGCTGCCCTGCCAGCTGCCTGTCCTGCGCCTGCATCTCCCGCTGCGGCCGAGAGGGGGCGTGAGCCTACTGGACAGGCCCTCGGCCGCGCGCCGTTTCTCCCTTCCTGGCAACGCTGGGCCTTTGCACTGACTGTGTCCTCCCCAGCCCCCTCTCACCTCAGCTTGATCTCTCCCTATCTCCCAATCTGGCTTCACCTGGTGGTTCTCAAACCCAGCTAAGGAGTCATTATTAAGCAAATCCAACTGCCTGGGCCCCATCCCAAATCAACTAAGCAGAATCTCTGTGTTGGAGCCTGGGTATCTTTATATTTGCACATGTTGAGTTGGGAGCCACCTACTGAAACTTCACCTCTTCAGAATCTGCCTGCAGCATGGCCAGTGCCTCCTTTTGCACTTCGCTGTATCTTTAGGCCATAGAAAGTCCCAGAGTAGGGGAGGCTGTGTATTTCCCTATTTATAATGGTGCCCCACACCCCCCAACACCAGTGCTCTGTCCCCTAAGCAACAGGAGCACAAGGTCAGTAGATTGGATGGAATCCTTCTTCAGCAAGCCTCCCTGAATACAACACTGGACAAGTCCATTCCCGGCTCCTCAGCCCAGGACACCGGAGCGGGCGGTTGCTGGAGGCAGGGTCCATTCTCATCCCTTCCCCATGCCTGTGGTCTTGGACCCTAAGGAGGACCAGCCTGAAGGCCCTGGGCAAAGCTGCCCACCCCACCAGACTCACCAGCTCCCGTCGGAGCCACTCAAGGGCGGAGTCCATTGAGTCGAAACCACAGATGTCCCCAGGTCCCCCTGGTCCAGGTTTGGCTTGGGCCCTGCGCCAGGCCTGGCTCTGGACCTGGGCTGTCCACTCCAGATATGAGGGCCGCCGAGTCTGCAGCTGCAGCTTGGCTGTCAGTGCCTTCACAGAGTCCAGGCTCTCCCCCTCCTCATCCTCCTCGTCCTCTTCACCCACTGCCTGGAATTTCAGTAGCCCCAGGGACATGGCAGGTTTGAGGTGAGTGACAGGGCAGGGCTGCAGCTCTGAGATTAGGGAAAGGCTGGCAGTATTGCCCAGGGAGAGGTGGCAGAAGTTGAGGGTGAGAAGAGCGTGCCAGGGAGTGTGTGGTGGTCAATGTTCAAGGTGGGTTAGGGGGGCTGAATGTGCCAGGGTGAGTGAGCAGATGGGTGTGTGAGGCCAAGTATGCAAGGGCTGGAATTTTCCTGGACTGCTAACTTGGGAGCCACGTGATGCCCATCTGGGTGGGGGCCGGAGGAACCCTGCTCCTCTGGCCCTTTGGATGAATTTTATTGTCTTTGCCCAGAAGGAGACACCCAATTCCCAGAAAGGAAGTTGCTCCAGGATGAGAAAAGCATCATTCATACCAGAGTCTTGGCCCTCCTCCCAAGACTCATGTTAAGGGAGCTGAGATCAGGAAGGAGGCTGCCTAGCCACCCCTTGTCCTTACTCGTGACACCAGCCCTTCAGGAAAGGACTAGCCTCCAGGGCCCTGGCCTGGGAGTCAGGAGACCTGAGTTCTAGTGCTGGCTCTGCAGAACCTTGGGCAAGTCACTGACCTTCTCAGAGCTCTGTTGGGACAGATGAAGGATTTCAAGCTAATACTCTAAGGAGCCCTCAAGGGCTGCCTGCAGGAGAAGGACAGAGCTGTGGATGGGCTCCTTGCCTTCCATCTCCCTGCCCCTCCCAGGGCTTCAACCAGAGCAGTTCCCTTTTTTAAACTTTGTTTTCAAACATAACATACACACAGAAGGACAGGTGCAGTGGCTCACGCCTGTAATCCCTGCACTTTGGGAAGCCGAGGTGGGCGGATCACGAAGTCAGGAGTTTAAGACCATCCTGGCTAACACGGTGAAACCCCGTCTCTACTAAAAATACAAAAAATTAGCCGAGTGTGGTAGCATGCATCTGTAGTCCCAGCTACTTGGGAGGCTGAGGCAAGAGAATCGCTTGAACCCGGGAGGCAGAGGTTGCAGTGAGCCGAGATCGAGCCATTGCATTCCAGCCTGGGTGACAAAGCAAGACTCTGTCAAAAGAAAGAAAGAAGGAAAGAGAGAGAGAGAGAGAGAGAAGGGAGGGAGGGAGGAAGGAAGGAAGGAAGGAAGGAAGGGGAAAGAAGTGTAACATACACACAGAAAAACTGTACATATCATAAATGCATGGAGACACGGTGGCTCACGCCTGTAATCCCAACATTTTGGGAGGCTGAGGCGGGCAGATCACCTGAGGTCAGGAGTTTAAGACCAGCCTGGCCAACATGGTGAAACCCTATCTCTACTAAAAATACAAAATGAGCTGGGCGTGGTGGTGCATGCCTGTAATCCCAGCTACCCAGGAGGATGAGGCAGGAGAATCACTGGAGCCTGGAGGCGGAGGTTGCAGTGAGCCAAGATCACACCACTGCACTCTAGCCTGGGCAAAAAGAGCGAAACTCCATCTCAAAAAATAAGTAAATAAGTAAATAAATGAATGTATGGCTCGATGAATTCTCCCAAACTGAACACATCCATGTAACCAGCACCCAGATCAAGCAACAGAGTATTACCAGCACCCAGGAACCGCTGTTAGCCTCCCATGTGCTCCTGGCCTGTCACTAATCTAAGGGTAACACCACCCTCATTCTAACAGCATAGTTTTCTCTGTTTATATGCCTTCTAGTGGTTCACAAACTTTAGCATGCATCAGAATCACCTAGAAAGCTTGCTAAGATGGCTAGGCCCCACCACCCAGAGTTTCAGATTCAGTATGTATGGGGTGGGGCCTGGTAATCTGCATTTCTACCAAATTCCCATCCCAGCTGCTGCTGCTGGTCTGGAATTTTACAATTTATGCTTTTTTTTTTTTTCGAGACAGGGTCTTGCTTTGTTGCCAGGCTGGAGTGCAGTGGTGGGATTACAGCTCACTGCAACCTTGAACTCTTGGACTCAGGTGATTCTCTTGCTTGACCTCCTCAGTAGCTGGGACTTACAGGGCCAAGACCCCACACCCAGCTAATTTTTTTTTTTTTTAAGTTTTTGATAGAGATGAGGTCTTCCTCTGTTGCTCATAATGGTTTTGAACTCAGCCAGGCGCGGTGGTTCACGCCTGTAATCCCAGCACTTTGGGAGGCCAAGGTGGGTGGATCACGAGGTCAGGAGATCGAGACCATCCTGGCTAACATGGTGAAACCCCATCTCTACTAAAAAAATACAAAAAAATTAGCTGGGCATGGTGGCAGGCACCTGTAGTCCCAGCTACTTGGGAGGCTGAGGCAGGAGAATGGCGTGAACCCGGGAGGCGGAGCTTGCAGTGAGCCGAGATTGCGCCACTGCACTCCAGCCTGGGCAACAGAGTGAGACTCCGTCTCGCCGGGCGCGGTGGCTCACGCCTGTAATCCCAGCACTTTGGGAGGCCGAGGCGGGCGGATCACGAGGTCAGGAGATCGAGACTCCGTCTCAAAAAAATAAATAAATAAATAACAGGATTGAAAGAGGATGAGAAAGAAAAAAAAATTAGGGCATGGTGGCACATGCCTGTGCCCAACTACCTGGGAGACTGAGATGGAAGGATTGCTTGAGCCCAGAAGGGCAAAGCTGCTGCAGTGAGCCCTGATCACATCACTACACTCCAGGCCTGGGTGACAGAGGCCGACCTGTCTCAAAATAAAAAATTAAAAAAAGGCTTCTGTATCTATGAAGTACCATTGTTTTATTCCTTTATTCTTTTTTTCTTTTCTTCTCTTTTTTTTTTTTTTTTTTTTTTGAGAGAAGTCTCACTCATCCCCCAGGTTTGAGTGCAATGGCTCAATCTCGGCTCATTGCAACCTCCGCCTCCCGGGTTCAAAAGATTCTCCTGCCTCTGCCTCCCAAGTAGCTGGGATTAAGTTGCCTGCCACCACTAATTTTTGTATATTTTAGTAGAGACGGGGTTTCGCCATGTTGGCCAGGCTGGTTTCGAACTCCTGACCTCAAGTGATCCACCCACCTCAGCCTCCCAAAGTGCTGGGATTACAGGCGTGAGCCACTGCGCCCAGCCTATTCTTTTCTTTTTTATTTTTTTGAGACGGAGTCTCACTTTGTCGCCCAGGCTGGAGTGCAGTGGTGCAATCTAGGCTTACTGCAAGCTCCACCTCCTGGGTTCATGCCATTCTCCTGCCTCAGCCTCCCAAGTAGCTGGGACTACAGGTGCCTGCCACCATGCCCCGCTAATTTTTTTGTATTTTTAGTAGAGACAGGGTTTCACCGTGTCAGCCAGGATGGTCTTGATCTCTTGACCTCGTGATCCGCTCTTCTTGGCCTCCCAAAGTGCTGGGATTACAGGTGTGAGCCACCGTGCCCGGCCTCTTTTTTTTTTTTTTTTTTTTTTAATGAGACGGGGTCTCACTCTGTCACCCAAGCTGGAGTGCAGTGGTGCAATCTCAGCTCACTGCAACCCCCACCTCCCAGGCTCAAGTGATCCTCCCACCTCAGCCTCCCAAGTAGCTGGGACCACAGGCCCATGCCACACCTGGCTAATTTTTTGTGTTTTTGGTAGAGTTGGGGTTTCACCATGTTGCCCAGGCTGGTCTCAAACTCCTGGGCTCAAGTGATCCTCCTGCCTCGGTCTCCCAAAGTGCTAGGATTATGGCCATGAGCCACCACTCCTCTCCCTATTCCTCTATTCTTTTTCTTTCTTTTTTCTTTTCTTTTTTTTTTTTTTTTTGATACAAGTCTCACTCTATTGCCCAAGCTAGAGTGCAGTGGCGTGATCTCAGCTCACTGCAACATCCACCTCCTGGGTTCAAGCAATTCTCCTGCCTCAGCCTCCCAAGTAGCTAGGACTACAGGTGCGAGCCACCATGCCTGACAAATTTTTCTATTTTTAGTAGAGACAGGGTTTCACCATATTGGCCACGCTGGTCTTGAACTCCTGACCTCAAGTGATCCGCCTGCCTTGGACTCCCAAAGTGCTGGGATTACAGGAGTGAGCCAACTCGCTTGGCTTTTTTTTTTTTTTTTTTTTTTGAGGCAGAGTCTTGCTCTGTTGCCCAGGCTAGAGTGCAGTGGTGCGATCTCAGCTCACTGCAGCCTCCGTTTCTCGGGTTCAAGGGACTCTCCTGCCTCAGCTTCCCGAGTAGCTGGGACTACAAGCACATACCACCATGCCTGGCTAATTTTTGTATTTTTAGTAGAGACCAGATTTAGCCATGTTGGCCAGGCTGTTCTTGAACTTCTGGCCTCAAGGTATCCACCCACCTCAGCCTCCCAAAGGGTTGGGATTACAGGGGTAAGCCACCGCACCCAGCCCTATTCCTTTATTCTCAATTAAAAAGAAAGAAAGAAAATAAATAAATAAATAAATAAATAAAATAAGCTGGGCATGGTGGCTCATGCCTGTAATCCCAGCACTTTGGGAGGCCATGCAGCAGGAGCATTGCTTGAGGCTTGGAGTTGAAGACCAGCCTGGGCAAAACAGGGAGACCCCCATCTCCACAAAAATATTTACAAAAGAAAAAGAAGACGGATGGATGAATAGATGGGTCCTGTGGTAAATCAGCTCAGCTCTCGTCCTGCAATTTTACCAGCTTAATTGTGTCTCTTGCCAGACTGAAAACCCTGTGAACAGAATCTTCCCCAGTCATCCCTGGGCCCCAGCACCAAACACAGGGCCCAGCTAACTCACTGTACAGGTAATACACACTTGCTGAAACGATGGTGGATAGCTGATGGGGTTCTTGAGGTCTGGACTCAGCCAGAAGTGGGCTGCACAGAGGGCGCCCTCAGGCAGGGACTTCCAGCTGCGAGGTCGAGGAGGGACGCCAGCTACACAGCTGCAGCATTTAAGGTGGACCAAAGGATTTCCCCAACCCAAGTTTCTTATGTATGGGAGGAAGTAGGCAGTTCCCAGTTTCACACCCACTTTCCAGCCCTTCCACCAGGGTATGGTGGAAGAGATAGTTATCTTTCTTCCTTTCCTTCCTTCCTTCCTTCCTTCTTTCTTTCCTTCCTTCCTTCCTTCCCTCCCTCCCTCCTTCCTTCCTTTCTTCTTTCTTTTCTCTTTTTTGACGGAGTTTGCTCTTGTTGCCCAGGCTGGAGTGCAATGGCGCTATCTCATCTCACTGCAACCTTGGTCTCCTGGGTTCAAGCGATTCTCCTGCCTCAGCCTCCCGAGTAGCTGGGATTACAGGTGCACGCCACCATGCCTAGTTAGTTTTGTATTTTTAGTGGAGACGGGGTTTCATTATGTTGGCCACGATGGTCTCGATCTCCTGACCTCGTGATCGGCCCGCCTCGGCCTCCCAAAGTGCTGGGATTACAGGTGTGAGCCACCACGCCTGGCCAATTTTTTGTATTTTTAGTAGAAACAGGGTTTCACCATGTTAGCCAGGGTGGTCTCGAACTCCTGACCTCAGGTGATCCGCCCCGCCTCGGTCTCCCAAAGTGTTGGGATTACAGGCCTGAGCCACTGCGCCCAGTCTTTCTTTCTTTTTAAAGTTAGCAGTAGTGCTAGCACCTCAGGGCTTGAAAAAACAAAAATACAAAAATATTGAGTGTCTCCTGCAACCCAGGCACAGGGTTAAGGACTTTAGGCAAGATTATTCTCCCCATTTCACAGACGATGACATGGAGATTTGCTTATAACAGTCTCTGGCCAGGGACCTCGCTAAGAAATATTGGCAATATGAGGGGAAATTCCTGTGAAACTGTGATCCTTTCCTCTGAGGGGCCTCCTTAACAGCTGTCCAGACGGCGTCGCCAGCTGCCCAGGCAGTTCCTATCCCTTTCGGAGCTCCAGCCTGCCCCTCCTGACGCTCTCAGAGTCTGGCCTTCTGCTGGGCCCCGGGTCTCTCACTGGCAGAATGGAGTTCTCGGAGCTGATCCATACGGGCTGAGCCCAAGCAGAGTTTCTACGGGGCCCGGAGGCGCCCCCGCTTCGCGGCACGGTGTGAGTCACCGTCCACCACCTGCTCCTGTCGCCAGGGCCCGCGTCCTCTCCGGACCTGTGGCTGCTGCTGTTGCGTAGCGTCGACTCCTTCGAGAAGCAGTGAGACGTGGCGGGGTGGGGGAGGGTCCCCGGGGTTGGGGAGCGCGCGGCTTGGCGGAGTAGGGGGCACGGCCAGCGCAGTCAGAGCTGGCGCCCTCCTGCGTAAGCCCAATCCGGGAAACTCGTTGCCCCTCTCCTGGGAAAGGAACGTCCCTCCCCAGGGTTGCGAGTGACTCGGGCACCATCACCCTGTGCTGTAAAGACCTGCGAGTGCTGCAGCTGGAAATAGAGGGCGCGGAAGCGACGCTGGGCATCGCCCGCTCCATCGAGGTGTGCCGAGGGAGCTCCCGAGCCCTTTAAGCTCTCCCTGTCTCGCGTAGAGGGGAATAAAAAGGTGCTTCTGTTCAAAGAGGCTCCGCAGCCGCAGCTAAATGGCAGGGGGATGCAGGGTGGTCCGGGGTACTTGGAGAGGCCGAAGCTGAAGCTACAGGACTGAGGGGCTGGAAAGGGCGCGGGCGAGACAATTCCGACCCTCCCCAGAGCCCCTGACTTCCTTCTCCGGACGCTGTCCTCCCTGGAATCAGTCATCACCTCCTTCCCTTTATTCTACCGTCCCAAGGGCCTGAGATTGGGCGACTCCTGGCACTTCCTCCCGCCCGAACTCTACTGCAAGAGAGTAGCTCGCGAAGTGGGCGCGGTCGTAGGGGCCCGGGAAGGTGGAAGCGCCGGGCCTGGAAGAGGCGCGGGGACAGGGCACTCCCTGGGTGCCCTAGACCTGGCCTCTCTCCTCCCTGCGCTGCAGACCAACGCGTGGCGGCTGAGCGAGGTGAACGAGGACTTCAGCTTGTGCCCCAGATACCCCCGTGCGGTGATCGTGCCATACTTGGTGGACGATGATGCCCTGGCGCGCAGCGCCCGCTTCCGTCAGGGAGGTCGCTTCCCGGTGCTCAGCTACCACCCGGCTCCCAGCGGCAGAGGGAGCGCGCCCTCCCCACGCTCCGCCCCTGGGTGGCTGCGTCCTTTCTGGGCCTTTTCTTTTTGGCCCGGTCAATTCGCGGCGTAGCCGCTGCCCCAACTCCTGCCCCATTCTGGTCCCGCCCCTCTCCCGCCTTTTCGCTGGGAAGGGTATCACCTTTCTCTGGCCCCGCCCCTGACGGTTCCGGGCCCCGCGAAGCTTAGTCCCTTCTTTGTCAAGCCAGGACCCGCCCACGGTCTATTCATAGGGTCCCAAACCACTTTGGCCACAACACCCCCAGACTGGTCCGAAGCCTCGTGAGTTCGCCCTGGTCGTTGCACTCCAGCCTGTCGCTGTGCAGACCTGGCTTAGAGGACCCCTAAGGCTGAGGGGTCACTTCCAGAACTGAGTCCGGTCCGCAGGTTCTGCTACGCTCCAGCCAGCCCCTAACTGGTCCCCAGAAGCGGCGCTGCTACAGGGACCAGGAGCTGCTGCGAACTGCGCTGGCGGGGGCTCGTCCTTGGGCGCGGGGCTTCATCATGGACACGCTCTCGGCCCAGGCCGCGAAACAAGCCCGCGTGACTGGCGGAGGCACAGAGACCAAGGCCGCTTAACCTGGCTGGTTGCACTGGTCCCTGGAGAGGTAAGGGGCCTCCCACCCTCTCCCAGGCCCTCTCCTGCAGGGCTCTGTGAATGTACATGTGTGTGAGTATGTGTTGGCGGGAGGCGGGGGGTCCTCCAGGAACCTTGAAGACTCAAGCCTTTCCTGGTGTCATCCCTCCACATGAGCAACCCCACTTGCACACCACCACTGAGAGAGCTCCTTACTCTTTAGGCACCCCAACTTTGCCTGGGAAGAAAAAGCACCTCTTTACATTAAACTGAAATTTGTCTTCCCGGAACAACCTCCCTGCACACACGCACCCCCTCCCTGAGGGCTGCACCTGCACAGATGTGATCTGTTCCCTCTGTCTCCAGGCGATGGCAGTGCCAAGAAGAGGTCCTGAGGGAGTTTTGTGTTTTGAGGAGAGTAGACTGCTTCCCTATCCAAAATACAAAGCTCTGTTTATTCATTTATTTACCCAGCACTGAGCACAGGGGCTGCCACAGTGGCCGGCTCAGACATGGCAGAGATCAGCAGAGAATGGGCAATCAGGCTCCCCTGAGATGAGCAGCAGCGCAGAGGAGGTGCCCCTCTCTTACTACACCAACTTCAGGTAATCAGAGGTTTCCTTGAGAATAGGATGCTTTAGCTGAGACCCAAAAATGGAGGAGTGAGCCAGAAGAAGAAAGACCCTGCATGTGGAGGGAATTGCAAGTGTCCAGGTGCAGAGACAGCCTGGTCATTTGTCCTGTTTGGGGAACTGCCAAGTACAGTAGTCCCCCCTTATCCTCGGGAAGTATGTTCCAAGATCCCCAGTGAATGCCTGAAGCCTCAGATAGTACCAAACCCTACAGACAGTATGTTTTTCCATACCTATGATAAAGTTTAATTTATTTTATTATTTTTATTTATTTTATTTTATTTTTTTGAGACAAGAGTCTCGCTCTGTCACCCAAGCTGGAGTGCAGTGGCGCTATCTTGGCTCACTGCAACCTCCTCCTCCCAGGTTCAAGTGATTCTCCTGCCTCAGCTTCCCAAATAGCCGGGATTACAGGCACCTGCCACCACGCCCAGCTAATTTTTTTTTTTTTTTTGTATTTTATCTTATTTTATTTTATCATAATAATTATTTTTTAAGATGGAGTCTTGCTTTGTTTCCCAGGCTGGAGTGCAGTAGCGTGATCTTGGCTCTCTGCAACCTCCATTTCCTGGGTTCAAGTAACTCTCCCATCTCAGCCTCCCAAGTAGCTGGGACTACATGCACGTGCCACCATGCCTGGCTAATTTTCTTTTCTGTATTTTATTTTATTTTATTATTTTTTGAGACAGAGTCTCACTCTGTCGCCCAGGCTGGAGTGTGATGGTGCGATCTCAGCTCCCTGCAACCTCTGCCTCCCAGATGCAAGCAATTCTCATACCTCAGCCTCCCAAGTAGTTGGGACTACAGGAGCCTGCCACCATGCCCAGCTAATTTTTTTTTTGTATTTTATTTTATTATTATTATTTTTGAGATAGAATCTCTCTTTGTTGCCCAGTCTGGAGTGCAGTGGTGTGATCTTGGCTCACTGCAACCTCCATTCCCCGGGTTCAAGTGATTCTCTCGCCTCAGTCTCCTGAGTAGCTGGGACTACAGGCGCGTGCCACCAGGCCCGGCTAATTTTTGTATTTTTAGCAGAGATGGGGTTTTGCCATGTTGGCCAGGCTAGTCTGGAACTCCTCACCTCAAGTGGTCTGCCCATCTCAGCCTCCCAAAGTGTTGGGATTACAGGCATGAGCCACCACGCCCAGCCTTTTTTTTGTATTTTAGCAGAGATGGGGTTTCATCATGTCACTCAGGGTGGTCTTGAACTCCTGAGCTCGGGCAATCCACCTGCTTCAGTCTCCCAAAGTACTAGGATTACAAGCGTGAGCCACTGCATCCAGCCAAGTTTAATTTATACAGTAAGCACAACAATAACTAATAATAAAGTAGAACAATTACAATAATATGCTATAATAAAAGTTGTATAGGTCAGGTGCTGAGGTAAAAGATAGGTATTTTTGGAGATTTAGAAGATTGTGGCTGGGCACAGTGACTTATGCCTGTCATCTCAGCACTTTGGCAGGCTGAGGAGGGTGGATCCCTTGAGCCCAAGAGTTTGAGACCAGCCTGGGCAACATAGGGAGACCCTGTCTCTGTACAAAATACAAAAATTGGCTGGGTGTGGTGGCTCATGCTGGTAATCCCAGCATTTTGGGAGGCTGAGGCGGGAAGATCACCTGAGGTCAGGAGTTTGAGACCAGCCTGACCAACATGGAGAAACGCCGTCTCTACTAAAAATACAAAATTAGCCGGGCGTGATGGCACATGCCTTTAATCCCAGCTACTCAGGAGACTGAGGCAGGAGAATCGCTTGAACCTGAAAGGCAGAGGTTGCAGTGAGCTGAGATAGCACCATTGCACTCCAGCCTAGGCAACAAGAATGAAACTCCATCTCAAAAAAAAAAAAAAAAAAAAATTAGCTACATGTGGTGGTGCACACCTGTAGTCCCAGCTTCTCAAGAGGCTGAGGTGGATGGCTTGAGCCTGGGAGGCAGAGGTTGCAGTGAGCTGTAATTGTGCCACTGCACTCCAGCCTGGGTGAGAGCAAGATCCTGTCCCAAAATTAGCCAGGCATGGTGGTGTGCTCCTGTAGGCCCAGCTACTCAAGAGGCTGAGGTGGGAGATCACTGGAGCCCCGGGAGGTGGAGGCTGCAGTGAACTGTAATCACACCACTGCACTCGAGGCTGGCTGACAGAATGAGACCCTGTCTCAAAAAAAAAAACAAAAAAAAAATGGCCGGGTGCGGTGGCTCATGCCTGTAATCCTGGCACTTTGGGAGACCAAGGCGGGTGGATCACCTGAGGTCAGGAGTTCGAGACTAGCCTGGCTAACATGGTGAAACCCCACTTCTACTAAAAATACAAAAAATTAGCCAGGTGTGGTGCGGGCCTGTAATCCCAGCTATTTGGGAGGCTGAGGCAGGAGAATCGCTTGAAACTGGGAGGTGGAGGTTGCAGTGAGCCGAGATCACGCCATTACACTCCAGCTTGGGCAACAAGAGTGAAACTCCAAAAAAAAAAAGTTGTATGAGGCCGGGCATGGTAGCTCACGCCTGTAATCCCAGCACTTTGGGAGGCCGAGCTAGGTGGGTCACGAGGTCAGGAGATCGAGACCATCCTGGCTAACATGGTGAAACCCTGTCTCTACTAAAAATACAAAAAAAATTAGCCAGGTGTGGTGACGGGCTCCTGTAGTCCCAGCTACTCAGGAGGCTGAGGCAGGAGAATCGCTTGAACCCAGGAGGCAGAGGTTGCAGTGAGCTGAGATTGCGCCACTGCACTCCAGCCTGGGTGACCTAGAGTGAGACTCAATCTAAAAAAAATAAACAGTTGTATGAATGTGATCTCTTTCTTAAAATATCTTATTGTACTATACTCACCCTTCTTGTGATGATGTGAGATGCTTAAATGCCCATGTGATGAGATGTGGTGAATGACATAGGCCTTGTAATGCAGCCTTAGGCTCCTACTGACCTTGAACACAAGCCCACTGCAGTACTGCCACAGTCACTCTGATAACCAAGACAGCTACTAAGTGACTAATGGGCAGACAGTGTGTGCAGCATGGATATGCTGGACAAAGGGATGACTCCTATCCAGCGAGACAGAGCAGGGTGACTCAAGATTTCGTCACAACATTCAGAAGGGCTTACAATTTAAAACTTATGAATTGTTTATTTCTGGAATTTTCCATTTAATATTTTCAGGCCACAGTTGACCATGGGTAACTGAAACCTCAGAAAGTGAAACCATGGATGGGGTCAACTAATGTCCTTTGGTATGGTGGGAGTGTCGAGTATGAAATGGGAGGACAGATGAGGCTACAGATAAGCTTAGACTTTATCCTCAAGGCAGTGGGCAGCCACTGAAGGCTTTTAAACAGAGCTGAGAAGTCGCTGTTAGATTTTCTGGCAGGAGGTCACCAGTAACCTTGAACAGAGCAGTTTCTGGGAGGTAGGAGCAGATGCAGAATTCCAAGAGAACTGTGTTTTTCTTGTCAGACCGGGGCTCCCCAGGGAATGCTATGTTGCTCCCATCAGACTGGTGTACATCAAGGGTGTTGTGATACTTCCATCAAATTGGTGGTTTCCCAGGACATTGTGTGTTTCCCCAGAGGGCTATGTGACCCTTCCCCAGGTACTTTCTCAAAGGGTCTTGAGTCTCTCCCATCAGACTGAGGAATCCTCAAAGCTAAGAAACCATTTTAGGCTGGGCGCGGTGGCTCATGCCTGTAATCCCAGCACTTTGGGAGGCCGAGGTGGGCGGATCACAAGGTCAGGAGTCCGAGACCATTCTGGCCAACATGGTGAAACCTAACAATGCAAAAACTAGCTGGGTGTGGTGGCGGTCGCCTGTAGTCCCAGCTACTCTGGAGGCTGAGGCAGAAGAATCACTTAAACCCGGGAGGCGGAGGTTGCAGTGAGCTGAGATCGCACCACTGCACTCCAGCCTGGAGACAGAGCAAGATTCCGTCTCAAAAAAAAAAAAAAACCATTTCATGGACAGAACGAGACGCTGTCTCAAAGATTAGGAACTCCTCTGTGGGTCGTGTGTGCCGTGAGACTGGACTCCCTAAAGGGCTCTGTGTCCCTTTTATCAGATGGGCTCTTTACAGGATTCTGTGTCTCCCTCATTGGTCTTGAGCACTTGCTCCCTGGCTGTACTTGGCAAGGGCTTGAGCTGGAAAAGATGACCAGACTCCCACCGCCCAGAGGGCGTCCCCTGCAGGAGAGCTTCATGCGCCTGGTGGAGGCCTGTGGGGACTCGGAGCAAAGCATGGACAACTGGCTGAGTCGGCTGGACGGCTGCCGCTGACTGTAACATGTAAAGCAGGCACTGAGCACCACCTGCCTGGCAGTCCAGGGCATGGAGAGGTAAGGCCCCATTGACATAGAGAATAGGGTGAGATGGGCAGGGCTCTCAACCCCTGGATGCAAAACTGTGATTCAGTAAGCAAATATAGCCTAGAACTGGGTCCATTCTATTCCTGGCCTGGTACATGGGGCTGAAGGCACAGACAGCACCCTGCTTGTGACTTCACTGGCCCAACTCATCCTGGACCCCTTGAGCAAGACCATGGCTGGATTCCAGGAACTGGTGGAGTGGAAGTGGATCCAGGAAAGTAAGTGACCACCCAACCCCAGCCTTACCCTCCATCCAGAAACTTGCTTCCTCGTGCCCATTGCTCTGCCCCCTCCCCAGGCCAGCCAC
Organism: Homo sapiens; assembly: GCF_000001405.40. Taxonomy (NCBI): domain Eukaryota; kingdom Metazoa; phylum Chordata; class Mammalia; order Primates; family Hominidae; genus Homo; species Homo sapiens. The sequence continues at coordinate 32,234,614 of NC_000001.11, read as the reverse complement.
CCCTTCCAGCTGCGCTGTGCCCATTCAGCCTTCTCCCATGCCCACCCCAAGCATGAGGCACCCACCTTTCTCCTCTTCCTGGACTGCGTGTGGCAGCTGGGCTGCCGGTTCCCACTGTCATTGGAGTTTGGGGAAGGGCTACTGTTGGCGCTGTTTGGGCACGCCTATGCCTCCTCTTTTGGCACCTTCCTCTGCAACAGCGAAAAGGAGAGGTGAGCTGAGGGGGTGTTGAGGTAGCTTAGGGGCAGGCACAGGAAAGGGTTGGATACCTGTGCCATCAGTGCCTTACTTCCTTTTTTTTTTTTTTTTTGAGATGAAGTCTCGCTCTGTCACCTGTCGCCTGGTCTGGAGCGCAGTGGCACGATCTGGGCTCACTGCAACCTTTGCCTCCCTGGTTCAAGCTATTCTCCAGCCTCAGCCTCCCGAGTAGCTGGGATTACAGGAATGTGCCACCACGTCCGGCTAATTTTTATACTTTTAGTATAGATGGAGTTTCACCATATTGGCCAGTCTGATCTCAAACTCCTGACCTCAGGTGATCTGCCCACCTCGGCCTCCTAAAGTGCTGGGATTACAAGCGTGAGTCACTCCGCCCAGCCAGCACCTTACTTCCTTAGGAGCCATCTTTCCCGAATTCAAGTGGGTTTGTCTTTTAGGAAAACTGAGTGTTCTCCTTGCCCCACCTCCAAATCTCATACTTCCTCCTAACTTCTGCAAACCCAGAGATAAATAGGTCCAAGGCCAATCCTTTAGACAGACCTACTCTGTCCATAGCCAATTGCAAGTGAACCCCTACCTTGAAAACAAGGATTAAAGGGGAAATTTGCTGCAAAAATAATTTATAAGGCTCTCTACCACTTTGCAAGGTCGATTGTTTCAAAGCAATAGAACAGAGGTTGAAAGCAGAGTGGAATCATTTGGGCTCAAATTCCAGTTTCACCACTCACCTGCTGGGTGTTCATAGCAAACCCGTCTGAGTCTCAATCTCATCGGTAGCATGAAGGGGATAAGAGCAGCCATAATCTGGCCGGGCGCGGTGGCTCACGCCTGTAATCCCAGCACTTTGGGAGCTGAGGCAGGCAGGTCACCTGAGATCAGGAGTTTGAGACCAGCCTGGCCAACATGGTAAAACCCCATCTCTACTAAAAATACAAAAAATTAGGCCTGGCACGGTGGCTCACACCTGTAATCCCAGCACTTTGGGAGGCTGAGGTGGGCAGATCACAAGGTCAGGAGATCGAGACCACCCTGGCTAACATGGTGAAACCCCCTGCCTACTAAAAATACAAAAAATTAGCCGGGCATGTTGGCACCCGCCTGTAGTCCCAGCTACTCAGGTGGCTGAGGCAGGAGAATCACTTGAACCTGGGAGTCAGAGGTTGCAGTAAGCCAAGATCCCACCACTGCACTCCAGCCTAGGTGTCAGAGCAAGACTCCATCTCAAAAAAATATAATTAGCCGGGCGTGTTGGCACATGCCTGTAATCCCAGCCACTTGGGAAGCTAAGGCATGAGAATTGCTTGCACCTGGGAAGCAGAGGTTGCAGTGAGCCGAGATCATGCCATTGCATTCCAGCCTAGGCAACAGGGTGGGACTCCATTAAATAAATAAATAAATAAATAAGTAAATAAAAGAAGTGGTATTTTTATTATTTGGTTGGCTTGTTGCATATGCTGCCTATCAGTCCCAGATGCCAGCTGTCTTATGAGATTGAGAGATGCGGGGAGGGAGGGTTCACCTTTCCAGGGTGAAGATCAGATTTAGTTATCTTCTGTTGCTCAGTCTTCCTCTATACCCCATCCTGCTTCACTAACCCCACTAGTCCTGGATCATCTCTATTTACCTCCCTCTCCCCCATCCTTCATCTTTAGTCTTTCTCCTAAAATTGTCTGAGTTTGGTCCTCCCTTGCCAGAAGGCCCTCCCCCCGTCTTCATCCACACTGGTCTCTTCCATCTGGACTCTCCGGCAGCCGCCTCACTGTTCTCTGCATCTTCATTGTTATCAATTTTCTTTCAAAAGCTCCTGGGTCCAGACCTATCAATATTCACAGTGGGCCCTTTCCCGCCTTCTTTCTTTGGCTCATGCCGTTCTCCCCATGTTGGCTGTTGCTTTGCACAGTGGGTATGCTAGGTCTGTTGAGACTCAGCTCAAACATCACATTCTTAATTAGCCTTCTCTGACATTGAGGCAAAACTAAATTGGTTTCTCCCTTTAAATAGAACTCCTTAAGAAGTAGGACTTTGTCTTGTTCCCCTTTTATTCTAGTGCCTAGTACAAGATCTGACTAGCAATAATGTTTGCAAGAAAAAGGAGAAAAGTAAAGGTTATCACTGCTCCAAAGTGGCTGTCACCCTACTAACCAGGGCTGCCCACCCAGACTCCCAGAGGGCATACCTGGGGCTGGAAACTCACTCCCTGCCTTTCTGCAGATGCCGTGTGAAGGGAGGACTCAGATGCACTCCCTGTGGTCTGGGCTCAACCAGCCAAAAGAGCAACAAAGACTCCAGAACCCACTCTACCTCCTCAATCCCTTGGCCATCTGTGGAGCCCCAGAGCCTGCGGCTGTGGCAAGGTGAGCTCCACACCTTCTCCCCTGGGTATTACCCCTCTGCTCAGCGTCCTGACCTGTCTTCCTCCTCCTCAGGCCTGTTTCTGCGCTGGACCTGCTCACCTGAGCCTGCAGAAGCTGCATGGGGGAAGAGTGTGGCAAATAGTGACAGGAAGGGAGAAGACAGAAGCCTCTCAGCCAACTGCTTCAGCCGAGCCCCTATTCTAAGCACTGGCTCCTTGGATAGCAGCTGAGATGTTCCTGAAACCTCTGCAGGCCCCTTAGGACCTTTACACCTTGGATGAGGGTGCCTGCAACCCAGGTTAGCCAAAAGTACTGAGGGTCTTAAGTTTGAAGTGTCCAAAGTATAGGGAGGTCTCAATAATAAAAGTCTCCATGATCAGCATCAGCTTGCTGGGGTGTCAGTGAAAAGGAAAAATGATGAAACAGACACCACAAAATATCTGACCAGAAGCCATTTATTACCAAACCAATTTATTTCTTAGAGTTCAAAACCTTCTGTGAGAATCTTCTCTGGCCTGGTTGGAGATCCACCTTCTTCTTTTTTTTTTTTGAGACGGAGTTTTGCTCTTGTGGCTCAGGATGGAGTGCAATGACGTGATCTCAGCTCACTGCAACCTCTGCCTCCTGGGTTCAAGTGATTCTCCTGCCTCAGCCTCCTGAGTAGCTGGGACTATAGGCGTGTGCCACCATGCCTGGCTAATTTTTGTATTTTTAGTAGAGACGAGGTTTCTCCATGTTGGTCAGGCTGGTCTTAAACTCCTGACCTCAGGTGATCCGCCTGCCTTAAAAAAAAAGTGGTGGGATTACAGGCATGAGCCACCACGCCCGGCAGGAGATCCAGCTTCTTAAGCCTCAAACTCAAATTCGAAGTACTGTGGGTCGAAGTAATGGATACGGACGTAACCATCTTCGCCGCCGCTGCTGTAGCTGGAAAAAGATAGCCAGGCACCAGTCAGGTGCTTACTCTGGGAAAGGCAGAGACCCAACCCAGGCTTAGGTCAGCTGCTTCACTGGTACCCTACCTCTTGCCATCAGGATGGAAGGCAACACTGTTGATAGGTCCAAAGTGACCCTTGACTCTTCCAAACTCTTCTTCAAAGGCCAAATGGAAGAACCTGGAGGAAAAGGGACACAATTAATTCACTTTCTATCTTCTTCCAAAACACTTTGGAGGTGGCACTCCCCAAATGCAAATTGTTATTATTATTTATTTATTTTGAGATGGAGTCTTACTCTGTCACCCAGGGTGGAGTACAGTGGCGCAATCTCGGTTCACTGGAACCTCCCCCTCCTGGGTTCAAGCAATTCTCCTGCCTCAGCCTCCTGAGTGGTTGGGATTACAGATGCCTGGCTAATTTTTGTATTTTTAGTAGAGATGGGGTTTCACCATGTTGGCCAGGCTGGTTACGAACTCCTGGCCTCAAGCCGCCTTCCTTAGCCTCCCAATGTGCTGGGATTACAGGCATGAGCCACCACACCTGGCCTCAAATGCAAATTGTATCACAAAAAATAAAGCAGAAGCCGAGGCGCAGTGGCTCACGCCTGTAATCCCAACACTTTGGGAGGCCGAGGCGGGTGGATCACTTGAGGCCAGGAGTTTGAGACCAGCCTGGCCAACATCTCTACTAAAAATACAAAAAGCAGCCAGGGACGGTGGCCATGTACCTGTAATCCCAGCTACTCAGAAGCTGAGGTAGAAGGATCGCTTGAGCCCAGGAGGTTGCGGTGAGCAGAGATGGTGCCACTGCACTCCAGCCTGGGCAACAGAGTGAGACCCTGTCTCAAAAAATAATAATAATAAAGCAGAAAAATTGAGATAAGAAGTGAATGTGAACAAAATAAGATGGAAATTGGTGGCTGCGTGCCATGGTTCACGCCTGTAATCCCAGCACTTTGGGAGGCTGAGGACAGAGGATTGCTTGAGCCCAGGAGTTCGAGGCCAGCCTGGGCAACATAGTGAGACCCTGTCTCTTACTTTTTTAACTTTTTTATTATATGGGGAAGACTGGACCCAGATGTCTGCCTGAATACATAACTAATACTTATAGAGTGCCTACTATGTGCTGGGCAGTGCTTAAAGAGCTTAATAAATATTAACTGAATAATTTAATCTGCATAATTTTATGTTAAGTATATTGTCATTGTCTCATTATACAGTAGAGGAAATTTAGACATAGAGAAATATAATGAAGGCTGGGCACAGTGGCTCATGCCTGTAATCCCAGCACTCTGGAAGGCCAAGGTGGGCGGATTACTTAAGGCCAGGAGTTCAAGACCAGCCTGGCAAACATGGTGAAATCCTGTCTCTACTAAAAATACAAAAATTAGCCAGGCGTGGTCATGGGTGCCTGTAATCCCAGCCACCCAGGAGGCAGAGGCAGGATAATTGCTTGAACCCGGGAAGCAGAGGTTGCAGTGAGCAGAGATCGCGCCATTGCACTCCAGCCTGGGTGACAGAGCAAGACTCCGTGTCAAAAAAAAAAAAAAAAAAAAAGGCTGGGCACGGTGGCTCATGCCTGTAATCCCAGCACTTTGGGAGGCTGAGGCGGGCGTATCACGAGGTCAGGAGATCGAGACCATCCTTGCTAACACGGTGAAACCCCGTCTCTACTAAAAATACAAAAAGAAAATTAGCCAGGCATGGTGGTGGGCGCCTGGGCCGCTGAGGCAGGAGAATGGCGTCAACCCGGGAGGCAGAGCTTGCAGTGAGCAGAGATCACGCCACTGCGCTCCAGCCTAGGCGACAGAGCGAGACTCCATCTCAAAAACAAAAACAAACAAAAAAGGTACACCACATGAGATTTTAATTTGGAAGAGCTCTCTTCTTCTTTACCTGGCCTCAAACTTGCCAATCCTGGTGGAGGTTGTGGTTACATCCATGGCTTCCTGACCACCGCCCAGGACCACCTGAATGGAAGAAGAAACTCTAGATGGGACCAATGGACACCAAGTCCATTTTGTGTTTTTCTGCTGCCATATACATTTTTAACATCTCACACGGCTCAATGGGAGGATACCAAAGGTAGGGGATGATCAGACACTTCTGCCACCTCCTGCTGGCTGCCCTGGGGCTATTCAATCCTTCCAGCTTTGTCACTCCTCTGGGCATCTCCTCTCTGCCTGACATCATTTCCCCCACAATGTTGTAGCCCAACTTCTGGACAAGCATCTAGAACTTGGAAGCTTCCTGAGGCTTCAGCAGGAAGGCAGGTGGGGTTCTCTTACATGGTCATAGTTGGGGGAGAGGGCAGCTGAGTTGACAGGACGTTCTGTCCGGAAAGTCTTCTGATGTTCAAGAGTTGTGGAGTCAAAAAGCTGGAGAGAGAAGGCAGGGGGGAAATCTGTAAAGAGCTTTCCTGGGGGAAGTCGGGCAGGGTGAGCTGTGCAGCCGGAGGGAGGGAGCAGCCCTGCCAGACCGCTGCCCAGGCTCACCTTGGCTGTGTTGTCCTTGGACGCGGTCACAAACATGGTCATGTCCCTGGATAACTGGATGTCGTTGATCTGCCGGGAGTGCTCCTTAACATTCACCAACACCTCTCCAGACTAGGGAAGGAAGAAGAGTGACACTGAATGGGCCCAATCCCTACTAATCTCAGCTCCCCAGAAACCCAAGCACCCAAATGAAAGCTGAGACAGCATGGACTTTGTGTTTTCCTCACCCCCTCTATCCTATCAGTCACCCCTAAATATCCCTTGACTCTGTCCAGTAATGTACATCCTATGCCTATTGGCTAGTTCAGGTTCACTCTCCAAACATAAACTGCAAAAGCTGTTGGAAGGAAAATCTGGCCATTGATAACCCTTTAAAGATTCCCTACTGCCTGGAGGAAAGTCAAAACTCTTTACCTCCTCACACTGAAGGACGTTTAAAATCTATTCCCCGTCCTCTGTCCCCAAGACCACACCCCAAGGGTTTCTGAAGACTCCATACTTTCTTAACTCTGTGCCTTTGCCTTTGCTGTTCCTTTTGCCTGTGGGATGTTCTTTCCTTCCTGCTTGAAGCTCCATTTATTCTCCAGGGTTTAATGTACACGCCACCTCCCTGGGAGAGTGCACCTTCCACACTTGGCTGAGACCTCTATGGTGGCACAATTCACAATCTGACTCAGGTGCTAGCTGTTTGCAAGTCTGTCTCCCCATGGGGGAAGGGACTGCATCTGATTTACTTCTTTGTTCTAGGAGTTCAGCATTATACTCAGCATTATACAGGGCATTATACTCAGTGGTGGCAAGGAAATGCTCATTTGTGATCCTTAATTATTTTTTTGAGACAGGGTCTTGTTCTATCACCCAGGCTGGAGTACAGTGGCACAATCATGGCTCACTGCAGCCTCAATCTCCCAGACTCAAGCAATCTTTCAGCCTCAACATCCTGAGTACCTGGGACCAAAGGCACACTCCACCACACCCAGCTAATTTTTAATTTTTTTTTGTAGAGACAGGGTCTTCCTATATTGCCCAGGCTGATCTCAATCTCCGGGTCTCAAGCAATCCTGCCACAGCCTCCCAAAGTGTTGGGATTACAAGTGTGAGTCACCACACCCGGCCTGTGATCCTTATTAACATGTCCTGAGTACTTTGTGACAAGTTTTTCAAACATGTGATATCATTTGATCCTTGAAACATTTTACAGATAAACAGGGTCAGAGAAGTCATGTAAATTGCCCAAGATCACACAGCTAGAAAGTGGTGAAATCTACATTTGAATCTCACCTCTGCTCTTTTTAAAATTTTTTATTAACTTTTTTTTTTTTTTTTTTTTTTTTAGAGACAGGGTCTCACTGTCACCCAGGCTGGAGTGCAGTGGTGCAATCATAGCTCACTGCAGCCCCAACCCCTGGGCTCAAGAGATCCTCCTGCCTTGGCCCCCAAAGGCACTGGGATTACAGATGTGAGCCACAGCATACAGCCCTGCCCTTGTTCTGAACTAGTGTGCTATCACCAGGACCCGAGGCAGGTGGATCATCTGAGGTCAGGAGGTCAGGATTCAAGACCAGCCTGGCCAACATGGAGAAACCCCATCTCTACTAAAAATACAAAAATTACCCAGGCATGGTGGCAGGTGCCTATAGTCCCAGCTACTCAAGAGGCTGAGGCAGGAGAATGGCTTGAACCCAGGAGGTGGAGGTTGCAGTGAGCCGAGATCGTACCACTGCACTCCAGCCTGGGTGACAGGGTGATACTCTGTCTCAAAAAAAAAAAAAAAAAAAAAAAAAAGCCACGAGCGGTGGACTGCCTGAGGTCAGGAGTTCGTGACCAGACTGACCAACATGGTGAAACCCTGTCTCTACTAAAAATACAAAAAAAATTAGCCAGGTGCGGTGGCATGCACCTGTAATCCCAGCTACTCGGGAGGCTAAGGCAGGGGAATTGCTTGAACCAGGGAGGTGGAGGTCGCAGTGAGCCGAGATGGCGCCACTGCACTCCAGCCTGGGCAACAGAGAGAGACTCTATCTTAAAAAAAAAAAAAAAAATTATTCTGGTAGGCTCAGGCCCCATGTGGCCTCTTACCTTGGCACTATACTGGTTGAGCTCTCCACTCTCATGGCCAGCGATGATGCACTCCCCCAGGGGTCCCCAAACAGCACTGGTGATTTTAGAGTCATTGCAAGGGATCTTCATGTAGGGCTCATTGTTGTCTGTGTGGGGCAGTAGATGTTAGGCCCTGGGCTCTAGAACTGTACCCTTTACCTCAACCCCAGCCCTATTCCCAGCCCTCACCAATCTGGCTCGGATCCCGCAGGTCAAAAAAGCTCACAAAGCACTGGTAGCCCATCTGCTTGTCCGTGGAGAACATGATGATGTTGCCCCCAAAGTCAAAACCGCAGGTCCGGACAGCCGAATTGGTCTTGAGAAGGGCCAGCTGCTTTCCTGGAGTCAGGCAAAGTCTGGGCTACACCATCCATTGCAATTGCAGGGAGGACATTCTAGAGAATGCTACCATCACATCTCACTGTTTGTCTTGCTCCAGTGACCCAAACTTAAAAAGTATTTTAACTTTTCTTTTTTTTTTTCTTTTTTGAGACAGTTTCACTCTGTTGCCCAGGCTGGAGTGCAGTGGTGCAATCTCGGCTCTCACTGCAAGCTCCGCCTCCCGGGTTCACGCCATTCTCCTGCCTCAGCCTCCCAAGTAGCTGGGACTACAGGCGCCTGCCACCATGCCCCGCTAATTTTTTGTATTTTTAGTAGAGACGGGATTTCACCGTGTTAGCCAGGATGGTCTTGATCTCCTGACCCGTGATCCGCCCGCCTCAGCCTCCCAAAGTGCTGGGATTACAGGTGTGAGCCACCGCGCCCGGCCTTTTTTTTTTTGAGATGGAGTTTCGCTCTTGTCCTGCAGGCTGCTGTGCGATGGTGTGATCTCGGCTCACTGCAACCTTTCAAGCGATTCTTCTGCCTCAGCCTCCTGAGTCGATGGGATTACAGGTGCCCACCACCATGCCTGGCTCATTTTTGTATTTTTAATAGACGGGGTTTCACCATGTTGGCCAGGCTGGTCTTGCACTCCTGACCTCAGGTGATCCACCTGCCTCAACCTCCCAAAGTGCTGGGATTACAGGCGTGAGCCACCACACCTGGCCAAGTATTTTAACTTCTTACCTAGACTCTTTCCTCAGACATCCTGCTAATGTGGCACTACTCATACGTAGACTGCAATATATCTGTCTCTCCCTCAGACTGTGCTTCTCCACAGCAAAGACCTGATCTGATTTCCCTCCATGTCCCCAGTACCCAGCATAGACCTGGCACTAAACAGAACAGCTTAGGCTGGGCACAGTGGCTTGTGCCTGTAATCTCAGCACTTTGGGAGGCCAAGGCGGGTGGATCACTTGAGCTGAGGAGTTCGAGACCAGCCTGGCCAACATGGTGAAACCCTGTCTCTACTAAAAATACAAAAATTAGCTGGTGGCCAGGTGCAGTGGCTCATGCCTGTAATCCCAGCACTTTGGAAGGCCGAGGTGGGTGGATTACCTGAGGTCTGGAGTTTGAGACCAGTCTGGCCAACATGGTGAAACCCTGTCTCTACTAAAAATACAAAAATTAGCCAGGTGTGATGGCGCATGTCTGTAATCCCAGCTATTTGGGAGGCTGAGGCAGGAGAATCACTTGAACCTGGGAGGCGGAGGTTGCAGTAAGCCAAGATTGTGCCACTGCACTCCAGCCTGGGTGACACAGCGAGAGAATCTGTCTCAAAAAAAAAAATCAGCCAAGCATGGTGGCGTGCGCCTATAATCCCAGCTACTGGGGCTGGCTGAGACAGGAGAATCCCTTGAACCCGGGAGACAGAGGTTGCAGTGAGCCGAGATAGTGCCATTGCTCTCCAGCCTGGGTGACAGTGAGACTCTGTCTCCAAAATAAGAAAAAGAAAAAAAAAAAAAAAAAGAAAACTTAATCTATGCTTCCTCTACCATGGCGTGTATTTTCTCATCTATCTTTCTTGTCTCTTATTCCCTAGACTGGAAACTATCTATGGATTTCATCTCTATTTTCCTAGGACCTGTTTACTCAAACAGGTACACTGTAGGTCCTCAATATTTGCTAAAAAGGTGAATGAACCCAGCTTACCTGTTTCACAGTCCCAGAGACGACAGCTGTTGTCAGCTGAGCCAGTGAGGACATGCTTGGTGTCCCCTGAAGAGTTGTTAAGAAATATGACGAAGTTCACCCGAGCCCTTGTCCTCTTGGGATGCCAAGTGAATCATCTCCCTGTTCAGCCCCAAAGAGCCTTTCTACCCCTCTTACCTCCTTATCCAGAACTGGAATTTGTCCTGAATGTTTCCTCAGTCAGTGAAGAGACCAGGGAGTAGGAGGTATCGTTCTCTAGGCCCTCAACAGCACCCCCAACTCCCAACTCCCAACTCAGCCTCTCCATCGCTGACAGACCCTAGCAACACGGACTCAGACCCAAAATAAGGATACAGTCAGCGTCCACACACCACACAGCTCCGGTATGGCCCATGTAGGTGCCCAGCCTCTCACCATTCACAGAGTACCATACATTGACGATCTGGAAAAGTCAAACCACAGGATAGTACACATCCCAGTAAGAGCAATGGCTTCCTATTTTGCCCCAGGAACCCTCAGCAGCCTGTAGCAAGGCTGATTCTGCCCTCTTCTGTTTATTTCTTGGGAAACAGCAGGGAGCTGGTAAAAAGACCAACTCCTGGATTCTCCTCCCTTCCTGAAGGGAAGCAACAGAGGAGTCAGGCGGCTTGTAAAGGCATCCTCATTTGTTAGCTCCAGCTCTCCTGGGACTCCCAACGGCTCCAAAGAATAAAAGGCCAAGTTGAGCTCCAGTCCAGAAAAACAGTATCTCTGATGTCTTATCCAAGTGGGAGCAGCTGGTAGTAAGGAAGTCTGGGTTCTGGTGCCTGCTCTGCCACTGTCTCACTATATGATCTCAAATACAGTGCTTCTCTCCTCTGAACTTCAGTTTTCTCATCTTGAAAATGGCCAGGCCGGGTGTGGTGACTCATGCCTGTAATCCTAGCACTTTGGGAGGCCGAGGCAGGCGGATCACCTGAGGTCAGGAGTTCAAGACAAGCCTGTCCAACATGGTGAAACCCCATCTCTACTAAAGATACAAAAAATTAGCTGGGCATGGTGGCACGAGCCTGTAGTCCCAGCTACTAGGGAGGTTGAGGCAGGAGAATCGCTTGAACCTGGGAGGCAGAGGTTGCAGTGAGTCGAGATCGCGCCACTGCACTCCAGCCTAGGCGACAGAGCGAGACTCCGTCTCAAGAAAAAATAAAATAAAATGGCCAGGTGCCTCAAAAGGCAGTATCATGAGGGATTGTTTGGCATTGAGTAGCAGGATGGGATTGACTTAAAATGAGACTAGAGACACCCTCATTAAGTTCCCTGTGTCTGAATAACACAGCCTGCACCTATCCTGGTAGAAAGATTAGATTATCCCTAAAGGTCGCATCCCGTTCTCTGGGCAAGCTGACCCTCATCTTTATCCCCTTTCCACAGTGGTCTCTTGCTTTTCTTGGAGTGCAGTGGCACGATCTCAGCTCACCGCGCTCAAGCGATCCTCTCGTTTCAGACTCCGAAGTAGCTGAGACCACAGGCGCGAGGCCACCATGTCAGGCTAATTTTTTTGTGTGTAGAGATGGGTCTTACTACGTTGCTCAGGCTGGTCTCCAACTCCTGGGCTCAAGCGACCCTCCCACCTCGGCCTCTCAAAGTGCTGGGATTACAGGCGTGAGCCACCGCACTCGGCCAATAGAGTTCTTCCCCACCTTTCCCGGTAGAATACTTTCGCCAACCTACCCCCGGCATGGCCTCTCCCTACTTCTCACAATGGGCTGCTCTTTGGTTCCCCGCTAACGGCAAAACTGGCGTGTCCACCCATCGTCCTGGCAGAAGGATCCCGCCCCTCCCGGACCCCCTCCAGCCAACACTCACAGGGTCCTTGGCCACAGTAAAGAGGAGGTCTCCTTCGCGGTTATACTTAATCTGCGTAATGGACCGCTCATGGCCCTGCAGTAGGATCGGCTTCTGTGGGGACAAGACAGTAACGTCAGTGCTCGGAATTGGGCCCCAGCCTCAGCCCAGGACCCCCACTGCAATACCCCTAACTCTGAAACTCACCATCCCGGCTGTGACGCGAGGAAGGCCGCAACGTGAGTAAGACCGGAAAAGGTTTCGAGGTCACTTCCGGATTATGGGTCTCCGCCCCTTCGTTCCCGGAAGTAGAAGACAGCGGCGTTGCCATGGCGGCGTCTCTGGGTAGGTAGCCGGCCCCGCCCTTCCATGGATTTCCCGACCCTCGCCTCGAATTCATTTCCTGCTCCACATCCACCCTCTAACCCCGACCCCTGCTACAACCCCAGAGGCCGGACTCCTGGATTCATCTCCCTAGCTTCCCTGGGCCTGCCTTAGCCGCCAGTCGCAGCCGAGGCGAAGAGAGCGAAGGAGGGAAGTGGGGGCGGCTAGCTGGGGCTAGAAGGCCAGGAGAGGGCGGGGTGGGCGGCCGTTTGGGGTGGGGGTCAGGGTGACTCACTCGTCTGCATTCAGGGCAGGTGTTGGCTCTGGTGCTGGTGGCCGCTCTGTGGGGTGGCACGCAGCCGCTGCTGAAGCGGGCCTCCGCCGGCCTGCAGCGGGTTCATGAGCCGACCTGGGCCCAGCAGTTGCTACAGGAGATGAAGACCCTCTTCTTGAATACTGAGGTGCGTCTCTGTGAAAGGCCCCTCTCTCGGTGGAGTTGCCGCCAAGAATTTGGTCTTTGGAGTCAAACAGGTCTGGGTCAGCCCCACCACTTACTCACTAGAAATTCTCGGAAAAGTCAGTTGTCCTTGAGCCTCAGTTTCATCATCTGTAAATGGCGATTATAATAATAACCATCTGATAGGTCAGTTGCAGGAATTAGGTGAGATACGTAGAGCACTTAGCATTAGGCCTAGAACATAGTAAGTGCTCAATCTATGGCTGCCATTATTCACATTTTATTGTGATTCCTTCAGTTACATAAGGCAACATTTGTGAGCCTTTCCAGAGGGAGGGCTTGGGGCTCAAATTGGCCCTGCAGGGGAGGAGTTCAGAGGAGGAAGGCTGGAGCTGGAGGACTTGGGGAAGGCTTCCTGGAGGGGCTGACATTGGCTTCAAGGCCTTGCAGGATGGGAACTAGCAGAGGTGAGGGAGAGGGTAGTTTGAGCAAAGGCACAGACTTCAGTCTGTTTCCCTCTTTGCCCTGGAAGGATCCTCCTTAGAGGGATTAGTGTTCTCTGGGTCCTTATAACCCTGCCTCCCTCCAAGGAAAGACATTCGCTAGGAGCTCAAAGAAGGCAGTGCTGCTCAGTCAGGCCATCACACTGACTGCAGGTTTCTCCTCTTTCCAGTACCTGATGCCCTTTCTCCTCAACCAGTGTGGATCCCTTCTCTATTACCTCACCTTGGCATCGACAGGTGGGTCCTGGCTTGGAACTGTTCTGCTTAGTGTTTGAGGCCACCTGGAAGAGTGATTGGGGGGGGCGGGGTGGAGCTTGAAACACCTCATTCCCATCAGTGAGAGAGGGCTGACTAGCTCTAGTTCCCTCTTACTATCCTCTTCTCTGAACAAGAGGGGCACAGTGTGCTGGTTATGAGTATGTTGCTAGGCACTGGAGTTGGTTTGAAGCCTGGCAGTCATGTGTGACCAGCGGAGGAAGAAGGAAGGTTCATTTTGCTGTGCCAAGTGCTGGCTTTCACATTCTTGCTTCCACTGTGTGCTACCTACCTGACCATGAGCAAGTCACCCATTTGAGCCTTGGTTTTATATAGTTGGCTTCATAGCATTGTGAGGATTAAATTTAATGAATGGGAAACATCTAGGAGAGTGCCTGGCACACAGTCAGAGCTCCATATACATAAATTTCCTTTCTCTTGACATTTGTGACTGCCCTCTACTACGTCAGATACTGCACTAGTCTTACACATTATTTAATTCCAATCATGACTCTGTAAAGCAGATATGATTATCTTAGAAAATGAAGTTGCAAAACTTTGTGCAATTTCACCTCTCAAGTCCCACAGGATGTCAGTGCAGAAGGATTTGAAGCCATATATTAAAAGTTTATGCTCGACTGGGCATGGTGACTCACGCCTGTAATCCCAGCACTTTGGGAGGCCAAGGAGGGCAGATCATTTGAGGTCAGGAGTTCGAGACCAGTCTGGCCAACATGCTGAAACCCCGTCTCTACTAAAAATAACAAAATTAGTTGGGTGTGGTGGTGTGTGCCTGTAGTCCCAGCTACTTGGGAGGCTGAGGCGCGAGAATGGCTTGAACCTGGGAGGCGGAGGTTGCAGTGAGCTGAGATCATGCCACTGCACTCCAGTCCCTGGGCAACAGAGCGAGACTCTGTCTCAAAAACAGAAAGAAAGAAATAATATGCACTTATTTAAAGAGTTTGAAAACCTCTGGCCTCATGCATTCACTGCTGTGGAAGAATGCTGAACCCTTGACCAGCTGACTACAGGTAGCCATTCACCAAGTTTTAATCAAATTGCAGTTTTAGGTTCTTTTTATCTCATTACCCTTTCTGCCTGTATCCTTTAATATCCATCCTTTCTAATAACCAGAACAGTAATAACTATTTATGAAGCATCCACTTCAGCCAGGGACTATCCATGCATTATCACAGTTCATCTTACGACAACCCAACAAAAGAAATGGTATACTGTGACCCCTATTTTACATGCGGGGAAACAGGTTGAGTGTTTGAATATCCTAACCAAGATTGCAAGGGAAACTCAGATCTGCCTCACTCCAATGCCCTCACTTTCCACTGCACCGTGCTGCATCCTTCTTCCATCTACTGTTGCAAACCAGACCTTAGCAGCCATGACACTCCTTGTAAGGTATGTAAACTTAAGAAGGCAGCTCTGGGCAGGGCACAGTGGCTCAGGCCTATAATTCCAGCACTTTTGGAGGCTGAGGTGGGCAGATAACCTGAGCCTAGAGATCACCCTAGGCAACAACAACAACAAAAATACGAAAATTAACTGGGCTTGGTGGTGTGTGCCTGTAGTCCTAGCTGCTCAGGAGGCTGAGGTGGGAGGATCGCTTGAGCTCAGGAGGTTGAGGCTGCAGTGAGCCTTGACCTCACCACTGCACTCCAGCCTGAGCAACAGAGAGAGACCCTGTCTCAAAACAACAACAACAAAAACGAAAAACAACCAAAAAAGAAAGCAGCTCTTTGTAAGTGGGGTTGTATCAATTTCTTAGATGGGTAATGCCTCCATGCTGGGGCCTCCCAGGGGATGAGGAGCAGGACAGTTTGCTCCTTTGCCTCACACAGGCGAGCCCTGGGAGTGCTGGGAAAGAATTTGCTGAGGAGCCAGTGTGAACATCTGGTCTGCAGTTGAGTCTTGTTACCATGGATAACTCAGCTGATTCGTCCATTGGTCTTTTTTATGTGTATGTGGTGCTTTTTTTTTTTTTTTTTGAGACGGCATTTCGCTCTTGTTGCCCAAGCTGGAGTGCAATGGTGCGATCTTGGCTCACTGCAACCTCCGCCTCCCAGGTTCAAGTGACTCTCCTTCCTTAGCCTCCCCACTAGCTGGGATTATGGGCATGTGCCACCACGCCTGGCTAATTTTGTTCTTTTGTTTTTGTTTTTTGAGATGGAGCCTTGCTGTGTCACCCAGGCTGGAGTGCAGTGGTGCAATCTCTGGTCACTGCAACCTCTGCCTACCAGGTTCAAGCAATTCTCCTGCCTCGGCCTCCCAAGTAGCTGGGACTACAGGCATGCACCACCATGCCTGGCTAATTTTTGTATTTTTAGTAGAGACGGGGTTTCACAATGTTGGCCAGGCTGGTCTTGAACTCCTGACCTCAAATGATCCACCCGCCTCGGCCTCCCAAAGTGCTGGGATTACAGGCGTGAGCCACCACACCCAGCCTAATTTTGTATTTTCAGTAGAGACGGGGTTTCTCCATGTTGGTCACGCTGGTCTCTAACTCCCAACCTCAGGTGATCCGCCCGTCTCAGCCTTCCAAAATGTTGGGATTACAGGCATGAGCCACTGCGCCTGGCTGTGGCTCTTTTTTTGATGTGATAAGAACACTTAACAGGAGATCTACCCTCAACAAATTTTAAGTTAACTCCATTAGTCTTTTTCTTTTTTTTTTGAGACAGAGTTTCACTCTTGTTTCTCAGGCTGGAGTACAGTGGTGTGATCTTGGCTCAGTGCAACCTCTGCCTCCTGGGTTCAAGCGATTCTCCTGTCTCAGCCTCCTGAGTAGCTGGGATTACAGGCGTCCGCCACTATGCCTGGCTAATTTTTGGTATTTTTAGTAGAGACGGGGTTTCACCATGTTGGCCAAGCTGGTCTTGAACTCCTGACCTCAGGTGATCCGCCCGCCTCAGCCTCCCAAAGTGCTGGGATTACAGGCGTGAGCCACCCTGCACCCAGCCAACTCCATTACTCTTTTTCAAGTTTGCTTATTGGCAGTCAGCCCCTTGGAACTTCAAAATTAAGGAACAGATCCTGGGCTATGATGCCCTCTACCCACACCACAGGTCCAGCCCAATGTCCTGAACAGGTCCTGCTCCTTCCTTCTGACACTTTTTATTTTTAACTCCATAAGGCCTGAGCTTGGGCTGAAACAGAAACAAAATGTGCTTCATCTGATGTTCTGCTCTGTCTATATCCACAGTTTAATAACGGCGCAGGCTTTGGAGTCAGGCAAGCCTTGGTTTAAATCCTCAACTTGCCTTAGTTTATGTGACTTCTTTGAGCCTTTGTTTCTTTTACGCAAAATGGTGATAATCCCCTTCTTGCAGTGTTGTGAAAACTGAGATATGTACACAAAGCACCTAGGCCATGGTATGTGCTTAATAAATGGTGGCTGTGCTTGGTGTTACCTGACTCTCTACTCATCCTTTGGGATTTGGGTGCCTGCCTGTCCGTCCAGATGTCCTTGAGATCTCACGAGTTCTCTTTGAGTGCAAAGACCTCATTCTCATTATCAAACCAGGCTGGTCCCAGACCTCAGAGTTCAGGTCTTCATGCTGGAATCCTGGGAAGCACTGAACGTGGAGTCAGGAGATGTGGGTTTGAGTCCTGAGATTTGCTGTGACTTCATCTGGAAGATGGGGTTTTGATACCTTTTTTAAAGGTATGAAATGATGATGATGGAAGTGTTTTGTGCCTAGAAAGGCATTTGTTGCATCTCAGGCATTCTTTTCATTCTGACCACCCAGATCTGACCCTGGCTGTGCCCATCTGTAACTCTCTGGCTATCATCTTCACACTGATTGTTGGGAAGGCCCTTGGAGAAGATATTGGTGGAAAACGTAAGTTAGACTACTGCGAGTGCGGGACGCAGCTCTGTGGATCTCGACATACCTGTGTTAGTTCCTTCCCAGAACCCATCTCCCCAGAGTGGGTGAGGACACGGCCTTTTCCCATCCTGCCCTTTCCTCTGCAGCTGTTTTGCTTCCTTGTGGCCATCAGAGTTCCCTTCCCCTGGACAGTCTGGAGAAAGACAGAGGCTGGGGTTTGGGATTGAAGACCAGACCCCATCTGAGCCCTTCCTCCAGCCCTGTACCAGCTCCTACTGGCATGGCTGAGCTCAGACCCTCCTGATTTCTGCCTATTATCCCAGGAGCAGTTGCTGGCATGGTGCTCACCGTGATAGGAATTTCACTCTGCATCACAAGCTCAGTGAGTAAGACCCAGGGGCAACAGTCTACCCTTTGAGTGGGCCGAACCCACTTCCAGCTCTGCTGCCTCCAGGAAGCCCCTGGGCCATGAAGTGCTGGCAGTGAGCGGATGGACCTAGCACTTCCCCTCTCTGGCCTTAGCTTCCTCCTCTCTTATGGGGATAACAGCTACCTCATGGATCACAATAAGAGAACAAGAGTGAAAGAGTTTTGTAACCTTCAAGTGCTGTTCAGCTGCGGGGATTTAGCACAGGAGACTCTACGCTCACCCTCAGCAACCTTTCTGCCCCAGCAGCTCTCTTCCTGCTAACATCTCAGGCTCCCAGCCCAGCCACCATTACTGTGGCCTGATCTGGACTATCATGGTGGCAGGTTCCATGGACTGCAGAACTCCAGCTGCATGGAAAGGGCCAGCTGCAGACTTTGAGCCAGAAATGCAAACGGGAGGCCTCTGGGACTCAGTCAGAGCGCTTTGGCTGAATGAGGGGTGGAACCGAGGGAAGAAGGTGCGTCGGAGTGGCAGATGCAGGAAATGAGCTGTCTATTAGCCTTGCCTGCCCCACCCATGAGGTAGGCAGAAATCCTCACTGCCAGCCCCTCTTAAACAGGTAGAGAGCTGTGAGCCCCAGCCCCACCTGACTCCAGCACACCTGGCGAGTAGTAGCTGTCAATAAATCTATGGTAAACAGACAAGAGGTTAGTAAGTATTCTTTTATTGTGACAAACCCTCTCCCAGGCTTAGTCAGCTACTCCTTTCTCTGGCCAGAGAATCCCATAAGGAAATAGCCCCCACAGCCAGGGCTGCTCTGCTCAGAGGAAGGGAAGGCTGGGCTGTGGGTTTAGGAGCAGGAGAACGGGGAGGGCTGAGGAGGCCGCAGTGTACCCTGTGAGCCCAGCGGAGGTGCTGGCTCCTGAGGAACAAGCTGCTGGAGGCTAAGGACAAAAGGTGGCCAGAGTAGTGGTCCCCAGTTGCCCTCTGGAGCTGCTGGCTCTCAAGATGGCAGAGCTGGGGCTGAGGCTGAGATAGCAGCCCCAGCCCCAGGCTGGTTTTCCAGGGACAAGGCCTCTTCCACTATCTGTGCTGCCCTCTGCAGGAGGTGGAAGGCCATACAGAATGGAGCCGTGAGTATGGCCAGCCTCCAGCTCTCAGCCAGGAGGTCCCCAACCCCAAGGAAGGAAGAAACTGGAAATTAGGAACTGCTTCCTCATTTAACAAGGTAGGAAGTTAGGAGATCATTTACTTTCAATCACAAGGGAGGAGAACTGTTCCTGGGGCCCAAGGCTGC
The DNA here is from genome assembly GCF_000001405.40 of Homo sapiens. Classification (NCBI taxonomy): domain Eukaryota; kingdom Metazoa; phylum Chordata; class Mammalia; order Primates; family Hominidae; genus Homo; species Homo sapiens. The sequence continues at coordinate 32,215,603 of NC_000001.11, read as the reverse complement.
CAGTTTCCAGCTCAGAGCTCCTCCCACCCCAACATACTGTTTCCTGATCCAACAGCTTACCTGATCCAAGGGCTCCTCTGTCTGAGTGTCTTCATCATCTGCTACTTCCAGGGCCCCCGCTGTCTCCTTCCTTCGGTGGGGAGCTCCATATACTCCTATAACTCCTAAAGAGGGGAGGCAGCACTGGGTGATGCCCAGGCTGAAGAGCCCTCAGCATTCCTGCCCTGGACCTTCATGCTAGCCCCTTTCCCTCCCCTGAACCTGGTTCTGCATTCCCCACCACCTCCCAGGATGGCAAGGAAGTGAGAGGTGGGCCTTTGGTCCCACCCCCATCCCCTCTATATCCCACCCCTGAAGTCTTATCGCTTTAAGCACTGCCCTTTCCAGGTGCTTCTTTTCATGTGATGAGGCCCTGTGAAGAAGGGACAGGATATACAGACGGGGGCAGCTGGAGACAGTTATGATGAGGTCAGTACCAGCTTTTTTTTTTTTTACGGGCAGTCTCCTGAGCCACAGTAGGTTCAGACTCCTTTATCTTTTTTTTTTTTTTCCAGTGCCGGCTTTGTGTCTGAGCATTCTGCTCCCATGGACATCCCCAACAACAGCAGGGACCAACCTATGTCACTGTCAAAGGGCAGCTGAGAAGGGCCTGAGCCCCAGGGACCCCTCACCTGATGGGAATGAGAGTGTGGGGAGCTTGCTTCTTGGCTGAATGGTCTGCTGGGGTCTGGCATAGAAAGCAGATGGCTTAATTCGGTCTGGTTCCTTTGGAGAGGGCTGGGTTACCTGGGCCCTGTGGCCTTGGGCCTAGAGAAGGGACACTGGGCTTGGACCCTGATTGCTGGCCATTCTTACCTTTCCTACTCCCCAGTTCAGGCTTCAGAGAGCCCCTGACGCCTGCAGGAACATGGCAGAGGAGACACCGTCTGTCTTCACAAAGTACGTCCTCCCTCCTTGCTGCCTCTTCCCACCAGCCTGACTTATCCAGGGACAGAGCAGTAGATGCCTGGCACTCCTCGATGCCCAGTGAAACCAGACTGTGCTTCCCCACCCCCACCACCATGCCCCATGCTCACTGGCTCATTTCTTGGGAGGGCTTAGAGCTGGATAATATAAGTTCCCTTGGACCCTGCTGTGCCAAATATACCAATTCTCTCTCCCAGCGTCCAACCTAGCAAGAAGGTATTAAGTCCTGCAAATCAGATGAGAATTCTGGTCTGGCCCCTGCCACTCAATAACTCTGTCACCCTGAACAAATCACTTCACTTTTTTTTTTTTTTTTTTTTTTTTTGAGACTTGAGTCTTACTCTCTCACCCAGGCTGGAGTGCAGTGGTGTGATCTCAGCTCACCACAACCTCCGCCTCCCAGGTTCAAGTGATTCTCCTGCCTCAGCCTCCCAAGTAGCTGGGACTACAAGCACCCACCACCATGCCCAGCTAATTTTTTTGTACTTTTAGTAGAGATGGGGTTTTACCATGTTGGCCAGGCTGGTCTTGAACTCCTGACCTCAGGTAATTCACTCTCCTCAGCCTCCCAAAGTGCTGGGATTACACGTGTGAGCCATCGTGCCCAAGGCCCACTTCACTTTTCAGCTTCAGTTTCCACCTCTGGAAAATGGGGATAATCTTTCTTTCACAAGATTATTAAGAGTGGCCAGGCGAGGTGGCTCACGACTGTAATCCCAGCACTTTGGGAGGCTGAGGTGGGCAGATCACCTGAGGGAGTTTGAGACCAGCCTGACCAACATGGAGAAACCCTGTCTCTACTAAAAATTAAAAAAATTAGCCGGGTGTGGCTGAGCGCGGTGGCTCACGCCTGTAATCCCAGCACTTTGGGAGGCTGAGGTGGGCTGATCACGAGGTCAGGAGATCGAGACCATCCTGGCTAACACGGTGAAACCCCGTCTCTACTAAAAATACAAAAAAAATTAACCGGGCATGGTGGTGGGTGCCTGTAGTCCCAGCTGCTCGGGAGGCTGAGGCAGGAGAATGGCATGAACCCGGGAGGCGGAGCTGGCAGTGAGCCAAGATTGCGCCACTGCATTCCAGCCTGGGCAACAGAGCGAGACTCCATCTCAAAAAAAAAAAAAAAAAAAAAAATTAGCCGGGTGTGGTGGCACATACCTGTAATCCCAGCTACTCGGGAGGCTGAGGCAGGAGAATCACTTGAACCCAGAAGGTGGAGGTTGCAGTGAGCTGAGATTGTGCTATTGCACTCCAGCCTGAGCAACAAGAGTGAAACTCCGTCTCAAAAAAAAAAAAAAAAATTATTAAGAGGATGCAGGCTGGGCATAGTGTAATCACAGCACTTTGGGAGGCCAAGGTGGGAGGATTGCTTGAGCCCAGGAGTTCAAGACCAGCCTTCGCAATATCGTGAGACTCATCTCTATATTTAAAAGAAAAAAGGAGGCCGGGCACGGTGGCTCACGCCTGTAATCCCAGCACTTTGGGAGGCTGAGGCGGGCAGATCACAAGGTCAGGAGTTCAAGACCAGCCTGGCCAACATGGTGAAACCCCATCTCTACTAAAAATATACAAAATTAGCTGGATATGGTGGAGCGTGCCCATAATCCCAGCTACTCAGGAGGCTGAGGCAGGAGAATTGCTTGAACCGGGACCTGGGAGGCGGAGGTTGCAGTGAGCCAAGATCCTGCCACTGCACTCCAGCCTGGACTACAGAGCAAGACTCTGTCTCAAAGAAAAAGAAAAAAGAGAGGATGCAGTGAAATAAGGTCAGAGCCTGTGCCAGAAGAGTTGTCAGCCAGTCACTCCCCTTCTTCCCACCCCTCATTGTCCCCTGCGTCACCTACCCCCTGCCTGTGGGGCCTAGACTTCGAGCCTGGAGGTTGCCTACAATGACAAAAGGAAAGGCTTGTAGTGGGCAGAGGGCATAGAGTCAAAGCACACAGACCCAGAGGGTGGCTTCCTCTGCCCGGCCTGTTACCGCTCCACCTCCCACATACATACCAGCAGCCCCTGGGCAGGGAGGGGCTGGGCACCAGCAGCTCCAGATAGGGAAGGTCCTTGAACTCATCCTCTCCGACAGCCACATAGTAATGGCCAGTTACCAGCTCCTTCCCTGCTGACAGTGGGAGCCCCTCTAGGGTGCAGAGTCTGGGAGAGAGAGGTGAGGAGGATAAGGGCTGGTAGACTCGATGCTTCTTCACATTCAGCAGACTGAAGGGGTGGGTGCAGCTATTCCAAGGTGCCCTCTGGCCTCTAGGCACCCAGGCTCTACCCTGCCTCTGAGGGCTGGGCAGAGGGCCCTCTCCCAGTGGCATAGGGGGAAGTCCCATGTGGGGGAACATGCTTTCCTTTTGCCTCTTCATCCTCAGCCACAGCTGAAGCCAGTGGCGAGGCTCTCTTTGGGGACTTTTGGGCCCTCGCAGTCCCCATACTCACTTGCACACAGCCCCACTCTGCAACTTGACCTTCTCAGTCAGGAGCTTCAACACAGTTTCCCAGTCCTGGCTGGCAGCCTGGGACAGCTTCAGACTAAATGGGGGACTTACCAGGTCCCCATTCCTGAACACACTGAGACAAAAAGCCTGGTAAGGGGGAGTGTCCCCAGGAGTCCCTACATGTGAGGGGAAGGGTGGCACAGGGCCAGCAATAACCATAACACTGGTCTCTCTTCACCCATCAAGCATGCTGGACTTCTACATTCCCAACAGTAACCAGAGGCTCCTAGAACAAACCCAACACCATTTTCTTGGCCTTACTAAAACAAACATCAACACCCCTGCTCCCTCACACTGGCACTCACTGGATATAGCTGGGAGCACCTGCAGGCAGCTGCCGTCCAATGGCCCCATCACACAAGTGGCGAGTCACGGGAGGACCCTGAAACCCATGTCAGGCCTCCAAATCAGGAGAGTTGGGGCCTTTGGTTAGGGGTGGGCCCATCCAAGGTGTGGAGTGAGGGGGCCGGAACCAGACTGGGGCAGGAAGGGGGCGAGGAGGAGTAAGACAGTTTACACCTTTCACCAAACGGTGCTTAGATGTTCCCTAAGTCACATTCTAACCACCCCCTCCCCCAATCTGTGTTTCACATCTTTCTCTTTCCTTTGGGGACCCCAGTGTGGAGTTAAAGGCTGCGACAGAAGCAAGAAATAGTGTCTTGAAATCCCACGCCCCAGGAAAGATAGTAGCTGGCTCCAAAGTACCCCCCTGGAACTGGCAGATCCTGCTGCTTCCCTGGCTTCCCAGACCAAATTGGGGGCAGTTCCAGGAGGAGTGGGAAGACAGAGGGGCTGGGGCACAGGTTCCCCGGGACTCACTTGTAGTCTGCAGCTCTTCCCACCTGGGTCCTTCCCTCTATGGGGTAAATAGCTGAAAGGACAGATAGATCACAGGTCATCTTGTGGAGACTGAGGCCTCAATAGCCTGGCAGATGTCAGTGTTGGGTTGGGGCGCAGCTCACCAGATATCCCTCCCCATGGAATAGTGGCAATCATCTCAGTCCAGAAACAAGATATTGGCAGCTGAACCTGCCCTAGGACCCCTTGAGTGCTCAAGTGCTGTCTGGGTAAGTGCTGAGTAAGTCTGGAAATCCAGACTGGGGTCTCAGTACTAACCATGAGATTAAAGGTCAAGAAGGCTGGGCATGGCAGCTCACGCCTGTAATCCCAGCTCTTTGGGAGGCTGAGGCAGGAGGATCACTTGAGCCCAGGAGTTTGAGACCAGCCTGGGCAACCTCATTGCTACCAAAAAACAAAAAAATTAGCCAGGCATGGTGGCATGCACCTGTGGCCCCAGCTACTTGGGAGGCTGAGGCAGGAGGATTGCGTGAGCTCAGGAGTTCGAGGCTGCAGTGAGCCATGATCGCGCCAGTGCACTGCACTCCGGCCTGGGTGACAGAGCAAGACCCTGTCTCAAAAAAAAAAAAAGTCAAGAGAAACTAGAAACTAGTGCATTATGCATCCTGCTGTATCCCAAGAATATTCTCATTCATGAGATAGGTCGTTTTATCTCCATTTTGTATGAGATTCCAAGAAATTAAGTGACTTGCCCAAAGTCACACAAGGAATGAAGCCTAGATTCTAAGTCTACCTAGCTTCCCTCCTCTGGCCTTTTTTTTCTTTTTTTCTCTTTTTTTTTCTTTTTGAGACAGAGTCTCACTCTGTCCCCCAGGCTGGAGTGCAGTTGTGCGATCTCAGCTCACTGCAACCTCCGCCTCACGGGTTCAAGCGATTCTTCTGCCTCAGCCTCCTGAGTAGCTGTGATTATAGGCACGTGCTACCAGGCCTGGCTGATTTTTTTTTTTTTTTTTTTTTTTAGATGGAGTTTCACTCTTATTGCCCAGGCTGGAGTGCAGTGGCACGATCTCGGCTCACTGCAACCTCTGCCTCCAGGTTCAAGCGATTCTCCTGCCTCAGCCACCCGAGCAGCTGGGATTACAGACATGCGCCACTACGCTCAGCTAATGTTGTAGTTTTAGTAGAGATGGGGTTTCTCCATGTTGGTCAGGCTGGTCTTGAGCTCCTGACCTCAGGTGATCTGCCCGCCTTGGCCTTCCAAAGTGCCGGGATTACAGGTGTGAGCCATCGTGCCTGGCCAATTTTTGTATTTTTAGTAGAGACAGAGTTTCGCCATGTTGGCCAGGCTGGTCTCGAACACCTGACCTCAGGTGATCCACCCGCCTTGGCCTCCCAAAGTGTTAGGATTACAGGCGTGAACCACCGTGCCCAGCCACTTACTCCCTCTTGATCCTTACATTATAGTAAGCAACCTCAGCTGAGAGCTAAGAGTAGGACCTGGAAGCCAGACATGAGTCAGAGACTCAGGTACTCAAATTCTTCTCCCACCCTGGGAGACAGTCTCCTCCTGCAACAGAGGATGGCCCTAGCCTAACGGGAGAGTCTGGGATGCCTATGCACAGTGGGGAGGAATGGATGGGTGGATTTAGAGTGTTCAGTGATAGGGGGTCCAAGCAAGAAGAGCTTTTGGAAAAAGGGGCTCACCCTGTGGGAGAGTGGTCTTCCCACAGGCTGATCTTGGCTGTGATGGGCATAAACATTAGTAACACACAGAATTCTATTTGAATTTCAGTTCAACTATTTGTTATGTACTTTTAGGCAGGTTTTCTGTCTGTTTTCCCTTTCTAATGGAGGCAAAACCACCCCCCCTACATAGAGTTCAGTAAGTACCAGTAACATGCTGGTACATACATGGTAGGTACTGAATACACGCTCTTGCCGTTACCTCCCTTGCTAGGCTGTTTGACCAGCCCCAGCCCACTCACTGGAGCTTGTGGAATCGTTCAAATCCAGCGGCCACATACTGCCCTCTGTTCTTCAAGTCTGCCAGGTTGGTGACAGGGTGGCCATGACAAGGTGTGTAGAGGGCACGCACAGCCAGTGGGGCCTGCACAGCTGATGTCACCTCGCAGAGGAAGGCCTCCATGGTGGGGAAGCGGCGTTGAGTCACCACCAGCTGGGAGCCTGGGAAGAATGGGTCCCCATTCCGGTACACCACTACCCTCTTGGCTGCTGGACTGCCACCTGCCATAGTGTATCCTCAGTCAGAGAAACAGACCTGTTGCCAGGCAACCAAGGAAGGGCTGGGAACATTGCCAATCAGAGGTGGAGTCCTGCCCTCTCACCCAGGAAGGCAGAGGGAGACTGTGGCAGGAGCATTTATCTGCATTCAGGGTTTTATCCCATCTGCCCTGGGGAGATCACACTTAAACATAGGTGTTACCCTACTCTCCAGAGCCTCCTTGCCACTCTAAAGCACAAGGCTGAGCTCAATTGGGGATCAGCTTTGGGAGCTGTTCCCTAAGGAGGATGGCTAGATCTTTTCCTGGGCCATGGCTCCCAGCTGGCTCCGGGGTCAATGCCCCATGCCAGTAGGAAGTGAACGGCAGGGCCCAGAATCTGTCCTGGCCAGAAGCAGAAATGAAAGCAGCCAGACTCAGAATCTAAGAAAAACCTTTATTCCCAACAGACCTCTCATTCTACTTCCCCCAGGTAACTCCTTAGCCACACATTTGTTTTTTGAGACCGTGTCTCGCTCTGTAGCCCAGGCTGGAGTGCAGTGGCATCATCTTGGCCTACTGCAATCTCCATCTCCTGGGTTCAAGCGATTCTCCTGTCTCAGCCTCCCGAGTAACTGGGACTACAGGCATGCACCACCACGCCTGGCTAATTTTTATATTTTTAGTTGAGATGGGGTTTCATTTCACCATGTTGGTCAGGCTGGTCTCAAACTTCTGACCTCAGGTGATCCACTCACCTTGGCCTCCCAAAGTGCTGGGATTACAGGTGTGAGCCACTGCACCCGGCCCCTTATCCACAAATTTGGATTGAGCTACAGGCAGAGGATTGAAAATGTGTCCTTCCTCCTTCCCTATACTCATGCCAGCTCTCTGCTCCAGCTTCTCTTGGCCCCACTAGTCACCAATGGCCAGGGGCAGGAGCAGAAGCCAGAGCTGGTCAGGGAGGTAGGATGAGGTCTTGTCTCACTGCCCTTTCATAGCATTCCCCTTTGGAACCTGATCCTCTCCTGGCTTCCTAGGGTCTAGCCAGGTGGTTCTGTTTTCCATGGCCTGCCCCTCCACTGTTCCTCTCCTGTACAGCCTGCCTTTGTAGAAGACAGAATCTCAGGTGACTTTGATCTCCATGGTATAGTCCTCTGCTTTTTCTGTCCTTCATGACTAGGCTCATTGGAGGTTCCATCTCTGGAGCTTCTATCAGTGGGGGCCTGGCCTTTGGGTGGTTTAGTCCTCCAGAGATCGAGGACACTATGCTCTGGCCCCCCCAAGGTACCATCCCAGATGATGTGGTCCTCTGAGAGGCCCAACTCTTGTGTCCTGACTGTTCGGCAGTCAGGCTCTTTGTGGTCTAGTTTTCTGGGAGACATCTCCTTAATATTTGAGTCCTCATAGAGTGCAGACAGCTGTGTCCTGGACTTCCTGGGACAATGGTTCCTAGGTTTTAAACCTCTGGGGGTCTGGTCCTCCAGGATTTTCATCTGCAGCAGGCAGGTCCCTCCAAAGGTCTGTCTTCCATCGTCTGGCCCTTTGGTGAGCCTGTCCCCCAAGGCCTGGCTGTTTGATGGTATAGACGACGGTGGTCCAGACTTGCTGTAGCATGGTTCTCTGCACTTAGCCCCAGCAATGTTTTTTTGTGTAGTGGCCAAACTTCCTGGGGATCTGTGGGGTGATTTGACCCTGTGACAGGAGTCATCCTCCTGTTCTAGCTCTCCAGTGGTCCTGTCTCTGTAGGACTGGTCCTCCAGTGGTGCGCTTGGTTGTGACTGGTCCCTCTCACAGGCCTGTTCCCCATGTTCTAGGAACACGCGGGGTTCCTCTCTGATCGGGCCCGCCTCTGGGGATCTCAGTGTTTGTTTAAGAAGTAGGTACTGTTGGGGGAGAGAACATACATTGTACCAAGCAGGCCTGCTTGGGCATGGCAGGTCGTCTCTCCCTAACCCCCACCCTTGACCCTAAATGTTCAGAAAGAGTTCCAGGTTAGTGTTACCTCCTTACGGCTATTGATGGCCTGTTGCAGCCACAGCAATTCCATGGCCAAGTGGCTGCGGTGGTACTGAAGCTCTTGAAGCTGAGGTTGGCTGTGGGGCAGTCTTTGATCTGTGGCTTCTGTGAAGGAGGGAAGAAAGGAAGGAGAAAACCTTGAGGGACCAGACCCTGGGAAATGGCCTAGCCTTAGACTTTGGAAACTCCCTCCCCTGCACTGCCCAACCATGTGGTGGCCCTATCCCGGCAGAGGGAAGACGGGAAAGGGATGCAGCTTATCTAGCGCAAGCCTTTCACTCTTCAGATGGGAGGCTGAGGCACAGTGAGGGTCAGGGGCTTGCCCTGATCTTTGCAGAGAGGTACCTGGATTCTCCATCCTTGTCGTGTCTCTGGTCTTCTCTTGGCTGGGTTTCCTGTTCTGCTTCATCTGAAGCCAGGAGCTGTGATCTCTGCAGAGGCTTCCTTGATTTGCTGAGCTCTCTCCTGACTTCTTCAGCACCATCTCCTCCCAGGTGGCCTCTCCCTCAGACTCTTCACATGGGAAGTGGTTCCACAGCCCCTGCTCTGGATTTGCTACCCTGTCTCCTGCTTTCCAGGTCTGATGGGATTTTGCCTTCTGAGAAACAAGAGAGATGTGAGAGCCCCAGGGCTAAACCCTTCCAAGTATCTGGGCACCATGATCTAGCAGACAAGTTGGTGAGGGTTAAGGAGTGGGGTGTGAGGAGGTGAGTCTACTGCCTCTTCCAGTGAGAAAAGCTTATCACTGGGAAGGGTGGGTTCCACCCTGCCCAAGTCCCTCCTTCCCTTCTCTCCTAGGTGTGTTCTACCTCTGGGAGGAATCGCGGCCTGGGAATGCGGCCCTCGGTCCACTGAAGCGTGCCCAGGTCGCCCTCGACCTCTCGTACAATCGCCTCATACTCAGCTCGCAGGCTCTGGAACTGGCGTCGGACCAAGAAGCCCCGGACGCAGGCCTGGTATGGAGAACGAGAGGAAAGAAGTCCCTTATCACGGTAAGAGAGGGGGCATCTCGGAGGACTGTCCTGAAGAGGTCGTCCCGGCGAATGCAAGAGGGGACCTGACGGCGGGGAAAGGATAGGTGGGCTGTGCGCTAGGGCTCCGGGGGGCTCGAGGGACGATGCCAGACTGGATGCCCCTCCTCGCCTTAAGGCTCTTCCCGTTTCCCTGATCCGGCGCGAGCGTGTGGTGGGAGTGGGGACGCGCAGGGCAGGGAGTCCGTGGGTCCCAGCTTTCCTCAGCGCGGTTGGGGACAGCCGGTATCTCCAGAGGTTGGCGCGCAGTTAGGGGACTGAACGTGGTAGCATCTCGCTGGGAGGTCCAGGTACGAGACCCCATGATTTCCCTAAAGGAAAAATCCTGTGAACCCCGCGCCCGCCCCCGCACCTGCAATGCAGACACCTTCCGAACCAGCAGCTCTGGCTCCATGGGCGCCAACTGCCAGGCCCGCCCGCGCGCCTGCGAAGTACGTCATTGGTCGGCGTCGCTCCTGAGCATGCGCGGGCGTGGGCTTTGCCCCAGCCGTTCCCACGGCAACCTCCTACCGTCCAGGGTAGAGGCGTCCTGGCGACAGGCGTACCTGCGTCCCCCCAGCCCCCGACTGCCCCTCCCACAGCCGCAAGGGGCACTCCAATCCCGCAGGCGGTACCTCCATAACCGAGGGCTGTCTCCGCGGAGACCGGGAGGAAAGGCGCAAGGAGGGGAAGCAGGACACGGAGCCGCTTGCTTTCTTTCTGGTTTAATTCCATTCAACGCCCCCCTCCCCCATAGCACCTGGGGGGCCGCAGAACACCCGCCCGAGTCTGTAAAAAGTCACAGTTTGAAGAGAATGAGAGGGGCAGTGTGGGCCTGCGTGGGACGCCTACGCAGCGGACTGCTCCTCAGGCTCGGCGTTCTCGGCCAGGTGCAGCTTCTGGCTGTGCCCGTCAAGGATCGTGGCGCTTTGGACCAGTCCTTCCTCCCACCCCGGTCTCCCATCTTGCACAGGTTTAGTTCCCTCACCTGTGCAAAGGGCCGGGGACGAGGGTCTCGGGCCGTCTGTGGACTGAGGTTGCAGTCCCCGCCTGCCCTCTCTCACCCCCTCTCTCTTCATCCAGATCGTGCAGGTCAGACACACTGGGGTGTGTGCGCGCGCACTCGCGCTGTTTCTGACTGAGGACCAGGTGAGGTGGTAGTGTAAATTAGTAAAAATAATTGTTCAATGCTGAAAGGATAGGAGGACATCGGACAAGCTTTGCTATGATTGATGTCAGCTAAAGTACTCACAAAGATTTTGATCAGTAGTAAAACATCCCCTACAACCACTTTTCTTCTAATTTTGGGGAAATTCTAAATTCCTGTACCTGGGTTTGGGCAGTCTGTGGCTAAATCTGACAGGACTGCAAGAGGTGGGGAAGTTGGTTGTGTGTGAATACTCCTGGAGGGCTGGAGAGGAGGAAACTGACCTCTCAGGAACACACACACATAGACGGGTTCCTTGGAAAGGATACATAGAATTACTGAGGTCTTCCAGCTGCCAACAAAGAGAAAAAGGGAGGCTTCTGTTAGGAGGGGAACCAGGCCAAATCCCCAATGCTCTGGGGGCTATCTTCTGGGGAGGTTGAGGGGCCCAGAGCTCTTGGATCCATGCACTCCCACCTTTTCACCCAGGGCCCAGGAATGGCTTTGGGAGTATGTACCTTCTCCACCCCTCATGCCCCCAGGAACCAAAGCACCCAGACATGAACCCACATTGCTAAGCAGCTGGTCCAGGTTACGGTCAGCCATTGTCTTCTTCTGCTCCTCTGGCAGCCCCTCAGTGACCCCATCCTCTTCCTCTTCATCGTCCTCCTCCTCCCCACACACATCCAGGCTGAAGTGCAGCCGGGCTAGCTTCTCCTGCATCTCCCGAACGTGCTCCAGCTGCTCAAAGGAGCATTCCTTCCCTGGAACGAAGCCCCTGTCTGAACCCTGGGAAAGAGTCCTGGAACCCTGGAACCCTGGAACCATGGTCCCAGCCATGCCCCATGGACTGGGCCCTACAGCCCTATCCACACACCCGCTGAAACCAGCCCCCAGGACTCACCGAAGGCCTGCAGCCGGCCAGAGTGGAAATCATTGAGCAGGTTCAGGAGTCCCCCCTCCATCTCATAGACATCAGTCACCTCGGTCAGGAAGGAGTGCTGCAGGGGCGTGCCTGCAGAGCCGCTTCCACCTCCAGCCAGGACTGGGCGGCACTTCTCTTTGCCTACTCTGGGTGGGGTGGACATGACCATGATCACAGGGTAGGGGGCAGTCAGGCACCTCCCGATCTTTTGTGCCATCTGCCTATGCACCAGTTTATCTGTCTATCTGCACTAACTCATCTGCCCATCTACTTACTAGCATAAATGGGTAACTTTATGGTTCCCCTTGGGCACTGGGAAGGGGTGAGGAGGCGTGAAGAGGTCAAAAAGAAGTCTTTTCTGCTAATAACACAGCCAGAGCAGTGCCTGAAAGGGGGTCCCTGGGTTCCTGTCTGAGTGCCTCACTCATTTGTTTTATGACCCTGAATGAGTCACTTATCCTCCCTAGTCTTCAGCGTATATAGAGACAGCTACTCCCTTATTGCCACCAGGGCTGTCTTACCTCCTCCCAAAATATCTTTCTGCCCCTCTTCTTTTTTTTTGTTTTTTGAGACAGAGTCTCGCTCTGTTGCCCAGGCTGGAGTGCAGTGGTGTGATCTCGGCTCACTGCAACCTCGCCTCCTGGGTTCAAGTGATTCTCTTGCCTCAGCCTCCCAAGTTGCTGGCATTATGGGCGCCTGCCACTATGCCCTGCTAATTTTTTTTACTTTTAGTAGAGTTGGGGTTTCACCGTGTTGGCCAGGCTGGTCTTGAACTCCTGACCTCAGGTCATCTGCCTGTCTTGGCCTTCCACAGTGCTAGGATTACAGGCCTGAGCCACTGCCCCTAGCCCTCTTCTTTTTTTTTAATTAAAAAAAAAATTTTTTTTTTGTTTGAGACAGAGTCTCACTGTCACACAGGCTGGAGTGCAGTGGCACAATCTCGGTTCACTGCAACCTCTGCCTTCCAGGTTCAAGTGATTCTTGTGCCTCAGCCTCCCAAGTTGCTGGGATTATAGGCACCCACCATCACGCCTGGCTAACTTTTGTATTTTTAACAGAGATGAGGTTTCACCATGTTGACCAAGCTGGTCTCAAACTTCTGACCTCAGGTGATCTGCCTGCCTCAGCGTCCCCAAGTGCTGGGATTATAGGCTGAGCCACCATGCCCAGCCAACCCTCTTCTATTTAAAAACTCTTTTAAACAAAAACAAAAATACATAGAAAACAAAGCCAAACCAATAAACCAAAAAAACTGTCTTAAAATTTCCACTGCTCTCAGGATAAAATTGAATGCCCCTGCCAGCCTGGCCCTCCTGCCTTCCCAGTTGCCTTTCCTGCTACTCTCCCCACAGCCTTGAGCTTCATGCCCCTTAGGCAAGTGGTGTGCAAAACCAGGGGGAAACACAGTGGTCTTATCTGGAGCAACTGGAGAAAGAATACATTGTATTTAGTGGGGAACAAACATGGACACATTATAAGGCAGCATGCAAACTCCCAATCATAAAAAAAATTCAACAGAGAATTCAAATTGTGCCCCCAGGTATTTCCTCACCATTTCCTGTTCCCTGATACTCCAGGGCCCCCAAACCACCTGTGGTTCCTGAAACCTTTCAGGTAATAGCTTTCTTCCATATTTATACCAGGTAAGCCTCTCAGCGTGGAACATTCACTTTCTTGCAGAGTTGCTCACTCCCTCCTCTGAGGCGAATCCTCACGCTATGTGATCCCAGTGACCCACCTGGCCTTTTTGCCACACAGTTGAGGGTAGGGACTGGGTCTGAGTGAGCTCTGAGTTCTCAGGGGTCTGCTCCAGAAAGGCATCAATTATTGCTTAGGAACTAAAGGCGGAGGCCCCCCTTGCCTTCCTCTCTACAGTGCAACCCAGAGTTGGGGTCCCTCCTCCTTTCCTTCCCTTCTGTACCCACCTCTTGAACTTGGCCCGCTGCTTGGGGGATGGCAGATGAGGAAGTCCTAGGGCCAAGGAGCCGCTGTGGCTGGTAGGCACAGGGACCCTCCGTAGTGTGCCTGGGGCCTGGGCTGGCTGGGCCAGGCAGGGCTTGGGACTCCGTTTCTTCTTTTTGTCATCCATTGGGCGCTGGCTGGGCCTCAGGCCTAGGAGGGAAGCAACCCCACAAAGATAGCCAGGGGCAAAGTTAGCCCTTCACCCAGAAATCCCTGAGAGCTGCACCAAGGAAGGGCCCTGGGACCTTCCAGCTTGTCACCTCATCTATACGGTAGGGGCAGAGCCAGATGCCAGTGTCTGCTGCTGGGATCGTGGATGTACACTTGAAGGACCTTCTAAGGCCCAACCTAATTCCCCTTCTGCCTGAAAACCTAGGCCCCTCCTGAAAGGGTGGGACCAGTCACAACTATCTTGGCGCTACTGGGGCTTCCTGTCACGGTGGCTGGGGGGCGGGGCTGGCAGAGGAAATGTAGTGGGAGACAAGACGGAGGTGAGCTGCAGAAGCCCAGCCGAAGATTAGGGATGTCTTAACTAAACCCTATTCTATTTATCAGGGGCCTAAGCAGATGCTAACAAACCCTGTCAGCATGGGAGGGGGACAAGGTGCAGGTAGGGGCGCCTGGGAAAGCCCCAGCGTGTGGGTAATTGTAGGAGAAGCCGCAGCATACAGGGCAGGGTTCATTGTGGGTTTCCCCCACATAGACACCGGCATCCCTCCACTTCCACCCACCCCCAACCGAAAATATTAGGGACTCCCTATAGGTCCCGCGGGTGTGCTTTCAGCTGCTTCATTTTTCCCAGTCGGAAAGTCCCTGCTGGGCTTCAGCTGCAGCCAGGGTGGACTGGGTGGTTGGCCGCTGGCTGCCTGGGCCTCCGACAAAGGCTGCGCCTGTGGCTGGGCTGCTCCGAGGTCCCCGGTCCAGCAGCGCCCCCCAAGCCTCCGGTCGGCTGGGGTTCCCTCCTCTGGGGGTCTCATTCCAGGCTGCTGCTACCGAGCCTAACTTCGAATTCTGGGACTGGGGGGGTTGGGGGGGTGGGTGGCGCTTAAGCATTTACACTGACACATAGCTGGCTGCCACTGACGGGGTCTGCGGGTGTGGGGAGGGGAGATAGGAGCGCATCCTCTGCCTCTCCGTGCAGCAGCTTGACCCAATTAGGGACCTGATAGAAGAACTGGAGCCGGAGCCTGTGCTCCCCAGGAGCGGCTGGGGCGACCGGGGATCTATTTCCCAAGCCCGGGCTCCAAAGCCATGTGCCAAACTCATCGCTCAGCTCCGCAGCCGCGCTCGAAGACAGAGCGTCAGACCCGCGTCATTCCGCCCCCGCCCTCACTCCCTCAGGGGGCTACTGACCTGGAGGTTTGGGGTCTCGAGTGATGCTTCGGTGCAAGTTCCCTCCGCCCTCCGCCCTCTCCTCCCGGGAACACCACCGGGTGAAAGCTAAGCTGGAGGGAGTTCATTTGCATTTAAAGAGAAAGTGACCTTCTCCTTAGCGCGGTGGGGTGAGATGGGAGGAGCATCCCCGCGTATGCTAAGCAGTTCCTCTCACTCGACCTCACCTCCCCGCCTGAACCTAGGGGACCCTGTTGGTTGTGTGATGTCTATTTTAAAAAGATTTTCCCTTTCCCGGCAGTTTCAGAGAGAAGCTACAGTTCCTTACAAAATGGTGGTGGCTTTGTCAGAAAGGGGGTGGGGCGGGGGAGAGGAGAGACAGAGTGAGTGAGTGAGAGAGAGAGAATGTAAGCACAGAAGAAGCACAAGCAGCAACAGCAGCAGCATCAGGAAGACACTTCGAGCAAAGACAGCCATCAATGGAGTGAGTCCAGTGCCCTATTGAGCACTTTACATACATTTCATCCCCATAACAACCCTTAAGGAAGATACCAGTGTCATTCCCCATTCTACTGAAAGTAAGCAACAGTCTTTTGAGGGCAAAACCCCTCTCTCTACAATGCCAGACAGTTTTCTCTGGTAAGTGGTGGGGGCTGTATTTTGCCGCAGATGAAGTGACAGGAGTCCTCCCCACCCCCCAGGCCTAGGAGACAGGTGTGGGGAGCACCAGGTCATAAGGTAGACCACGCGATTCCCTGGCACCTGACTCCAGTCCTCAGGGAAACCTGAGCACCTGATGGAGGCTGACCCAGTGTGACTGCTGCTGCCTGCAGCCAGATCAATGGGGGCAGCTATTTAAAGCCCTGGCAGAGGCTCCTGGCGCAGGTCCCCAGAACAGCATCTGATACAACAGGAGAGAGGCTCATGTTTGGCCAGGCGGCTCAGCAGGCTCAAGTGAGCTGGCCCAGGGCAGTGCACACAGCCACCCAGCCCACCTTCCCCATCCCCGGGCAGGAGTGGCTTCCTGGGGTTGGGCCTCTTGGCTGATGTGGGGAGCCATGGGCACTGCTCCTGAGGGCACCTGCTCAGGGCTTCTTCCTGGGTACTTCCAACACTCAGAACACTCCACAAGGGTAAAGAGTAATTCCGAACTTTTTCAATAACCAGGGGCCCAGACTGGGGACAACAGAAATCCCTCTCCTTCCCCACCGGAGCTGCTAGAGTAGACAGTGGTAATGCTGCTGACAGAGGGAGCACCCCTGTGGTTCCCATCCTCAGCTGCTTCACTGGGGGGTCAGAAACCTCATTATTCTCAGAGCTGCTTTGCTTGGAATCTCCAAGAGTTGGGGCGGCACCCCCCCCACACCCTCCAGAGGATCTGCGACTAGAAATAACATGGCCAGCATGGAAAACATGTATCAGGACCCAGCTAGAAGGGTCAGAGGCTCTGCTGGGACTGTCACAGTCATTGTGGGCACATCTATTTGTGGAGGCCTGGAGGGAAGGGCAGGTGGGTTGTCTCTGCCATTTCCTGGGCATTCAGCACATATCATCCTTTGTGCCTGACCAACCCAGGACCCAGAGAGAACAGGGTGCTGGGTGAGGCCACCAGCAGCATGTCTCCCATATAGGAGTCCCATGCTTGAGGTGGGTAAATGGGGGGTGTAAAAACTGAACAGAGAATGTGCTCTCCTTAAGGAATGCATACAATTAGAGGCCCCTGTGAATTCCCTTGGGCAGGCCAGGGCTATAGGAGCCTACCCACAGCTCAGACCCAAATAGCAGTGATGAGTGTCCACCCCTCTTAACCTGGGCCTCAAATGGCCTATGCCTGGCTCCATGCCTTTTGCCTTACTGCTGGAGCCTATCAATTTCCTATTGAAACACCTTCAGTTGCCCCCCCTGCCCTCTGGATCTAGCCCACATTCCTTAACCTGGTACCCAGACTCTGGGCCCAGCCTCACCCCCTCTCCCAGTCCCATGGACCTGCTTCCCAGCTGTACCATTTAATCACTAAATGACGTTCATCTTCTACCTGCCCTGTGGTTCAGAAGGCCATTCCAGGTATCACCCCCTCACCTTGCTGAAGGGGGCAGGGGCCTCCTCTCTGCTCTCAGCACCATTGACCTGTCTATAGCTAAAAGTACCTTTTCCCTTCACTAGCCTGTGAGCCCCCAGGTCAGGGAAAACTTTTTTGTGTGTGTGTGATCCTCTCTGAGGCAAGGGTCTTGCCAACTTTGCCAAGGGCTCCACTCAGGCAGCTCAAGTGAATATGCCAGCATCCTGAGGCTGTGGCGACTGCTCAAAGACACTGTGGAATATGTAAGATACCAGGGAACCACCATGGGCGCTCTGCAGCAGACCTGAACAAGTCAGTGATGATGGAAGGGGCTGAATGGATCAGATCCAGAAACAAAGGAATACACAGGTCAGGAGAGAAACAAGTAAGGCAACAGACTCTTTATTTAATGTGGTTTAAAATACATCAAAATCAAGTCCCTGGCTGTTGTGAATACCCAAAGGAGACAAAAAAGCTGCCAGTGCAGCTTCAAACAAGTCTGAGTGGCCGGGCTGGGCCATAAGGAAAGCAGTTACAGGGACAGAAGGCAGCTCCCTTCCCCCAGGAAGGGCAAGAGGAGCAGGTGCCTGGCTGTCCCTGGGGTGACCACCTCTGTGCTGTGCAAGGCGGAAAGGCTGGGGCAGCAGCTGGAGAATCAGCTCAGCAGGCCTTGGCCCTCCCCCGTGGACACCAGGCAGCTCCACTGGCCTCCGGGTCAGCCCTCAGGGCCACCGTGATGGGGTGGAGGAGGGTTAAATAACCATCTTTACAGAAATAACAGTCTCCTACAGAAAGTGCCTGAGCTCAGCCCATGGTCCGATAACCTCATGGAAAACAAACAACAAATAAAAAAAAAAAGTGCTGCTGACACCTCTCAGAATCTGGTGGACATGAAGCTCTCAGCTGGACAAGGCCCTGAAAACAATTTACTATTAGCAGAGCCATGCGCTCTTGAGCTTCACCTGCTGTGGTCCCCTGGAGGAAAAGCTAGCAATCTAAGAAACCAACACAGATCTTGGTCCTAAAACTGAGGTCACAAGTGTGGGACCCACCCAGGTGAGGAAGACACTGGCCTTCACTCATGGATAGGCACCTCCCCTGCATCTGGCCCAGGACCTGGGCTACTTTGGAAAGCAGAAGCAGAGCAGCTGTAGTGATTGGTTGATTTGGTCAATGAAGAGAAGAAAAAGGTAGGGAACCTCATCTGCAGACTGGCCTGAAGGTCTAGACATGGATGGAGCTGTGAGCAAAGGCTGCACCTTGCCTGGGGCCCACATTCCTGACCTGGGAAACCCAGCTGGGGCCACCTGCTCACTGTGGCCTCCTACACCACCACACTGGGATCCAGCAGCTCCAGTCCCTCCACAGGCATTAAGAGGTAGCTGAAGTGTGAGTCAGGCAATTATGTGGGCCACTGTAGGCCTTTCCCCTCTCTTCAAGGGGGAAGGTGCATACCTCTGCCTCTTCCCTGCACCTCTCTCGCCTAGCAAACACTCTGTGAGGTTGGCAGCTCTTGTACCAGCTTAGCCTGGCACAGGGGCTGGGGTAGGGAAAAGGCCCTACTGGAGCAGGAAGAGGCAAGGACTACTCCAGACAGAGGGATTCAAAGGGGAAGAAAAAGGTCATGGGAAACACTTCACAGGACAGCAGTATCTCAGCCAGAGATGGCAGAGATCTCAACACTCACACAGCTGCTTGAGGGCACCTAGATGTGAAGGATACACCAGAGAATAGCAGGCAACTCTGATGCAGATCAGTGGTACCTGCCCTGGGGCAGGAGAAGGAGAAATGGTGTGCCATTCATTTGCCATCTCTGGTCTCAGTCACACATGATTCAGTACTTAACATTCTTTGTGAACCAACTTATCTGAGAGATTTAAGGTAAGGGCTAAAAGAGTGGGCTAGGTATGGAAGATGAAGGGACCTGCAGGACAATGAACTAGCTTCAAAGAAAAACAGCAAGAAGCAAAGCCCTAACCATCCTATCCATCTTGGTCTGAGTCATTCTGTTGTCCCAGAAAACTGCTTGGCACAAACACTGGCTAATACCCTGGCAAGTTTGCAACAGCAGAACATTCAGCATATAGAATGGCTCTACACAGTACATAGTAGTTATGTACTGGAGTGGGGGTAGAACAGGACACAGAAACAACTGTCTGCAGCCATTTTATGGATTTCTGGGGCCCAGTCAATAGTTCAATTTCATTTCTTACCTGTTAGACAACAGCTATGGGCTCCCACACAGGAAGAAGTAGAATCCCCAAGGACAGGCAGGGAGGTGCCAGGAAATAGAATCAGGACAAATCTTGAGGATTGCACATGTGGGGGTGGGGGCAGGAAGCAGAAAAACCCATGAAGCCAAAGAGGCAGCTGGACATGGGACCCAGCAACTGCTGCATGGAGACAGTGCTGATGGGAACTGGTGGTGGCCTCTCAGGACTGAAACCCACAGGTAAGCTTGTGGCAAAGCCATCAGAAGCCCTTTCCTTTCTTTTACCACAAACAACCTGATCTCACCAAACAGGAAACCTCAGCATCAAGATGGCAAAGGAGCCAAGTGGGGTGGTGAAGGAGGTGGGACACTGGAGGCCAGGCACCCAGGCACCACTGCTACAGCATCCCTCTTCCTTGGAAGGTCCTCAATACAAACACTGTCATGTGCAAAAAAAAAAGAAAAAGAAAAAAAAAAAAAAAGAAAAAGAAATAAAGAAAAAAACACCTTCAGAAATAATCCTTTGGGTGATCTCTTGTCAATCATTTGTGCAGGCTAGAGAGGCACCTGTGAATGATAAGGCTACTGAGAAGCATCATTGGCCTGGTCCTGGCACTACCAAAGGGCAGGGGAAGCGATGCCCAAGGGGCTCCTGACCAGCACATCATCCCACGCAAAAACATTCTCCAGGTCCCTTGTTCCAGGCAGGAAATCCCCAGCTCTGAGCGCCCTGCCAGGGCTCTGCCTAGGGACACCTTTTCCAGGTCTAGAGAATCAAAGGAGCCTCCAGAGCAGCTAGGAGGGCCTGAGCTGACCAAGCAAGCCCTGCTCACAAGACAAATGCAGTCAAGACCTGGGTGTATTACTTGTCTTGAGCTCTGAAGGGCAGGGAGGGGTCTGAGCCTCAAATCAGACAGAGAAATGCTCAAGTCACTTCTGCCAACTCACTGTGATGGCAGCTACAGATGACAGCCCCTCTCAAGACTCTTCAGCTCACAGACAAGCCACTGACTTCATCTGTACACACCCCCATCCCCAATGCAAGCCCACTGTACACTTACAGGTATAAATGCATTTGCAAGGCCTTGCAAAATGCCCTATGTACGTAAAACTGACCCACAAAATCCAAAATTGCAAGTGCCAGATGCCAGCCAGGTCAGAACATCCTGGCTTCAGCAATGGGCTGCTCAGCATGGGAGCCTTTTATGGGCCAGGCCTGGCTGGGCTGCCGCTCCCTTCCCAGCATGACCCAACACCAGGCTCTCTAGGCCCTGGCGGAGGTGGGCTCTTGAGGCCCAGTCTGGCCTGATGCTTCTGTGCTCGGTGCTCCTGGGTAGCAAGGCGCTTCTGTGACCCTGGGGGAGCTGGGTGCTTGAGCCCCAGGCCCCTCTGGCCTCCTCTCAGGGCCACTGTCAGTGAGGGAGCCCTGGCCACCAGCACTCAGGTCCTGTACCCTCTTGTTCAGGTCATTGCGCTCTGTCTGCAGTGCCCGGCACAGCTTCTCCAGCCGTTGGATTTTTACCTGCAGGCCCTCCAGTTCTTTATCCCGGACTGTTTTCTAGGGAAAGAAATGAGACCTTCAGTGCCGTGCCCCATCAACCTCCCACTTACCATCACCACTTGGCGGCAAACACTTTAACAAGGCTGAGAGCAGACCGAGTCCAAAGCTGGCCCCCTCTAGGAAACAGTCCTAGTTGAAGCCATGACTAGGCTGTCAGGTGGGGCAGCATGGTGCAGAAAAGGGGCACGGCTTGGAGATAACGTATTCCTCCATTTATCTACCACGTGACCTTGGCAAAGGACTTGACTTTTGAGCCTGTCTCATCTATAAAACAGGACTACTAATACCATCCTCAGAGCTCAAGAGAAGGTTCAATGAACAACGTACCTAAAAACATTCAGCAGCAAAAAAGACAAAAAAAACCCAAAAACTTTCAGCAAGGTCTGGCTTGCAGTTGCTGCTCCATCGTTAGTTCCTTTCTTCTACATTACAAGCTGTGAAATCACAAACTACCTGGGCTGCTTTACATGTAAACCAGGCACATCACTGGCACCCGTTTTTTTCTGCTCTTTTATTCCTTTCTTCCATTTGCTCCCTTCACTCCCACTGGAGACCTACCACTGGGCTCACCACCTCCCATGGGGAGAGAACAGCATTAACTTTGGACTTGGACATTGTGTGCAAATCTCACCTCTACCTCATGCTAGCTGTGTCACTGATGGGTAGAACATACAGGAAAGGGCCTGATATGCGCTAAGTGCACACCCCCACCCTGGCTGCAGATCACAGACAGCCCACCTCCTCAGCCATCTCAAGCAGGGCCTTGTTGCTGCTCTCCCACCGGGACCGGTACATGGTGGTTTCTTTCTCCAGCTTCTTGATCTTCTTAGTCATCTAGGTTATGTGACAGACAGAAGGAAATGGTCAGAGCTGGCCTCTCCAAGGTCTGTGTCTCCAAGGTGGGGACTGCACCTGTGTCTCCAAGGTGGGGAATGATTGATCCCAAGGCGCAAGGCATTACAGGATGCAGTCAATGCCCTCTGTGCCACCTCACCACCAGGAAGTCAGAGGTGTCCACCACCAATAACAAGGAATGGTAAGGGGCCAGGCATGGTGGCTCACGCCTATAATCCCAGCACTTTGGGAGGCCAAGGCGGGCAGATCACTTGAGGCCAAGAGTTCGAGACCAGCCTGGCCAACATGGTGAAACCCCGTCTCTACTAAAAATACAAAAAAAAAAGAAAGAAAAAATTAGCCAGGCATGGTGGCACGCGCCTGTAATTCCAGCTAGTCAGGAGGCTGAGGCAGGAGAATCACTTGAACCCGGGGGGCAAAGGCTGCAATGAGCTGAGATCATGCCACTGCACTCCAGCCTGGGCAATAGGTGAGTCTCCATCTCAAACAACAACAACAACAACAACAACAACAACAAACCCCCCAAAAAAACCAAACAAACAGAAAAGACTGCCCCATTCCCTGGGACAACCTGGAGTGTATACATACCACTGATACTGCCTCAAGAGGGGAAAGGCTGTGAACCTTCCTAACAGCCCTGCCCTTGAGACACCCCAGATGGGAGCTTCCTGAAGGCAGGCCCAACAATTTTGAATGAAGCAGCTTATGCCCCAGCAGCCATGCCTGGCCTGGACCACAGTTACCTTTTCCATCTCCTGCTTGAATGTGGTGAATACCTCGCTGCTTTTGGAAAGTGTGTTCTGGAACTCCTCAAACTTCTCTGTGTATAGGGCAAGCTGTGGGGAGAAAGCAGCCCACAGATAAGACTGGGTTTCTCTGGGAGGCACTCTGGTCAACACACTCAGACCCGTCCTTGACTCTCTGACCAGTAATTCTATTGAGATACTATTTTTCCTTAAAACAAAGCAAAGCTATATATTTGGAAGGATATAATCCAAAATGCTAAGCCTGGAAAGTAGGAGACTTAGGGTGACTTTTATTTTGCCTTTATGTTGATTTTCAAACTCTTCTGTTCCTACCTCCTCAAAAGCAATACATTTCTGAGCTACAAATGAAGTCCTCTGAGCCCACCTAACTACCTGGTCACCACCACATAGGTACTGTGCAGGTCCGGAGAGAACAAAGGCTCAACCAAGGCGTCATAGCAGCCAGGACACAGCCAGTCCTAGAATGAGGGTCCCATTTCACTACCCCCAGGATGGGGCCCAGTGAGGGAAACTTGAAGGCACAGGGTCAGGTTATATGCTCTCACCTGTTGCTTCAGGTGGGTCTCTTGCTGCTTCATCAGCTCACACATCCTCTGGGACTCTACTGCCTCTTTCAGGAGCTATTTCCAAGACAGAACCCCAGATCCTGTCAGAAGCCCCCAGGGGCTATGTTTGGTTTTTAGCCACAAGCACCAGACCCACTGAGGCTTCCTGCTCTCAGACTGGTACTCAAGGAATCTGTGCCTGGTCTGGCCAGACTTCTCCCATATAACCCGGCTATGAGCTGAGCCAGAGCCCAGCCTGTCTCCTCCCACCCCCACCCCAACCCTGGGGCCTGAGCCTCACAAAATCCTTCTCCCGCTGGTGCCGCTCTTCTGCCTCCTTTAGCATCTCCTGGGCCTGCTGGAGCTTGGCATCCACCAGCTGCTGTTGTAGGTCCTTGTGTTTGAAGACTTTGTCGATATGCTGCAACAAAGATGGTGGGAGCAGTCGGCTTGTCAGGCGCTCCCTTTCTCAGGGTAGCCCCACAGCCACAGACCAGGGCACTTTGCCCAGCCCCCCATCTCAATCTGATATGATGGACTCCCATGTGTACCACACAACATGGGCCCCAAGTCTCTGGAAGGTCAGCTTTCCAACCTCACGTCGTTTCTCTCCCAGTGAGTCAGACCTTGGTAAGCACATGGTTTATGGATGGAATCTGCTCCCAAGAAGGCAAGCAATAAACACACTCAAATCTCTGACCCCAGGATTGATCACCTATGGGGCTGGAAGCCCTCACTTCTGTGTCCCTGATTCTCTTGTAAATGGGAAGAATGGGCAAAAACAATGCCTCTAAGAACATAACAGCCTAGCTCAGTTGGCAAAGACTTGCCATATCTAGGCAAAGACTAGACATGTGCATCCCCAAGGAATGGCTGTCCTGCCTACTAGAGGAGCGCTGCAGACCTGTGTCAGGTGAGAGAGAAGGGATGGAGAGAAGGTGAAGGACTCAGGTGCTACTTCAAAGGTAAAATCAACTGGACTTGCTGAAATAAGGGAAAATAACTCCATTTTTTTGGATGGGGAAGGGAAGGTGCCTAGCAGGTAAGTCCAGTTTGGGTATGATGAGGGTGCCTGTGTCTGTCTGGGGAGGGCTGTAAATGCAAAGCAGCAGGGCCTGGTAGTCCTGCACCTCCTTCTCCACAGGTAGTACTAAGTCCTTTTTTGCCTTGGCGGGGAGAGAAAACGGGGGTATTCAGATTCTTGAAGTTCGTGTCTCACTGTAGTGGCCCAGGAAGCCTCTATGTCTCAGCGCTGAGGGATAAGAACCAAACCAACTCCCCTCAAACCAAACAAGCAGCTTTGTTCCCAGAGGATGAAGTATGGCAAGGAAAGGGGTGGGTCAGGGGAGCGCCCTCTAGGTCCTGCACACACGATCATCACTTTGGCCTATGAACCTAAGAGGGCAGATCTTCCCGGTCTCACCCACTGCCACACCCCAGGGGCTAGGAAAGGGCCTAATCCAGAGCAGGTCCTCTGCCAGCCCTGTAAGGGGGCTGCAGGTCTCCCTTCTCATGATGAGAACGCGCCCAGAACAGCCAGGTGACTGGCAGGGAAGATCCAAAGATTCAAGTGCCTGGGGTGGCAGCCAACGCAGTGACAAAGGGAGTGACATCCTGCTTTTTTTTTTTTTTTTTTTTGAGATGGAGTCTCGGTATATCACCCAGGCTAGAGTGCAGTAGCACAATCTTGGCTCATTGCAACCTCTGCCTCCTGGGTTCAAGCAATTCTCCTGCCTCAGCCTCCTGAGTAGCTGGGACTACAGCCGTGCACCACCACACCTGGCTAATTTTTTGTATTTTTAGTAGAGACAGGGTTTCACCATGTTGGCCAGGCTGGTCTTGAACTCCTGACCTCAGGTGATCCGCCCGCTTTGGCCTCCCAAAGTGTTGGGATTACAGGCATGAGCCACCACGCCCAGCCTGATAAATTCTGCCTTTTGAGTGGCAGGAGCAGCAAGGAATCAGTGGACACAGTCTCTGGAGTCCATCACTGATCACAGGTACACCCCTCCCCTGCAATTCCAAATTCTACAAAGTTCTGAAAATGGAAATTGTCATAAGCTGGCAGCCAGACTTGACCTGCATCATTGTAAGCCCATAATGTAGGTGAGTATTTGGAAGTTCTACTGCATAAATACATTAATGTGTCTGGCTTCCCCAAGGCCCTGCTGAGGGTGCTATA
Source organism: Homo sapiens (assembly GCF_000001405.40). NCBI lineage: Eukaryota > Metazoa > Chordata > Mammalia > Primates > Hominidae > Homo > Homo sapiens. The sequence continues at coordinate 32,190,549 of NC_000001.11, read as the reverse complement.
TAACACACAGTCCATACATGTACCTCCATTCTAAAATGTGGATAGTTCTAATTCCAAAAGATGCCTGGCCCAGTCATTTGGGACAAGGCACTGTGGACCTGGGGCTGTGTGGCTGTAAGTGAGTCTCTTCTCCACACCTGTTTTTTATCTATGAGGAATAACATTACTCTCCTCCCAAGGAGGAGGAGGAGGAAGAAAGGGAGAATGGGATGAAGCCTGAAAAGGTACTGTCCCAGTGCCTAGCACACACTCAAAACCTCACAATTTCTGGGCCATGACTGCTGTCCGTGATACCCTTACCTCCTCGCGCAGCTCATACTGCTCAATCAGCTTCTTGAGCCTCTCAGCCAGCTCCATGTTCTCTTGGCGCAGCTTGGAGTTGCGCTCATTGTGCTGTTCCATCTGCAGCTGAATGTCATTCAGTGTCACCTGGAAGTGCGAGGTCACCTCCTTGCGCTTCTCCTCCTCCTCCCGGGCCCGCTGCACACCTTCTTCCTGGGCAAAGAAGTCAGCCCGAGAGCCATCATCCACTGCTACCTCACAAGGGTCCCCCAGCTAGTCCACAGATGGTCTCTGCCAACAGCCCTCCCTGCTCCCAAAGCGTGGAGTAGCCAGACTCCAGGATGTTGTGCAATGCGGGTTCCAATGGGCCCCTCTGTATATCAGGTGACATCAAGTGAGATTCTCCCCCTAGAAAAATGCAGGCACATGGCAGGCGCGGTGGCTCACGCCTGTAATCCCAGCACTTTGGGAGGCTGAGGTGGGCGGATCACGAGGTCAGGAGTTTGAGACCAGCCTGGCCAATATGGTGAAACCCCGTTTCTACTAAAATACAAAAATTAGCCGGCGTGATGGTGTGCACCTGTGGTCCCAGCTGCTTGGGAGGCTGAGGCAGAGGAGTCATTTGAACCTGGGAGGCGGAGGTTGTGGTGAGCTATGATCGCGCCACTGCACTCCAGCCTGGGCGATGGGCCACAGAGCAAGACTCCGTCCCCAAAAAAAAAAAAAGGAAGAAAAAATGCAGGCACACATGCACACATGTAAGTGCTAAGTGCCATTCTGAAGCAAGTCGGATCTCCTAAGGCCTATTCTTCCAGATTTCAGATTAATGTGCATTTGTCCCCTCTGTACCCCCAGAGACCAAGCTGTTAAAATTTAGTAACACCCAGGGTTTGCAAAGTTGTGCAGAATTAGGCACTCAACACTTTTGATGGGGAAGGCACACTGCCCCCTCACTGGAAGGCAATCCAGCAAAATCTATTAAAATGAAAAATCTGCATATACTGTGACCTAGCCATTTCAATTCCATGACTTATCCTACAGATAAGTTCTATATAACTGACCAGTGATAAATATAACAAGAATTTTCACTATAGTTCTATATGTAATAATGAAAAATTGTAAACAACCCCCAAAATGCTTTAACTAGGGCACTGATATAATATATCCATATAATGAGAAGATAGCCCTACACATACTGATAGGGAAAAATGTTATGTAAAGTGAAAAAAAGGCACAGGATATGAAATGGTACATGTATAATAATTTCATTCTAAAAACTACATGTAAGATTTTACATATAAAAAAGAAAGTTAAAAGGCTGTATTTAAACTTGGTGTAACCACAGACTGACCTCACCATAGAAGCAGCAGAACATGGGAAGGACCCAGGTTCCTGACTGACCAACGTCTGGGACAAGAGCTGCTTGTCAGAGCCAGGCCTCCGCTTACCAGGGGACTGTCATTTCATTGAGAAATACTAACGCCAGTGCATTATGGATTCTCTTAGTACTTTATCCTTCACCTTATCTAATACATGTCAAATGATTACAAGCAGTACTCTCTTAACGTAAGGCATTATTGAGAAAGTGTATTTCTATGCCACAAGCCTGCACTACTTTTTTTTTTTTTTGGACACTGAGTCTCACTCTGTTGCCCAGGCTGTAATGCAGTGATGCAATCTCGGCTCACTGCAACCTCAGCCTCCCAGGTGCAAGCAATTCTCATGCCTGAGCCACCTGAGTAGCTGGGATTATAGGCATTTGCCAGCACACTCGGCTAATTTTTGTATTTTTAGTAGAATGGGGTTTCACTGCGTTGACCAGGTTGGTCTCAAACTCCTGGCCTCAAGTGATCCATCCACCTCAGCCTCCCAAAGTGTTGGGATTACAGGTGTGAGCCACCACACCCAGCCTTGCTTTTTTACACTGATTTCATGTTGAAATTGTAATGTTTTGGATATTGGGTTAAGTATATTACTAAAATTAATTTCTGTTTTTTAGTGGCCAGAAGATTTTTAATCACTTATGTGTGCCACTGCGCCTGGCCCTAGCCTGCACTACTTTTTAAGAGGAAAGCCCATGAAAGAAACATTAAGTGGAAGTCAAGGAAACCAGAGTCACCTGTTCCAGGGGGCCCAGGCCTACCTTGAGGGAGCGGTTGTGCCGCTGCAGCTCACGGCATAGGCTCTCAAGCTTGCTGCGGGCCAGGACGGCCTTGCTGTGCTCACCGCGCAGGTGGTCCTTCTCTTGCACCAGCTGGCTCTGCTTTTTCTGTAGGAGCTTCATCTGCTTCTGTGAATTCCGGTGCTCCTCCAGCTGGGGACAGGGATAGGGAGGGCAGGTGAGCATCTTGTGGGGCCTTCCTGGTGGGGGGATCACTATGCAGGTCTAGGGTCTCCTGAGCTGCCCTGACCCTTACCCTCTCAGGCCAGGAGCACTCTCATGGGCTGATGCTGTGCCGGTGCTTACACGCTCCTCCCATGAACTCACAATAACCCCAAAGGCTCCACCGTAGGGACAGAGAAATGGTAACTCACTAGGGCAAGCAGGGGCCACACAGCCAGCAGATGCCAATTCCTATTCCAGCTCTGACTCTGGGCCACTAGAGCCACTTCAAGCTGTTGCATTTCCCCAACTTGCTGGACACTCATGCCCGAGGATGAGACCACCTGCTACCGTACCTTGTGCCTATTAACAGACAGACCCCCATCGCTCCCTCGCATTCCTTCAAAACGTTAGCGCTGCGTTCATCAGCGCTCTCCCCAACACAATTACTTTTCTCATTTGTGGCCACTTCAGTATCAACAGATAATCCTTCTAACTCCCTGGCCTCACAGTCCATCACCTCTTCCACAAACCCACTCCTTTCCCCAGCTCAGTTCCCCTCCCATGACCCTATCCAGGCCTGTACAACAGAAATATAATGCAAACCACATAAGTAATTAAAAATATTCTACTGGCCGCACTAAAAAAGTAAAAAACAGGTGAAATTAATTTTAGTAATATATGTATTTAACCTAATATCCAAAACATTACAATTTCAACACGGAATCAATGTAAAAAAGTGAGGCCGGGAGTGGTGGCTCATGCCTGTAATCCCAGCACTTTGGGAGGCTGAGGCAGGCAGATCACTTGAGGTCAGGAGTTCAAGACCAGCCTGGCCAACATGGTGAAACCGTTTCTACTAAAAAAAAAATACAAAAAAGTAGCCAGTTTGGTGGCATGCGCCTGTAATCTCAGTTACTCAGGAGGCTGTGAGGCAGGAGAATCGTTTGAACCTGGAAGCAGGACATCACGCCACTGCACTCCAGCCTGGGTGACTGAGACACTCTCTCACAAAAAGATGTTTTATATTCTTTGTTTTTGCTTAAGTCTTCAAAAGCTGATGTGTATCTTACATTTATAGCATGTTCAAATTCAAACTGGCCACATGTCAATTAGCTAGAGACGAATTTATCTTGGACAGCGCAGATCTAGACTTTGTCACTACCAGAGAGCACACCCACTATCTCAATTTCCAGCATCCCAGTCCAGGACTACCATCACCTATCTTTTTAGCTCATTCCAATCAGTATCTGTGATCCTCAGAAAGTCTCTTACCCTATAGGACCTCCAATCCATTGACTCAACCATCCTTCCACTCTCCTTTAAAATAACTACATTACCTGGCTTGGATTTCTTACACCCTCAACTCTCTTGGCCCTTCCCCAGTAGTACTGCAACCCTAGTAAAGCACCTTCCTGCTTTACACCAGTACTATAACAACCCTACTTGAAGAGTCTCACTTTAAATTCATGGCCACCAATTTCAGGAAGACCAGCAATCCCAATACAATGCATATGCTATTCACACTCCTCTCCTTCCAGACAACTATTTCATCGTTCTCATCAAATCTCAAAACACAGAAGAAACTAGAGAATCAGGGGCACAAGCTGCACATCTACCAGTCCACCTGCCCCGTCCTCTCCTCCAGTCACACAGACCTAGCCATGTGGTTACCACAGCCAAGCCCCCTTCTTGGGCAGGCCTCAGCTCCCCTCCTCTACTCACAACACCACTCTAGCAACTCATTTCCTCTCTTGCATCAGCAATTTTCCCCTGGCTGGATCACTCCAAAAGGGTGCTTATCTTCCTTATACCTTTTATTTAATCCTTACAAGAATGTCATTAGGCAGGTATGACATTCCCCATTTTAAAGATGAGTAAAGTTCCTTACAGGAAAATATTAATAAATGTGTGTGGAATGAATTAATTTTAAAATAAATACTTAGAGGCCAGGCACAGTGGCTCACACCTGTAATCCCAGCACTTTGGGAGGCTGAGACGGGCGGATCACGAGGCCAAGAGATCAAGACCATCCTGGCCAACATACTGAAACTCTGTCTCTACTAAAACATACAAAATTTAGCCAGGCATGGTGACATGCACCTGTAATCCCAGCTACTCGGGAGGCTGAGGCAGGAGACTCGCTTGAACCTGGGAGGTGGAGGTTGCAATGAGCCGAGATCGCGCCACTGCACTCCAGCCTGGTGACAGAGCGAGACTCTGACTCTGAATAAATAAATAAATAGGCCAGGCGTGGTGGCTCAAGCCTGTAATCCCAGCACTTTGGGAGGCCGAGGCGGGCGGATCACGAGGTCAAGAGATCGAGACCATCCTGGCTAACACGGTGAAACCCCGTCTCTACTAAAAAAAAAAAAAAAAAAAAAAATAGCCTAGCATGGTGGCGGGCGCCTGTAGACCCAGCTACTCGGGAGGCTGAGGCAGGAGAATGGCATGAACCCAGAAGGCGGAGCTTGCAGCGAGCCGAGATCGTGCCACTGCACCCCAGCCTGGGCGACAGAGCAAGACCCCGTCTCAAAAAATAAATAAATAAATAAATACATACATACATACATACATACATACATACACAGGCTGTGACCATCAATGGATAAATCTGTTAGTTCAAATTCTGACAAGGGACCTGATGATGGAAGAATCTGGCTGCCCCACCCCCAACCCACTGAACAATGTTACAACAAAGTGGGAAGAGCATGCTTTGCATTTATTGTGATGGAACATGAAGTACTTATGAAGAATTCTTGTCAAAAAGTTGAAGCTGAATTGGATCAAGCTTTAGAGCTAACTTCTACTTCACTTACATGTACCAGGAGGTAAAGAAGTAAAATGATACCACAGAGATGACAAAGCTAGAAGGGGGCATCCTACAAGACAGCTAGTCTAGTTTCTGTTAAAAGTCAATGTCATGGGGAATATGAGGAGGCAGTGACAAGAAGACTGCTCTGGAGTAAAAGGAAAAAGTATCAAGTGACTAGTGTTAGTTTTATTAACTGTGATAATGGCTCTATGCATCTGTATTTGAGGAAGAAGCATCAAGATCACAAGGTGTCTTGGACTCAGGCCAGGAACAAGGGCTCTACCACCTTGGAATCATTCTTTGAGAAATTTCTTTCAAGGAATATGCAGTTTCTCCTCTTGCTGCACAGCCCTGAAGAGGCTGGCTGGAAGTGATTCCCCATTTAACAGATAGTTCAGAGAAAAGCTGAACAGGAATTAAGCCACCTACTTGACTCTGCACCCCCAACCTTACACCAGGTGGCATGCTGATTTTCCCAACGCAGGGAAGGTGCCCGCGGAGGGGGGAACTGACCAGTTCAGCATACTTCTTGCACAGAGCAGCCAGCTTCTCCTCTGGGGTACTCAGAGTATTCAATGTCTGCATCAGCAACGTGATCTCCTTCCCTGAAAAGCACAGGAGCAAAGACATGCACCCTCTTCTCCAGGTGTCCCCTCCAGGCCTGGGCTCACACTCATGAGTGCTGAAGACAGCCCTCCCCATCATACTTTATATTTTGCTTGTTGATTAGCTGCCTTCCTTGCCATAAGGACCAACTCAATCCTGCCCTCACTATAGCCCCAGTACTGTCCATAGTACCATCACAGAGGATATGCTCAACAAATGCTTATCAAATGAACGACTGTACCCTAGTGAAATCTCCTTAGTAGGCACCATTGGCAGGAGAAAAAAACTGCCTGCTCTACCAATAGAAGAAAGGTGTCCCACTTATGAATTCAGGGCTACTGTTTCATACTGTTTCAATGCAAGGAAGGCCCACCCTCCTGATAGAGGTAGGATCCAAAAAGGAATAGGTATCTTAGCCTCCTTGAGAAATACTAAACTCTTGTCAACAGAGTAGCCAAACAGTGAACTTTAAAATGAAGATACTTTCGGCCAGGCAAGGTGGCTCATGCCTGTAATCCCAGCACTTTGGGAGGCCGAGGCAGGCGGATCACGAGGTCAAGAGATCGAGACCATCCTAACATGGTGAAACCCCATCTCTACTAAAGACATACACAAAAAAATTAGCTTGGTGTGGTGGCACGCGCCTGTAGTCCCAGTTACTCCGGAGGCTGAGGTAGGAGAATCGCTTGAACCCAGGAGGCGGAGGTTGCAGTGAGCCCAGATCGCGCCACTGCACTCCAGCTTGGTGACAGAGCGAGACTCTGTCTAAAAAAATTAATTAATTAAAAAAAAAAGGCAGGGTACAGTGGCTTACGCCTGTAATCCCAGCACTTTGGGAGGCTGAGGCGGGCGGATCACGAGGTCAGGAGATCAAAACCATCCTGGCTAACACAGTGAAACCCCGTCTCTACTAAAAAAAATACAAAAAAATTAGCCGGGCATGGTAGCAGGAGCCTGTAGTCCCAGCTACTCGGGAGGCTGAGGCAGGAGAATGGCGTGAACCCAGGAGGTGGAGCTTGCAGTGAGCCGAGATCGCGCCACTGCACTCCAACCTAGGGACAGAGCGAGGCTCCATCTCAAAAAAAAAAAAAAAAAAAAAAGGCAGGGTACGGTGGCCCACGCCTGTAATCCCAGCACTTTGGGAGGCCCAGGTGGGCGGATCATGAGGTCAGGAGATCGAGACTATCCTGGCTAACACAGTGAAACCCTGTCACTACTAAAAAAATACAAAAATTAGCCGGGCATGGTGGCAGGCGCCTGTAGTCCCAGCTACTCGGGAGGCTGAGGCAGGAGAATGGTGTGAACCCGGGAGGCGGAGCTTGCAGGGAGCTGAGATCGCGCCAGTGCACTCCAGCTTGGGTGACAGAGCAAGACTCCATCTCAGTTGGGGGTGGGGGGTGAAGAAGATGATACTTTCCATGTATGTGACGTTAAGATTTTTTCCTTTTTCTTTTTTTGAGATGGAGTCTCACCCTGTCACCCAGGCTGGAGTGCAATGGCATGATCTCAGCTCACTGAAAACTCTGCCTCACGGGTTCAAGTGATTCTCCTGCCTCAGCCTCCCGAGTATCTGGGATTATAGGCACGTGCCACCACGCCCGGCTGATTTTTTGTATCTTTAGTAGAACTGGGGTTTCACCATGTTGGCCAGGCTGGTCTCGAACTCCTGACCTCATAATCTGCCTGCCTTGGCCTCCCAAAGTGCTGGAGTTACAGGTGTGAGCCACTCTGCCTAGTCGTCCCTAAGATTTTTTAAAGTTCCTCTTTAAAGTAAGAGGATACATAAGGGGAAAAGGGAATAGGAATAAAACATGGATATAATGACACTCGACTTAGATTCTAGATTCTTTTTTTTTTTTTTTGAGACAGAGTTTCACTCTTGTCACCCAGGCTGGATGTAGTGGCACAATCTCAGTTCACTGCAACCTCTGCCTCCCGGGTTCAAGCCATTCTCCTGCCTCAGCCTCCCAAGTAGCTGGGATTACAGGCGTGTGCCAGCATGTCCAGCTAATTTTTGTATTTTTAGTAGAGACGGGATTTCATCATGTTGGCCAGGCTGTTCTCGAACTCCTGACCCTCAGGTGATCCACCCGCCTCGGCCTCCCAAAGTGCTGCAATTACAGGCGTGAGCCACCACACCCGGCCTAGACTCTTAAACATACATACCCTGCTGTAAAATGACTGTCACTGCCTATTCCCCATTGCCTGTGACTGAGTCAGGGAGCCTTCCCTCTGCCTCCCCAGAAGGGCCCAAGAGATCAGCATGGAGACTGCAATTCGCAGGCATGTGTGCCAAATCCAACCCACGGATGGGTTTTGTTTGGCTCTTACCATTTTAGCTGCTAACTATGAAAAAATCTAGAGTTCTCACATAACTCTAGATTTCTGGCTTTTCTTTATTTAAAAAAAAAAAAAAAAAAAAAAAGCCTGACTGCACCCAGCCTGTAGTTTTGCCTGCTCTCAGTTGGCTAGCTGAGAGCAACTAATCAGGAAGCAGTAAAGCCTCCATCTTCAGGTGGCCCCATGGCCAGCCCAGCTTATGCAGATATTTGGGTTTTCAACTCTGGCCTAGTCTAATTTTCTTACTGTAAAGAGAAATATAAACTAAGACCCAGAGAGGAGAAGGGACACACCCAAGGTCACACAGCAGGTAGTACTGGCTGGCACAGGAGCCTACCCTAGCCTCCCGTCTCCATTTTCTCAAAGAGAGAACAGGTCCCATGCCAAGCTCCAGTTGCTCCAAAACCCAGAAGGCTTTGTGCTGGTAACTCCTGCATCTCTCTATGCCGTGGCCCCCACATCCCTGGCTTTGATTAGACTAGAGTGACTTGCTGCTCTGAGAAGTACCGTTTTCCTTTGAATCCTGGCAGAACAGACTGGCCCAGAGAACGTCAAGTCCAAACTCCCTCTCCTCACCAGCTTCACAAAGAGCCGCCCTCTGCTCACCCAAACCCTTGGCTTTTTTCTTCTCCTGTGGCCTTCGATGGTCTCGGTCTCCGACCTCGTCACTCTGCCGGATCTCTTCTGTGTTTGGATCCCCCTTGGAGGGTTCCTTCTCTCCATTGACTACTGGAGTTGGTTCAGGCTCCCCATTCCTTGCCACATAGGTCCGGGACTTCTCTGCATCTTCGGGTTCAGCCGGCTCACCCTGTGCCCCATCCTCGCCGGGGCCCCCCTGGTTATTGTCCACACAGTATGTGCTCAGTATGTCTTCCAGTTGGCGGCTCAGCTCCTCAGAGACATCACGAAGGGCCCCAGACTGAGCCGTTCTGGCTTGAGCCCCTACAGCAGGAGAGGATGAGGGGTAGAGTGAGAAAGAAGACGATTATACCACTGGTTGGGATTTTTCAGGCCCAGCCAAACTCATCAGTTTGAGTTAAATGTTGCCTAACTTTTTTTTTTATGGAAACTGAGAAGCAAGAATGGAGTATCATTCAGCAAATCTAGTTCCTGTCAGAATTTAGATTCGAAACATCTTTTAAATCAAGAAATTATAGTAATCGTTGCCTAACTTCTTTAAGTCTGTTTACTTGTAAAATGACACAACTATTTCTCACTACCACCCGAACATATTTGTTAGATCATAAAAGTATGTAAAGCATCAGCACACAGGGATGGCACGGAGCAACTTCTAGTCCATCTCCTTCCCCCCCACAAAACCATTTCTTGCCATTCAGATCATTCTAGAAATGCCTCAAACAGGAAGGGCAGTTAGCTGCTGGTGGCTGAGGTGTTTCTAACGGGACCTGGATTTCCTGACTGGGTGCCTCGTTTGGCTGCCACCTGACTTAATCCCGTCGGAGCTTCTCTCCAGAACTCTGTTCCTGTGCTTAGAGGGGGCAGCTCCGCCAACTCGCCAGAGCGCAGGGGGGACCGCGGCCCCCAGCACTGTCCTCTCATTCTACATCTCCTCCTCCCGGACAACCTGGCCTCGGCCTGTAAGTCCAGAAGCGAGGCCGACCCCACAGCTCCTCCCCCTGCCCGCTGGCAACGCAGAGCTGGCACACACCCTCCGGCTTCCGAGGAGCCTGGCTGCTGCCGGGACCTTCTGCTTCTACTGCAGGAGCCGCCTGGCTGGGCCGCTCCTGGGCTCCCTCGGGTCCTGCTTCCGGTTGTCCTGGGCTGCTTTTTGGATTGGATTGTTTGGCAGCCCCGTTCTTTTTGTCTTGGTTCTTCATTGTGATGAGCGATGCTGGGTCAGGAGAAGATCCTTTAGAAACAAACACAGTTGCTATTTTCCAGACTTCGAAATTCTTCGCAGCCTGGATCAGAAATCCCCACAGCAGGCGCACAAAGCTTCTTAAAATAAACGGACCGGCAGGCCCGGGCGGAGGGCGCCAACGGCTCTCTGGTCTTGGCGGGTCAGGAGAGCCCGACGTGCCGGGGCAGGCTTTCGGGGCGCAGCTCCCACAGCGGGTGAGGGAAGAGGCCTCTTCTCCCTGGAGCCACTTCCCGGCACAACCGGCCCCCTCGCGGCAGGCCGGGCGCGGGATTGGCTCAGGGCCGGAGACTGACGTGGCGGGACTCCCGGCACCGCCCCCGCCCCTCAGGCCCCACGTGCGCCCCCCGCGCGCGCAGCCACCCACGCCCCGCGCGCCCTCAAGCCGCGAGGCACGCCCGCGCATGCGCATATCCCCAGACAGCCCCCGGCCCACGCGGGGAGTTGGCGTGATTTCCCCACAGGCCGAGAACATCCCGGCCCGCACACTCTCAAATAGTCTCGCCCACCGGCCGCCGCTGCACGTACCTCACCGCCGACGTCCGATGGCTTCCCCACCTCTGGCCTCGCACCGGAAACCCCGAGTAACTGCTGCCGGCCAGCCGCCTGCTCCCGCCTCAGCCAATCAATAGCCGGCGCCGGCGCGGAGCTTGCTGGGAAGGACGAAGCGAGGGCGGCCTCGGAGGCGGGCGCCCCGGCAGGGCGGGGCAGGGAAAAGACTACGCGTCCCTCTTTACGCAGGGGCTAGCCGCAGATCCCAAGGTGCATAAGGGACTGTAGTCCTGGGAGTCCAAAAGGAGCCCGTCATTCTGCACGAGTGCCCATGTCAACCTTGTTTCTATCTCGCAGAAGCTATGCTTCAACTCCCAAAGCCTTGCGCCTGGCTGTTGTTTCCTGCAGGCCTCCATCAAACCTTCCTCCCTGGCCGTGAACAAATGTGACTCCATCCGGGAACTCCGAGGACTCGGGAAGAGGGATAGAGTCCTGGGCTGAGACTCAGGAGACCCATACTCCAGTCCCAACTTCATCACGGATTTGCTGTGTGGCTGGACGTTCTGTTCTCTCTCTGGGCCTCAATGTCCTTCTTCCAAAGGAGGCTTTTAATAACAATAGCAGTTCCTTGAACGCTTACTGTGTGCTTTCCCGCTATCTAATAGCTTGGTTCTCATAACCACTCATAGAAATAACTACTATCTGTTATCCCCATTTTACGGAAAAGGACAGTAAGAGAAAGGTTAGGTAACTTATCCAAGGTCATATCGATAGTGAGTGGTTAAAACAGGGATTCAAAACTGGTAAGTCTGAGACCAGCACCCAGGTAATTACCTGGTCTTTCACCCAGAAGAAACACTACCACAGCAGGTTTCCCTGAGGCAGTCAAGGTAACTTGTGAAAGTAGGTCATATTTTCCCCTCTCCATTACCATTTTGGCAGTCAGTTCCTCAGAAAGGTGCTGAGTTAGGCTTCAGGCATATTCATGAGCCTTTTCTCTACCCCACACTCTACAAAGTCTCACTGGGGTTAAAGTAGAAAAAACCCCCACAGTTCCCTACACATGAGATCACAATTCTGTATCCCCATTGCTTCTGGATAATGAAATCAAACCCAACAATCCTTGTGCCTGGAATTTGAAGCCTAAGAGATTTGACTTTTGCCAAACCCAAAATTTTTTGAGGCCCAGTTCAAAGGTCACTTCAGAGCCTTCCCAGTGCTCTGCAAACCGTACTTGCTCCCTAGGTCTGCAGAGTTGTTACAGCATTAGCAGTGAGGTGTTGAAATTACTATTTACTTATAAGTCAGTTAATTTTGCAAGAACTGTTGGCTAAATAGTCTAGTCCCAGAGCCTCGCATCAGGCTGTGGGTAGAGAAGATTGTAAACTGTTGTGCTAATTGAGCGTTGGTTTAGGGCTGTTAGGATGTTAAATATTTCCCCCAAAGGCTCAGTGAAAGACTTCAGAGCCGTGCATGTTGGATTTCAGATTTTCAGATTGGGGAAGCTCAACCGGTAAAATTTGAGAAAATCCCAAATTGGAAACACTTCTGGTCCCAAGCATGTTGGATAAGAGATATTCAATTTTTAGTATAATGATGGAACTGAGGCTCAGAAAGGTTGGAATCTAGATGTCCTGAAACCAAGGCCCTGATTATTTCTAGAAAAGCATTCTGGAAATCTCTTGAGAAGGCACCATATAAATCAGGCCTTGATAGATTTCCATATAACAAGGGTGTTCTAGGTGAGATAAAGAACATAAAAATGTATGCATGGGGTGAGGGATAGAGGATGTAGTAGAAGGGTCAACAATAGCCTAGAGGGGCCAGTTGGGTAATGAGAACAGGCAAGAATAATTGACAGAAACATAGGTTAACAAGTTACTTTCTCCTTTGCTATAAACAATATATAGCAACAATATTAGCACCTGCCAGAGTGAGGGAGAGGTGGTGATTGCAGTAAAATACAGCAGCTCTTGCACATTGTTAGCAAGCAGAAACTCAGGCCGGGTAGGGCCAGATTGTATTTTTGTTTTTTAGACAGGTTTTACTCAGCTGCTGGGGCTGGAGTGCAGTGATCATAATAGCTCACTGCAGACTCGACCACCTGGACTCAAGTGATCCCCTTGCCCCAGCCTCCCAAGTAGCTAGGATTACAGGTATGTGCCACCACAGCCAGCTAACTTTTAAATTTTTTTGTAGAGACAGATCTCACTTTGCTGCCCAGGCTGGTCTTGAACTCCTGGCCTCAAGTGATCCTCCTACCTTGGCCTCCCAAAGGGTTGGGATTACAGGCATGAGCCACAGTGCTTGGCCTCTTTTTAAAAATGGAGACTTCAGGACAGTCTTTTTCAAGACAGACATTTGATTTAAAAAAAAAATGTTGGCAACTAATTCAAACTTAAACACGCTCTGCCAAGCAAAACCTTCCTGTGGGTTCAATCAACTTTCTGGCTGCTTGTCTGTAATCTCTGCTTTAGGAATTATCTAAACTGAAGGGAGGAGTCTGTGAACTATTTGATCTTAAGAGGTTCAGGCTGGGCACGATGGCTCATGCCTGTAATCCCAGCACTTTGGGAGGCGGAGGCAGGCGGATCACCTGAGGTCAAGAGTTCAAGACCAGCCTGGCCAACGTGAAACCCCGTCTCTACTAAAAATACAAAAATTAGCTGGGCGTGGTGGCGGGCACCTGTAATCCCAGCTATTTGGGAGGCTGAGGCAGGAGAATCGCTTGAACCCAGGAGGCAGAGGTTGCAGTGAACCGAGATCACGCCATTGTACTCCAGCCTGGATGCCAAGAATAAAAAACTCCGTTTCAAAAAAAAAAAAAAGGTTCAAAGGGCTGTAGAGTGGTGCTGATGAAACTAAGTCAAAATCATTTAGAGAAACTCTAGAAAATGCAAACTAAACTACAGTGACAGCCACAGATCAGTGGTTGCTGGAGGTGGGGCAGAAAGGAGGGATTCTCAAGCGGGAAGCTTACGGCTTATGAAGGTCATAGATATATTCACTATCTTGTGGTTGTTTTATGGGTGCATATGTGTTTCAATTTATCAACGTGTATATACTTTAAATATGTACAGTTTATTGTATGTCAATTATATTTCAATAAAGTCGATGAAAAAAACTTTAGAGCAGGTGCAGGTTGGTACAACTCTTATTTCCACTGTTAAGCTACAAATTTAAACACCTCCTCATTCTCTTCCCCCAAATCCAGTCTAGGGTCACTCCAAGCCAAAGAAGACAATTTAGAACTTTGCAACAGGTTTTTATTTTTGCTTTATATCTATTACAGTGTTTGAAACCTAAAGAAATACATTTTCTCTTCAAATTTGGATGTGTATATAAATAACATTTGTCTGGACTCAGCACACTCAATGCCATGTTTTCTTCGCCTATGTCTGCTCTGAAATCAAGCTGTGTCTGTCTACCCAGGGGCCCTGAGAACATGGAAAATAGAGTTTATTGTTATTAGAAAAATAAAAGCAAATGAATTTGCAAAGAAAAACCAGTGAGAAGGATTAGATTCATCTTCCAAGGGTCCATAGCTGGTAACCCAAGCCATTCTCGGGGGATATCCAGTCTCTTGAGTGGCTGGGACTCCATTACCCACTTTCCTTCTTTAATAGGTCAAAGGCAATTCCCACAAAAGCTGGCTAAAAAAGCCGACACCCAACTCCAGAGTCTGAGGGTTCATGAAGATGTGGACTTTTTTTTTTGAGACAAGAGCCTCACCCTGTCGCCCAGGCTGGCACAATCTTGGCTCACTGCAACCTCTGCCTCCTAGGTTCAAGAGATTCTCCTGCCTCAGCCTCCCACGTAGCTGAGATCACAGGTGCCCACCACCACACCTGGCTTATTTTTTTTATTTTTTTATTTTTGTAGGGACGGGGTTTTACTATGTTGGTCAGGCTGGTTTTGAACCCCTAACCTCAAGTGATCTGCCCGCCTCAGCCTCCCAAAGTGCTAGGATTACAGGCATGAGCCACCGCGCCCAGCTGAAGATGTGGATTTTTTTTTTTTTTTTTTTTTTGAGATGGAGTCTCGCACTGTCACCCAAGCTGGAGTGCAGTGGCATGATCTTGGCTCACTGCAACCTCCGCCTCCTGGGTTCAAGTGATTCTCCTGTCTCAGCCTCCCAAGTAGCTGGGATTACAGGCGCCTGCCACCACGCCCAGCTAATTTTTTGTATTTTTATTAGAGATGGGGTTTCACTATGTTGCCAGGCTGGTCTCAAACTCCTGACCTCGTGATCCACCCGCCTCGGCCTCCCAAAGTGCTGGGATTACAGGCATGTGCCACCGCGCCTGGCCAGATGTGGACTCTTTAAAGACATGCTCTGAGTCAGAGGTTCCCAGCCAGTGTTAGGATCTCTGAGAGCTTACTTCCTTCAATGCCCCCCAGGCCATGGCGTATATAATAGTTACAGGAGAACAGGGCTGGCATTCAGCAACAGGGTTCAGGTACGAGCTAATGTGGACATCAGAAGTCAGCCTGGCCCAGAGGCAGCTAGGCAGGCCACTAAGATACACTACATAAACCTTTTCCCATGGTGTTCTGGGCCTAACATGTAATACTGCCTCTTCTAACTCTCACAGCCTGCTTAGGTTCTGCACATAGCCCAGACCTGAAGCAAAGCGCCCTTGCAGAGAAAAAAATAACAGCTTTAATTCACAGATTTGGTTGGTCTTGACCTCAAGTTCTTCCTTTGCCACGGTCTAAATCAGGGTGTGGGGCTAGAGGACAGATAATGAGAGACTGAATCATTTATGAAGGCCTTGGCCAAAGAGCAGCTAGTGCCCACTACATGGATCCCAGCAGGGCCAAATTCTCAACTTGTTGGCTTAACAAAAGAATGAAAAAGCTCAAACAGAAAACATACTGGACAAGGTTGGTCCAGAACATGCAATCCTAAATGGCTATGGAATAAATTTATTCTGAGCAATATCTCAGTCTCACACTCACTAAATTCTAGGGTAGTTCTATTGAAGATGTTTACCATGGTTTAGCGCACTGAGCCCTGCACCCTTCCCCAGGCTGCCAGGGAAGCAGAGAGGTACAAACATTCCTAATGCCCCAGTCAGCCTGTTCTCCCTATGGGGTCCCTGGATTACCTGCAGGGACCTGGGGGAAATTGGCTCCCTGTCTTCAGCTGAGAGTCTGGAATCTGAACCCTAGATGAATCTACTGAAGAATGCTCAAGATGATGGATACCAAGCTGAGTGAGTCTAGGGGAGAAGAGAGGCCTGAACAAAAGAGCTGGGGCCTTCAAAGAGGTGTATGAGAGGTGAGGTTAGTAGTGCCAGGCTTTCCTATCTTTTCCTTCTAGTTTGCTAGAAACAAGTACAACTTTAGGGTGTGGGGGGAAGGCAGGTAGACATGAAGAAATGGAAATACAGTTCATTCTGCTAGACATTTTAAACTGGTTTGGCTTGAGAAAAATAGAAAGTCTGTGCCTGAGAACCTTCTTTTCCTCTCCCTTATTTAAGTACAATAGCAGCTATAATCTGTGCAGTTCAGCTCCAAAAAACAGGGCTCCTGGAAGATGGCTTTCATGGCAGAGAGTTGATGGGGTAGATTAATGGGCTCTAGGTAAGGAGCAACACCAAGGGTCCCTGAAAACTGAGGCCAACACCTGCTCCCTGGGGGGGGGCCATTTGTATTCCCTGACCCATGTAACAAGCCTGGCCAGCTGTGGGTGGAATCCATGTGGTTCTATCAGAAGGCTGCAGCCAACATCAAGGCCAGGCAGTCACCAGGGTCAGCTGGGATCTGAAGGGAGGCTTCTAAGACCAGACACCCTGTTAGTACTAAAGATGATGATTTGGGGGTGGGATGCCTGGAGGGGCTGGCACCATTCAAAAAAGTATTGGAAAACATTAGCCAAGAAAAAGGCTCCTTGTCCCTCCTAATCCATATCCAGATACCCCCAACCAGAGATCTTAAAAAGGATAGACCAGCCATATGCCAACATGCCAGGATTCCAAAAGCATGCCTCAACTAATTAGGGTATTCCCTACAGCAGACTGGGGTAGAGGGGCTCCATCCTGGCAATAACCAGAGAGCCTTACCTCGCCTAGGCCAGGGTATGGAATCTAGATGAAGACTGTCCACAAACAGTGGCTCTCAAGCCTGGGCTAAATAAATAATATTTTGCTTCATTACATGGCCAAAGGAGAGGAGGAGATAGAAAAGATGATATTACTACCTCTGTGGGCTGGAAGAACTTCACCTGTTGGTTGAAAGGGGATTAAAGGAAGATAACAGGAAAACCTGGTCTGGAGAAGACATAAATGAAAGCTCCTGGAGGCCACTTTTCTCTGATTAGAAATCTATCCTCACACTCTGCCCCTAGTAGACTTTAGCCTTTGGAGTTCTTAGGGAAAACTGGCTTTAAGCAGCAGCCAGATCACCAAAAACATTTTCCATCTGGTACAGGACCCGGAGCTGAAGCCAAAGTAGATTTTGGAGGAACAGCTGGACAAGCAGGATGTGTATGTCTTACACTAAGAAACTGGTCCCTGTATCAGGGACTTAACTCTTACTTGAGATGTACAAAGTAGATCCTACTAAATTGCCCTTTGGAAGAGAACAATGGGCGGAGGTTGGGTAGGGGAAGGCTTTTTTTTTTTTTTTTTTTTTAAACTGTAAGAGAATGGTTTTTTAATGGAGGTAGCAGGCCAAGTGAAAAAAAGATTCTGCCCCCTGCCTTCCTGGGAGATTGGGAGTTGGCAGCCATCATTCCCAAGCTGATGAGTGGCATATGACTCACCAAGGTGGTACAACATGGGTGGGATTTTTCAAGGACAATTGCCAGACCTAAACCATCCTCCTCAGAAAATGGCTTTGAAGTGGGACTGCAGCACTAGGAGAGGGCAAATTCAAGATCAATGGCCAATAATAAGTACCTGAACTTTAGGTCTATAAGCAGAAGGGCATGGATTTCACCTGAGCCAGAAGGAGATGTGTAGCAATAGAAGCAAGAATGGCATTGTTTCAGAGGAAGGAAAAGCAGAGCTTGGAGCAGGATGCCTCTGACTAACCACAGTGGGGAGGTGGGGGTGGGGCAGACTGTGCCTTCAGCTCCACAGCTGGTCTACACCAACTTCCTCTACTCCCATCCAAACAGGTGGGCTTTACTATCATATGTAATCCACCCAGAGGCACAGGCAAGCCACTAAGGCAATGCACTACCGTAATTCAAACAGAAAGAAGAGGCATCTGGATTATAATTGTCACAAGGAAGGGAAAACCCAAACCAGGTACAAGGATCCCAAACAGGGAAGATACGCAATAGCTCTAAAAAAAAAAAAAAAAAAAGCAGGCTACTAAGTTTCAGTGATAATAGATAATAGGAGAGGCAGCCATGGGTGATCAGTTATGTGGACAATGGCCATTGAGATTGAATTTGACAAGGCAAACTGCTTCTGAGTTTCCTGATACAAGCAGGATGTTCAGCAGTAAGGACAGAGTAGCAGACTTCACCAGGCCCTGAGGCCATCCTTGCTCCCTTCAGGTCCTGGGACAATCAGGCCACGCTGACCTGCTTTATGAAGGTTCCAGAGCTGAAGGTTGGTCCCAGGTGGTGGTCCAGAATCCAAGCAGAGAGGAAAAGGACCAAGCTCAGGCCTCCTGAGCGAGGAAGCATCCATATCTCTTTTTGGTCTTCCTCACAGTATCCTACTTACCGAAATGACAGACAGTTCTTCCTCTTGAGACCAATTAAGATTGACCTACCTAATATATAGAATATAAAAAAATACAGAACTTTTTGACATTCTCTCCTTTAGAAGTAAAATATACATGATCCAACTATGGAAGAGGAAGAAGAAGAAGAAGAAAGGCCAAAGGCAGGGATCCCTGACTATCCCAATACATGACACTCTCACTCCACCCTCCTCTGCAACTTACAGGTCACCAGAGCAAGGACTTTCTCCTCAGGAGAAAGGAAGGACCACAGCCCCCTATCTCAAGCTTAGGAGAAAATACAGCCACCTCAGAGGTTCTCTCAACCTCGAGGGGGAATTTTCAAGTAAACAAATGAAGTTGGGTCGCACCATTTGGAAGGTGAGTAGGAAATATGGGATCAGTAGCTACACGTGGGAAGCCCCATCTGAAGGCCTGTGCTCCTCCCCTGCACTCCCACTGGTATACTTGAGACACTTCAGGAGAGTGAGGAGGATCCCCCAAACTAAAGAGGTCTGGGCAAAGAGTCAGAGGGAGGGAGGGACCTTTGTTTCATGGTAGCCTCCCCAGCCTCTAGTCCCAGGCAATGCAGGCAGCTGGGTTTACTAAAACCAGGAACTTGTGGCTCTTGGGAAGAGCAATCTTAATACAAGAAAAATGTGCAAAAGAAAAAAAAATTAAATAACTCAATCCAAGCGTACAAGATTAATATTCTGTCAGAGCAAGAACACTTTGTTTTGGATTTCTCCCTTCCCCTCCCACCTCCCACCTCTGGAATATACCGTCTGCTCAAGTACCCAAGATAAGAGTTACACAGATCAGGGCAGAGGACCGGGAAGAATGAAAAAAGATAAAGGGAAGGAAGTCACCACTGAAGAAAAAAAGAAAAAAAATAAAAATAAAAAAAGGTGCAAATTGATTACCTTAGTCCTCCTTTGTCTACCCCTGGGCTCCTGGGTTAAAGACATGTGTGCAGCCAAAATATAGTGTAAGGAAGAAAAACCCAACACGTCCCCTTCTTGTCACAAAACCCAAAGGTGAGCCTCAGATGGTTCTGTCTGTCCAGAGGGTGCTCCCTCCAGGGAAGGGGGCGGAGCAGGTCAAGAGCACAGTCTCCAGGGCAGCAGAGGTGTGTGGTGGCTGATGGTGGGGACACTGGTTTCCCGCCCACCAGAGGGCTGCTCTTCCGCTGGCTGGTGGTGCTTCCCATCCCCTCCCCTCCCTGGAGGCAGATATTATAGCTGGAAGCCCTCCATGGGGGCCTCAGGCTGCTGGAAGATGAACTGCTGTTGCGTTTCATCGACTTGGGGAGCCAGGCTGCTATCATCGTCTTCTACACCAAAGTAGTGCTCAATGAGGTCGAAGGCCTTCTGGTAGATCTCCTGGTTCTCGTGGCTCTGGAGAAACTCAATTTTATCCAAGCCTACAGTAGTAAGAAGGAAGGAGAGGGAAGTGTGAGTGCTTTTCTATGGGCAGGTGAAACATTTACCTATTTTTCCTTCCCTGAGGTATGTTAGTGCTTACAAACACAAGTCATATGATCAGATCACTCTTGGACCTGAAAGGGGAGAGTTAAGATTTCTTCTCAAAACTACAGAATCCCAAAGGAAAGAGACCAAAATGTCAGTTACAGAGGTTCTAGTCCTGATTCTGCTTTAAACTAGAAGCATGACCTGGGCACATCATCAGCCTCTCAGGGATGAGTGATGAGTTAATCCAGCACTCTTATAGGTACAGCCTATCAGAAAGAGAACTGACCTATCACTCCTTAGAAGGAGAAGAAACTGGTGAGAGACAACTCTCAACTCAAAAGATGAGCCAAATCCAAATCCTAGCTGTACCCCAGCTACTCAGCACATCCTGATTATACTCATGGTAACGTGTGAAACCCTGTGGATGGTGAAACTTGGCTAGGGCAGGAGCTCTTAACTGTTCTGAAGACACAGACATCAGTCTCATGGAAGCTATGGATGCTTCCCAACCCACACTCCGCCACCACCAACATATGTATACCACGTTGGAGGCCTACAGTCTCAGGTTCTGACCTAGATTGAGGAGAGGGCACATACCATAGGCTTCCTCTATGAGGCCACAATAAGGATTGACCCCTGAGCCACTGCGCTTGCCCTCTTGCTCTCCAAGCCGCAGGATGTTCTCCAGTCCATTGAGGGCCACTTGCACAATCTTCGAATCCATTACAGTCAGCAAGTCACATAGGGGTTTGATGCAGCCCAGTGAGACCAGGTACCTAGGGGCCAGAGACCAGGCAAGTGCTAAACTAGTACAGGACACATGAAGTGCTGGGCAGGTGCTCTGAACTCTCAGCAACCCACTCTTACTAATTTATTTTTTTATTTTTAAGAATTGTGAGGCCGAGCGCGGTGGTTCACACCTGTGATCCCAGCACTTTGGGAGGCTGAGGTGGGCGGATCACAATGTCAAGAGATCGCGACCATCCTGGCTAACATGGTGAAACCCCGTCTCTACTAAAAAAAAATACAAAAAAAAAAAAAAAATTGGCCAGGTGTGGTGGCGGGCACCTGTAGTCCCAGCTACTCGGGAGGCTGAGGCAGGAGAATGGTGTGAACCTAGGAGGCAGAGCTTGCAGTGAGCCGAGATTACGCCACTGCACTCCAGCCTGGGCGACAGAGTGAGACTCCGTCTCAAAAAAAAAAAAAGAAAAGAAAAGAAAAAAGAATTGTGCAACACCCCATTCCATGCCAGAGAATGAGAGTGTTCCCCAACCAAGTCCTTTTTTTTTTTTTGAGACAGGGTCTTGCTCTGTCACCCAGGCTGGGGTGCACTGGTGCGATCCCAGCTCACTGCAGCCTCCTGGGCTCAAGTGATCCTCCTGCCTCAGCCTCCCAAACAGCTGGGACTACAGGTGTGTGCCACCATTCTCAGCTAATTTATTTTTTATTTTTTGTAGAGACAAAGTCTCATTATGTTGTCCAGGCTGGTCTCAAATTCCTGGTCTCAAGCGATCCTCCCACCTTGACCTCCCCAAAGTGCTGGGATTACAGGTGTGAGCCACTGCTCTTACTGAGCCTTGATAACCGCTTATCCTTTCTCTATCTCTCTACCTTCCTGTTGATATTGTTCTAGTTCATTTCACATGTGGTTGGTCTAGTTCATTTCACATGTGGATGCTACCAAACACTCCTCCTCCTTGCCTCTAATGTCTCCTTGGCTGCAATATTACCCCTCTGAACACATTACTTCCCTGCATAAAATTTTTCACAGGCTCCCTAATTCGCTGAACTCCAAATTCTATGGCACAACAATACCATAATACCACAAGCCCAGCCCAGCCTGGATGCTCTGCAATCTGGCTCCTAGTTCCTTTCTAGCTCTGCCTCCCATTATTCCCTTCCAAGGACAATACATTCTAGTCACACTTGTAAAGGTCTCCAGGTTTCTGATTCCTGTACCTTTATTTATGCTTTTCCCTGTCTAAGAGGCCTTTTACAATCCCATATTTATCCTTCAAAGCTTAACTCAACAGCTATCTCTTTTCTCCTAAGACTTTATATATACTAACTGTGCTCCCCTTAATAGGCAACAAGTGAAGGGCAAAACACTTAACTATTCCCACCACTTTCCACTAATGTTCAGATAATGTAAACTAAAATAAAAGAGTACACAGGCCAGGTGGCTCATGCCTATAATCCCAGCACTCTGGGAGGCCAAGGTGGGAGGATCATCTGACATCAGGAGTTCAAGACCAGCCTGCTAACATGGTGAAACCCCGTTTCTACTAAAAGTACAAAAAATTAGCCGGGCGTGGTGGCACGTGCCTGTAACCCCAGCTACTCAGGAGGCTAAAGCAGAAGAATCGCTTGAACCTGGGAGGCAGAGGTTGCGGTCTCAAAAAGAGCACACATACACAAAATAGCTTTCTATTCGCTTCTTTCAAGTCTCATATCCCAAATTAATTTCTCAAAGAAGCTGCTTTTTTGTTTGAGACAGGACCTTGCTCTGTAGCAAATGCTGGAGTGTAGTGGCACAATCACAGCTTATTACAACTGTGACCTCCTGGGCTCAGGTGATCCTCCTGCTTCAGCCTACTGAGTAGCTGTGGCCACGGGCACACGCCACTACAACCTGCTAATTTTTACATTTTTGTACACATGAGACAAAGTCCCTATGTTGCCCAGGCTAGTCTTGAACTCCTGGGTTTAAAGGATCCTCCTGCTTCAGCTTCCCAAGGTGCTGGGATAACAGACATGAGCCACTACACCAGCTTGCTTGTTTTTTTTTGTTTTTTTTTTTTTTTGTGACAGACTCTGGCTCTGTCACTCAGGCTGGAGTGCAGTGGTACAATCACAGCTCACTGCAGCCTTGACCTTCCAGGCTCAAGCCATCCTCCCATCTCAGCTGGGACTATAGGCACATGCCACCACGCCCGGCTAATTTTTGTCTTTCGTAGAGACAGAGTCTTCTTATGTTGGTCAGGCTGAAGAAACTGTTTTGAGTAACCCATAGTACGGTTCCCCTTCATTTGAATTGAGAACTACATAGATTTCAGTTCTCTGTTGGATAAGAAAAGGTAGAGAAAGGATGGATGTCCATGTCATGTTTCTCTTCTCCAGAAGGGAAAACTGGTAAACTGTTATAGTGTCACTGGAATCTGGAATAGATTCCCACATGGCTTACATGGAATCTATTCCAGATTCTAGTGACACTGTAGCAGTTTACCAGTAAAATTCTATTACAGTGAGACTAGGGGGCAGACCTGTCTGAGCAAGAGCAGTTTATAGGTCACCTGTAAACCATGAGCAAACAGGGAGAGCATCCATTATCATTCAAGACAACGGGAAAGGAATGTAATACCTGATCTGCTCAGGGGTTCCTCCTGATGTGGCATTGGTGATGGCCCAGGCTGCCTCTTTCCTTGTACGAAACTCTGCTTTCTGAAGGATTTCGATCAACACAGGGAAGATATTTGCATCTATAACAGCCTGAGAGAGAATTGAGAGGAGGCAGATGGAAGGAGAAAGTCATTTCAGCATGATAAATAAATCTAGTCCCCAAATCAGCTGAGACTTAGACATCTTCCCCATTCTGGGAGTTTTCTTTTGTTCTTCCTATATAGGTGACAGGCTACTACAGAAGAACCCAGTTTTGGTTACACAGCTTCTTTGACCAATAGTACACACTGACTCCAATTTATTTATTTATTTATTTATTTTCTGAGACAGTCTTGCTCTGTCACCCAGGCTGGAGTGCAGTGGCGCGATCTCGGCTCACTGCAAGCTCCACCTACCAGGTTCACGCCATTCTCCTGCCTCAGCCTCCCGACTAGCTGTGACTACAGGCGCCTGCCACCACGCCCGGCTAATTTTTCTTTTTTTTTGTATTTTTAGAAGAGACATGGTTTCACCACGTTAGCCAGGATGGTCTTGATCTCCTGACCTTGTGATCCGCCCACCTCAGCCTCCCAAAGTGCTGGGATTACAAGCATGAGCCACCATGCCCAGCCCCTCTTTTTTTTTTTTTTTTTTTGAGACGGAGTCTCGCTCTGTTGCCCAGGCTGGAGTGCAGTGGCGTGATCTCAGCTCACTGCAACCTTTGCCTCTCGGGTTCAAGCAATTCTCCTGCCTCAGCCTCCCGAATAGCTGAGATTACAGGCGTCCGCCACCACACCCATCTAATTTTTGTATTTTTAGTACAGATGGGGTTTCACCATGTTGGCCAGGATGGTCTCAAACTCCTGACCTCATGATCTGCCCACCTCGGCCTCCCAAAGTGCTGGGACTACAGGCGTGAGCCACCGTGCCTGGCCAATTGACTCCTATTTTTAAAGGGAAACAAATTCTTTCTTCTGAAAGCAAATATTCCAACAACCTCCCAAGTTCCTATGACTTCCCATGCCCCTTGACTTCCCTGCCTGTTTTACCTGTATTTGAGCCCTGTTGCCAGCAGTAATATTTGAAATAGTCCAGCAAGCTTCCTTCCGGATTGACTCCTTGGGACTGCTCAACAAGTGGAGAAGGCAAGGTAGGGCTGAACAGTTAAGAATGACCTAGAACACCAAAAGCACAGGAAACAAAAGAAAAATTAAACTGTTTTTAATTTTTTTTATGTTTTTTTGTTGTTGTTGTTGTTGTTGTTGTTTTTGTTTTTTTTTTTGAGACAGAGTCTCGCTCTGACGCCCAGGCTGGAGTGCAATGGCACAATCTCGGCTCACTGCAACCTCCGCCTCCCAGGTTCAAGTGATTCTCCAGCCTCAGCCTCCCAAGACGCTTGGATTACAGACGCCTACCACCACGCCCGGAAAATTTTTCTATTTTTAGTAGAGATGGGGTTTCATCATGTTGGCCAGGCTGGTCTCATGCTCCTGACCTCAGGTGATCTGCCTGCCTCGGCCTCCCAAAGTGTTGGGATTACAGGTGTGAGCCACTGTGCCCGGCTTCATTTTTTTTCTTTAAATAGGGTCTCACTTTGTTGCCTAGGCTGGAGTGCAGTGGCATGATCATGGCTTACTGCAGCCTTGACCTCCCAGTCTCAAGCAATCCTTCTACTTCAGCCTCCTGAGTAGCTGGGGACTCCTGAGTAGCAGGGTGCCACCGCACTCTGCTAATTAAAAAACATTTTTTTTTTTTGTAGAGACAGGGTCTTCCCATGTTGCAGGGCTGGTCTCAAACTTCTGGGCTCAAGTGATCCTCCTGCCTCAGCCTCCCAAAGTGCTGGAATTACAGGCATGAGCCACTGCACCTGGCCCAGGTAAACTGGACTTAATCAAAATGAAAAACTGTTGTGCATCAAGACATTGGAGTAAGCTGGGCACAGTGGTATGCACCTGCAGTCCCAGCTACTCAGGAGGCTGAGGCAGTAGGATCACCTCAGCACAGGAGTTCAAGGCCAGCTGGGGCAACATAGTGAGACCCTCTAAAAAAAATTAAAAAAGAAAAGAAAGTTGGTCTGGGTGAGGTGGCTTCATGCCTGTAATCCCAGCACTTTGAGAAGCCAAGGTGGGAGGATTGCTTAAGCCCAGTAGTTCAAGAGTAGCCTGGGCAACATGGTAAAACCCTGTCTCTCCAAAAAAAAACAAATTCAAAAAATTAGCTAGGCATGATGGTGCATGCCTGTAGTCCCAGCTACTTGGGAGGCTGAGGTGGAAGGACTGCTTTGAGCTCAGGAGGCAGAGGTTGCAGTGAGCCGAGATGGCATCATTGCACTCTAGCCTGGGTGACAAAGACAGACTCTGTCTCAATTTTAAAAAATTAAATAAGTTAAAAGTTTTTTTTTTAAAGACACCAAAGTTAAAAGATAAAACCACAGAACAAGAGAAAATATTTGCAAAACATGTGTCTGATAAGAGATTAATATCCAGAACATATGAAGAACTCCTAAAATTGAACAACCAGAAAACTCAACAACCCAATTAAAACATGAGCAAAAGACTTGAATAGACATGTGTCCAAAAAAAAAAAAAAAATACACAGATGGCCAATAAGCATATGAAAAGATGCTCAACATTACCAATCATTAGAAAAATGCAAATCAAAACCACAATGAAATATCACTTCACACCCATTAGGGTGGGTATTATCAAAAAAAAAACAAAAAACAAAAAACGGAAAATAACAACTGTTGGCAAGGCTGTGGGGAAACTGGAACATGCTGCATTGTTGGTGGGAATGTAAGATGGCATAGCAGCTGTGCAGAACAGTATGGTGTCCCCTCAAAAAAATTAGGCATAAAATTAGAACATGATCCAGCAATTCCACTCTGGGTATATACCGGGGACTTGAACAAATATTTGTACACCAATGTTCATAGCAGCATTATTCACAATAGCCAAAAGGTGGAAACAACCCAAATGTCTATTGATGGATAAATAAAATATGGTATATACATACAGTGGAATATCATTCAGCCTTTCAAAGGAGTTCTGATGCATGCTACAACATGAACGAATTTTAAAGATACTAGGCTAAGTGAAATAAACCAGACGAGAAAGAATAAACACTGTATGATTCCACTTACATGAGGTACTTAGAGCACTCAAACTCACAGATACAGAAAATAGAATGGTGGTTACTAGGCACTAGGGGAAGGGAGAATGGGGAGTTACTGTTTAATGTGTACGGTTTCAGTTTGAGATGATAAAAAATTTCTGTAGCTGGCTAGTGGCAATAACGGAAAAACAATGTGAATGTACTTTATGCCAATGGTTAAAATGGTAAATTTTATGTTGTATTTTAAAGTACATGCATATACATATACAAAGTAACCCAGAAAATGAGCATGTGGGTTTGAGTGTTTGAGTGACACTACTCACCTGTTAAGAAACCTGTCCAGAATCCCACAGAATTATGCTCGCTACTCAAAACCCAAAGAATACCCAAATCTCTAGCCTTTGAGCAGGGGAACTTTGTTTACTATGCCTTCACCAGAAGGGTTATTTACAAAAGATTATTCCAAGGTCCATGATATCCATGAGACCTTAAAGATCTAGGAAGCAGGGGTGGAGTTCCATAGCTTTCAGTATCTCAAAGGGACCATGACTCAAACTTAACTAACTCACAATGTCCCAGGTGGTAAGTCCAGTTATTCCACTTAGTTTTCCTTCACCCATTAGACGATGATTTGTTCCCAATTTATGTAAGAAAAGAAGGAACCAAGTTTCCCATGACTGTTTAGAGAATAACAGAGCTGGAACTTTTCACTCAAGCCCACACTTACTTCCTTAGACCATAGTGCCTCCCATCAGGACCACAGCCCTTTGCAGGAAAGGCTTTTGTCCACTGGCAGCTCTCCACAAGCTCTTCCATAGCTGGTCTAAGATCCTGCACCCTCCTCTTTCTTACCTGGGTCTGGATGTCATCCCCAGTGACGATGTTACCCACGGCTCTCAGGGCAGGAGAAGCCACTTTGTAATCATTGTGCCTACAGAGGAGGGAGATCTGATCAGAAGGCCAGCACACCATTTTCGGCCCTGCTGATTCTCTCTCTTTAGTCTGAGCCTGGAGAAGCTTAAGGAACCTGTACCCTTTTTTTTTCTTTTTTCTTTTTTTTTTGAGACAGAGTCTCGCTCTGTCGCCCAGGCTAGAGTGCAGTGGCGCGATCTCGGCTCACTGCAAGCTCTGCCTCCCGGGTTCACGCCATTCTCCTGCCTCAGCCTCCCGAGTAGCTGGGACTACAGGTGCCCGCCACCACGCCCGGCTAATTTTTTGTATTTTTAGTAGAGACGGGGTTTCACCGTGTTAGCCAGGATGGTCTTGATCTCCTGACCTTGTGATCCACCCGCCTCAGCCTCCCAAAGTGCTGGGATTCTTTTTTTTCCTTTGAGACGGAGTCTTGCTCTGTCACCCAGGCTGGAGTGCAATGGCACGATCTCGGCTCACTGCAACCTCTGCCTCCCAGGTTCAAATGATTCTCCTGCCTCAGCCTCCCAAGTAGCTGGGATTACAGGCGCCTGCCACTGCGCCCAGCTAATTTTTGTATTTTTAGTAGAGACGGGGTTTCACCATGTTGGTCAGGCTGGTCTCGAACTCCTGACCTTGTGATCCGCCCACCTTGGCATCCCAAAGTGCTGGGATTATAAGCATAAGCCACCGTGCCCAGCCAGAACCTGTACCCCTTCTAAGACCACTCACATCAGCAGCTCTACCAATCTCCGGCAGACTCCGGAGTCTATGACTGCCTGGATCTTCTCATTGGGGCCATCAGACAGATAAGAAAGGGCCCAGCAAGCATCTGCCAGCAAGTCCGAGTCGCTGCTGAAGAGTAGGCGAGACAGTACAGGCAAACAAGGAGAGACCTGTGGGAAGCAGAGTGAGAAAGACTCACAGGGGAACAAGACTATATCAGCTCTATCACGAACCCTAACATTGCAACCACCGCCCCCACAATACACACACACAAGTAATTCCAGACCCTAGGGATCGCTACTACATTAAACATTTGGGTCTACCTTTTCACTTTACTATCCAGGTACACAAGATCATCTACTTCACTAACAATTGCTTCTTTCAGTTTCCCATGATTTGAGACTCCAAGGAGTATCCCAAAGACTTAAAAACTCCATATGAAGGAACCTGATGTCACTCAGGGTCTAGTAAGTAGCTCTCTCACCTTTGCAAACTCTGGGGGTGGGTTTTTCCCTCGGCAGAGATTTGACAGGGCCCAGACTGCATTCCGTGTCATCGTCAGTCGTGTGGACTTGGTAAGGAGTCTGAAGGAAACAGCAAAGCCAGATCCTGAGCACTGAGGCCTTGGCATAGGACTGTTGCCAATGAACCCAGAGACAAATCCAATGAGACCTCTCAGACTCTAGCAGCCTGTTTCTTCCTACTCACAGACCTAAGTTAATAGAGCTGGTATAGGTTAGGAGGCCAGGCTCTATACAGAGTATTCATTTCAGGACCAGCTGTGGCTAGTTAATACCATAGATAATAGGGACGAAACAGAGGGCTAGATCTGGAGTAAGCCTGTAAAGCTTCTAAAGTGGGATATATCATGCCCATAACCCTGGCCACAAGTCCAGGACAAGGAATGGTGTTCTCTGGAAATAAAAGCTAAAAGTCTAAGAAATAAAAGCTATAGGTCTACTGTGAGAGCTTTAGCCACACAGTATGGAATAATTTTCTGTGAAGGGTCCAAGAAAGTGACAGTGGTAGGCTATGAGACTGTGGTCTCTGAAGAACAGTTCATTCATCTGTTTTGGTTTAGGCATAGTTTACTCTAAGGGTACGGAGGGAAGGATGGGAGAAGGATACAATGACGCTTCACGGGGTCTTTGATCTATAATTTACGACAGAGCTGTCCGATGTATGTATGCAAAACCCCATAACAAATCAATGCATTTTGTAGAGAAGGTTGGATTTTTCCAGGTGGGCTAGTCCTGCCTCTCTCCCCTGGCTCAACAATGAGGAGGATATGAGGATATGACTAACATGAGGTTCTGCAGTGCCATGAAGTGAGGAACAAGATCCTTTTTGGCAGATGGGTGGCACAATCTTTTTTTTTTTTCACTCTTTTGCCCAGGCTGAAGTGCAGTGGTGTGATCAATCACAGCTCACTGTAGCCTTGATCTCCCTGGGCTCAGGTGATCCTCCCTGCCTCAGCCTCCCAAGTAGCTGAGTCTACAGGTGCCTGCCACCACACCTGGCTAACTTTTGTATTTTTTGTAGAGTTGGGGTTTCACCATGTTGCCCAGGCTGGTTTTGAACTCTAGGCTCAAGGGATCCACCTGCTCTGGCCTACCAAAGTGCTGGGATTACAGGCATAAGCCACCATGCCCGGCCACAACCTTCTCAATCTCCAAAGATACCTATCTTTTACTTTGGCAATCAGAATGCATTTTTATAGTTTTTGCACTTACCTATCATCTTAAGGAATCAAGTATGCTGCCCCCAAATGACCTGCCACGTGGCCACCCAGTAGACGCCCAGGTACAGATGATTATAATTACTCACGTTAACAAAGGATTAAGGATGGAACAGTTCAAGACGTAATCTCGGCAAACAGAGCTATCTCCAGCTATGTTTCCCAGTGCCCAGACTGCCTGAAAAGGGGATAATGAAACTGTCACCCACAAAGCTTGGTACTCCTGTGAGTACTTTATAGCCACAACTGCAAAGTGAGTACCCACCAGGATGAGAATGATGTCAAGGCCCCAAATATACTACACAAGCTCAGGTAACCTCCCTATTGAAATTCTTACTGAGCACTTGTTCTACAATGACCTATCCCTGGGAGTTCCTGGTTCAGCAGGGAAAGACAGGCTGCCATCTGTACTATAGCCACAGAAGCCAAAACAATATCGCCCAGAAAAGGAGAAAGTAATCAGAAAGTTGCATTTTTTTTTTTTTTTTTTTTTGAGACGGAGTCTCGCTCTGTCACCCAGGCTGGAGTGCAGTGGCACAATCTCTGCTCACTGTAACCTCCACCTCCCGGGTTCAAGTGATTCTCCTGTCTCAAGCCTCCTGAATAGCTGGGATTACAGGTAAGCTCCACCATGCCCAGCTAACTTTTTAGTATTTTTAGTAGAGATGGAGTTTCACCATGTTGGTCAGGCTGGTCTTGAACTCCTGACCTCGTGATCTGCCCACCTCGGCCTCCCAAAGTGCTGGGATTATAGGCGTGAGCCACCGCGCCTGGCGAAAGTTGCACTCTTGTAGCTGCCTTGGACCAAGTCTATAAAAGAGCCCACTACCACTCTCCAATTCTATCCAACTAGTAAGAATTCAATGGGAGAAATGGAAGTTGTATCTTTATCTCCATGATTTGTGGGTACTCAGATATGGGTACTGTGGTGTCTTTTTTCCAATGGCACTTCCAACAACAAATGTATAGAGTTTTTTCCACATCAACCACCCATTCTCTGATACCAACCATGTGTCCAACGATTTAATTCAATTCTGACTCTAACACCTAGAGTTAATGCAGAGTCCGCAGGTTAGTCCCACAAGACTGCCCCAACTTGAGATACCAGTTGCAAGTCCCAGGGGCCATCTGTACTTGACACCCCTATCACTCAGGAAATTCCAAGAGTTTTAACACTGTGCCAAGAACCAGGACAAAGACCAAATATATTTTTTATTATACCACAGGTACTATAAAGAATCACACCAAATCTAAGCATTACCTGTTCCTGAACATCCTCAAAGTCTGAATTAAGCAGCTCTATAAAAATGGGGACAGCCCCTGCTTCAATGACAATTTTGGTCTGCTGAGAGGTTCCAGAGGCAATATTCGTTAGAGCCCAGGCAGCTTCAAACTGAAAGTGAGATTAAGCAATGATTGAAAGGTCATTTCAGACTGAGCAGCCATGCCTATCAGCTGGCTCAGAACAGTAAGCCTCCTGCCCATGAATTTAAAAAACCAAAACAAAACCTCACAAAACACAAGCAAGCCTCTTGCCCACGAATTTAAAACACACACACATAAAATACAAGCCTTTCCCCTCCCGTCTTTAGAGAGTGGGAAGATGCAGTGATGTGATATAGATGAGAATAAGACATTGGGCTTCCAGGGTCCCAGGTTTAGTCCTGCACTACCACAACACCCATGCATCCTTTGCCAGGTCACTCTTTTATTTCCTGAGCTTCACTTTCTTCATTTCTGAAATGAGGATTAGAATGAAATGGGTCTCTCAAAGTCCCTTTCAGCTGAGTTCTGGCAAGTTCCAATGGATTGACCCATCACCCATCTCTGAAACAAGAGACCCAGAGAGGCTAAACAATTTGCCTCAGGTCACACAGGTAGTGGACTATAGCCTCTGATTTATAACTGAATGATCAGTCTATCATAGTCTGGTGCCTTTCCTTTGAAATTGTTTTAAGGAAGAGATTCTGGCTGTGAGGGAACTGATGGTTTCTCCTGAATGTTTCCTAACATTACTTTTGAACTTCCTGAGAGATATGTCAATAGAAGTATCCCACTGCAATTTCTTGGAAGTAGGGCTTTCATCTAATAACCCCTTCCCAGTAGTGGGGGACTGGGGGTGGGATGGGGATAAGTAATGGGTACAAAAAAACCCAGAAAGAATTAATAAGACCTACTATTTGGTAACACAATAGGGTGACTATAGTCAATAATAACTACACAATTTAAAATAACTTAAAGTGTATAATTGGATTGTTTGTAACTTAAAGGATAAATGCTTGAGGAAATGGATACCCCATTCTCCATGATTTGCTTATTTCAAATTGCATGCCTGTGTCAAAACATCTCATGTATCCCATAAATATATATACCTACTATGTATCCCCCAAAAATTAAAAGACAAAACAAACCCCTTCCCTTCAGGCCTCACCTGTAATGTACAATTCTCATTCCTCTTCAGAAACTCCACGAACCGATCCACCACTCTTGGAGTGTTGATAACTTCATCTATTGGAGGACTAGGCTCTGGATAAGGGAGAAGGGAAAATAAAAACACAGGAGAAGCTTTTGCTGATCCCTTCATGGGGGTCAGCTTGCAATCCTTCTTAGACACTTCTGACCACCCTTACAAACATTCCCAAACTCCCTTCTGGTAAGGTGGTTTTAACAATATCTACTCGTCTTTGAACTGTATAATACAGCTGGAATGTTAAAGAGTAAAGCCAATCCTAATTTAAGAATGTTCATCTTTGGCTTACTAAATGTAAGCAAAGAAAGGTGTGGGAGAGAGAACCACCTAAGGGATGAACAACCATGGTCTGCACATTTCCCTTTCAAGAAAGACCAGTACTCTCTTCTTGGGAAGACTATTTGATATACTGAAACAAGAGGTATTTTTCCAATCATACATTAAATTTTTTTATTAAGTACCTATGGTGTGCCACACAGTTCTAGGTACAGAGGACACAGGAGGGAACAAAAACAAAAGTCTCTGCCCTCAGAGAGTTTATATCCTAGTGGGAAGAGTCATTTTATTATGTTAGAAGATAAATATAATGGGGGGAGAGGAGGAGAATATGTAGGGCAAGGTAAAAAGATAAAACTGTTGAAGGTGGGATTTAATCATAGGAGTAAGGGAGTTGCTACAAAGATATCTGGGAATAGAGGACATCAGGCAGAGGAAGTATCCAGTGTGAAGGTAGCAATGTGTCTATCTTGTACAAGCAACACCAAGGTCAGTAGGGCTAGAGCAGAATGAGTGAGGGCACGTGTAAGTTGATGACATCAGTGAAGAGAAAAGAGGCTAAATCATATAAGGCCTCTCTGACAAGGGCCAGGCTTTGTACCTTTGGAGAGCAGTTTCCGGAATTTCTGTGTGGTTGCTAACTGCAGGTCAGAATCATCAGAAAAGAGCATCTCCACCATCTCTCTTGTGATCACACTCTCCTAGAACATAAAACAAGTTTAGGACTTTGCAAACCAACATTAGAGCCAGATGTGAGCACATAATACTGCTTGGCATCCTGTTTTCTAAAAAACTGAGGGCAAGAGGATGGCATAATAGGCTCAGGAGAAGGGGTCTGTTTAATCTATAGGTGCTTCAAGTTGGGACATTTGAAAAGTGATTCCTAATTCTGAGGCAACTGATGGCTTCTCTTAAATGTTTCCTCAGATATATCTAACAAAGTTGAATCTTTGTTGACTCCTAAAGCTGACGAAAGGGTCCACAGAGGAAAGAACTTGTCATGGTTACTGGCAAAGCTGGTAGATGATGTGAACGGCCCAATTTCTGTCCTTAGAAGCAGGTGTTTTCCAGGTCAGCCTGAGGCACATGCAGGGGCCTTACCCCAGTGGTAGAGCTCACATAAGAGTCCATGAGAAGACTATCGAACATGGCAGCTTCTTCATTAATCAGCTCCACATTTCTCCGTTTAAAAAGCTGAAAGTAAAGAGACAGTGGTTAAGAGTACTCTCTGAACCAAAGAAAACAAAGAACAATCCAATGTTAAATTATGGCATAACTGACAAGGATATACTAGAGTAGCTGAGAAGTGAGGCCAAGCTTTATACATTAGTCTCCCCTTATTCAGTTTTGCTTTCTATTATTTTAGTTATCCAGTCAACCGTGGTCTGAAAATATTACACAGAAAATTCCAGAAATGAACAATTCATAAGTTTTAAATTGCATGCCATTCTGAGTAGTGTTGAAGTTTCACGCTATCTTGTTCTGTCTGGCCCAGGATGTGAACATCCTTTGTCCAGTGCATCCATTCCATGCTGTATACGCTGCTGCCAGTTAGTCACTTAATAACCAACTTGGTTATCAGGTGGCAATTGCTTGTGTTCAAGTAACCCTTATTTTACTTAGTAATAGCCACAAAGTGCAAGAGTAGTGATGCTGGCAATTCAAATGTGCCAAAGAGAAGCTGTAAAGTGCTTCCTTTAAGTAAAAAGATGAAAACATGAAAAAAAACATAGTATATGTAAGGTTCAGTAATATCTGCAGTTTCAGGCATCCACTGTGGGTCCTGGAATGTATTCCACAAAGAGAAGAGGAGACTATTGATTACTAACATGGAAAAGATATTCAAGGACTTGGAGGCAGAGGCAGCAGTGGGCCAAGATCACGCCACTGTACTCCAACCTGGGCAACAGGGCAAGATCCTGTCTTAAAAAAAAAAAAGAAAAAAAGGAATGATAGTATAGCAAAAGGGTGGGCAAAATCAGGTTAGGTTGGCCAGGCACAGTGGCGCATGCCTGCAATCCCAGCACTCTGGGAGGCCAGGGCAGGTGGATCACTTCAGCTCAGGAGTTCAAGACCAGCCTGGGCAACATGGCAAAACCCTGTCTGTACAAAAAAAAAAAAAAAAAAAAAATCCACAAAAATTAGCCGGGCGTGGTGGTACATGCCTATAGTCCAGCTATGCAGGAGGCTGAGGAAGAAGGATCACTTGAGCCCGGGAGCTTGAGGCTGCAGTGAGCTGAGATCATGTCACTCACTGCACTCACTGCACTCCAGCCTGGGTGACAGAGTGAGACCTTGTCTCAATAAATAAATAAATAAATAAATAAATAAATAAATAAATAATAATAATCAGGTGACTGAATCTGTTGGCGGGGTGGCGTAGGAGTGCAGATGGTGAGGCATTATTATAGTCTCAGGCTGGGCGTGGTGGCTTACGCCTGTAATCCCAGCACTATGGGAGGCTGAGGCGGGCAGATCTGGGCAGATCACAAGGTCAGGAGTTCGAGACCAGTCTGGCCAACATGGTGAAACCCAGTCTCTACCAAAAATATACAAAGTTAATTGGACGTGGTGGTACATGCCCGTAATCCTAGCTACTCGGGAGGCTAAGGCAGGAGAATTGCTTGAACCCAGGAGGCAGAGGTTGCAGTGAGCAGAGATCGTGCCATTGCACTCCAGCCTGGGTGACAGAATCAGACTCCGTCTCAAAAAAAAAAAAAGAAAAAAAAAAGAAAAGAAAAGGTAACAAGGAACTAGAACTAGAATGTTACAGTAAAGACATAAATGATGTCTAAGTTGGTCTAACTTGTGAAAAGGGGATAAGGTCAGTTTTCTCTTTCTCAAAGCTCCCAACATTTATTTACAACAAAGGAAACTGGATGAGTAGCTCACTCAGTAAGTAAGCTACTTTTCTTTTTTTTTTTTTTTTTTTTTTTGAGATGGAGTTTCACTCTTGTTGCCCAGGCTGGAGTGCAATGGCACGAACTCAGCTCCTGCAACCTCCGCCTCCCAGGTTCAAGCAATTCTCCTGCTTCAGCCTCCCAAGTAGCTGAGATTGCAGGCGCATGCCACCACGTCCGGCTAATTTCTGTATTTTTAGTAGAGAAAATGAAGTTTCACCATGTTGGCCAGGCTGGTCTTGAACTCCTGACCTCAGGTGATCTGCCTGCCTTGGCCTCCCAAAGTGCTGGGATTACAGACATGAGCCACCATGCCCACCTAGTAAGCTACTTTTCTACAGGGCAAGTCAGGGTGCATGGTGGAGGCCAACCATAGGGGCTTGTTTCCCAGAATAGTATGTTTGAGAATACTCCCATTAACTCACTTGTTGCTCTCGCTTCTGCTTCCGGAGCTGAATGCCCTCTTCCTCTCTTCTTCGTCTCATTTCTTCAGGGTTTAGAGCATTGTTCTTATAGCTCTTCATTCGATAATTGTCTTTCCCTGGGCTCGCCATGGTCTCTAGAAGAAAAGATACACACTGCCAAAAACTCTTGAGAGGACAGCATTTCCTTTTCACTAGACTTCTATCCCTACCCACCCTTCACCCTCCCCTACTCTGGGGGGAATACAGCTCTCTGGGAGCTCTCAATAGCACCTGACATCTCTACCCACCCCCCAGCCCCAGTATCTTTTAATTACAATAAGCTTGCTAAACAGGTGGTATTAAAGCAATTGGTATAAGCTTAGTAGTTAAAAGTGTGGGCCCTAGAGACAGATTGTCTGGGTTCACATCCTGACCCTTCTACTTGTTAGCTGTGCAACCTTGGACAAGCTCCTGTAACTTTTATTGCTTCAGAATTTAATCTTTAATAAAACAGGAACACATCAGGCACAGTGGCTCCCACCCGTAATCCCAGGGGTCTGCAGACCATACTTTGAGAAATGCTGTTTTTTTTTTTTGAGACAGGGTCTCACTCTGTCACCCAGGCTGGAGTGCAGTGGCACGGTATCGACTCACTGCAACCTCTGCCTCCTGGGCTCACGTGATTCTCCTGCCTCAGCCTTCCGAGTAGCTGGGATTACAGGCGCACACCACCACAACTGGTTAATTTTTATATTTTTAGTAGAGACGGGGTCTCACCATGTTGGCCAGGCTGGTCTCAAACTCCTGACCTCAGGTGATCCACCTGCCTTGGCCTCCCAAAGTGCTGGGACTATAGGCATGAGCAACCACGTCCAGCCAAGAACTGCTGTTCTAAGCAGTGAATTACTCAGTTGTAGGTAAATAAATGTTAACTTGACCAGCTAGTGCCAAAGTTGTCTTCCATAGTACTGCCACTGACAAATATCTTGACCAATACTTTTGACAATCTACTGGGTGTCATAAAGTATTTCACAGAGATGATTATTTGCATATCCCAGATTACTAATGAGGTTAGATTTCATGTTGTTATTAGCTATATGTTTCCCCTTCTGTGAAAAATGTTTGTTTCTGTATTTTTAAATATTTTTCTTCTTTTTTTTTTTTTTTTTTTGAGACAGAGTTTCACTTTTGTTGCCCAGGCTGGAGTGCAATGGCACCATCTTGACTCACTGCAACCTATGCCACCCAGATTCAAATGATTCTCCTGCCTCACCCTCCTGAGTAGCTGGGACTACAGGTGCCTGCCACCACGCCTAATACGGCTAATTTTTGTATTTTTAGTAGAGACGGGGTTTCACCATGTTGGCCAGGCTGATCTCGAACTCCTGACCTCAGGTGAACTGCCTGCCTCGGCCTCCCAAAGTGCTGGGATTACAGGCATGAGCCACTGCGCCTGGCCTGTTCACGTTCTTTTAAATCAGTTATCTGTGACTGTGTACTTTCTTCATCCTTAATATTGTCTTATTTGTGCCCTCTTTTGTTCCTGAGAACCTTTACCAGAGACTTGACTATTTTTATTTTAGTCTTTTGCAAGATCCAAGTTTTAGCTTCATTGAGTCTTCTCTACTATATGATTTCTATCCCCTTTCTACATTTTTTCTAATTTAAGTTGTATATCTAAGTAATTAAATGTTCACACTATACTTTTTTTTTTTTTTTTTTTTTTGAGATGGAGTCTCACTCTGTCACCCAGGCTGGAGTGCAGTGGCGCGATCTTGGCTCACTGCAACCCTCCGCCTCCTGGGTTCATGTGATTCTCCTGCCTCAGCCTCCCAAGCAGCTGGGATTGCAGGTGTGCACGCAGGGCTAATTTTTTTTATTTTTATTTTTATTTTTTTTAGACAGAGTCTCCCTCTGTTGCCCAGGCTGGAGTGCAATGGCGCCATCTCGGCTCACTGCAAGCTCCGCCTCCTGGGTTCACGCCATTTTCCTGCCTCAGCCTCCCGAGTAGCTGGGACTACAGGCGCCCGCCACCACGTCTGGCTAATTTTTTCTATTTTTAGTAGAGATGGGGTTTCACCATGTTAGCCAGGATGGTCTTGATCTCTTGACCTCGTGATCCACCTGCCTCGGCCTCCCAAAGTGCTGGGATTACAGGTGTGAGCCACCGTGCCTGGCCCCACACTATACTTCTATATTACCTTTCTAAGGCTTATAAATTTCCTTCAAATTAATATTTGTATTGTAATTCAGTCCTAAATATCTAATTACTTTTGATTTATTCAATTTACATAAGTGTCCCATGTGTGCTTGAGAAGAATCTGTATTCTTAAATTATTGTGCATGGCTTTCTGAATATCATGTCCATTAAATTAAGTTGTCATCATGTTGTTCTTTATTTATTCATTATTTTTTGAGATAGGGCCTCCCTCTATTGCCTAGGCTGGAGTGCAGTGCACGATCACAGCTCACCACAGCCTCAACTTCCAGGGCTAAAACAATTCTCTTGCCTTAGCCTGAGTAGCTGGGACTACAGGCTCGTACTACCATGAGTGGCTAATCTTTACGTTTTTTTTGTAGAGATGGGGGTCTCACTATATCGTCTAGGCTGGTCTTGAACTCCTGTCCTCAACAATCCCCCTGCCTCAGCCTCCCAAAGTGCTGGGATTATAGGCATGAGCCACCATGCCCATCATGTTGTTCAAATCTTCTATTAATGTTTCACTTCACTAATGTTTTCCTTATTGATAGTGAATGTAGCCATTTTACCCCGTAGTTTAATTTTGCTTTATGTATTTTAATACTATTTCATTAGAAGCATACAAATTTAGAACTGTTGTATCTTGACTGTGAATAGAAGTTTGTTATAAAGTGAGCCAAATTATTCCTTAACAATGCCCTTTGTTGCCCTTTTTCTTTTGTTGGATATTAATATAGTTATCACTTCCACTTCCAGCCATGATGGAATAAGAGGGATAGGATTTCCCCTGTTGCTATAAACTGTTTCAGACATCGGGCAACAGCAATGCAGAATTGTGATTCTCCAAGAGGGAAACGAATTAAGTGAGCTCTACTTGTCTCCTTGGCTTTCTGCCCAGAGGCACATTCTATAGCAGAAGAGGGGTCCCAAACAGCACCACGGAAATCTCACCAGTGGAGGAGAGACTAGAGACTTCAGTGAGACTGAGGTGGCTGAAAACACTGAGACAGCATTCCAGCGAGGAGAGAAATAGGCAGAAAAAAAAAATTGGGAAATCTGTTTGGGGTTCCCTAAATCTTTGCTGAAGACTAAGGATGCATACATGCTGGGTGAAGCTCCATGAGTCACACAAAGGGCAACTGAGAAGCTGTATGTAAGCTCAGCAGTTCCCAGAGCTCGCACAGGGCTGAGAGACTTTAGACAAATCTGAATGGGGATTTCTCCCTGATCACTTAGGGCATAGTAGAGACCCTAAGAAGGGCTATGGCTTAGTAGTGGGATTAAACTATTCCCAGAAAAGGCTACTCATGAAGCTTAAAAACGAGCCTTACACTGCTAAAACAGAACACCTATAAAACGCCCTACATCCTTTAAAAAAAAGACAACAAAATCCAGACACTAAAAACAAAATTCACAATGCTTGGAATCCAATTAAAAATTATGGGCCAGAGCCAGGCATGGTGGCTCATGCCTATAAATCTCAGCACTTTGGAAGGCTGAGGTGGGAGGATAGCTTGAAGAACCTAGGAGTTCTTCAAGGCTGCAGTGAGCTATGACTGCACCGCTGTACTCCAGCCTGGGCAACAGAGTGAGACCCTGTCTCTAAAAAACAAAAACAGCCGGGGCGTGGTGGCTCACGGCTGTAATCCCAGCACTTTGGGAGGCCGAGGTGGGCGGACCACGAGGTCAAGAGATTGAGACCATCCTGGCCAACATGGTGAAACCTCGTTTCTACTAAAAATACAAAAATTAGCTGAGCTTGGTGGCACGCACCTGTAGTCCCAGCTACTCGGGAGGCTGAGGCAGGAGAATCACTTGAACCAGGGAGGTGGAAGTTGCAGTGAGCAGAGATCATGCTACTGCACTCCAGCCTGGTGACAGAGGGAGACTCTGTCTCCAAATGAACAAACAACAAAAAGTACTATACATGCTAAGCAGCAGAAAAATTGTGACCCATAGGAGAAAAATCAGTCAAAAGTTAGATCCAGAAATGACACTTCAGTAGATAGTAGGATGGTTTCAAGTGCTCTCATATATTAGTAACTGGATTCACAGGGGAAAAAAATTGAGAGGCAGACAGAAAAACATTTACAAGCAAAGACTAAAAATTGGCAGGGCATGGTGGCTCAAGCCTGTAATCCCAACACGTTGGGAGGCCGAGGCAGATGGATCACTTGAGGCCAGGAGTTCCAGACCAGCCTGGCCAATATGGTGAAAGCCTGTCTCTACTAAAAATATAAAAATTAGCCAGGCGTGGTAGCTGGTGCCTGTAATCCCAGCTACTCGGGAGGCTGAGGAAGGAGAATCACTTGAACCCGGGAGGCGGAGGTTGCAGTGAGCCAAGATCATGCTACTGCACTACAGCCTGGGCAATAGAGTAAGACCCTGTCTCAAAAAAAAAAAAAAAAAAAAAAAGACTAAAAATTTTCCAGATCTAATCCCATTAACCCTAAAAGCTATGCTAATCCTTAAGCAAGATAAAAACAAAGAAAATCACAAGACACATCACAACCAAAATCTTGAAAAGCAGCGATAGATAAAATCTTAAAAGCAGCCAGATAAAGACCTATTAAGACCAAAGATAAGAATGGCCTAGCTTCTTGTCAGAAACCGTAAGTCAGAAAACAACAAAACATTTTTAATGTTCTGGAAAAAACAAAAAGCTGGTAAACTAGAATTTTATATCCAACAAAGATACTTTTTGAAATGAAAGCAATTCAGCAGGTCATGGGCTAAATTAAAAATAATATTAATAAAGACTTTTTCAGATAAAAGCTGAGAGACTTTTTCTCTAGCTGACCTGCACTAAAGAAATGCTAAAAGTCTTCAAGTAGAAGGAAAATGATACCAGATGGAAACTCGGATATCCACAAAATGAAAAACACTAGATATGGCAGATAAACATAAAATAACTTTTTTGCCATTTAAAAATTGTCTTTAAAAAATAAGGCACATGGACACACACACAAAAACAGGGAAGCATGGCCCATTCGCGGAATAAAGTAGAAACCATTCCTAGCTGCGTGTGGTAGCTCAAGCCTATAATCCCAATACTTCGGGAGGCCAAGATGATAGGACTGCCTGAGGCCAGGAGTTAGAGACCATCCTGGGCAACATAGGGAGACCCTGTTTCTATTTTAAATAATTTTATAAAAATAGGAAACCATCCCTCAGGAAGCCCAGAGACTGGACTTACTAGACAGATTCTAAAACAACTGTCCTAAATATGCTCAAAGAGATAAAGAAAAACCTGGACAATGAACTAAAGGAAATCTGAAACACAATACATGAATAAAATGAGAATATCAATAAAAAGAAAGAAATTATAAAAAGGAACCAAACAAATGTTCTAGAGCTCAAAAGTACACTTATTGAAATAAAAAATTCACTAGAGGGGTTCAACAGCAGATACAAGCAGATAGAAAAAAAAGTAGCAAACTTGGAGACAGATCAATTAAAATTATCCAATCTGAGGAGCAGAAAGAATAAAGAATGAAGAAAAATGAACAGAATCGAGTGGACCCATGGAATACCATTAAAAGGACCAATATGGCCGGCACGGTGGCTCATGATTGTAATCCCAGCAATTTTGGAGGCTGAGGCAGGAGGACAGCTTGAGCCCACAGTTTGAGACCAGCCTAGGCAACATAGGCAAGATCTCATCTCTATTGAAAAAAAAGTAGGGGGGCCGGGCGCAGTGGCTCATGCCTATAATCCCAGCACTTTGGGAGGCTGAGGCGGGTGGATCACAAGGTCAGATGTTTGAGACCAGCCTGGCCAATATGGTGAAACCCCATCTCTACTAAAAATACAAAAAACATACCCAGGCGTGGTGGCGTGCGCCTGTAATCCCAGCTACTCAGGAGGTGAGGCAGGAGAATTGCTTGAACCCGGGAGGTGGAGGTTGCAGTGAGCCGAGATCGCACTCCAGCCTGGGTGACAAAGCGAGACTCCTTCTCAAAAAAAAAAAAAGAAAAAAAAAAAAGACCAATATACACCACATTATGGGAGTCCTAAGAGCAGAAGATAAAGAGGTAGAATATTTGAAAAAATATGGTCAAAAACTTCCCAAATTAAATAAAACACATGAATCTACACATGAAGGAGCTCAATGAACTCTAATGAAGATATACACATTTGGGATACTGAGGCAGGTGGATCAACTGAGGTCAGGAGTTCGAGATCAGCCTGGCCAACAGGGTGAAACCCTGTGTCTATACTAAAAAAAAACAAAAATTAGCCAGGCATGGTGGCACCTACTAAAAAACCAATTAGCCAGGCATGGTGGAACGCACTTGTAATCCCAGCAAGTGGGGGGGCTAAGACAGGAGAATCACTTGAACCTGGGAGGCAGAGACTGCATTGAGCCGAGATCATGCCACTGTACTCCAGCCTGGGTGATAGAGTGAGATTCTGTCTCAAAAAAGAAAAAGAAAATATCCACATTGAGACACATAATCAAACTGATGAAAGCCAAAGACAGAATCCTGAAAGCAGCAAGAAAGAAGTGACTTATCACATACAAAGATGCCCAATAAGATCAACAGGTGATTTCTCATTCGAAATTATGAAAGTCAGGCTGGGAGCAGTGGCTCAGGCCTGTAATCCTAGCACTCTGGGAGGCCAAGGCAGGCGAATGGCTTGCGTTGGAGACCAAGAGTTCAAGAACAGCCTGGGCAACATGGCAAAACCCCGTCTCTACAAAAAGTACAAAAATTAGCTGGGCATGGTGGTGTATGTCTGTAATCCCAGCTACTTGGGAGGACGAGGTGGAAGGATCACCAGAGCCCAGGAGGTTGAAGCTGCAGTGAGCCGTGGTTGTACCACTAGACTCCAGCCTGGGCAACAGGGCAAGACCCTGTCTCAAAAAAAAAAAAAAAAAAAAAAAAAAAGAAAAGAAATCACGAAAGTCAGAAGGCAGTAGAATAAGAAAGTGCCGAAAAGAGGCTGGGTTCAGTGGTTCATGCCTGTAATCCCAGCACTTTGGGAGGACAAGGCCAGACGATTACTTGAGCCCAGGAGTTCAAGACCAGCCTGGGAAACAGAGCAAGACCCTGTCTCTACAAATAATTTTGTTTAATTTAGTTGGGCATGGTGGCGTGCACCTATGGTCCCAGCTACCTGGGACACCTCTAAGTCAGGAGGATTGCCTGAGCACAGGAGGTTGATGCTGCAGTGACTTGTGATTGCACCGTCACTCCAGCCTGTGTGACACAGTGAAACCCTGTCTCAAAAACAAAACAAAACAAAACAAAAAGCAAAGTGCTGAAAGAAAAACCGTCAAGCAAGAATTCTATATCTGACAAAACTGTCCTTCAAAAATGAGGGAGAATTATGACATTTCCCTATAAGCAAAAGCTGAGGGGCTTTGTTACCACTAGACCTGCTCTGCAAGAAATGCTGGCTGGGCCTGTAATCTCAGCACTTGGGAGGCTGAGGCAGGAGGATCACATGAGCCGAGTTCGAGACCAGTCTAGGCAATGTGGTGAAACCCCATCTCTGCAAAAAAATATATAAAAATTAGCCGGACGTGGTGGTATGCACCTGCAGTCCCAGCTACTTGGGAGGCTGAGGTGGATTGCTAGAACCTGGGAGGTTCAGGCTGCAGTGAGCCGTGACTGTACCACTGGACTCCAGCCTGGGCAACAAAGCAAGACTCTGTCAAAAAAAAACACAAAAAACAAAAAACTAATGGGAGCCCTTCAGGTTGAAATGAAAGGACACAGTAACTTGATGCCATATGAAGAAATAAAGATCTCTGATAAAGGTAACTATATGGGCAGATATAAAAGCCAGTATTACTATACATCGGTTTGTAACTTTTCATTTCCTACATGATTTAAAAGACAAATGCATAAAATAATTATAAATCTACATTATTGGTCACACAATGTTTAAACATAAAATGTGTGATGACAACAGCATAAAGGAGGAAACAATGCTGTACATGAGCAGTTTTGTATGCTTCTGAATTAAGCTGGTATTGATTCCAACTAGAGTGTTATAAAGTTAGAATATTAAGTGTAATTCCCATGGTGTTCACTAGGAAATATCCAAAAAACTACATGCACAGAAAATAAAAATTAAAAATATACACAAAAGGAAATGAGAAGGGAATAAAGAGAGCTGGAATAGCTACATGAATATCTGACAAAACAAACTTTAAGTCAGAAACTGTTACCAAAAAGAAAGGACATCATATGGCCAATTCATCAAGCTATTAAAAAACATATGCAATAAACAAGAGCCCCCAAACATGAAGCAAGTTCTGACAGAAGTGCAGAAAAAATATTTGGAGACTTTTTTGTCCCCACCAACTGTGGCCTACAGATATTTGGAGACTTTTAATGAACCACGTTCAATAATGAACAGAACACCTAGACAGAAGATCGATAAGTAACAGAGGACTTGAACAAAATTATAAAGTAGACCTAAGAGAGATATACAAGGCATTCCACCCAATAACAGCAGAATATACATTCTTCTCAAGTATAGATTCTCCAGGATAGGCCATATGTTAGCCCACTAAAAGTGTCTCAATAAATTTTGGAAGACTGAAGTCATATAAAACATTATCTCTGACTACATGGAATGAAGCTAGAAATCAGTAACAGAATGATAACTAGAAAATTCACAAATATACAGAAATTAAGGAAGACATTCTTTAAAATGTCGGAAGACTCATATGTCCTGATTTCATAACTTACTACAAAGGTACAGTAATTAAAACAGTGTGGTACTGGCATAAGGATAAGCATATGGACATACAGAATAGAATTGAGAGTCCAGAAATAAACCCTTACATCTACGGCCAGCCAACTGATTTT
This sequence comes from Homo sapiens, assembly GCF_000001405.40. NCBI lineage: Eukaryota > Metazoa > Chordata > Mammalia > Primates > Hominidae > Homo > Homo sapiens. Next base: position 32,145,715 of record NC_000001.11, on the reverse strand, counting down.
GAAGAAGGATATTATGTCCATTCAGTGGAGAAATAAATATTTCATTGTATAGAGAATATTTTATACATTATATAAAATGAAATATTAGCCAGACCAGGCGGGGTGGCTCACATCTGTAATCTCAACACTTTGGGAGGCCGAGGTGGGCAGATCACTTGAGGTCAGGAGTCTGAGGCCAGCCTGGCCAACATGATGAAACCCCGTCTCTACTAAAAATACAAAAATTAGCCAGGCATGGTGGCGGGTGCCTGTAATCACAGCTACTCAGGAGGCTGAGGTGGGAGAATCACTTGAACCTAAGAGGCAGAGGTTGCAGTGAGCTGAGATCGTGCTGCTGCACTCCAGCTTGGGGAACAGAGCTTGCTCCATCTCCAAAAAAAAAAAAAAGAAATACAAATCAAAACCACAATGATTCAACCTGAGAAAGCTGACTGAAAAACGTATATAAAAAAGTTTTGGCCAGGCGTGGTGGCTCACATCTGTAATCCCAGCACTTTGGGAGGCCGAGGTGGGTGGATCACGAGGTCAGGAGATTGAGACTATCCTGGCTAACCCAGTGAAACCCCGCCTCTACTAAAAATACAACAACAAAAAAATTAGCTGGGTGTGGTGGCGGGCCCCTGTAGTCCCAGCTACATGGGAGGCTGAGGCAGAAGAATGGCATGAACCTGGGAGGCGGAGTTTGCAGTGAGCCGAGATCGCGCCACTGCACTTCAGCCTGGGCGACAGTGTGAGATTCCATCTCAAGAAAAAAAAAAAAAAAAGTTTTAGGCCAGGCGCGGTGGCTTACGCCTGTAATTCCAACACTTTGGGAGGCTGAGGTGGGGAGATTATCTAAGGGTGGGACCCTCCAGCCTGGCCAACATGGAGAAATCCCATCTCTACTAAAAATACAAAATTAGCTGGGCATGGTGGCACATCCTTGCAATCCCAGCTACTCGGGAGGCTGACGCAGGAGAACTGCTTGTACCTGGAAGGTGGAGGTTACAGTGAGGCGAGATTGTGCCACTGCATTCCACCCTGGGCGACAGAGCGAGACTCCATCTCAAAAAAAAAAAAGTTTTAAAAACCACAGTGACATACTACTCCACACCTACTAGGATGGAGTAAGAATAATAAAAGCACACGCTGGCTAAGATCTGGAACCTGGTGGATTGCTGATAAGAATGGAAAATGGTGCAGCCACTGTGGAAAACAGAATAGTAGTTCCTAAAAAAATTAAAAAGAATTACTATATAATCCAGCAATTCTACTTTTATACGATTTCTCCCTTATTCAGTTTTGCTTTGCAGAGTGTCAGTTACCCATGGACAACAGTGGTCTGAAAATATTAAATGGAAATTTCCAGATAAAAACAATTCATAAGTTTTAAATTTCATACTATTCCAAGTAACATGATGAAATATCGCGCTAACCATCTATTCCACCTGGGACATGAATCATCCCTTTGTCCAGTATATCCACACTGTATACACTGCCAGTTAGTAGCAGATATTGCAGTGTTTGTGGTCAAGTCATCCTTATTTTACCTAATAATGGCCCCAAAGTGCAAAAGTGATGATGCTGGCATATTGTTATGTGTTCTATTTTATTATTATTGTTCTCAATCTCTTATTGTGCCTAATTTACAAATTAAACTTCATCATAGGTACGTATGTATAGGAAATAATATAGTATATAGGGTTTGGTACCATCTGTCGTTGCAGGTGTCCACTGGGGGTGTTGGAATATATTGCCTGTGGATAAGGCAAGGACTACTGCATATGGATACCATGGAATATCATTCAGCCAAAAAAGGAATGAAGGTCTAACACATGCTACAACATGATTGAACCTTGAAATTAATGTGCTAAGTGAAATAAGCAAGACACAAAATATTCCACTTACATGAGGTACCTAGAGTCAAACTCAGAAAGTAGATTAGAGGTTACCAGGTGCTAAGAGGAGAGGAAAATAGGGAGTTATCGCTTAGTGGGTACAGAATTTCTGTTAGGGGTAGTAAAATATTTGGAAATAGTGATGATGATGGTCACATAACATTGTAACTGTAATTAATGCCACTGTATTGTACACTTAAATTGAAAATTTTGTTACATATATTTTATCACTAATAATTTTTTTTTCTTTTCTTTTTTTTTTTTTTAAGACAGAATCTTGCTCTGTCACCCGGGCTGGAGTGCAGCAGTGCGATCTTGGCTCACTGCAACCTCCACCTCCCAGATTCAAGTGATTCTCCTCAAGTAGTGGGGATTACAGGCACCCACCACCATGCCCGGCTAATTTTTGTATTTTTAGTAGAGATGGAGTTTCTCCATGTTGCCCAGGCTGGAATAATTTTTTTTTTTAATCGGCATTGTAGCCTGGGCTCAGGCCTGTACTGCCAGCACTTTGGGAGGCCAAAGTGGGCAGACTGCTTGAGCCCAGGAGTTCAAGAGCAGCCTGAGCAATATGGTGAAACCACAATCTCTACAAAAAAATACCAAAATTAGCTGGGCATGGTGGCATGCACCTGTGGTCCCAGCTACTTGGGAGGCTGAGGCAGGAGGATTGCTTGAGCCCAGGAGGTTGAGGCTGCAAGTGAGCTGTGTCTGCACCTCTGCACTCCTTTTGAGGCCCGATTATCCCTGTGAGACTAACAGAGTAGACAACAGATTTCTGAAGGCAGCACTATGAACTGCTGTCCCCTATTACCTGACACATAGCTTTTCATGACTGAGCCTGGGCTGTCCTGGACGCTAGCCTCTCCTTCAAGCACAGCTGACAGTGAAGCTGGGAGGAGAGCCATGCTGAGCTTCTTTAGTCACCATGGTGACAAGAAACTATCACAAATATTTGCTTATGACTTCACTGGGGAAGCAGACAAGGGAGGTTAGATTGGAAGGAGGAACATCTGCACAAGCACATCTGGAATCTCAGGGATCCAGCACGCCAGCGGCTTTTTCCATTATGTACTCCCTTACTTGCTGTGGATGAATTTTTTAAAATTCACAATACAAATAAACTTTTCTAGCATCTGGCTGTCCTAGACTGTCTTTGGGTTTTCTTAGTCAAGGAACTCTCTCAAAGTGAATAGGTCTCTGAAGTCACACCTTTCATTTCTAGGGAATGTCTAATGTTGCCATGCACTTTCTAAGCTTTTAAAACCAAAGAGCTAGCAATGATAATACAAAATAGGTAGGGGCCTTAAAATGGCTGAATCATGTCTGTTCCTAATTCATATTATGAAGTCCTAAACCCCAATACCTCAAAACGCGTCTATATTTGAAGATAGAGTCCTTAAAGAGGTAATTAAGGTAAATAAGGTTATTGGGGTAGGCCCTAATCCAGTAACTGGTGTCCTTAAAACAAGAGAGGGAGAACAGCATGTGAACATGAAGACAGCTATATAGAAGCCAACAACAAACGGCTGAGAATAAAACAACCCTTCTGACAACTTTTTTTTTTTTTTTTTTTTTTTTTTGAGACAGGGTCTCGCTCTGTCACCCAGGCAGGAATGCAGGGACACAATCTCAGCTCCCTGCAACCTCTGTCTCCGGGGTTCAAGCGATCCTCCTGCCTCAGCCTCCTGAGTAGCTGGGATTACAGGTGCGGGCCAGCACGCCTGGCTAATTTTTTGCATTTTTAGTAGAGACGGTCTCACCATGTTGAGGCTGGTCTCAAACTCCGTGATCCGCCCGCCTTGGCTTCCCAAAGTGCTGGGATTACAGGCATGAGCCACTGCACCTGACCTCTTCTGACAACTTGATCTCAGACTTCTAGCCTCCAGAACTGTGAGAAAATACATTTCTGTTGTTTAAACCACCCAGTCTGTGGTTCTTTGTTATGGTGGCCCTCGCAAACTAATATAGGCCCTAATTACCTAATCTAAATAAGGCACCGACTCCTGCCAGTGTCTGATATCAAATTCAAGTTAATTAAGCCTTGTCTTTAGACCTCGGCAAAGGCGACAATCGAAGTAAACTGCTTTCATGAGACACAAGGACACGCCTGTAATAAGAAAGGTTAAGATTCACTTAATAGGCCAGGCACGGTGGCTCATGTCTGTAACCCCAACACTTTGGGAGGCTGAGGCGGGTGGATCATCTGAGTTCAGGAGTTCAAGACCAGCCTGGCTAACATGGTGAAATCCTGTCTCTACAAAAATATAAAAATTAGCCAGGCATGATGGTGGGTGCCTGTAATCCCAGCCACTTGGGAGGCTGAGACAGAAGAATTGCTTGAACATGGGAGGCGGAGGTTGCAGTAAGCCAAGATCGCGCCACTGCACTCCAGCCTGGGTGACAGTGTGAGACTCCGTCTCAAAAAAAAAAAAAAAAAAAAAAAAAAAAAAAAAAAAAAAAGGATTAACTTAAAAAAAAAAAGCCCTAATGGATAAATGAAAAAACTGAGGCTCACTCAGGTCACACATTAGTGAGTAGCAAGATTGCCATAGTGCTCCATTTAATCACTGGTATGTTTAACATTTTGAGATTCATAAACATTTTAAACTCAGGCCAATTGACTGTTGAGCCTCCCCTCCACCACCATACCAGATTTTCATAGGAACTCACCTTCACAGTACAAGTTTTCCTTTTATTAATACAATGAATTCTCACCCTAGACCACAGATCCAACCAACCACAAACCTGAAGTACATGTATGGACTAACACCTACAACATCAGGATTAATTCCCCCAAAGCAAGTAAAGCCAGCCATGATGCTGGGATGTGATGGGTGAGAAGATAACCCACAATACACAAGTGATAGACACAATAATAAATCCAAAGATTTCACAGATGTTCTTCCAAATCTTACCTGGCCCAGTTTCTTACCAAAGATGCCATAAGAAAACATCAAAGATGGCTTAAATTTTGCTGTCTTCTTACTGGTCTACCTATTAGTTATTTACTGTAAATTAATATAAAGTTGATGACAAAATTTGGGTATTGTTGTAACTCTGCCAGCTAAAAACACACTGTAGGAACAGTTCTAGGAATCTCACCTGTGATTCCTTGTACTGAGAACCAGACACTTGTGAGTGCATTTTTTCATTCATTTTCCCTTAGCTACTGCCCCATTTCTCAGTTCTCAAGAATAGCCGAACTATTTTTTCTGTTTCCATTATAAACTGCTTAAACACTAAAAGTTTGATATAGTACAATATCTATAAATTATCCACTAAGATTCAATGATTTTTAACATCATATTAGTTTTATTCTATCAGATGTATATATAATATAGCTATATTTTTAACTGTACATTTGAAAATTGTAAATGTCATCACTTGGCACTTCGCCCAATTACTTTAGTATGTATCCCATAATAAGGACCTTCTTCTTTTTTTTTTCTCCTGAGACAGAGTCTCGCTCTGTTGCCCAGGCTGGAGTGCAGTGGCACCATCTCAGCTCACTGCAACCTCTGCCTCCTGGGTTCAAGCAATTCTTCTGCCTCAGCCTCCCAAATAGCTGGGATTACAGGTTCACACCACCATGCCCAGCTAATTTTTGTATTTTTTAGTAGAGATGGGGTTTCACCATGTTGGCCAGGCTTGTCTCGAACTCCTGACCTTGTGATCCGCCTGCCTCGGCCTCCCAAAGTGCTGGGATTACAGGCGTGAGCCAGGCCCAGGACCTTCTTCTTATATAACCACAACAGCATTTTCAAACCAAAGAAATTAACAAAATACCCAATATCTAGTTCATATTCAAATTTCTTAATTATTTCAACATATCCTTTATATCTGGGTTTTTCTCCCCAAATCCAGCCAAGGTTCACACATTGTATTTGTTATTTTAACATTTTATCATGGAAAATTTCAAATATACACAAAAGTAGACAAAACAGTAAATAAAATGAATCTCATACACTAACCATCCAGATTCAATGATCAACTAGCAGCCATTCATATCTATGCTTCTGCCTCTCCCAGATCCTTGAAGCAAATTCCTGACCTATCACTTCATCCACATTTCAGTATGTATCTGCAAACAACAAAGCCATTTTAAAAACTACAATATCATTATCCAACATCTGATCACTTTTAATCTATAATGTCCATCCTCCTCTCCCCCAACCCTTTTATTTGCTTGTGATACTTTCTGAAGAGACTAGGTCAGTTTTCTTATAGAACGCCTCACATTCTAGTTTTGTGTTATTAAACTCATACCCTTACCCCTTGTATTTCCTGTAAAATGGAAGTTAAGTCTAGGGGCTAGAATAGATTCAGGTTGAAAATAACTTTTGGTGTTGCTGGGTTATAGATGGAGAAAAAAACATATATATATAGTAATTGTTGGCCAAGAATATATATAGGTGATGCTGTGTGCTTCATACTGTTTCCTACTACATAGCCTTTGCACTTCCTGTTCTTTTTGCCTTCAACGCTTTTCCTTAGCTCTTGGAATTGCTGGGTCCTTCCCCATTACCCTAACCCAAAGTAAGTTACCCTATTTTTGTCAGAACACCTGTTTTCTTTCTTTCATTATACTAATTCCAATCCATCTGCTCTCCATAGGATGTTAAGTTCCACAAAGGCAGAGTTGTTGTATCCCCGGCATCTACAACAAATATTTGTCGAGTGAATCACCATTCAAATATTTATTATATACTCATCGAGCATATACGTTGTTCCAGACACAAGGCCTAGCCACAACAGCTATTTAATAAGTGTTTGCCAGATAGGTAAGTAAAGGAGTATATAGCAAAGAAACCTTCCTTGTGACTGGAGTGAAGCAGACCCTCCAAAAGCAGACTACAGAAGAATTTCTTACTAAAAACCCAGAAACCACGATTTCCTCCAGAATTCATGTGAAAATTAAACTAAAACCATCCATTATAAAAACTACAGGACACAAGACACAAATACCTCAGAAAAAGCCAGTTTAGACTGTTAAATCCAGTGACCCACTCAGTAGTCATTGCATTCAGCTTTCTAATTTGTCACTGATGATCACCTTTGCCTTCCTGAAACTCTATTCATGATTCTAGTAACACCATCCTCTCCCAATTTTTCTCTTAGCCTTCCAACCACTCTTCAAGTTTCTTACTGTGGTCATCTTCCAGAGCCAACCTCTCAATGTCAGTGTGTACCAAAATCCTACCTTTGGTCCTCTTCTCAGCAGGAGGAGCCCCCACTCCAAGCTCACGATCTCCCTTAGCTTCCACCTCCATTTTTTTTTTTTTTTTTTTTTTTGAGATGGAGTTTCGCTCTTGTTGCCCAGGCTGGAGTGCAATGGCGCGATCTCGGCTCACCGCAACCTCCGTCTCCCAGGTTCAAGTGATTCTCCTGCCTCAGCCTCCCAAGTAGCTGGGATTACAGGCATGTGCCACCACGCCCGGCTAATTTTGTATTTTTAGTAGAGATGGGGTTTCTCCATGTTGGTCAGGCTGGTCTCGACTCCTGATCTCAGATGATCCACCCGCCTTGGCCTCCCAAAGTGCTGGGTTGACAGTCATGAGCCACCGCGCCTGGCCAGCTTCCACCTCTACTTTTAAACCAAGTTTGAAATCCCTATTGTCAAAACATCTTGCCTACCAGCTATCTTCACCCAACTTTCTCTTTAAACCAGTTTCTGCTATCTTCCCTATTTTTTTTTTTTTTTGGACAGAGTTTCACTCTTGTCATCCAGGCTAGAGTGCAGTGGCACGATCTTGGCTCATCGCAACCTCTGCCTCCCGGGTTGATGCGATTCTCTTACCTCAGCCTCCCAAGTAGCTGGGATTACAGTTGCCCACCACCATGCCCAGCTAATTTTTGTATTTTTAGTAGAGATGGGGTTTCACCATGTTGGCCAGGCTGGTCTCGAACTCCTGACCTCAAGTGATCTGCCTGCCTCAGCCTCCAAATGTGCTGGGACTACAGGCGTGAGCCACTGTGCCTGGCCTATCTTCCCTATTTCGCAGTTAATGCCATCACCATTCACCTGGTCTTGGAGTCACCCATGAACATTCTCCTCCCCAATTCAGGAAACTGATTTTTATCTGTTACTCCAAATTGGCTCCTACTGACCACCTCCAATAAATTTTAGTTTACACCCTCATCACCTCTCACTTCTAGATTATTAAATCTTTGAGAACAAGAACTCTTTTACTTATCTTTGCGTCTATAGCAAAGTACACAGCATGCCCTCAAATGTTCCATCTAACATTTTAAACTTCAGTTTTCTAGAGAATCTGAAGTCGTTTACAATAAATTCAATGAAATATAAATAAAACAAGAATCTGGACTAGGAATATACAAATTTATATAGAAATTGGGGGAAGTAGCCAGGTGCAGTGGTTCACACTTGTAATCCTAGCACTTTGAGAGGCCAAGGTGGGAGGATCACCTGAGCCCAGGAGTTAGAGACCAGCCTGGGTAACCTAGCAAAACCGTCTCTGAAAAAAATTTCAAAAATTAGCCAGGTGTGGTGACACACACCTGTGGTCCCAGCAACTCGGGAGGCTGAGCTCGGAGGATTGCTTGAACGGAGCTTGAGACTACAGTGAGCCGTGCTGGTATCACAGTGCTCCAGCTTGGGTGACAGAGCAAGACCCTTTCTCAAAACAAACAAAAAAAAGTGGGGGAAGATGAATGCAGTAAACAGAACCCAAAGAACCACTTAATTATTAAAACAGAGTGGCATTTTGGCATGTCAGCTACCCGTCATCCAAAATAAAGTAAAATGAGCACTTACATAATTTTCATTGTCCTTGAAGAGAACACTCAAGTATATTTGGAAAGCAAAGTAATTCTTTTTTAATTGTTTTATTTTTGTTTTCTCCTCTACTACTCATTCAAGAAGGAAAGCAACGTATTTCTGAAACTTGGCTTCAAGAACGAATAATACCTAAGGCTTTAGGGTCTGCCCTTTAGGCTTTGATTTGAAAACCAGAAACGCTGGCAGTAATAGTGTATGATGTCTCTTCTAACCATATCTTCACTCCAAATGTAATGAATTGGGGAGGAATAAATGCGTAGAGAATCTCATTCTGCTTATTCCATATAACTTCCCACTTTATCAAACAGAATCCATAGGCTGAATCAGAATAGATTTAGATTATTAGTCTGATCTCTCCTCTGATACTCTGAATCATTGTTCTATTTCCCTGACCTATAACCTATGTCTGAGTACTACCAGTGATAATATATTATTACAAAAGCAACCCATTTCATTTCACACAGCTCTAATTACTAAGGTTTCCATCATTGTGAATGAGACCTACATATGACTAACTTACATGAGTCCCATTTGTTAGATTTGCTAGATCAGATTTTCAAGAGAAGCTAAAGGCAGGGCTCACATCTGTAATCCCAGCACTTTGGGAGTCCAAGGCGGACAGATCACCTCAGTTCAGGAGTTTGAGACCAGCCTGGTCAACATGGTAAAACCCTGTCTCTACTAAAAATACAAAAAAAATTAGCCATGTGTGGTGGCAGGCACTTATAATCCCAGCTACTTGGGAGGCTGAGGCAGGAGAATCACTTGAACCCAGGAGGTTTCAGTGAGCCAAGATCACGCCCTTGCACTCCAGCCTGGGCAACAAGAGTGAAACTCCATCTCAAAAAAAAAAAAGAGAGAAGCTAGAAATGTGGATTTTATATACAGCCAACTGTTTAATGTTTGTTTAATTTTTGAAAAACATATTAGTCCCTGTAAGACACATCTACTACAAGCCAAGTGTGGCCTACAGACTACTAGTTTGGAGCCTCTGGTTAAATTGTTAATACAAATTAAAGAGCATGTTAGAATTTTTAAGTGATCCTATCTCTTTGTGCAGACTTTTAAGTGTCCTGTTGGCAAAGAAGTCCTATTATTTTTATTTCCTTTGGTAATAGGTTTATTGAGATGTAATTCCTAAACCATACAATTCATACATTTTTAGTATATTTAGTATGATTTTTGGTGTATTTATAGAGCTGGGCAACCACTAGCACAATTTTAGAACATCTTCATCATCCTAAAAAAAAAAAAACCCCATAACTCTATGGCCAGGCATGGCAGCTAATGCCTGTAATTCCAGCACTTCGGGAGGCTGAGGCAGTCAGATCACTTGAGCCCAAGAGGTCAAGACTAGTCTGGGCAAAATAATTAGACCCTGCCTCTAAAAAAAAAAAAAAAAATGGCCAAGCATGGTGGCTCACACCTGTGATTCTAGCAATTTGGGAGGCTGAAGTGGGTGGATCACTTGAGGTCAGGAGTTCAAGACCAATCTGGGCAACATAATTAGACCCTGCCTCTAAAAAAAAAAAAAAAAATGGCCAAGCATGGTGGCTCACGCCTGTAATTCTAGCAATTTGGGAGGCCGAAGTAGGCAGATCACTTGAGGTCAGGAGTTTGAGACCAGCCTGGCCAACATGCCAAAACCCTGTCTCTACTAAAAATAAATTGGCCAGGCGCGGTGGCTCACACATGTAATCCCAGAACTTTGGGAGGCTGAGGGGGACAGATCACCTGAGGTCGGGAGTTCAAGACCAGGCTGACCAACACGGAGAAACCCCACCTCTACTAAAAATACAAAATTAGCCAGGCCTGGTGGTGCATGCCTGTAATCCCAGCTACTTGGGAGGCTGAAGCAGGAGAATCACTTGAACCCGCGAGGTGGAGGTTGCGGTGAGCTGAGATTGCGCCACTGCACTCCAGCCTGGGTGACAAGAGTGAAACTCTGTCTGTAAATAAATAAATAAGCCAGGAGTGGTAGCACGTGCCTGTAGTCCCAGCTACTCAGGAGGCTGAGGCAGGAAAATTGCTCGAACCTGGAAAGCAGAGGTTGTGGTGAGCTGAGATTGTGCCACTGCACTCCAGCCTGGGCAATAGAGCAAGACTCCATCTCGAAGGAAAAAAAAAAAAGTAAAAAAAAAATAAATAAAATTAAAAAAAAGAAACCCTATTACTCTTTAGCTGTCACCCCCAATGCTCACCCACCTAAGCTGTAAACAATCACTAAGGTACTTTCTATTTCTTACAGATTTGCCTGCTCTGGACATTTCATTTAAATAGAACCATACAATATGTGGTCTTTGACTGGCTTCTTTCACTTAGCATAATGATTTTGAGGTTCATCCATGTTTTAACATATATCAGTACATTCTTTTTATAGCACTTTTTTTTTTTTTTTTGAGACAGACTCTTGCTCTGTTGCCCAGGTTTGAGTGCAGTGGCATGGTCTCAGCTCACTGCAGCCTTTGCCTCCCGGGTTCTAGCGATTCTCCTGCCTCAGCCTCCCAGGTAGCTGAGATTATAGGCGTGCACCACATCTGGCTAATTTTTGTATTTTGAGTAGAGACGGGGTTTTGTTATGTTGCCCAGGCTGGTCTTGAACTCCTGGGCTCAAGTGATCTTCCTGCCTCAGCCTCCTAAAGTGCTAAGATCATAGGCTAAGTCACTGCAGGTTTAGTGGTAACAACCCCCCTAAGCTTTTGTTTATCTGGAAATATCTTAATTTCTCCCTCATTTTAGAAGGGCAGTTTTGTTAGATATAGAATTTTTTTTTTTTTTTTGAGACGAAGTGTTGTACTGTCACCAAGGCTGGAGCGCAATGGTGCAATCTCGGCTCACTGCAACCTCCGCCTCCTGGGTTCAAGCAATTCTCCTGCCTCGGCCTCCCCAGTAGCTGGGACTACAGGGGCCCACCACCCATTTTTTAAATACAAAAAAAAAAAAATTTTGTATTTTTAGTAGAGACGAGGTTTCACCATGTTGGCCAGGCTGGTCTCGAACTACTGACCTCAGGTGATCCACCCACTTCAGCCTCCCAAAGTGCCGGGATTACAGGCATGAGCCACCACGCCTGGCCTCAAGCAATTCTCTTCCTTCAGCCTCCGCAGTAGCTGGGATTACAGATGCCGGCTGCTGCACCTGGCTAATTTTTGTATTTTTAGTAGAGACGGGGTTTCACCACGTTTGCCAGGCTGGTCTCGAACTCCTGACCTCAAGTGATCCGCCTGCCTCGGCCTCCAAAGTGCTGGGATTACAGGGGTGAGCCACCACGCCCATGCTGCCTGGCCAGATATAGAATTCTTGCTTGACGGTTTTTCTTTCAGCACTTTGCTTTTTTGTTTTGTTTTGTTTTTGAGACAGGTTTTTGCTCTGTCATACAGGCTGGAATGCAGTAGTGCAATCAACTCCCTGCAGCCTAGACCTTGTGAGGCAATCTTCCTACCTCAGCCTCCCACACAGCTGGGACCACAGGCCCATGCCATCATGTCCAAGTAATTTTTTTTTTTTTTTTTTTTTTTTTGTAGAGACTAGGTCTTGTGATGTTGCCTAGGCTGGTTTTGAATTCCTTGGCTCAAGTGATCCTCTGGCCTTGGCCTCTCAAGGTGCTGGATTACAGGTATGAACCACTGCACCTGGCCTCTTTCAGCACTTTGTTATCCTACTGCTTTCTAACCTCCACAATTTTTTTTTTTTAAGACAAGGTCTTGCTCTGTCACCGAGGCTGCAGTGCAGTGGTGCAATCATGGCTCACTGCCGCCTCAACCTCCCAGACTCAAGCAATCCTCTTACCTCAGCCTCCTGAGTAGCTGGGACTACAGGTGTGTACCACCACACCCGGCTAATTTTCGTATTTTTTGTAGAGATGAGGTTTCAACATGTTTTCCAGGCTAGTCTCAAATTCCTGGGCTCAAGTGATCTGCCTGCCTTAGCCTCCCAGAGTGCTGGGATTACAGGTGTGAGACCCCGCACCCAGCCCTGCAACCACTTAAAAAAATACTCTGGGGCCAGGCACCGTGGCTCACATCTGTAATCCCAACACTTTTGGAGGCTGGGGCAGGTGGATCACCGGAGCCCAGGAGTTTGAGACCAGCCTGGGCAACAGAGTGGGACCCCATATGTATATATTTTTTCTTTGAGACGGAGTCTCGCTCTGTCGCCCAGGCTGGAGTGCAGTGGCGCCATCTTGGCTCACTGCAAGCTCCGCCTCCCAGGTTCACGCCATTCTCCTGTCCCAGCCTCCGGAGTAGCTGGGACTACAGGTGCCTGCCACCACGCCCGGCTAATTTTTTGTATTTTTAGTAGAGACGGGGTTTCACCGTGTTAGCCAGGATGGTCTCGATCTCCTGACCTTGTGATCTGCCCGCCTCGGCCTCCCAAAGTGCTGGGATTACAGGCTTGAGCCACCACGCTGGGCTGGGACCCCATATTTTTAAAATAAAATGGCTGCACTGACTGGAAATGGTGGCTCACGCCTGTGTTCCCACTTTGGGAGGTTGAGGCAGGCAGATCACTTGAGCCCAGGAGTTTGAGACCAGTCTGGGCAACATGGCAAAACCCCATTTCTATAAAAAATACAAAAAGCCAGACATGGGGGCATGTGCCTATAGTCCCAGCTACCTGGGAGGTGGGAGGATTGCCTGAGCCCTTGCGGTTGAGGCTGTAGTGAGCTGTGATCACACCACAGCACTCTAGCCTGGGCAACAGAGTGAGATACTGTCTCAAACAAAACAAAACAAAACACTTTAATGCTTTAAAAGACACCACTGGGCCGGGCATGGTGACTCATACCTGTAATCCCCGCACTTTGGGGAGCCAAGGCGGGCAGATCACCTGAGGTCAGGAGTTCAAGACCAGCCTGGACAACATGGTGAAACTCTGTCTCTACTAAAAATACAAATATTAGCCGGGTATGGTGGTGCATACCTGTAATCCCAGCTACTTGGGAGGCTGAGGCAGGAGAATTGCTTCTACCTGGAAAGCGGAGGTTGCAGTGAGCCGAGATTACGCCACTGCACTACAGCCTGGGCAACAGAGCAAGACTCCGTCTCAAAAAAAATAAAAAATAAATAAATAAATAAATATAAAAAATAAAAAGTAAATAAAAGACACCATCAAGAAAGTGAAAATGTATCCTCATTTGTATAGTATCCCTGCCTGTCACACAGGAGACCAGGCTGGATTCCCTGATAGGGAGACAGAAAATTAGAAGAAAAAAAGGTGGGGTGCAGTGGTCAAGCAATCTGCCTGACTTGTCCTCCCAAAGTGCTGGAATTATAGGTGTGGGCCACTGTACCTGGCCAAAAGTTTTAAATTTTAAGTATATATACACATACATATATATATATATACACACGCACACACAACTCCTTTGTTGTGTGTGTATATATATATACACATACATATATGTATATATGTATATATATGTGTGTGTATAGACTTAAGATTTAAATATATATACACATACATATATGTGTGTATGTATGTATGTGGTTGTATGTGTTTTCAGTGTCTTTTTAAATTTTTAAATCTTTTTTTACTTTAAAAAATAAAAGTAGAGACAGGGTCTCACTTTGTTGCCCAGGTTGGTCTTGAACTCCTGGGCTCAAGTGATCTTCCTGCCTTGGCCTCCCAAAGTGTTGGGATTACAGGCATGAGCCACCATGCCCAGCCTTTGGCATCTTATCTAACAAATCATTGCCTACTCCAAAGCCATGAAGATATACCCCTAAGATTTCTTCTTTTTGAGATGAAGTTTCGCTCTTGTCGCCCAGCGGGAGTGCAATGGCGCAATCTCGGCTCACTGCAACCTCCACCTTCCAGGTTCCAGTGATTCTCCTGCCTCGGCCTCCCGAGTAGCTGGGATTACAGACGCCCGCCACCAGGCCTGGCCAATTTCTGTATTTTTAGTAGAGACGGGGTTTCACCATGTTGGCCAGGCTGGTCTCGAATTGCTGACCTCAGGTGATCCATCCGCCTTGGCCTCCCAAAGTGCTGGGATTATGGGTGTGAACCACTGTGCCCGGCCCACTATTTTTTCTTATAGTAATTTTATGGTTTTAGTTCTTACATTTAGGTCTTTGATCCAGTGAGTTAATTTTTTGTGTATGATGTGAGGCAGGGGTCCAAATTAATTCTTCTGCATATGTTTATCTATTCTTTTTAGGCATTATATATAGCAATTAGCACATTAAGATAATAAAAATAAATCAATGATCCACATGAGCCCTTTCTTAATGAACTTCTTTGAGATGCCTGTGACTTTTTTTTTTTCTTTGAGATAGAGTCTCACTCTGTCGCCCAGGCTGGAGTGCAGTGGTGCCATCTTGGGGTTCAAGTGATTCACCCACCTCAGCCTCCTAAGCAGCTGGGACTACAGGCATGCACCACCATGCCCAGCTAATTTTTGTATTTTTAGTAGAGACAGGGTTTCACCATGTTGGCCAGGGCAGTCTCAAACTCCTGACCTCAAGTGATTTGCCCGTCTCGGCCTCCCAAAGTGCTGGGATTACAGGCATGAGACCCTGCGTCTGGCCTGAGATGCCTTCAATGTTAATGACTTTTGTGATTAAATCAACTTATCAAACCAACTGACTTGCAGTATACAAGTTCCTTTCCTGTGTCAAGTTACTTATTTTCCATGACCTGCTGGGAGAGGACCTCTGTAAGGCACCAAGGCAGGCAATGATCACAATGCTTTGCCAAGAAAGTCACATTTGTGTCCTCTCTACTAGCTGTGAAGCAGTCTTCTCAAGTTCAGTCTAGAATGCTTTTCAAAATCACTGGCCATGGTAAAAAAAAAAAAAAAAAAAAAAAATATTTATCTACTAAATCCAGACTAAAAACCAAGATATTATATTTGAAATATCTTTCAAATACCCCAAAGTCAATCTCTAATATCTGTAGAGGGAGGCATTCTCAGGCAAAATTCATATTTGACTGATAATTGATTTAGTAAGGATTTGATTATTAGCTTAGACTCACATAGAATTCTCATTTTAGAGGTAGGCAAACTGAGGCATAACTTGCAGAAGAACCAGCTAATAAGTGGGAGAGATTAAACCAGGTATTTCCATGACAGCCAATGTTTCCAGCACTACATATTCCTTATTTGACAGCATACCAACCACAAGAGGACTCCTTTGTTGTTTCCTGGAAGGAGTGTGCTCCCAGGAGTGTCAATGCTGCTTCTCAATTCCACCACGTTTGATTCAATCTCTCAATTGAGGTATGATCCAGTTCTTGCTGTGAACAAGGAATATAAGCCTGGGAAACATAGTGAGACCTCGTCTCTACTAAAAATAAAAATAAAAAATATTGGCTGTGCATGGTGGTGCACACTTGTAGTCCCAGCTACTTGGGAAGCTAAGGCAGGACGATCACTTGAGCCCGGGAGATCAAGGCTGCAGTGAGCTATGATGGCGCTACTGCACTCCAGCCTGGGTGACAGAGCGAGACCCTGTCTCCAAATAAAAACAAAACAACACAACAACAAAAAAAACACAAATATCAAATGATACAAATACTAATATGCAGAGAAACAAAATTATAGGGACTGGCAAGTAGTTAGGTAGTCATTTGAAGGCTGTCACCTCAAAGGAAAAACAAAAACAACCGCATTTGAATCAAACAGATTGCTTGAGCCCAGGAATTCAAGACCAGCCTGGGCAACATGGCGAAACCCCACCCCTACTAAAAAAAAATACAAAAATTAGCCAGGCATGGTGGTACATGCCTCCCAGCTACTAGGGAGACTGAGGTGGGAAGATGGCTTGAGCCTGGAAGGTAGGTAGAGGTTGCAGTAAGCTGACATCTCACACTGCACTCCAGCCTGGGCAACAGAGCTAGAGCCTGTCTCAAAAAAAAAAAAGAAAGAAAAAAAAGAGGAAGGAAGGAAGGAAGGGAGGGAGGGAGAGAGAGAGAGGGAGGGAAATATCTAGTATTGACAGAAGGTAGCTGTGCTGGATGGACCACCAACAGGCACATTGGAAGTGGTGTGGTACTGGTGAAAAGAGCTACAAAGACAGATCTAATTCTTAGTCTTGCTACTTAATAATTGTGCAACTTGGGTATTATTTATCTGTATCTTAATTTTCATACCCTTACCCAGACTATCTCAGAGTCACAGTGAAGACTGAATGAGAATATATACCCAAGTACTTTGTAAACAGTAAAATGCTATGCTGGTAAAGTGGGTTAGATTTGAAGATGGCTTTTCAAAATTCCTGAATTTCTCTCAGAGATTCATGACCAGGAAATGTTGCAAACGAGAAAACAGTTTGAAACAGATCTGGCAGCATGAGGCTCTCAGGGTGTTATGTGCAAGCCTGTCAGAAGTGCCAGTCACCACAACAATGGCAGAGGCTCTTCTTCTACTGGACAATTGGGTCAGTCCACAATGGGACCATAATAAGGCTGCTCATATTCTGGTAGCATCTTCACTGAACTGGGCTGAACAGTAATCACTCTAGGAAACAAAGCTAAATTTATAAACTAGGTGGTTTAGCTAAAGGCCACTGGGGGAAAACTATCTCCTGTACACATGACTATATATCCAAAGCTCAAGGTCTAAGGAAAAAAAAAATGTGTATATATATATGTGTGTGTGTGTGTATATATATATATATATATATATATATATATATATATATAAATACATATATAATATAAAAAATATATATATTCCTAGTTCTTCTAGTTTGCTAATCCTAATTCTCTCTTAGGATTTACTAGTTCTTTGGCCCTTGAGTGTATATATAAATATGTAAACACAATGCTCAGATCTACGGAAGGGAGGTAAGAGGTGGAGGGGAGACACAGGAGAAGACTGGGATAACTATAGTCCAAACAGTTTCTCCAAAAGAAATTTTCCAGCGATCTCATTTGAAATAGAATCAGGTGGCTCTTACCTTTCTAGGAACACTTCACTGCCACTACCACTAGGTACCACAAGGGACTAAAACGAATTAAAGTAGGAAAATGAAAGAGCTCAATTTCCATTTAAGCCAGCACAAAAATATTCACTGAATAGCTCCTAAGCACTTGCATTGTGTGTGTGTATGTGTGTGTGTTGCAGATAACCAAATGGTTATCTCCAATCTCAAACAGGCACTGTGTAATTGTTTCTACCTTCAGGAAGCTTTACAACTTAGTTTAGACTCACAGCTCTAAGAATACAAAAGATAATGAATGTAACTGTACAATGAGTTCAGAGAGTGAGAGTGAGAACTCTCTTTACTGAGTGGGTAAGGTCTGAAGTGGTCTTTGAAGGCTAGATGGTTAATATTTCTGAAGGGTTTGGGGCACAAGACCAGTTCAGTTAAAGAGGCATAAAAACAAAGGTCCACACAGCAAAATGCCTCTGAGATAGAATAGCAAAACGGCTGGTTACCTGGCCTCTATTCTGCAGTACCCTCCACCCACAACTCGTCTTCAGACAAAGAGGGTTCTGCATTGTCTGTCAGCTGAATTATAAAAATCCCTCTGATTAGCTCTTCCTTTTAGCTCTTAGCAACAATACAAGAAAGGGCCTTTCCAACAGCCCTTCTGACAAATTGGAAACAGGGATTTCTCTAACCTGTATGTAATTCATCAAAATGAGGGAGTTAGATTTAGGAGGCAATATTCTAAGGCCCCATGTGAGAAAGGCCCAGGGTGAAATGGGAGAGAAAAGCCAGGCTGAAAGGCCACACAAAGAATCCTCTCCACTCCCAGAAGACATGCCATGAACAAACATCCAATGTTCACCCTCAAACTCCATCAACTTGATCCAACATGATGTAGTGAAAAGAGCACTGATTTGGAGGTCAGGTGAACTGAGTTCCAAGCCCAACTGTATAATTGTGGGCAAAGTACCCACTATCTTAGTCTTGCTTCTGCCTCTCTAAAACAGGGGTATTTCTCATGGCGCAAGTCTTCGGAAAGCAATAAATAAAATAAAATGGGCACAATAAACTTTATAGGGCCCTGTAGGATTAAGGAGGTAATGTGAAAGTATCTAGGGCCTAAATGCTGAATCAATGGTGTTCCCTTTTTCTTCTCACCTCCTGTAGTGAAAGGCCTAAATTCCTTATAAGGGAAATTTTCAGGAAGTTACGGTCAAAGAAAAAAACCATTATTTTCTTGCTTTCTATTGAACAGGTGGTTTTTCCTTTTCCTTCCAACACTCAGTTCTTTCTCTTAATCTTTATCCTTCCATTCTGTCTTCATTCCCTTGAAAGCTACACTTAAGGAACCAATGACCAGGGGTTTAAAAAAGGGCCTATTTCCCCCTTTACTTCACCTCAAAGTGGACAATTCCAATCATTACTCATTAGAAAATTATAGCCTCTTGGGTGATTTAAATATTGATGACTGTTCAGATGCAGTGACTCACACCTGTAATCCTAGCACTTTGGGAGGCTGAGGCGGGTGGATCACCTGAGGTCAAGGGTTCGAGAGCAGCCTGGCCAACATGGTGAAACCTCGTCTCTACTAAAAATACAAAAATTAGCCAGGTGTAGTGGCAGGCGCCTGTAATCCCAGCTACTTGGGAGGCTGCGGCAGAAGAATCACTTGAACCCAGGAGGCAGAGGTTGCAGTGAGCCAAGATCGCACCATTGCACTCCAGCCTGGGCAAAAGGGCAAAAACTCCATCTCAAAAAATAAACAAACAAATGCTGATGACTTCTGCAATCTATACCTAACACCTAGAGGGAACATGGGTTCCTTCCAATCATGTCTGTAAGTACCTCAAATGGGGGGTGGGGGGGTGGGGAAGCATCTTCTTCTCCATAAACCGGTTCCTTATATATTTCTCTTAATTCATGGTCCACAATTCCTTACCTGGAATTCTGAAATCAAAGGGGCTCTCAGGGCCAGGCACGATGGCTCATACCTATAATTCTAGCACTTTAGGAGGCCGAGGCAGGAGGATTGCTTGAGGCCAGGAGTTTGCAACCAGCCTAGGCAACTAAGCAAGACCCAATCTCTACAAACAAACAAACAAACAAACAAAATAAAAAGAAAAAAGAAAAACAAGCTCTGAAAATAGGACAGGTTTTTTTTTTTTTTTTTTTTTTAGTAAATATAGTCTCAAAACACATTTGGCGGCAAAATCTGAACCTCACATGAGATTATTTATAGTCTTTATATATATAATCTCAATTAATTTTCAACTGGATATTTTTGCTACAGAAACATTCATAATATTTGACTATACAGGGTTCTATCCCAAACCTCACTGGAGGTGTTATACAAGTTATATGCACCATAATGCCTTTCTAAAATTCAAAAAATTAGGATTCTGGAACATCTGGCATGAATAATTTCTTAAAAGGCATACACTCTCAACGGGGGCAATATCATACCCAAAGGGCAAAATAGGTTTGTCGGCGAGGGAGAAAAAAAGTTAAGACGTTAGAATGGTGCGTAGCCCTCCAAAGCTCAACCTTACCCAACAAAATCTTACTATTACATGAGCAGGACTGACAGTGACTTCATGGAAGGCAGCCAAAATATATGCAGGATCTATGCTACAAAATTATGGTGACCAGATGGCCGTGACTGGGGAACTTTCTCTTGATTGATCGCTGGATCTCGATATGGCAAGAGATGGCCTGTGCAGGCCTGTTGGCTGCCTCATGAATGTTATTTATGTTTTATCCTCAGTGGATTGTGTGACTTGGGCTTTGGTCATTATCAAGCAAAAGTCTAAAAACTCACTAAATAATTTTTAATTGTTTCAAATTGTTTTACTTTTGTTGGATAAATTCTAGTTTTGAATGATTTTTAAAGTTTTGATTACATTGTTTTTATACAAACTGCCAAACTGGATTGTAATTTGATAGAATTTATGTAAGCAAGTAAACTGCATTAAAAGTTACAAAGCAAATACAGCCATAAAAATTAAGTTAAGACCAGGTGAGGTGACTCAGGCCTGTAATCCTAGCACTTTGGGAGGCCGAGGCGGGTGGATTGCCTGAGCTCAGGAGTTCGAGACCAGCCTGGGCAACACGGTGGAACACCATCTCCACTAAAATACAAAAAATTAGCTGGGCGTGGTGGCATGCGCCGGTAGTCCCGGCTACTCAGGAGGCTGAGGCAGGAGAATTGTTTGAACCTGGGAGGTGGAGGTTGCAGTGAGCTGAGATTGCGCCACTATACTGCAGCCTGGGCGACAGAGTGAAACTCCGTCTCAAAAATAAATAAATAAATAAGTTAAACGCAAACAGCTCTTAAAAAAAGACGAGGCCGGCCGAACACGTTGGCTCACACTTGTAATCCTAGCACTTTGGGAGGCCAAGGCGGAAGGATTGCCTGAGCTCAGGAGTCTGAGACCAGCCTGGGCAACACAGTGAAACCCCGTCTCTACTAAAATACAAATAATTAGCCAGGCATGGTGGCGGGGGCCTGTAATCCCAGCTACTCAGGAGGTTGAGGCAGGAGAACTGTATGAACCCAGGAGGCAGAGGTTGCAGTGAGCCGAGATCGTGCCACTGCACTCCAGCCTGGGCAACAGAGCGAGAGACTGTTGGAAAAAAAAAAAAAAAAAGATGAGGCCTCACTATGTTGCCCAGGCTGGTCTTGAACTCCTGGCCTCAAGCAATCCTCCCGCCTTGGCCTCCCAAAGTGCTGGGATTATAGGCGTGAGCCATCTTGTCCAGCCCAAATAGATTTTTTTCTTTTTAAAGACAGGTCTCACTCTGTTGCCCAGGCTGGAGTGCAGTGGTGTGATATTGGCTCACTACAGCCTCTACCTCCTAGGCTCAATCTATCCTCCCACTTCACCCTCAAAAGTAGTTGGGACTGCAGGTGCATGCCACTACACACCGCTAATTACTGTATTTTCTGTAGACACGGGGTTTGATCATGTTGCTCAGGCCGGTCTCAAACTCCTAGGCTCAAGCGATCCTCCTCAACCTCCCAAAGTGCTCAGGAGTTTGAGCTTAACCTAAAAATTTTGGGTTAAAAATTTTTAACCTAAAAATTTTGTTTAGTCATTCCTTTTTTTTTTTTTTTTTTTTTTTGAGACAGAGTCTTGCTCTGTCGCCAGGCAGGAGTGCAGTGGCATGACCTCAGCTCACTGCAACCTCCACCTCCCAGGTTCAAGCAATTCTCCTGCCTCAGCCTCCTGAGTAGCTGGGACTACTGGTGCACACCACCACGCCCAGCTAATTTTTGTATTTTTAGTAGAGATGGGGTTTCACCATGTTGGCCAGGATGGTCTCAATCTCTTGACCGCATGATCCACCTGCCTTGGCCTCCCAGAGTGCTGGGATTACAGGCGTGAGCCACTTGGCCTTTTTTTTTTTTTTTTTTTAAGACAGGGTCTCACTCTGTCACCCAATATGGAGTGCAGTGGCATGATCTTGGCTCACTGCAACCTCAATCTCCGGGGCTCAAGCAATCCTCCCACCTCAGCCTTCTGAGTAGCTGGGACTACAGATGCATGCTACCACACCCAGTTAATTTTTTATCTTTGGTAGAGACAGGGTTTCACCATGTTGTCCTGGCTGGTCTTGAACTCCTGACCTCAAGCAATCCACCCACCTCAGTCTCCCATAGTGCTGGGATTACAGACATGAGCCACCATGCCCCGCCCTGTTTAGTCTTTCTTAACCATGCATTGAATAAAAACTAAATTGTACACTTACTCTTATGTATAAAGCACAGACATGGTACATAAAAAGATACAGAGTTTATCTCAGTGTTAATATGTCATAGGGCAGGTACATTAGGGGGAAAAAAAGGTCTAAAAAGTTTCCTTAGGAAGGTGATTAAAAAAAAGTTGAGAAACACCACGCCCGGAAACACTGGATTACTGATCTGTACCAATACCTTCAAAGTTTTTCAACCCAGAAACATGGGAATAATCTTTGACAGTTCTGTTTCCCTTAACTCCCACCCCACATCCAATCACATCCAATCAGAAAGAATGGCCAGCTTTATTTCCTAATTATTTCTGGACTCTGTGTCTTTTTCTCCATTCCTACTGCCATTGCACGAATTTAGGTCTTCATAATCTCTTGCCTAGACATTATAAGAGCCTCATCAAACTGCCTTTTTGCTCCTTACACCCAAACTTTTTTTTTTTTTTTTTTTGAGATGGAGTTTCGCTCTTGTTGCCCAGGCTGGAGTGCAATGGCACGATCTCGGCTCACTGCAACCTCTGCCTACCAGGTTCAAGCGACTGTCCTACCTCAGCCTCCTGAGTAGCTGGGACTACAGGCATGCACCACCACACCCAGCTAATTTTTTGTATTTTTAGTAGAGAGGGGGTTTCTCTGTGTTGGTTAGGCTGGTCTCCAACTCCTGGCCTCAGGTGATTTGCCTGCCTCGGCCTCCCAAAGTACTAGGATTACAGGCATGAGCCACTGCACCCGGCCCACCCAAACTTCTTAAAACAGCTTGCCTCTTCTCTCTCCTTTTTTCTTTAAAAATGAGAAAGGGTCTCGCTAAGTTGCACATGCTGGTCTCAAACTGCTGACCTCAAGTGATCCTCCCACCTGAGCCTCCCAAAGTGCTAGAATTACAGGCATCAGCCACTGTGCCAGGCCTCTCCTCTCTCATTTCTTAGCTTACTTAGCACTTCCATGCCATCAAAACCGTCTTTGCACAGGCCACTTACCAAGTACATGATGCTAAATTCACTAGACATTTTCAGTCTTTTTTTTTTTTTTTGCTTGTTCTCTTGGCAGCACTCAATTCTGACAACCACTTCCTTATTTTTGAAATACTCTCTTTCTCTTGGCTTTTTTTTCGTTTTGTTTCACATTTTGTTTTTTGAGACAAAATCTAGCTCTTGTCCCCCAGGCTGGAGTGCAATGATATGATCTCGGCTCACTGCAACCTCTGCCTCTTGGGTTCAAGCGATTCTGTTGCCTTAGCCTCCCGAGTAGCTGGGATTACAGGCGCCTGCCACCACGCCCAGCTAATTTTTGTATTTTTAGTACAGACGGGGTTTCACCATGTTGGCCAGGCTGCTCTCGAACTCCTGACCTCAGGTGATCCGCCTGCCTCGGCCTCCCAAACTGCTGGGATTACAGGCGTGAGCCACCGCGCCCAGCCTCTCTTGGCTTTTTTGTTTGAGTCGGAGTGTCGCTCTGTCACCCAGGCTGGAGGGCAGTGGCACGATCTCAGTTCACAGCAACCTCTGCCTCCCGGGTTCAAGTGATTCTCCTGCCTCAGCCTCCTGAGTTGCTGGGATTACAGGTACACACCACCACGCCCGGTTAACTTTTGTATTTTTAGTAGATCTGGGGTTTCACCATGTTGGCCAGGCTGATCTCGAACTCCTGACCTCAGGTGATCCACCCATCTCAGCCTCCCTAAGTGCTGGGATTACAGGTGTGAGCCACCACACCTGGCCTCTTTCTCTTGGCTTTTAAGACACCAAGCACTCCTTGTTTTCTTTTAATTCTGACTGATGTTTCCTTCCTTTCTGCACATCACAGCTGATCTACCTTGGCCAGCTTTTTAGCCCAGCTCTCATCACATTTTTCCTGAGTGTTGATGAATCACTCCATAGTTTTAGTTGCCATGTATAGAGATAAATAGATGATCAAACCTCTATCTCCATTCCCAGGCCTCACTCTTGAGCTCCAGACTTCTACATTCAACTGATTTTTGAACAACTTCCCTGGAGGTCAGAGAATCCTCAAAATGCACAAATTTAAATTCAGCATCACTATCCACTCTGCTCTCAAAGCAACAGGCATAGGAGTCATGCTTAATTTTTTTTCCCCTTGGCTTCAGCCACCAGATGAAATCAATAACCAAGTCCTGATGATTCAAATTCCTAACTCTCTTATTCCCTACCATTACCATCTCAGCTGCTGCCATCATCTCCTGCCAGGACTACCACATTACTCAAAGAGCTCCTAGGTACGGCCAGGAGCAGTAGCTTACGCTTGTAATCACTCTGGGAGGCCGAGGGAGGCAGATCACTTGAGGTCAGGAATTCCAGACCAGCCTGGACAATATGCTGAAACCCCATCTCTACTAAAAATACAAAAATTAGCTGGGCATGGTGGCACATGCCTGTAATCTCAGTTACTCAGGAGGCTGAGGCAGGAGAGTCGCTTGAACGCTTGAACTCAGGAGATAAAGGTTGCAGTGAGCTGTGATCGCGCCACTGCTCTCCAGCCTGGGTGACAGAGCAAGACTCTGTCAAAAAAAAAAAAAAAAAGAAGGAACTCCGTCTGGGTGTGGTGGTAATCCCAGCACTACTGTGGGAGGCCAAAGAGGGAGGATCACCTGAGGTCAGGTGTTCAAGACCAGCCTGGCCAACATGGCGAAACCCCGTCTCTACTAAAGATACAAAAAATTAACCGAGTGTGATGGCAGGCGCCTGTAATCCCAGCTACTTGGGAGGCTGAGGCAGGAGAATCTCTTGAACCCAGGCGGCGGAGGTTGCAGTGAGCTGAGATCACGCCACTGCACTCCAGCCTGGGTGACAGAGCTATACTCCATCTCAAAAAAATAATTAATTAATTAATTAAAAAAATTAATTGGCTGGGTGCAGTGGCTTAAGCCCATAATCTCAGCACTTTGGGAGGCTGAGGCGGGCAGATGGCCTGAGGTCAGGAGTTCGAGACCAGCCTGGCCAACATGGTGAAACCCCGCCTCTACTAAAAATACAAAAAAAGTTAGGGAGGCATGGTGGTCCATGCCTGTAATCCCAGCTACTTGGGAGGCTGAGGCAGGAGAATCGCTTGAACCAAGGAGGCAGGGCTTGCAGTGAGCCAAAATCACACCACTGCACTCCAGCCTGTGCGGCAGAGCGAGACTCCATCTCAAAAAAAAAAAAAAATTAACATTTAAAAAAATACATATAATTTTGTAAAATACAGAGACTACGTAATATTTCATAAGATACACAGAATATTAATTGAAGTAACATTTACAAATAAGACAGACAATTCTCAGGCTATATTTGGCCTCAAATATCTTTTGTTAATGTTTTCAGATTTTGAAAGTTAGCTTGTAACCTTTACAAAGCAGTAAGTATTATTTAAAAATCCAGGCCGGGCGTGGTGGCTCACACCTGTAATCCCAGCACTTTGGGAGGCTGAGGCAGGTGAATCACGAGGTCAGAAGTTTGAGACCAGCCTGGCCAATATGGTGAAGTCTACTAAAATTACAAAAATTAGCCAGGTGCAGTGGTGAGCGCCTGTAATGCCAGCTACTTGGGAGGCTGAGGCAGGAGAATTGCTTGAACCCGGGAGGCGGAGGTTATAGTGAGCTGAGATCGTGCCACTGCACTCTAGCCTGGGCGACAGTGCAAGACCCCATCTCAAAAAAAAAAAAAAAAAAATTCCAGATTTCCAGCTTCAAGAGGGAGAGGAATTGTGGAAAGGATGCGAAATCAACAACACTAGAACCACATTTCCCCATGGCAACAATTGGCTGGAGCGTAGCAGCCAGGAAATAGGGTTGTCCCGTTCATCTAACAGTCTCCCTTTGGTTTATTTCATAAAATTATTCACTAGAATATAAAATCTGGGACTTCACCAGAAAGAGGTTTTGTCTGTTTTGTTAACCACTGTATTTCCAGGGCCTAGAAAAGTCCCTTGCACATAGTGGGCACTTAATAATCATTTGCTGAAATTAACTGCTGTCTGCCTGGTCCTAAAAGTATGAGTTTCTGACAAGTATTCACAATATGTTCCTGTCCTCCACTCAAAGACAAAGACTAGTAAATTTAACTTTATATTTAATGTAGGGCCTGGCTGGGTGTGGTGGCTCAAGCCTGTAATCCCAGCACTTTGGGAGGCCGAGGCAGGCGGATAACCTGAGGTCAGGAGTTTGAGACCAGCCTGGTCAACATGGTGAAACCCCACCTCTACTAAAAATACAAAAATTAGCCAGGCGTGGTTGTGGATGCCTGTAATCCCAGCTACTCAGTAGGCTGAAGCAGGAGAATCGCTTGAACCCAGGAGGTGGAGGTTGCAGTGAGCTGAGATAGGCCACTGCACTCCAGCCAGGGTGACAAAGTGAGACTCTCTCTCAAAAAAAAAAAAAAAAATATATATATATATATATATATATATATATATATATGTATACACACACACACACACACACATATATATGGCTTGACACATAGAAAGTACTTTGTTTACTAAGTGATTAACAGCTATTAATTATCACTTATTGAGTACTTACTATGTGCTAAGCACCGAGCTAAAATGCTTTACAGGCATTACCTCATTTAATTCCTGTAACAATCCTATTATCTCTATTTTATTTCATTTTTATTTTTTAAAGACAAGGTCTTGCTCTGTCACCTAGGCTAGAGTACAATGGTGAGATCATATAACTCACTGCAACCTCAAACTCCTAGGTTCAAACGATCCTTCTGTCTCAGCTTCCCATGTAGCTGGGAGTACAGGCACATCCCACCACGCCCAACTAATTTTTTTTTTGTAGAGACAGGGGTTTTGCCATGTTGCCCAGACTGGTCTGGAACTCCTTGCCTCAACCAATCCTCCTTCCTGAGCCTCCCAAAGTGCTAGGAATACAAGTGTGAGCTACCGCACCTAACCTATACCTATTTTAAAGATAAGAAAATGAGGCTATGTAGAGTAAGTAACTGGTCAAAAAACTAATAACATGGAATAAAACAACTGTAATAGAAAAAAGGATGTGAAAAGCGCACACCACTGCACCCCAGCCTGGGAGAAAAAGCGAGACTCCATTTAAAAAAAAAAAAAGTAAGAACAAAGTGCTATAGAATTTAGGAGAGTTCATTTCCAAACTGGAAGGCATAAAGTACTTCAGAAAGGTTCATGAAGAAGGCAGTATTTAAAGTATATCTTGAAAAACAGGTGAGATGGCTGGGCACGGTGGCTCACGTCTATAATCTCAGCACTTTGGGAGGCTGAGGCGGGAGGATCACCTGAGGTTGGGAGTTCGAGACCAGCCTGACCAACATGGTGAAACCCCGTCTCTACTAAAAATACAAACAATTAGCTGGGCATGGTGGTGCATGCCTGTAATCCCAGTTACTCAGGAGGCTGAGGCAGGAGAATAGTTTGAACTGGGAGGCAGAGGTTGCGGTGAGCGGAGATTGTGCCACTGCACTCCAGCCTGGGCAACAAGAGCGAAACTCCATATCAAATTAAAAAAAAGAAAAGAAAAACAGGTGAGATTTCTATAGGAAAAGATGGGTGGGGAAGAGATTGCTTTAGCTACTTCAGGAATGCTTATGTACAAACAGCCCATATTTTGATTAGAATCATACTGAGTAAGCGTCTCTTCCATGTATTAGCTATGAATTTGCCCAAGTTACTGAAACCTCTCCATCCTTTGGTTTTCTCAACTAAAACATGAGAATCTGAGAATTAAATGAATATATAAAGTACAGGCATATCTCATTTTACTGTGATTCACCGATACTGTGTGTTTTTTTATTGTTGTTATTGTTTTTGTCTTGAGACAGGGTCTCACTATGTTGCCCAGGCTGGTCTCAAACTGCTGAGCTCAAGAGTTTCACCTGCCTTAGCCTCCCAAAGTGCTGGGATTATAGGCGTCAGCCAGCATACCCAGCCAATGTGTGTTTTTTTTAAAAAAAAAAAAACAAATTGGGCCGGGCGCAGTGGCTCACGCCTGTAATCCCAGCACTTTGGGAGGCCGAGGCGGGTGGATCACAAGGTCAGGAGTTCAAGACCAGCCTGGCCAAGATGGTAAAACCCCATCTCTACTAAAAATACAAAAAGTTAGCCGGGCGTGGTGGCAGGCGCCTGTAGTCCCAGCTACTCAGGAGGCTGACGAAGGAGAATCATTTGAACCCGGAGGGTGGAGGTTGCAGTGAGCCAAGATCGTGCCACTGCACTCCAGCCTGGGTGACAGAGTGAAACTCCGTCTCAAAAAAAAAAAACAAAAAAAAACAAATTGAAGGTTTGTGGCAATCCTATGTTAAGCAAGTCTACTGGTGCCATTTTTCCAGCAGCATGTGTTCACTTTGTGCCACATTTTGGTAATTCTCGTAATATTTCAAACTTTTGTTTTTTGTTTTATCTGTTATGGTGATCTGTGATCAGTGATATTTGATGCTAGTATTGCAACTGTTTTGGGGTGCCATGAGCCATGGTCATATAAGATGGAGAACTTAACTGATAAATACTGTGTATGATCTGACTGCTCCACCAACAAGCCATTCCACAGTCTCTCTCCCACCCTATTCCCTGAGATACAACAATATTGAAATGAGGCTAATTAATAACCCTACAATGGCCTCTATTTGTTCAAGTGAAAGGGGCAGTTGCATGTCTCCACATTAAGTCAAAAGCTAGAAATGATTAAGCTTAGTGAGGAAGGCATGTCAAAAAGCCAAGATATGGTGAAAGCTAAGCCTCTTGCGCCAGTTAGCAAAGCTGTGAATGCAAAGGAAAAGTTCTTTTTTTTTGTTGTGAAGGAGTTTCCAAGTCTGGAGTGTAATGGTGCGATCTCAGCTCACCGAAACCTCCACCTCCTGGGTTCAAGCGATTCTTCTGCCTCAGCCTCCCAAATAGCTAGAATTGCAGGCATGTGCCACCACACCCGGCTAATTTTGTATTTTTAGTAGAGACAGGGTTTCTCCATGTTAGTCAGGCTGATCTTGAACTCCTGACCTCAGGTGATCCGCCTGCCTGGGCCTCCCAAAGTGCTAGGATTACAGGCATGAGCCACTGCACCTGGCCAGGAAAAGATCTTGAAGGAAATGAAAAGTACTAGTCCAGTGAACACACAAATGTTTAAAAAAAACAACCGGCCGGGCGCTACTCAGGAGGCTGAGGCAGGAGAATGGCATGAACCCGGGAGGCGGAGCTTGCAGTGAGCCAAGATAGGGCCACTGCACTCCAGCCTCTGTCTCAAAAAAAAAAAAAAGAAAAGAAAAGAAAAAACAGCCTTATTGCCAATATGGATAAACTTTTAGTGGTTTTGACAGAAGATCAAATCAGCCACAATACTGCCTTAAACCAAAGCCTAATCCAGAGCCAGGCTCTAACGAGACTGGTTCATAAGGTTTAAGGAGCCGAGCGCAGTGGCTTATGCCTGTAATCCCAAGACTTTGGGAGGCTGAGGCAGGTGGATCACCTGAGGTCAGGAGTTCGAGACCAACTTGGCCAACATGGTGAAACCCCATCTCTACTAAAAATACAAAAATTAGCCAGATGTGGTGGCGGGCACCTGTTATCCTGGCTACCTGGGAGGCTGAGGCAGGAGAATCGCTTGAATCTGGGAGGAAGAGGTTGCAGTGAGCTGAGATCATGGCACTGCACTCCAGCCTGGGCGACAGTGAGACTCCGTCTCAAAAAGAAAGGGTTTAAGGAAAGAAGCCATCAATGTGGAGGCCAAACTCAGTGACTCATGCTTGTAATCCCAGTGGCTTTGGAGGCTGAGGAATAAGGATCACTTGAGGACAGGACTTGAAGACCAGCCTGGGCAACATGGTGACACACTGTCTCACAAAAATTTAAAATTGGCTGAGTGTGGTGGCACACACCTGTAGTCCCCAGCTACTTAGAAGGCTGACGTGGGGGGATCCCTTGAGCCCAGGAATTAGAGGTTGCAGTGTGCTATCTTGCCACTGCACCCCAGCCTGGGTGACAGACAAAAACCCTATCTTAAAAAAAAAAGTTGGGCACAGTGGCTCACGCCTTGTAATCCCAGCACTTTGGAAGGTTGAGATGGGCGGATCACGAGGTCAGGAGATCGAGACCATCCTGGCTAACATGGTGAAATCCCATCTCTACTAAAAATACAAAAAAAAATTAGCCGGGCGTGGTAGCGGGCGCCTGTGGTCCCAGCTACTCGGGAGGCTGAGGCAGGAGAATGGCGTGAACCCGGGAGGCCGAGCTTGTAGTGAGCTGAGGTCGCGCCACTGCATTCCAGCCTGGGCAACAGAGAGAAACTCCGTCTCAAAAAAAAAAGTGAAGCCGGGTGTGGTGGCTCATGCCTATAATCCCAGCACTTTGGGAGGCTGAGGTGGGCGGATCACTTGAGGTCAGGAGTTCGAGACCAGCCTGGCCAACACGGCGAAACACTGTCTCTATAAAAATACATAAATGTTCTGGGCGTGGTGGCACACACCTATAATCCCAGCTACTTAGGAGACTGAGGCACCATAATTACTTGAACCCGGGAGACAGAGGCTGCAGTGAGGCGAGATCGTGCCACTGCACTCCAGTCTGGGTGACAGAGTGAGACACTGTCTCAAAAAAGTGCAAGGTGAAGCAGCATGTGCTGATGCAGAAGCTACAGCAAGTTATCCAGAAGATCAAGCTAAGATCATTAATGAAAGTGGCTACACTAGCCAACAGATTTTCAATGTAGAAGAAACAGCTTTCCATTGGAGGAAGATGTCATCTAGGACTTTCATAGCTAGAGAGAAGTCAATGCCTGGCTTCAAAGCTTCAAATGACAGGCTGACTCTCTTGTTATGGGCTAATGCAGCTGGGGCCTTTAAGTTGAAGTCAATGCTCAATTACTATTCTGAAAATCTCAGAAGCTTAAAACGTATGCTGAATCCACTGTGTTTATGCTTTATAAATGGAATAAAGCCTGGATGACAGCACATCTGTTTACAGCTTGATTTACTGAATATATATATATATATATATATTTTTTTTTTTGAGACAGAGTTTCGTTCTTGTCGCCCAGGCTGGAGTGCTGTGGCGTGATCTCAGCTCACTGCAACCTCCACCTCCCAGGTTCAAACAATTCTCTTGCCTCAGCCTCCACAGTAGCTGGGATTATAGGTGTGCACCACCACACCAGGCTAATTTTTTGTATTTCTAGTAGAGACAAGGTTTCACCACATTGGCCAGGCTGGTCTCGAACTCCTGACCTCAAGTGGTCTGCCCGCCTCGGCCTCCCAAATTGCTGGGGTTACAGGTGTGAGCCATTGCGCCGGCCTAATGTTGTTTTCCCACCTGTTAATACAACATCCATTCTGTAGCTATACAGAATCCATCCATTCTGTATGAATTAAGGAGTGATTTCAACTTTCAGGTCTTATAAAAACATTCACGATTCATAAGAAGTCAAAATATCATAAATAAGAGTTTGGAAGAAGTTGATACCAACCCTCACGGATGACTTTAAGAGGTTCAAGACTTCAATGGAGCAAGTTACTGCAGATGGGGTGGAAACAGCAAGATAACTAGAAGTGAAAATGTGATAACTAGACAACTGAAAATATGATTGAATTGCTGCAATCTCACGATCAAACTTGAATGGATGAGCAGCTATTCTTACGGGTGGGCAAACAAATGGTTTCTTGAGATGGAATCTACTCCTTGTGAAAATGCCGTTAATCCTGTTGATAAGACAATAGGCTGGGCAAGGTGGCTCACACCTGTAATCCCAACACTTTGGGAGGCTAAGGCAGGAAGATCACTTGAGCCCAGTTCAAGACAGGCTTAGGCAACACTCTTTAAAAACAATTTAAAAAATTAGCCGGGCATGGTGGTGCATGCCTGTAGTCCCAGCTACTCGGGAGGCTGAAGTAGGAGGATTGCTTGAGCCTGGGAATTCAAGGCTGTAGTGAGCTGTTGATAGCACCACTGCATTCCAGCCTGTGTGACAGAGTGAGACCCTGTCTTAATAAATAAAAAAAACATATATACATACATACATACACACATACATGAAATGACAACAAAGGATTTTTGGGGTTTTTTTGAGACAAGATCTTGCTCTGTCGCCCAGGCTGGTGTGCAATGGCACAATCATCTCACTGCAACCTCAACCTCCCAGGTTCAAGTGATTCTCCCACTTCAGTTTCCTGAGTAGCTGGGACTACAGTCACGCGCCACCACACCCAGCTAATTTTTTAAATGTTTTTTTAGAGATGGGGTCTCACTATGTTGCCCAGGCTGGTCTGAAACTCTTGAGCTCAAGCAGTCCTCCCACCTCATCCTCTCAAAGTGCTGGCATCATAGGCGTGAGCCACCAAGACCGGCAGATTTAGAACATTACATAAACTTAGTTGATAAAGCAGTGGCAGGGTTTGAGAGTACTGACTCTAATTTTGAAAGGTCTATGGCAGAGAGAAATGTTATCAAACAGTATCACATTACAGAGAAATCTGTGGTGAAAGGAAGAATCAATTGATGTGGCAAATTTCATAGGTTGTTACTGCCACCCCAGACAATCACCACCCTGATCAGTCTCAGCAGCCATCAACATCAAGGTAAGACCCTCCACCAGCAAAGATTACAGCTCACCAAATGGCAATTTTTCACAATAAGGATTTCTTAATTAAGATATGTACTTTTGGCTGGGCATGGTGGCTCATGCATGCCTATAATCCCAGCACTTTGGGAGGCTGAGGCAGGCAGATCATGAGGTCAGGAGTTCAAGACCAGCCTGTCCAACATGGTAAAACTCCGTCTCTACTAAAAATACAAAAATTAGCTGGGTGTGGTGGTGGGCACCTGTAATCCCAGCTACTCAGGAGGCTGAGGCAGGAGAATGGTTTGAACCCAGGAAGCGGAGGTTGCAGTGAGCCGAGATCACGCCATTGCACTCCAGCCTGGGTGACAGACAGGGCCAGCCTGTCTCAAATAAATAAATAAATAAATAAAAGAGGTACTTTTACTCTACATATTATTGCACACTTAAGAGACTACAGTATAGTATAAAGATAACTTTTATATGCATTGGAAAACAGAAAAATTCATGTGACTTGCTTTATTATATTTGCTTTATTGCAGTGGTCTGGAACCAAACTTGCCTTAGCTCTGAGGTATGCCTCTACTTAGAAGAGTACCTAGCACATAGCAAGTTCTATACAAGTGTTGGGTATTATTATTATTATAGCTTTCCCATCTCTGTCTTTGTTTGTGGTTCACACATTTTGGTGCAACCTGGGTTAAAATACAAACTGGCAAAAAATAATAAAATAAAAGCTGGCAAGTCTCTTTTAAATAAGGAAGGCTTCTCCACAAGTTCCCCAGGCTTCCCTTCCCATCTAATTAGCAAGAACTGCATCATATGCCCATGCCTAAATCAATCACTGTCTAGGGAGCTAGAGTTACAATGATTGGTTTAGAGTTTATATCAAGACCCACCCCTTGGGGTAAGGAAGGGTGGCCAGATTCCCAGTTAGCACAGTAGTAGTAATGGTGAAAAGACAAGTAGTGTCTGCCAAGACTCATGAGGTTGTAGTCTCTGCTAGAGGGTCAGAATAAAGCAATCTCCAGAGCTACAAATATCACCCCTACAGGGCACCTAGTGGCAGGGAAATCACTGCAAAGGTCTGTTAAGGGTAATGAAGTTTGGCATAGTAGAAATAGTGTAGGATATACGACTGAGCTAGTAGGATACAGACTGAGAGTACACTTAAGAGGCAGTGAAATACGGCAGGTTCCGTACTTGTGGGCATGTGAAGGCAGGCTGTGTTAGTGTCTCCAGTGCCCAAAGGATCCAGAATACCAGCCTTGGACTAGTCACCTAATCTTCTCAAAGCCTCAGTTTATAAGTGTAAATGGAGATAACCCAAGATACCTTAGATTAGATGTTAGAATTAAATGAATGCATTAGTTTGGTCTACAACAAACAAAAAGCTGACATTCATAAAGACAAGCTACGATGAGGGAGAGGTACCTGAGATGGAGCTGGAAAGAGGAAGTTACCTGACTCTAGGCTAAAAACCCCCTTCAAGACCTTGGTCAGGGTTTGTTGCTCCACTGAAGAACTTTCATGTTGAACTGTACCAGAATAGGACTAACTTTATTTCTTAACTTCTTAAGTCTTATAGATTTATGTGCTGCAAAATGGGTAAGAATCTTACTCCTGGCTTTGTGGCTTACTGGCTGTGTTATCTTCTCCGAGACAGTTTCCCAATCTATAAAACTGAGTAAATCTCTACTTATTTCACTGAGCTTATTAAACATTAGTTCCTTCCCTTTGAGGCAACAGTGTTTCTGAAACTGAAGACCAATATAAAATTTATAACAAAGTTTATAACATAAAACCCCCTAAATTTTTTTCACTGAAAGATGAAGCTCCAGCTACTAAGAAAGGCCTATCAGTCTTATTACTCAATAGGGAAACCTGGAAACCAGAGTGCTTAAGGGAAAGGAACATTATTGAAAGTGGAAAAGAATCTGTTCTGATATTCATGGAGCCCTTTAGGCTCCAAACACTGTTATCTGTTTTTTGTTTGTTTATTTGTTTGTTTTTGAGAGGGAGTCTAGCTTGTTGCCCAGGCTGGCATGATCTCGGCTCACTGCAACCTCCGCCTCCCGGGTTCAAGCAATTCTCCCTTCTCAGCCTCCCAAGTAGCTGGGATTACAGGAGCACGCCACCATACCCAGCTAATTTTTGTATTTTTAGTAGAGACAGGGTTTCACCTTATTGGTCAGGTTGGTGTCGTCCTCCTGACCTCAGGTGATCCACCCGCCTCGGCCTATGGGATTATAGGCCTGAGCCACCTTGCCCAGCCCAAATGCTGTTATCTTATTTAGTCCCCAAATATCTTGATAACACAGCCCCACCCCTTCTTTCTAGAGGTCAGAAAAGGAAGGCTCAGAAAGGAAGAAAAACATTATTGTGGACTGTGCTAGATGCTTTCCATATGTGTTGTTGTGTCTGACATTTAAGTGACTTCCAATACCAGATCTGATTCTACAGTCATTGCCTTGAAGCTCAAGTGAATAATTTCTGCTTCCTTAGAATCTCAGATCTTTAAAAATCCAATTCCAGGCCAGGCGCGGTGGCTCATGCCTGTAATCCCAGCACTTTGGGAGGCCGAGACGGGCAGATCACCAGAGGTCAGGAGTTCGAGACCAGCTTGGCCAACATGGTGAAACCCTGTCTCTACTAAAAATACAAAAATTAGCTAGGTGTGGTGGTGGATGCCTGTAATCCCAGCTACTCAGGAGGCTGAGGCAGGAAAATTGCTTTAACCCGGGAGGCAGAGGTTGCAGTGAGCCGAGATCTGGCCACTGCACTCCAGCATGGGAGACAAGAGTGAAATTTCTTCTCAGAAAAAAAAAAAAAAAAAAAAAAATTCAATTCCAGATTCTCATTTTGCTTGCCCCACACACAATAATTAGAGTTATCAATTCACTCTGGACTCCTTCAGTTTCGTTCAGAAAAAGGATTTCAAAGTGGCCGGGCATGGTGGCTCACGCTTGTAATCTCAGCACTTTGGAAGGCGAGGCGGGAGGATCACGAGGTCAGGAGATCAAGACCATCCTGGCTAACACGGTGAAACCCCGTCTCCACTAAAAATACAAAAAAATACAAAAAAAATTATCCAGGCGTGGTGGCGGGCACCTGTAGTCCCAACTACTCGGGAGGCTGAGGCAGGAGAATGGCGTGAACCCGGGAAGGTGGTAGTTGCAGTGAGCCGAGATCGCGCCAATGCACTCCAGCCTGGGCAACAGAGCCAGACTCCGTCTCAAAAAAAAAAAAAAGATTTCATAATGGGCCCACATGCAAAAACAAAAAGCAAAACAAAACAAAATAAACAAACAGAAAACCCAAACACATTTACAACTTTGCCTAGGGTTAAAAGCTTTTTTCCCCTTTTCTCCCTGCCCAACCACTAGAGGGCCAGGTCATTTAAAAAAAAAAACAAAACAAAAAAACAGGCTGGACGCAGTGGCTCACACCTGTAATCCCAGCACTTTGGGAGGCCGAGGCAGGCGAATCACTTGAGGTCAGGGGTTCGAGACCAGCCTGGCCAACATGACGAAACCCTGTCTCTACCAAAAACACACAAAAATCAGCCGGGCGTGGTGGTGGGTGCCTGTAATCCCAGCTACTCGGGAGGCTGAGGCAGGAGAATCGCTTGAACCCGGGAGGCAGGAGGTTGCAGTGAGCCGAGATCGCGTCACTGCACTCCAGCCTGGGCGACAGAGCAAGACTCTATCAACAACAACAACAAACAGCAGTTACAAACTAGGCTTGGGAGTGTTCACCCTGGCTTAGCCACTGCATGACCTTGGGTAAGTTACTTTACCTCTCTAAAGCTCAGCTTCCACATCTGTAAAATGGCAATGGTAGCATCTATTTCCTTAGGTTGTACAAATTAAGTAAAACAAGACATGTAAAGCAATCAGAACAATGCCCGTACGTAGAAAGAGCTTAGCAAATTTCACAATTTTTACTGCTTTAGAGGAATTACCACTGTTGGTTCTGTCTCTAAATCCAAAGACTTCGCCATGGTATTCTCTCTGAACAGAGGCCTTGCCAGCCGGAGTCCCCTCAGAAAGATCAACAGGTCGCTCCTTTTCTCCTTACCAGGGCCAGCCCAGAAACCTAAAGTCCTCAACCTAAAGATGGCCAAGAGGACTTGGCCTTTGGTGTTCTACCATCACAAGCGATGCCACTCTGAGCCCAACCGAACCACACTATTTCCGCCTTGATTCCGTTCTCCCGGCCTTCAGCGGCGCAAGCTGCCCTCGGCCTGGCTGCCCATGCTTACCGGCCTAGTGCTGGCTCGCCTGACGTCCCCTCACTAGAGGACTCCACCTCGCTACGTAGGTAGGACTTCCCTGAGTTCAGGGGAGCCACTGAATCTAGTCAAGACACGCGTTGGCCAAACACAACCCAGGAGAAAGCTACCTTAGCGCCGCCCAGGCCTGCCGCCGGGAGCCCGTCCCCCAGCCCCAGTCTGGGCGCAGGACAGAGAGTAGGCCCCTTTCTACCTCCCAGGAACACGTGGGCTCCTGCCCGAGGCCACCATGTGGGGGGCTCCAGGCGTGCCAAGGTGTCCCCGAAACCAGCACCAAAGGACTGCTTCCAGCACGGGCCCTAGCTCGGCCCAAAACTGGCAAGAGGGGCACTCCCGGCCTGACTTTTCCCCTCAGACCTAGCTAGAGGGGATGCAGACATCTTCCGCAGACCGGAGACAGGCTCTCGCCAAATCCCAGGCCCCGACACTCCCTGAGCCCAAGAACCCTACTGCGTGGTTTCCTCACTCACCCATCGCGGGTCCGCTCGCTCACTCTTGGCGGCGGAGGCAACGGCGGCAGCTTCAGCGGCAGCTTTCAGTAGACAATATGGCGGATCTGTAGGACGGCAGCCCGAAAGGGACAAACCAGTTAACTCCAGGACGAAACGCTTTATTGGCCCAATCGCCTATCATTACACCGAAAGTGCGCACTTAAAGAGACCGCAGCTACTAAAGGTGGGGAGTGGAAATGAAATAGGAAAGGAGTGGTTGGGAGGAGACTGGAAGGGATACCTAAGAAAGTTAAGTGTGTCTAGGAGTTCCCAGCTGTTTCTGCTACTATTTCTTTTTTATAGTGAGATTTCTTTACCCGGAACTTTTTCTCCCAGAAGCTTATCCCTCCTTTTTTTTTTTTTTTTTTTTTTTTTTTTTTTGAGACGCAGTCTCGCTCTTGTCCCCCCAGGCTGGAGTGCGATGGCGCGATCTCGGCTCACTGCACACTCTGCCTCCCGAGTTCAAGCGATTCTCCTGCCTCGGCCCCCCGAGTAGCTGGGATTACAGGCGCCTGCCACCACGCCTGGCTAATTTTTGTATTTTTACTAGAGACGGTGTTTCAACCATGTTGGCTAGGCTGGTCTTGAACTCCTTACCTCAGGTGATCCGCCCGCCCCCAAAGTGCTGGGATTACAGGCTTGAGCCACCGCTCCGGGCCAGTTTATCCCTTCTTCTAATAGTTGAAACCAATCGGCTGGGCGCTGTGGCTCACGCCTGTAATCCCAGCACTTTGGGTAGGCCGAGGCGGGCGGATCACCTGAGATCAGGAGTTCGAGACCAGCCTGCCCATGGTCTCTACTAAAAATACAAAAATTAGCTGGGTGTGGTGGCGCATGCCTGTAATCTACTTGGGAGGCTGAGGCAGGAGAATTGCTTTAACCCGGGAGGCAGAGGTTGCAGTGAGCCGAGATTGTGCCACTGCATTCCAGCCTGGGAGACAAGAGCAAAACTCCGTCTCTAAAAACAAAAACAGCAATCATAGACCTTGGGCTGAATATGAACAACGAATCATCTAGAGAGGGGAAGTGCCTTGCTCAATGAGGCTATGGAGAGAAGGAAACAAAGAAGTAAGACTAAACTCAGGTTTTCTGATTAGGCCTACGTAGGTAGCCCTAGTTGAGGTTGCAATCTTATTGGGAGATGAGAAATAGAAAAATAGGGCTGGGTGTGGTGGTTCACGCTTGTCTATAATCCTAACACTTTGGGAAGCTGAGGCCAGAGAATCACTTGAGGCCAGGAGCTCAAGACCAGACTGGGCAACACAGTGAGACCCCATCTCCACAAAAAATAAATTAAAAGAAAAAAATTAGCCAGGCATGGTAATGAGCACTTGTACTTGGGCGGCTGAGGCGAGAGGATCACTTGAGTCCGGGAGGTCAAGGCTGCAGTGCCATGACTGTGTCACTATACTCCAGGTTGGGTGATAGAGTGAGACCCTGTCTCTAAAAAAAAAAAAAAGAGAGAGAGAGAGAGAGAAA
Organism: Homo sapiens; assembly: GCF_000001405.40. Lineage (NCBI taxonomy): Eukaryota > Metazoa > Chordata > Mammalia > Primates > Hominidae > Homo > Homo sapiens. The sequence goes on along the minus strand of NC_000001.11, from coordinate 32,106,634 downwards.
GAAATGGGCTGGACATGGTGGCTCATTCCTGTAATCCCAGCATTTTAGGAGGCTGAGGCGGCAGATTGCTTGAGCCCAAGAGTTCGAGACCAGCCTGGGCAACATAGCAAGATCCCCCGTCTCTAAAAAAAAAAAAGAAAAACAATGAGACCCATGCAGTATAGTTAACAGAGTGATTTCATAATCATTTCATTTATCCTCACAGCAAGCTCCTTGAAGGCAGGGGTGGGTTCTATATTGTTTACCACCGTATCTCCAGCACCTAGCACAGAATCTGGCACATTGTGTGTGCTCCATAAATAACTATTGAATGAATAAACAAAGGAATGAACAAAAAATTGAGTTACACAGAGCAAGGGACATGATCTCCCCTTTTAGAGATGAGGAAATTGAGGCTTTTATTGTTCATATGCCTTTTCAATCACGGGACGTATGGCTAGTACATATCAGGCCTTTCTTTTTCCATGACATGGCAGCCCTCCTGTCCCCCACCTCGACACACAGAGCCAGGCTATATCTTCAAGACACAGAGGGATCTATCTTCTGGAAGCAGAACAAGGGCCTGTCACAACAAACTGCCAACTTTAGTTGTGCGCCTGGCCCATTTTCTTGAGGCAAAGAAATCAAAAGGAAAACTCTAGGATGAAGGTCAGGAAGGGGCGCACTTTATTTCCCTTCCTACTGCCCCTGCTTAAGGTGAGACCTCATCACTTTGCCCTGTTCTGTTTTGCCTGCCTCCTCTCTGGCCTCCTGCCTCCAGACTCTCCGGCTCCCACCCACTATCTCCTGAAAAGCAGAGACCTATAATCTCAGCTACTGGGAAGGCTGAGGTGGGAGAATTGCTTGAGCCCAGGAGTTCAAGACCAGCCTGGGCAACACAGAGAAACCTGTCTCATTAAAAAAAAAAAAAAAAAAGAAAAAAAAAAAGAAAAAAAAAAGCAGAAACCTTACAGTGTAACTCTTCTGCTTAGCAACTTCCTACTGCCTGCCCTTAGGTAATGCCCAGACATTTTAATCTGGCACAGACTGGTCCTTACCTGCTTCTTGGGACACTCCCCACCAGGCAATGCAGGCTCCAACCATATTTGGAGAACCACTTTTCTTCAAATATGCGCCTGTCTTCTCATGTGCCTTTGCATATGCTGTTCCCTCTGCTTAGAATGCAGTGCCCTCCTTTCCCCACTTAACCATGAGAACTACTCACTTTTTTTTTTTTTTTTTGAGACAGAGTTTTGCTCTTGTTGTCCAGGCTGGAGTGCAATGGCATGATCTTGGCTCATTGCAAACTTCACCTCCCAGGTTCAAGCAACTCTCCTGCCTTAGCCTCCTGACTAGCTGGGATTACAGGCATGCGCCACCACACCCGGCTAATTTTTTGTTGTTGGGTTTTTTTTGGTGTTTTGGTTTTTTTTTTTTTTTTGAGACAGAGTCTAGCTCTGTCGCCCAGGCTGGAGTAAAGGGGCGTGATCTCGGCTCACTGCAACCTCTGCCTCCTGGGTTCAAGCGATTCTCCTGCCTCAGTCTCCCGAGTAGCTGGGATTACAGGTGCCTGCCACCACACCCAGCTAATTTTTGTATTTTTAGTACAGACAGGGTTTCACTGTGTTGGCCAAGCTGGTCTCGAACTCCTGACCTCGTGATCCACCCGCCTCGGCCTCCCAAAGTGCTGGGATTACAAGCATGAGCCATGGCACCCAGCCTAATTTTTGTATTTTTAGTAGAGACGGGATTTTGCCATGTTGGCCAGGCTGGTGTTGAACTCCTGACCTCAGGTGATCCACCCGCCCCAGCCTCCCAAAGTGCTGGGATTACAGGCGTTAGCCACCGCGCCTGACTCTGAGAACTACTCGCTTTCAAGACTGAACTCAGCTATCAGCTCTTTGGGGAAGCCTGTCTTTCCAGATAGGGCACCTGTCCTCTCTGCTACTACAGGAAGAAATGGACACTAATTTTCCTTAGCATTTCACACCCAAATTTGCTCACAATGTGTGTCTCTCTCTCCTTGTCTATGGAAGGAACAGTATCTTCCTTATCTTTGTAACCATCCCAGTGTTCAGCACGGTGTCTGCCTCAGTAGAGGCACCAAAAATATTTGTTGAGGTGTGTGTCTCCCATATAGCATTGTGAGCTCGTCTGCATACCTTATGGCGAAGAAGGGCTCAGGGAACGTGGGCTGAATAGATGAGAATGGCTGAGTGTCCATGTTTCCTCTCCTTTCAGCCTGAACCCTCCATCCTATGCCCATAGGAGGCAGTGACCTACAAGCAGCTGTTTCTACTCTAGCACATGACCCTGCTCATACACCTTTGCTAGCCTAGGACTATTGGTCCTCCCTGATCCAGCCTCTGTTGACTTTTCCCATTCCACTTTTTTTTTAAATCATTCCTGCTCTAAGATCCACATTCTGTTTACCTTCCCCGAAACACACCAGGATGTTCCAAATCTATGTGCTACTGCATGTGCACTATTACATTTGCCTGCTTCTCTAACTGAAACACCCTTTTCCTCTCTTGTTCACCTAGGAAGTGGCTAATACAATTCAGACTATCCCCTCCTCCAAAAAGCCCAGAGAACATTAAGCATTCTCTCCCCTCTGCTCTGTTGTACCTTGTAACTGTTGGGCTCATCCCAGTGTAGTATTACTTGCTTGTTCCAGTGTCTTGGCATCCTCACCATCTACCATAATACCCAGCAAGGAGGGTCCCAGTGACTGCATGCTGAGATAATCAAGAAATCACATTCTGCCAGGATAGTAGTGTCATCTTTCAGAGGTTTTTTATTTTTATTTTTGAGACAGAGTTCTGCTCTTGTTGCCCAGGCTGGATCTTGGCTCAGTCTTGGCACTGCAAGATTGCAGTGGTGGGATCTTGGCTCACTGCAACCTCTGCCTCCTGGGTTCAAGCAATTCTCCTGCCTCAGCCTCCCGAGTAGCTGGGATTATAGGCATGCGCCACCCGCCATGGCTGGCTAATTTTGTATTTTTAGTAGACAGGGTTTCTCCATGTTCGTCAGACTGGTCTCAAACTCCTGACCTCAGGTGATCCACCTGCCTCGGCCTCCCAAAGTGTTGGGATTACAGGTGTGAGCCATGGCGCCCGGCCTTATTTTATTTTTTTTGAGACAGCATCTTGCTCTGTCACCCAGGCTGGAGTGTAATGGCGCGATCTCAGCTCACTGCAACCCCTGCCTCCAGGTTCAAGCGATTCTCGTGGCTCAGCCTTCCAAGTAGCTGGGACTACCGACATGCGCCACCACACCTGGCTAATTTTTATATTTTTAGTAGAGATGGGGTTTTGCCATCTTGGCCAGGCTGGTCTCGAACTCCTGGCTTTCAGTGATCTGCCCACCTCGGCCTCCCAAAGTGCTGGGATTACAGGCTTGAGCCACTGTGCCCGGCCTTTCAGAGGTTTTATGTCCAGCTCTACCACTTCCTAGCTGTGTTACTACGGGCAAGTCACTATAACTCTCTGAGCTCCAGTTCTTCATCCATTGGAGTGATAGCACTTTCCTCCTAGGGTTGTCATAAAAGTTAGATTAAGGCAAGGCCTGAAATACACACAGAGCAGCATCTGGCACACAGTGAGCATTCAGTTCGCAGTAGCTATCACTGCTCCCGTGGCCTCCAGTGCCTTCTCATCTCCTCTCTACTGAAGAAGGCAGTACCCACAGAGGCTTCAGAAGCCACATGTTGGGGCTTCCTAAACCAGAATCCCACACCTCTGTAATAGGTCTCACACACACGAAGGAAAAGAACCACAGGACACAGGCTTGTTGGGAGTATAAAAATAGGACTTTTTTCCTTATCACATCAATTATCAAAGAAACAGTACGTAACAAAAATACAAAGCTCTGGTGGATTTTTTTGTCTTTTGTCCCCCCCACCACCACTTCTACCCAACAGCCCCTTGCCAGGGAGCCCTTGGCTGAAGCCTGGACGCTGTCCCTGAGGTGACCCCAGGGCTCAGGAGAAACGGTGGTCCAGGTCTCTCTGGGGGCTAGCAGAGTATGAGTAGGCCTTGCCCAATACCAAGCGGTCCCGGAGCAGCTTGAAGAAGGCATAGTAGTTGCTGAAGAGGATGAGGGCCAGCGAGATGGTCTGGTGCCACTTTTCAGAGGACATTAGGGAGTACAGCTGATAGACAATGACAGCGCCCTCCAGCAGCAGGAGGATGTTGAGGATCCGCAGGGGTTTGCTGAAAAAGAACTGCCCGGAAGCGGGTGGGCATGGCTAAAAGGTGTGCTCCAGAAATCTTCCTCCTGGATGGGGGTTCTGGGTGGGCCAGTGAAGGGGACAGCCTCCTGGGGCCCCATGCAGACATGGGTGGGGAAGAAGACTTTCTGGGGTTGGATGTGGACTTTGCCACCTCATCTGCCTTTGCTTGTGGTATTCCTCCTGATAGGACTGCTGCTTCTGATGTAAGTCATCTAAGATCCTGTTCAACTTCTACCTCCCCTAGGAAGTCTTTCTTGACAGGTTCTGCTTGCTCTCTCAAACTCTTTTTGTGGTCTAAAGTCAACACCTTTAAAAAAATTTTTTTTAATTTTTGAAAACTTTTTCTCCCTCATCCACTGACCCTCAATAAAATCAACACCTTTTAATGTCATCTCCTGGGTATTGCTGGGCCTGAACAAATTAGAATCCTATGACATAGGCATGGAAAGTTATTACAGACTCTACAGCCTGAATTACCTACTACTTCATAGGTACATCCCTAGCTAGGCTGGAAGCTGCCAAGGGACATGGCAACAGCTCACTCTCAACAGCAAGGTAGAACGTAGGGACTAAAAAAAAATCTCTGATGAGTTCAAAAGAGTGCACAGTGTCTAGGGATTTTGATTCCACAGGGGCCAAGGTACCTAAATCTCAAGAGCTGCTTACAGGACAGGAGAAGTGGTAGGAAATGGGAGGCCAAGAGACCAGGATATCAGGCTCAGCTCTGCACCTAACAGGCTGCAATACTTTGGTCAAGTCCCTTTCCTCTCTGGGGCTTGGATGTCTCAACTGTGAAATGAAGACATCAGTCTAGGTCAGTGATTTCTCATGCTGTGTTCCTTAGAGCCCCAGGTTTCAAGGGGATCCTTTAGGAGTTACAGCGGGGGTGAGCAGGAAGTGAAGGGGGTTCTAACTCCTCCAAACAGAGCAGTGCCAGGATGTCCCATATATTGGATTTTGGCCTCTGATTGTTTTTTTTAAAAAAGGGGGGGAGGGGATTTCATAGTGAAATTTAAAAAAAAATAGAGATCACTAGTTTAGATAATTTTGAGCAGCCCTTTCCATAGCTAAGTCATGAGTCATTACCATTAGGTTCTCAAGTTTCCCAAGAAGGCACCCTTTAACAAGTTAAACTCTCTTAGCTGATTTCAGTATCTAAAAACAGAGATAACCCTAGCATATCTTTCACGTACAAGGTTCAGGGTAAGGCTGAGTAGGAAGGTACATGGAGAGTGCTTAACGACATGCCTGGCACACAGTAACAAATGAAGACAGTATTGTCTTTCACTGCCAAGAGCCCCTTCTTTTACTGTATCATCTTCTCTCCCTCTGTCCAATGTTCTCAAAGATCTACAACCAAATGAGCTGCAGTTATTTATTTATTTATTTTTGAGAATGAGTCTTGCTCTGTTGCCCAGGCTGGAGTGCAGTGGCATGATCTCGGCTCACTGCAACCTCCGTCTCCTGAGTTCAAGTGGTTCTCCCTCCTCAGCCTCCCGAGTAGCTGGGATTACAGGCGCCCGCCACCATACCTGGCTAATTTTTGTATTTTTAGTGGAGACGAGGTTTCACCATGTTGACCAGGCTGGTCTGGTCTTGAACTCCTGACCTCAGGTGATCTGTCTGCCTTGGTCTCCCAAAGTGCTGGGATTACAGGCGTGAGCCACCATGCCCGGCCGAGCTGCAGTTATTAAGTGACAATTTATATGGCTGTCCTTGTGCTACATGTGTGCACTGTCTTCCTTTGGATTGGGGAAATACTGAAAATAGCTTTCTCTTGCAATGACATCACATTCCTGCCCTGCAGATCCTCCCACCCTCTCAGGCCCCAACCCTCCTTCCCCGGGGAGGAGACTCACATGGAAGCGGAAGTGGGAGACGTCAGAGGGGATAGCCACGTTGTAGTGGCCTACGGCTTTGTAGACGTTCTTGCTGTGCTTCACCAGCACGCCCTGCGGCCACATGCATTCTTCAGTCCACCTGGGGGCACAGTTCAATGGTGCCCCTTATCCCCAGCTCACCCACAAAAGGGATACCAGAAGAATGGGCAGGAGGGAATCACCAGGGCTCTACTCCCATTTCTATCACTTAGACACGCTGACTTTCCTTTTCTGGGTTTCAGTTGCCTCCTCTGTAAAATGGGGTAAGAATCATGAGGAATTCACTGTACTGTGAGTTAGGTGGTCTAGGGCTGACATTAATTACTAAGAGACTGTTGAGAGAACCCTTCTTCCTCTCTGGGTCCCTTTGCTTCATCTGGTCTCACCTCTTGCCTCCAAGTGGTCCACCACACAGTTGTCTGAGTGGTCTTTGTAAAATACTAAGCTCAGCCTGACCACCCTCTGCTTAAAACTCTTTGTGGGCTTTTTTTTTTGAGAATGAGTTTCGATCTTGTCGCCCAGACTGGAGTGCAGTGGCACAATCTTGGCTTACTGCAACCTCCGCCTCCCAGGTTCAAGCAATTCTCCTGCCTCAGCCTGAAGAGTAGCTGGGATTACAGGCATCTGCCACCATGCCCAGCTAATTTTTGTATTTTTAGTAGAGATGGAGTTTCACCATGTTGGCCAGGCTAGTCTCGAATTCTTGACGTCAGGTGATCTGTCCACCTCAGTCTCTCAAAGTGCTGGGATTACAGGCGTCAGCCACAGCGCCTGGTCCTGCTTAAAACCTTTTGAAGGCTTCCTAGTGCCCTTGGGGTCAAGGCCCCAAGGATTTGACATGGCCTCTGAGGTCTTGTGTGGCTTCCCACAACCCTCACCACACAGCTCATGCTGTTTCTCGTTCCTCCAGCACTCTGTACTGCTTCACGTCTCTCCCTAAGCTGCTCCCTCCAATTGGATTGCCCTTCCCAAAGCCTAATCCTTCTGGTAAGCTCTTCATCATCTTTCAAAACCCAGGTTCCTCCACAAAGCCTTTCTCAAACTCCCTAGAGTTTGACATCCTTTTATTTTTTTAAAAAAACTTTAAGTTCTAGGGTACATGTGTACAACATGCAGGTTTGTTACATATGTATACATGTGCCACATTGGTGTGCTGCACCCATTAACTCGTCATTTACATTAGGTATTTCTCTTAATGTTATCCCTCCCCCACCCCACCCCACCACAGGTCCTGGTGTATGATGTTCCCCACCTTGTGTCCAAGTGTTCTCATTGTTCAATTCCAACCTATGAGTGTTTTTTTTTTTTTGAGACAGAGTCTCACTCTGCCGCCCAGGCTGGAGTGCAGTGGCGCTCGGCTCACTGCAACCTCCACCTCCTGGGTTCAAGTGATTCTCCTGCCTCAGAACTATAGGCACCTGCCACCACGCCCGGCTAATTTTTCTGTATTTTTTGTAGAGACGGGGTTTCGCCATGTTGCCCAGGCTGGTCTCAAACTGCTGACCTCACGTGATCTGCCTGCCTTGGCCTCCCAAAGTGCTAGGATACAGGCAATGAGCCACCGTGCCTGGCCCATTTGGCATCCTTTAACTGTTCCCTGCATCTCCTGCTACTAGTCCACATTCCCCAATGCTGGTCATCTATTTATTTCCCATCTGTATACCTCACTAGGCTGAGAGCCCTTGAGCGGGAGGATCTAATCCATCCCTGTGTCCTCAGAGCATGCCGCAAGGCCTGGCACAGAGAGGCCCTAGTGAGCATGTGAATGAAATGCTAGGACCGGTGAGCTTTCTTTTTTTTTTTGAGACAGAGTCTCGCTCTTTCGCCTAGGCCAGACTGCAGTGGCGCTATCTCTATCTCGGCTCACTGCAAGCTCCGCCTCCTAGGTTCATGCCATTCTCCTGCTTCAGCCTCCTGAGTAGCTGGGACTACAGGCGCCCGCCACTGCGCCCAGCTAATTTTTTTGTATTTTTAGAAGAGACGGGGTTTCACCGTGTTAGCCAGGATGGCCTCGATCTCCTGACCTCGTGATCCGCCCGCCTTGGCCTCCCAAAGTGCTGGGATTACAGGCGTGAGCCACTGCACCTGGCCCAGTGAGCTTTCTTATAATGTCCTGTGAGATCTCCCAGGAATCCCAAGGGCCTGGACCAGAGGACTGCAAGTCACAGCCTGTAAGCAGCCCCCTTCTCAACCCAATGCTCTTGCCTTGCTGACTCACTCATTTAAAAAAAAAATAGTTGGCTGGGCACAGTGGCTCACACTTGTAATTCCAGCACTTTGGGGAGGCCGAGGGTGTGCAGATCACCTGAGGTCAGGAGTTCGAGACCAGCCTGGCCAACATGGTGAAACCCCGTCTCTACTAAAAATACAAAAAAAAATTAGCGGGGCATGGTGACACAGGCCTGTAATCCCAGCTACTCGGGAAGCTGAGGCAGGAGAATCGCTTGAACCCGGAAGGTGGAGGTTGCAGTGAGCCAAGATCGCAGCACTGCACTCCAACCTGGGCAACAAGAGCGAAACCCCGTCTCAAAAAACAAAAAAGAAAAGTTATTGTGCGACTCATAACATGAATGAACCTCACAAACAATATGCTGAATAAAAGAAGTTGGGGGCCGGGCACGGTGGCTCACGCCTGTAATCTCAGCACTTTGAGAGGCTGAGGCGGATGGATCATGAGGTCAGGAGATTGAGACCATGGTGAAACCCTGTCTCTACTAAAAATACAAAAAATTAGCCAGGTGCGGTGGCGGGCATCTGTAGTCCCAGCTACTCAGGAGGCTGACGCAGGAGAATGGTGTGAACCTGGGAGGCGGAGCTTGCAGTGAGCCGAGATCACACCACTGCACTCCAGCCTGGGCGACAGAGCGAGACTCCATCTCAAAAACAAACAAACAAAAAAAAGAAGTTGGGGCCGGGTGCAACAGCTCACGCCTATAATCCCAGTTCCACTTTGGGAGGCTGAGGCAGGCAGATCACGAGGTTGGGAGTTCGTGACCAGCCTGGCCAGCATGGTGAAACCCCATCTCTACTAAAAATACAAAAAATTAGTTGGGCATGGTGGCGCACGCCTGTAATCCCAGCTACTCGGGAGGCTGAGGCAGGAGAACTGCTTGAACCTGGGAGGCGGAAATTGCACTGAGCCAAGATCGCGCCACTGCACTCCAGCCTGGGTGACAGAGTGACACTCTGTAGCAAAAAAAAAAAAAAAGAAGAAGTTGGACACGATTTCATTTATATTAAGTTCTACAACAGGCAAAACTAACCTCTCGTGAAAGAAAACAGAAAGGTAGTTTGTCTTGGGGGAAGGATCACTGGGAAGGGCCATGAGGACATTTTCTGAAGGGCTGGAAATGTTCTATATCTTGAATGAGGGGTGGGTTACATGAGTATATATACCTTTATCAAAACTGAAAGAATTGTACCCTTTAAGATTTGTAGGCCAAGTGCAGTGGCTCATGCCTGTGATCCCAGCACTCTGGGAGGTCGAGGTGGGTGGATCGCTCGAGCCCATAAGCTCTAGACCAGCCTGGGCAACATGGCAAAACCTTGTCTCTACAAAAAAATACAAAAATTAGCTGGATGTGGTGGCATGCGCCTGTAATCCCAGCGACTTGGGAGCTGAGGTGGGAGGATCACCTGAGCCCAGGAGGTTGTGGCTGTAATGAGCTGTGATTGCACCACTGCACTCCAGCCTGGGAGACAGAGTGGGACCTTGTCTCAAAAAAAAAAAAGGATTGCACATTTCACTGTATGGAAATTTTACCTTAAAAAGAAAGGCCTAGGCCAAGTGTAGTGGCTCACTCCTGTAACCCCAGCACTTTGGGAGGCCAGGACGAGTGAATCACCTGAGGTCAGGAGTTTGAGACCAGCCTCGCTAACATGGTGAAACCCCATCTCTACTAAAAACGTAAAAATTAGCCGGGTGTGGTGGTGCACACCTGTAATCCCAGCTACTTGGGAGGCCCGAGGCAGGAGAATCGCTTGAATCCAGGAGGTGGAGATTGCAATGAGCCAAGATTGTGCCACTGCACTCCAGCCTGGGCAACAGAGCGTGACTCCATCTCAAAAAAAAAAAAAAAAAAAAAAAAAAGGCCAGAGGAGACAACTGAGTGCTAGACAGGCAAGGGCCCTGACCTTTGTGAACTTTTAGTCCTGAAATGACAGGCAGGTAACTAAGCAAACACAGTAGACAGCATTAAATGCAATGATTATGGTATTATGGGCCACTGAAAGGAGGGGCCCCTTATAGGGGAGGGGCACTGAACCCATTCTGGATGGTCAGGAAAGTGTTCCTGGAGGAAGCAAAGTGCTAAAGGATGAATAGGAGTTAATCAGGATAGAAAGAATGGAAAGACCATCCCAAGCAAAAGACACATCACATGCAAAATCCTGAAGGCACAAGTGCATAAAGCATATGAGGACCTGAGGAGATTTGCTTTGCTTTGCTGAAGAGCAGAGGATGGGTTGGGGCATGGTAAAAGATGAGGCAGAAACATCTGGCAGGACCCAGCTCATCATCTGGGAAGCCACGCGAAGGACCACGGTGAGCCATGGACAGGTATATCCTCATGTTCAGCTATGTTCTATCTTTCTATTCCTCCCACCCCTCAGAGCCCAAGGCTAAGCCAAGCCTCCTTTTGGCCCAATCAGCAATGCCCAGTCACTCTTCTGGACCTCCAGGACAGAGCCTGAAAGGGACCCTGACTGACATGCATGGCCAACACCAGGAGGCTTAGCTTCTATGGCCTTGCTTGCATCTCTGCTCCTTGGTGGGCCTACCTCTGCAAACCTGTCCTAGGGGCCTCCTCTCTGCCAAGCCTTGTCCTGGACCCAAGACTCAGATGTGCTTCCGAGGTGATCCTGGCCTTGAGGAGCTTCCAGTCTAATGGGGAAATACAGGCAGGAAAATTAGTATAATGGGGTGAAAAGTACTTTGGAAAAGGGCCCCTGAGCAGTGTGACTTCTGTGTCTGCTCTGGGTGCAGTGCCTTCTTGCAGCTAGGTCTCTTTTGCCCATCTCATCCTTCCCTGGCCAGGGTTCAGCATCAACTAGCACAGCACCACATCCTGGCACCAGGCTGATGACTCTAAAGCACACCTTGGCATGGGTCCCTCCACTGCTAAAAATCCTCTATCTCCGCTGGGCCTAAGTCAAAGTCCAAGCTCTTTTGCCTGGCACATCCACAGGCCTGGTATGGATTGGGTGGAAGTAAATGTCTGCTGAAAGAGTAGGTGACGTAATGACCCAGTGGATGAGTGAGCAGGTAAGAGAAGAGTGAAGCATGAGCAAGTAAGGCAATGAGTGAATAAACAGTCAGCAAAGAGAAAGTCAACAAGTCCATGAATTACCATCAGTCCCCTCCCATCTTCAGTACACTGCAAGTTACCCAAGGATAGGGAACATGTGTGTCAGGCCCCACCATACCCCACCCTGGACACCTGGCCTAATAATATACAAGACACGCTCAATAACTATTTGCTAACTAAATAAGTTAATCAGCGAGTGGACAAGTGACTCCAGATGCTGACCAGAAGGGCTGGGATTGGGTTGAGCAGGGTAGGGTGACTCACGGGTGCTGCAGCACGTTGGAGCACAGCGCTGGGTCCACCTTCTGCCAACAGCCCAGATGGGCGGCGGCCTTGTGCAGCAGGTCACAGTAGCTGGCAGGCAGCAGGTGCTGCATGAGGATCACGGAGGTGCTGATGGACACCAGCAGGAAGAGTTCACAGGACCAGCGCTTGTCATAGTAATGTGTGTTCTGGGGGTAGCAGAAGGTGGGTGAGGCCTGGGATCCCCATAATGGCCTCATTCCCTTTCCTTCCCTGATTCTACCTGACTGAGAGGTTAGGACAGTCCTGGGGAGACCTCAGAATAGCCTGAAACCAAGAATCAAACACCCAACAAACAAGGCTTAGGCCCTGTGCCCACTAGTTGGTTTTCTACAAGGAAATTTGCTCCCACTGCCCACCACTCTGAGCCAGAGAACAGGCTCTGGGGTCCAAGAGACCTGAATTCAAATCTGGGCTCTTTTGCTTATTTATGTGACATTGGGCTAGTCACTTACCTTCTCTGTGCTTTAGTTTCCTCATCTGTCAAATGAGGATAGAGCAACTACTAGGCCCAGCGCAGTGGCTCACACCTGTAATCCCGGCACTTTGGGAGGCCGAGGTGGGCAGATCACGAGATCAGGAGTTTGAGACCAGCCTGGCCAATATAGTGAAACCCTGTCTCTACTAAAAATACAAAAATTAGCCGGGCGTGGTGGCGTGTGCCTGTAGTCCCAGCTACTCAGGAGGCTGAGGCAGAAGAATAGCTTGAACCTGGGAGGCAGAGGTTGCAGTGAGCCAAGATCACAACACTGCACTCCAGCCTGGGCAACAGAGCAAGACTCCGCCTCAAAAAAAAAAAAAAAAAAAAAAAAAAAGGCCAGGCGCAGTGGCTCACACCTGTAATCCCAGCACTTTGGGAGGCCAAGGTGGGTGGATCACAAGGTCAGGAGATCGAGGCCATCCTGGCTAACACGGTGAAACCCCATCTCTACTAAAAATACAAAAAATTAGCCGGGCGTGGTGGCGGGCGCCTGTAGTCCCAGCTACTCAGGAGGCTGACGCAGAAGAATGGCGTGAACCCGGGAGGCGGAGCTTGCAGTGAGCCCAGATTGTGCCACTGTACTCCAGCCTGGGCAACAGAGCGAGACTCTGTCTCAAAAACAAAACAAAACAAAACAAAACAAAAAAAAAGCAACCATGAACCACCTCCAAGAGGCGCTAGGAGGATTGTAACACTTATGAAAGCTCCAGGCGTGTTACAGGTGCTCAAAAGACATTAAGGGCCGGGCGCAGTGGCTTACGCCTGTAACCTCAGCACTTTGGGAGGCTAAGTTGGGTGGATCACTTGAGGTCAGGAGTTCGAGACTGGCCTGGCCAATATAGCGAAACCCCGTCTCTACTAAAAATACAAAAATTAGCCGGGCATGGTGCTGCACACCTGTAGTCCCAGACATTCAGGAGGCTAAGGTAGGAGAATTGCTTGAACCCAGGAGGCAAAGGCTGCAGTGAGCCAAGATTGCGCCACTGCACTCCAGCCTGGGCCATAGAGCAAGACCTAGTCTTAAAAAAAAAAAAAAAAAAAAAAAAAAAAAAGGGCCGGGCTTGGTGGCTCATGGCTATAATTCCTGCACTTTGGGAGGCCGAGGTGGGTGGATCACCTGAGGTCAGGAGTTCAAGACCAGCCTGGCCAACATGATGAAACCCCGTCTCTACTAAAAATACAGAAATTAGTTGGGTGTGGTGGTGCTCGCCTGTAATCCCAGCTACTTGGGAGGCTGAGGCAGGAGAGTTGCTTGAACCTGGGAGGTGGAGGATGCAGTGAGCTAAGATCGCACCACTGCACTCCAGCCTGGGCGACAGAGCGAGACTCCGTCTAAAAAAAAAGAGAGATTAAGTTCTCTCAAGCCCACTGCAGCTTGCAGCTGAGGAGGTACCTTCCCAGGAGACTGAGAGGTTAGGACAAAGAGAGCACAGGCTTTTGGGATCACTCAAATCTGGATGAACACTGGCTTCCTTACTAAATGATAAAACCAGACATTGTGACATGTCTGTGTTACAACAGCTGCTGAAATACAAACTCACTAGTCTTTGTAATCAAGTATTACGAATAACAATGCCATGTCTCCCTCATTGGCTGGGTGACCTTGGACAGGTCACTTCCCTTCAGTGAGTCTAGTTCTCTGCACTCTAAAATGGACACAGGCTGGGGTGTGGTGGCTCATGCCTGTAATCCCAACACTTTGGGAGGCCAAGGTGGGCGGATCACTTGGGGCCAGGAGTTTGAGACCAGACTGGCCAACATCATGAAACCCCGTCTCTACTAAAAATACAAAAATTAGCTGGGCATGGTGGCACATGTCTATGATCCCAGCTACTTGGGAGGCTGATGCAGGAGAACTGCTTGAACCTGGGAGGTGGAGGTTGCAGTAAGCCGAGATCGTGCCACTGTACTCTAGCCTGGCCAACAGAATGAGACTCTGTCTCAAAAAAATAAAGTAAAATAAAAAATAAAAAAAGTAAAATAAAATGGACACAGGCTGGATGTAGTGGCTCACGCTTGTAATCCCAACACTTTGGGAAGCTGAGGCAGGAGGACCATTTAAGACTAGGAATTCTGAGACCAGCTTGGGCAGCATAGTGAGACTCCATCTCTATAAAAAATTTTAAAATTAGTTGGGCATGGTAGCTCATGCCTGCAGTCACAGCTACTCAAGAGGCTGAGACAGGAGGATCACTTGAGACCAGGAGGTTGAGGCTGCAGTGACCCATGATTGTGCCACTGCACTCCAGTGTAGGTGACAGAGCAAGACCCTGTCTCTAAAAATAAAAAATAAAATGGAGATAGTAGTCACTCCAGTCCTCCAGAGATGGGAAATCACATCAAAAACAGCATAGTTAGGCCAGCAGGAGAACTCACATCGGGCAGGCAGCAGGGTAAAGTCCCAGCTAGTCCCTTTCCCTCCCTGGCTTGAGGTACGCACCTTCACGAACCAGACAGGCACAAAGGCCACATAGTAGGCGCTCAGCATGGAGCTGACGAGCACTTCCTTCATGCGCCAGTTGAAGTCCATCTTGAGGAACTCCACCTCACTGCGGATGAGGCTGGGTGACAGGCAGCAGGCATGGGTGGGCATGGCGTCCGGGCCATACAGCTGTCTTGTGTGCTGCTTCCACGTCTCCCGCAGTGTCAGGAGGTAGTCCCGGCTCTTTGCCAGGCCACTGACCGCCTCCCGGGGCCCCATGGAGGCCATGTGGTTGAAGAGGCTTGTCTTGCGGAGGTCGCAATTCAGCTGCAGGAACGGAATGTACATCCCAAACCTGCTGGGGAAGACGGTGGTGAGGGAAGGCCTGCCCATGGGCCAGGATCCCAACTCTCAGCCACTGAGGGGATCTTCTTTCCTTCCTGGGCCTCAGCTCTCCTGGCTGCCCAGAGGGGAGAATTTACCAGTCCTTCCATCCATCCACCCTACCATCCAATGGCCAGTCACTCAGCACACGTATTACCACTCGGTACGTGCCAAGCACTAGGGGTATAGCAGAAATGCTGACACTGGGGCTACAGTAGGAAGCAAGAGACAAGTCCCTGCACTCGCAGCCTAGGGATGACTAACAGCAACAGCCCACATTCGCTGGGCTCGGCCTATGTTCCAGGCACTGTACCGAATGCTTTCAGGCAAACGCTTTTCTCATAACAACACTATTCATTAGGTGCTGTTATTTTGTCCCCTTTTCAGCTGAGGAAGCCTTGGCTCAGAAAGGTGAAGTAAATTCCCAAAGCTTACACATTAGTAAGGAAGTGATAGGGCAGGTGGGGGTGGGACTCAAAATCAGAACTGTTTGGTACCAAAGATCAAGGCACCTACTCAACAAATCATTATGAGTAATTAGTTAAAAGTGTACACAGAGGACAAGCACGGTAGCTCATGTCTGTAATCCCAGCACTTTGGGATGCCGACGTGGGAAGATCACGTGAGCCCAGGAGTTCAAGACCAGCCTGGGCAACATAGTGAGACCCCATCTCTACAAAACAAATTTAAAAATTAGGCAGGTATGGGCCAGGCGCAGTGGCTCACGCCTGTAATCCCAGCACTTTGGGAGGCTGAGGTGGGCGGATCACAGGGTAAGGAGATTGAGACCATCCTGGCTAACATGGTGAAACCCCGTCTCTACTAAAAAATACAAAAAATTAGCCGGGCGTGGTGGCGGGCGCCTGTAGTCCCAGCTACTCGGGAGGCTGAGGCAGGAGAATGGCGTGAACCCGGGAGGTGGAGCTTGCAGTGAGCCGAGATCGCGCCACTGCACTCCAGCCTGGGCGACAGAGCGAGACTCCGTCTCAAAAAACAAAAAAACAAAAAACAACAACAACAACAAAAAAAAATTAGGCAGGTATGGTGGTACATGCCTATAGTCCCAGCTACTCAGGCTGAGGTAGGAGGATCACCTGAACCTAGGAGGTTGAGGCTGCAGTGACCCATGATTGTGCCACTGCACTCTGGCCGGGCAGAGTAAGACTTTGTCTCAGAAAAAAAAAAATACACGCACAAGAGAGGTATAAGTAATGAGTTGTTATGGGTGCATATGAGAACAGCTCTTTAGTTTGCAGAGGGCGGTTCAGGAACAAATATGTATGTGTTTATTACGTACCAGGCACTGAAATGGGCCCTTGAACAGAACAAATCCTTTCCCCTGAGCAGCACCCTGAGAGCAGGGCTGGAGCTAATTATGTGTGTGGCTGCTATTGTATGCGGAGAAAACTAGATGGGCCCATAGTCTAGAAAAGTAATTATAAAAACTGAGTAAGTGCCATGCCCATCATAGTAGGGGCTTTTATAAATATTCCCTTTTTCAGCTTGGGGCCTCTCAATTTCCCCAGGTCCTCAGAATTACACACCCCCACAAGGGTTCCTGGGCTGCCCCCAGGAGTTAGGGCTGATCACAATGCTACATTTCTTTTCTTTTTTTTTGAGACAGAGTCTCACTCTGTTGCTCAGGCTGGAGTGCAGTGCCGCGATCTTAGCTCACTGCAACCTCCGCCTCCTGGGTTCAAGCGATTCTCCCACCTCAGTCTCCCGAGCAGCTGGGATTACAGGCACCCGCCATCATGCCCAGCTAATTTCTGTATTTTTGTAGAGATGGGGTTTCATGATGTTGGCCACGCTGGTCTTGAACTCCTGACCTCCACCCGCCTCAGCCTCCCAAAGTGCTGGGATTACAGGCGTCAGCTACTGCACCTGGCTGACAATGCTACATTTCAGGAGGCAGAGGTTGCAATGAGCCGAGATCACACCACTGCACTCCAGCCTGGGTAACAGAGTGAGACTCCATTTAAAAAAAAAAAAAAAATCTCCTTTTACTTTTTTCTGGGGGTCCCAAGAAGAAATATCTGAGTGTCCCTGGCAAGTCATTTAGCCTCCCTGAGTTTCTGTTTTCCAGTCTATAAAATAGGGATGCTACCATAATTGTGGTCAATTATACTGTACAGTCCGTAATATAAAAACAGAACTGTGGTCAAGAGCACAACCTTTAGGGTCAAACAGGCCTGGATCAAAATCCCAGCTCTGGGCTGGGTGTGGTGGTTCAAACCTGTAATCCCAGCACTTCGGGAGGCAGAGGTAGAGAAACTGCTTGAGCCATGAGATCAAGACCAGCCTGGGCAAGATGGCGAAACCCTTGTCTCTACAAAAAATACAAAAAGTAGCCAGACTACATGCCTATAGTTGCAGCTATTTGGGAGGTGGAGGTGGGAAGATCACCTGATCCTAGCGGGGTTCAAGGCTGCAATGAGCTGAGATCACACTACTGCACTCCAGCCTGGGTGACAGAATGAGACCCTGTCTAAAAAAAAAAAAAAAAAAAAAAAATTCCCAGCTCTGCCACTTACTAGCTCTGTGATTTATGGCAAGTTATTTAACCTCTATGAGCCTCAGTTTCCTTAACTTGCCCTAAATTACATAGCTTGTATTGATCCCACTCTCAGCAAGGTATTACACTAGTTTTCTCATAAATACTGTCTTTTAGTCCTACAACAACCCTTAGCATAGTTTCTGGCCCAGAATAGATGATCAATAGAATTTTGACTAGAAAAGGAAGAGGCCAGTGATTCTATGGGGACAGGAAAAAAGACTAAAATGGCATTCCCGAAATACTCTTCAGGGTATCTTGTGGTAATGAGGGGGCGGGGGCACCTATGTGAACATACAAAGGTCTCCAGCTTAAACTTAAAGAATCTCGCTGGCTTTGTCTCTAAGAAGGACTGCAGATAGGTCCTATGATCAATTAAATTATTTGGTGACAGACTGCTCTGACAGGTTAGAAGTTAGAAGCAGCTTCATATGCATGATAGCAGATTCCCTCCCACCTCCTCCACCCTACATGTGAGTCTATCAAAGTAGAAAATAAATCTGTATCAGAAAAAAAAAAAAAAAAAATGGGAGTGAGGGTCATCAGTGCACAAATGATTCTGACAAATTTAGAAAGCAGATGGAGACATGATGACAGACGAAGAAGCAGTCATGGTCTAGAGCATCGCTTTCCAACAGAAAGATGAGTCACATAATTTTTATTTTTATTTTTTTTGAGACGGAGTCTGGCTCTGTCACCCAGGCTGGAGGGCAGTGGCGAGACCTTGGCTCACTGCAAGCTCCGCCTCCCAGGTTCACACCATTCTCCTGCCTCAGCCTCCCGAGTAGCTGGGACTACAGGCGCCCGCCACTATACCCGACTAATTTTTTTGTATTTTTGGTAGAGACGGGGTTTCACCATGTTAGCCAAGATTGTCTCAATCTCCTGATCTCGTGATCGCCCACTTCGGCCGCCCAAAGTGCTGGGATTACAGGCATGAGCCACCGTGCCTGGCTTTTTTTTTTGGAGATGGAGTCTGGCTCTGTCACCCAGGCTGGAGTACAGTGGCGAGATCTCAGCTAACTGCAAGCTCCACCTCCCAGGTTCACGCCATTCTTCTGCCTCAGCCTCCTGAGTAGCCGGGACTACAGGCGCCCGCCACCAGAGTCACATAATTTAGCCACATTAAAAAACAGAAGAGATGGGCCAGGTGTGGTGGCTCATGCCTGTAATCCCAGCACTTAGGGAGGCTGAGGCGGATGGATCACGAGGTCAGGAGATTGAGACGATTCTGGCTAACACAGTAAAACCCGTCTCTACTAAAAATACAAAAAATTAGCCGGGCGTGGTGGCAGGCGCCTGTAGTCCCAGCTACTCGGGAGGCTGAGGCAGGAGAATGGTGTGAACCTGGGTGGCGGAGCTTGCAGTGAGCAGAGATTGTGCCACTGCACTCCAGCCTGGGTGACAGACTCCGTCTCAAAAAAAAAAGAAAAAAAAAAAGAGAGATGAAATTATTATTATTATTATTTTGAGACAGTTTCACTCTTGTCGCCCAGGTTGGAGTGCAGTGGCATGATCTCGGCTCACTGCAACCTCTGCCTCCCAGGTTCAAGCGATTCTCCTGCCTCAGCCTCCCTAGTAGCTGGGATTACAAGCATGCACCACCACGCCTGGCTAATTTTGTGTTTTTAGTAGAGACGGGGTTTTTCCATGTTGGTCAGGCTGGTCTCGAACTCCTGACCTCAGGTGATCCGCTCGCTTTGGCCTCCCAAAGTGCTGGGATTACAGGTGTGAGCCACCGCACCCGGCCTTTTTTTTTTTTTTTTTTTTTTGTGAGACGGAGTCTCACTCTGTGCCCCAGACTGGAGTACAGTCGTGCATTCTCGGCTCACTGCAACCTCCCCCTCCCGGGTTCAAGAGATTCTCCTGCATCAGCCTCCTGAAATTAATTTTAAGATTCTATTTTACTTAACCCAATACATGCAAATACTATCACTTCAACATATAATGAATATTTTGAGATGTTTTACTTTCTTTTTTTTAATTAAGACAGGGTCTTGCTGTGTTGCGCAGGCTGCTGGAGGGCAGTGGCATAATCATGGCTCACTGCAGCCTCTACCTCCTAGGCTCAGGTGCTGGCACACACCTGTAGTCCCAGCTATTCAGGAGCAATCCTCTGACCTCTCGAGTAGCTGGTACTTCAGGTGCGTGCCACCATGCCCAACTAATTTTTATATTTTCTGTAGAGACAGGGTTCTGCCATGTTGCCCAGACTGGTCTCAAGCTCCTGGGCCTGATCCACCCTGCCTTGGCCTCCCAAAGTGTTGGGATTACAGGTGTGAGCCACTGTGCCCAGCCTCAGTTTCTCTCTCTTTTTTTTTTTTTGAGACAGGGCCTGGCTCTGTTTCCCAGGCTAGAGTGCAGTGGTGCAATCTCAGTTTATTGCAACCTCCACCTCCCAGGCTCAAGCCATCCTCCCACCTCAGCCTCCAAAGTAGCTGGGACTACAGGTGCAGGCTACCATGCCCAGCTAATTTTTGTATTTTTGGTAGAGATGGCATTTTGCCAAGTTGCCCAGGCTGGTCTCAAACTCCTGAGCTCAAGCCATCCGCCTGCCTCAGTCTCTCAAAGTGCTGGGATTACAGGCATGGGCCACCATGCCCAGCCTACTTTCTTTTTTGTGTGTGTACTAAGGGTTCAGAATCGGTGTGTATTTTACACTTAGAGCACATCTCAACTCAGACTACCCTATTTCATGTGCTCAATAACCAGGGGGGCTAGTAGCTACTCAACTGGACGGTACAAGTCTAGAATATGGCATGAGCGAACTGGACTGGAGGTGGGAGCTTATCTACCCAGAGTGACCCAAGAGAGACTCTGCCTTGAAGTGGGCACATATGATAGAAGATGAAGTGGGGAGCAGGTATGAATAAATGGGATTAAACAATGACCTATGTTTATTTATAAGAGTCAGTCCCTTTATTCCCCTACTCACCTCATACAACACACCCTGAAGGATTCTTTTCTAAAGAAATTGAGTAAACTGAGAATTGAGGTCTCTAATGGCGATATCTTAGAGTAACACCCCCACCACTCCCTTTCTGGCCTACGGAGGCTCAAAGCCTAACAACCAGCACTTCACTCACTCATCCTCAAAGCAAAGCCTGCCAGTCAGTGTGCCCTGCCCATGTACTTAAAGTTTCCAGTCAAAGCTCTTACCCCCTTAAACAATGACAGAGAGAAAGAAACTGCACTCCTGCTACTCAGTCCTTCATTTTTACATATAAAGAGACAAGCAAACAAGCCAACTATACTTGGAAAACAAGCAGCATGAAACAGAAAAATTGACCCCAGTGAAAAGACAAAATTGAGGAAAATAAGGGAATTTTTTTTTTTTTTTTGAGACAGAGTCTCGCTCTGTTGCCCAGGCTGGAGTGCAGTGGCGCAATCTCAGCTCACTGCAACCTCCACCTCCCGGGTTCAAGCAATTCTCCTGCCTCAGTCTCCCGAGTAGCTGAGATTACAGGCATGCACCACCACACCCAGCTAATTTTTGTATTTTTAGTAGAGACAGGGTTTCACCATGTTGGCCAGGCTGGTCTTGAACTCCTGACCTTGTGATCCACCCACCTTGGCCTCCCAAAGTGCAGGGATTACTGGCGTGAGCCACCACGCCCAGCCAAATAAGAGATTTTTAAAACAAGAATAGTATGCTATGAGAAAAGAACAATCAGCAAACATAGAGGCCTTAGAGATGAAAAATATGATTGCTGAAAAAATCTCAGTAAAAAAGCTAGAAGATAAAGTTGAGGAAATCTCTCCAAAGGCAATGCACATACAAAGAGAGAGAGAGAGAGAGATTAAATATTAGAGAAATATAGGAGAAAAAGATGACCAATCTATGAGGTCTACCATCTGATGAACAGAAATCCAGAGATAATAGAAAAAATTAAAAGGAAGATATTATCAAAGAAATATCAAAGGAAAATTTCCCCAAGCTAAAGAAGTACTCAAATCTCCAGGTTAAAAAAGTCCTAGAGTCCTGAAAGGATGAATGACAAACGTCCCACAACAGACACATCCTTTGAAATTTCAAGTAATCAAAAGATAAACAGAA
This sequence comes from Homo sapiens, assembly GCF_000001405.40. Classification (NCBI taxonomy): domain Eukaryota; kingdom Metazoa; phylum Chordata; class Mammalia; order Primates; family Hominidae; genus Homo; species Homo sapiens. The sequence continues at coordinate 32,085,034 of NC_000001.11, read as the reverse complement.
TATTCCTCAATGCTTTCAGAAAGGAAAATACAAGTCATCTATAAAAGAATTGGAATCAAACTCAAACTGGCACCAGACTTCTCACTAGCAACACTGGATACTAGAGACAATGGAATAATAACTGCAAAAGTTCTGAGAATGTGAATTTGAACTTAGAAATCTACACTGAGACTGGGTGCGATGGCTCACACCTGTAATCCCAGCACTTTGGGAGGCTGAGGTGGGTGGGTCACGAGGTCAGGAGTTTGAGACCAGCCTGACCAACATGGTGAAACCCCGTCTCTACTAAAAATACAAAAATTAGCTGGGCATGGTGGCGTGCCTGTAATCCCAGCTACTCAGGAGGCTGAGGCAGGAGAATCACTTGAACTCGGGAGGCGGAGGTTGCAGTGAGCTGAGATCGTGTCATTGCACTCCACCCTGGGCGACAGAGCGAGACTCTGTCTCAAAAATAAAAAAACAAAAAAAAAGAAATCTACATTCAGCCAAACTATCAATCAAGTATGAGGGCAGAATAAACACACTTTTAGACATGCAAGGACTCATCTCCAACGTACCCATTGTTAAAGTAATTACCTGATAATTTACTCCAGCAAAATAAGAAAACCAAGAAAGAGGAAGACATGGGATTCAGGAAGCAGGGGGTCCAACCCAGGAGGGCAGCAAAGGGAAGTCCCAGGCTGAGAGCTGTACAGCAGACCTAAAGAGCAAACACTCCAGACTGCAGCAGGAGGAGGAAGGGCTCCAGGAGGGATGCCTTTGTAGGGGGAAGCAGGGAGAAGGAAATGGACTCCAGGCAACAGGCAGTATGACTGAGAGGCTGGATAAACTTGAGGATATGATGAAGGCTCATCATTCTTTTGTCAATAAGAAAAAAGAAAGGCAATTAGAAAGTCCAAGAAAAATAAAAAGCCATATAAGAAAGCTATGGTGTAAACATGAAGCAAACTAAAATGTGCTATGATTTTAAGTAACTGATAGAATGTAAGAAAAATCATTTCACCTTGACACTAGGAACATTTGTGTGTGTGTGTGTGTGTCTGTGTGTCTGAAACAGGGTCTTGCTCTATTGCCCACGCTGGAGTGCAGTGGAACAATCTCAGCTCACTGTAACCTCTGGCATTAGCTGGGCATGGTAGCCTGTACCTGTAGTCCCAGCTACTTGGGAGGCTGAGATGGGAGGATGGCTTGAGCCAGTGAGGCAGAGGTTGCAATAAACTGAGATTGCACCACTGCCTCCTGGGTTCAAGCGATTCTTATACCTTAGCCTCCTGAGTAGCTGGGAGTACAGGTCCTTTAAAGAAGTCCTTTAAGGCTGGGCACGGTGGCTCACACCTGTAATCCCAGCACTTTGGGAAGCTGAGATGGACGGATCACGAGGTCAGGAGATCGAGACCATCCTGACTAACACGGTGAAACCCCGTCTCTACTAAAAATACAAAAAATTAGCCAGGCGTGGTGGCGGGCGCGTGTAGTCCCAGCTACTCGGGAGGCTGAGGCAGGAAAATCGCTTGAAACTGGGAAGTGAAGGTTGCAGTGAGCCAAGATTGCACTATTCCACTCCAGCCTGGGCAACAACGGCGAATCTCCATCTCAAAAAAAAAAAAAAAAAAAAAAAAAAAAAAGAAGTCCTTTAAAAAAATGTTCCTGCCGGCCAGGCGTGGTAGCTCACACCTGTAATCCCAGCACTTTGGGAAGCTGAGGTGGGTGGATCACCTGAGGTCGGGAGTTCGAGACCAGCCTGACCAACATGGAGAAACCCCATCTCTACGGAAAATACAAAATTAGCTGGGCATGGTGGCGCATGCCTGTAATCCCAGCTACTCGGGAGCTGAGGGAGGAGAATCACTTGAACTTGGGAGGCGGAGGCTGCAGTGAGCAGAGATGGCGCCATTGCACACCAAGGCTGGGCAACAAGAGCAAAACTCCGTCTCAAAAAAAAAAAAAAAAAAAAAAAACCAGGCTGGGCGCGGTGGCTCACGCTTGTAATCCCAGCACTTTGGGAGGCTGAGGCGGGTGGATCACGAGGTCAGGAGATCGAGACCATCCTGGCTAACACGGTGAAACCCCGTCTCTACTAAACATACAAAAAACTAGCCAGGCGTGGTGGCGGGTGCCTGTAGTCCCAGCTACTCGGGAGGCTGAGGCTGGAGAATGGCGTGAACCCAGGAGGCAGAGCTTGCAGTGAGTTGAGATCGTGCCACTGCACTACAGCCTGGGCGACAGAGCGAGACTCCGTCTCAAAAAAAAACAAAAAACAAAAAACAAAAAAAGTTCCTGGCTGGGCTTGGTGGTTCATGCCTGTAATCCCAGCACTTTGGGAGGCCAAGATGAATGGATCACTTGAGGTTGGGAGTTCGAGACCAGCCTGGCAAACATGGCGAAACCCCATCTCTACTAAAAATACAAAAAATTAGCTGGGCGTGGTGGTGCACACCTGTAATCCCAGCTACTCGGGAGGTTGAGGCAGGAGAACTGCTTGAACCTGGGAGGCGGAGGTTGCAGTGAGCTGAGATTGTGACACTGCACTCCAGCCTGGGTGACAGAGAGAGACTCCATCTCAAAAAAAATAAAAATAAAAATAAATAAATAAAGAGGTCCAAGACTGTAACTCTGTAACTACAGAGAAGAAATGTCATGTATGCATACTACTGGGCCCTGGAGTGAATGATATTTTCATACACATAATTATATCAAAGCCACATACTGGTTTTTAATTTTCAGAATTAGGCTTAGACAAAGAATGGAAGGCTTAAATGTGGTTACATAGGAGAATGTGAATGTCAAGCTTGACGATATAAAAGTAAAAATACAGCTGCCAGGAAGTGAAAAGAGGAAGAGGGGAGGAAAAGTGGTTGGATAGGGTGCCTAATATTCTTGTCTTACATAAAAAGTATTCAAGATACTATTGTTGATGGAAAAAAAAAGTATAGGGATACTTATACTATTGATGAAAATAACCAACAGAAACTTAAAAATATTAAAAGCTATCAATTACTGGGAACAGTAAGGATGGGATCGTGAGCTAAATCATCTGTCATTGCAGGGAATCAATATACTTGCATATGTGTGTATGTGGTATGTTTGTATATGCGTAGAACATTTGTTTCCAGGATATACAAGAAACCAAAAACATTGATAATTACCTCTTGGAAAGGAAACTGGGTGGCTGGGAGGCAGCAGTCAAGGGGAGACTTTTTCATGGTATACTCTTTTAAACCTTCTGAATTTTAACTATGTAAACCTCTTATTCAATTCTAAAATAAATCAATAATTTTCTTTTTTTTGAGACAGAGTCTCACTCTATTGCCCAGGCTGGAGTGCAGTGGTGCAAACTCAGCTCGCTGCAACCTCCACCTCCCAGTTTCAAGCAATTCTCCTGCCTCAGCCTCCCAAGTAGCTGGGACTACAGGCGTGCACCACCACACCTGGCTAATTTTTGTATTTTTAGTAGAGAAAGGGTTTCACCATGATGGCCAGGCTGGTCTTGAACTCCTGACCTCAAGTGATCCATTCACCTTGGCCTTCCAAAGTGCTGGGATTACAAGCGTGAGCCACCACGCTTGGCCAATAAATAAATTTTTAAAAAGAATAAGCAGGCTAGGTACAGTGGCTGATGCCTGTAGTTCCAACTACTCAGAAGGCTGAAGTGGGAGGACGGCTTGAGCCTGGGAGGCAGAGGTTGCAGTGAGCCGAGATTGCACCACTGCACTCCAGCCTGGGCAACAGAGCCAGACCCTGACTCAGGGTCTTGTCACTCAGGCTGGAGTGCAGTGCCACTTTAGAACTGGATAATAGGTTTACAGACTCTGTCTGTAAACAAACAAACAAACAAACAAACAAATAAAAAAACCCAGAAAGTAAAAGAGACTGCTATTGAAGAGTGGGACTAAAAATCTGGAGGCGGGATTGGAGACTAATGTTTTTCTATGAAGAGTGGGACTAAAAATCTGGAGGCGGGATTGGAGACTAATGTTTTTCTATTTATTTATTTATTTATTTTTAGAGACAGGGTCTCACTCTGTTGTCCACGCTGAAGTGCACTGGTGTGATCATGGCTCACTTCGGCCTCAAATCCACCAGCTAAAGCAATCTTCTCACCTCAGCCTCCCAAGTCACTGAGATCACAGGCATGAGCTACCGTGCCCAGCAATGGTTTTCATTATAAGCTTTTCAGCACTATTGGATTTAATTTTTTACAATATGTTTATATTTGGTCAATAAACATTTTTAAATTAAATAATGAAAAATAAAGCATAATATGACATTGGGTGTTATCTGCATCCATGAAGAAAAGATTCACCAGGTAGTAACCATAAACTGTCAAATTAAGGCAACTCTTTTTTTTTTTTTTTTTTTTGAGACAGAGTCTCACTCTGTTGCCCAGGCTGGAGTGCAGTGGTGCAGTGGTGCGATCTTGGCTCACTGCAAGCTCCGCCTCCCAGGTTCACACCATTCTCCTGCCTCAGCCTCCCGAGTAGCTGGGACTGCAAGTGCCATCCACCATGCCCGGCTAGTTTTTTGTATTTTTTTAGTAGAGACGGGGTTTCACTGTGTTAGCCAGGATGGTCTCAATCTCCTGACCTCGTGATCCACCCGCCTCAGCCTCCCAAAGTGCTGGGATTACAGGCATGAGCCACCGCGTCCGACAGGCAACTCTTAAGTTCTAACCAGTGCAACCCTTTCGAAGGACAATTTGTTAATAACTATGAAAAATCTAAATGAATCCATCTTTTGGTGTAGTTAATTCTTCTGGGAATCTACTGTGCAGAGATACTGGACACATATGCAATTATTCATTGTTATGAATAAGGAAAAGCTAGAAACAACTTAAAAGTTTGCCAGTAGGCCAGGCACGGTGGCTCACGCCTGTAATCACAGCACTTTGGGAGACCAAGGTGGGCGGATCACGAGGTCAGGAGATCGAGACCATCCTGGCTAACACGGTGAAACCCCATCTCTACTAAGAATACAAAAAATTGCCGAGCATGGTGGCTCATGTCTGTAATCCCAGCACTTTGGGAGGCCAAGGCAGGCGGATCACCTGAGACCAGCCTGACCAACATGGAGAAACCCCATCTCTACTAGAAATACAAAATTAGCTGGGCTTGGTGGAGCATGCCTGTAGTCTCAGCTACTTGGGAGGCTGAGGCAGGAGAACTGCTTGAACCCGGGAGTTGGAGGCTGCAGTGAGCCAAGATTGCACCACTGCACTCCAGCCTGGGCAACAGAGCAAGACTCCATCTCAGAAAAAAAAAAAAATTGCCAATAGAAGACAAATAAATTGTGAAAATTCTATAACATAGAATACTGCGAGGCCATTAAAAAAATGAGGCAGCAGGTCATGATGGCGCATGCCCATAGTCCCAGCTACTCAGAAGGCTGAGGTGGGAGGATTGCTTGAGCCGAGGAATTCTATGCTATAATGTGCTATGCCGATGAGGTGCCTGCATAGAAGTTCAGCATCCATATGGTGAACTCCTGGGAGTGGGGGACCACATAATTGCCTAAGGAGGGGATGAACTGGTCCAGGTTAGAAATAGAACAGGTTGGCCAGGCGCGGTGGCTCATGCCTGTAATCCCAGCACTTTGGGAGGCCGAGGCGGGCAGATCATGAGGTCAGGAGATTGAGACCATCCTGGCTAACACGGTGAAACCCTGTCTCTACTAAAAATACAAAAAATTAGCTAGGTGTGGTGGCAGGCGCCTGTAGTCCCAGCTACTCAGGAGGCTGAGGCAGGAGAATGGTGTGAACCCGGGAGGTGGAGCTTGCAGTGAGCCAAGATTGTGCCACTGCACTCCAGCCTGGGCGACAGAGCGAGACTCCATCTCAAAAAAAAAAAAAAAAAGAAAGAAATAGAACAGGTTAAAACTCCTGTGTTGATCAGTAGTGGGAACAGACCTGTGAATAGCCACTGCACTCCAGCCTGGGCAATACAGCAAGACCCTCATCTCTAAAATAAAATAAAATAATGAGACAGACCCGTATGTATTGGCATAGAAAAATATCTGTTATATGATTAAGTGAAAAGTGTGGTAAATTGTACATCATGCATAGCATAATACCATTTTTCTTTTTTAAAAAACTGCATGTGGCCAGGCACAGTGGCTCACATCTGTAATCCCAGCACTTTGGGAGGACAAGGTGGGCAGATCACTTGAGGCCAGGAGTTCGAGACCAGCCTGGCCAACATGATGAAACCCCAACTCTACTAAAAATACAAAAAGTAGCCAGGCGTGGTGGTGGGCACCTGTAATCCCAGTTACTTGGGAGGCTGAGGCAGGAAAATTGCTTGAATCCAGGAGGCAGAGGTTGCAGTGAGCCGAGATCGTGCCACTGCACTCCAGCCCGGGTGACATCAGACTGTCTCAAGAACAAACAAACAAAAAAACTGCATGTGTGTGTACTTGCACAGAAAATATTTTGGGAAAATTGCTGCCAGTAATGGATTTCTGGGGGAATAAGACTATGTGGGACTTTCTTTTTCCATGTTAAAAGCTTCTGTAAAGTTTAATGTTTTTATAAGACATTATAATGTTTTTTTTTTTTAAAGACAGGACCTCACTCCAGTTGCTTAAGCTAGAGTACAGTGGCACAATTTCGGCTCACTGCAGCCTCGACCTCCTGAGCTCAGGTGATTCTCCCACCTCAGCTTCCTGAGTAGCTGGGACTATAGGCGTGCCTCACCACACCTGGCTAGTTTTTTATGTTTTTAGTAGACAGGATTTCGCCATGTTGCCTAGGCTGGTCTCAAACCCCTGGACTCAAGCAATCTGCCTGTCTTGGCCTCCAAAGTGCTGGGATTACAGGTTTGTGCTACTGTGCCTGGCCACATGTCACTCTTATAATTAAAAAGTAGATATAACTGAAGGAAGTGTGACAGGGCTCCCATGCCAGTGCCTTTTTGGACATGCAGGGTAGAAAGGGGGAGGTGCCAGCTCTGAAGCTTCCCAGAGACCAGGATTGACCCAGCTTGAGGAATTTTGTGAACCAGAAAACCTGGGGGTTGGGAAACGACTGTTAATGCTCAGGCAGCCAGCAGCCTGCCCCAGAAGCAGCCAGATCCAACACCTCACCAAAGTTCTCCCTGATGCAAGGCGAGAAATGGGCAGTCCTGGGCACATCCCCGAAACAGTCTCTCCATCCTCAACAATCTAGGGTCTGGTGAGACGGAGAAAGAGAGCAAAAACAGGCACAAAGGCATACACACATGCATATGCAGGCACACACACATGCTTCATGCATAGACACCCACACGCTTCATGCATAGACACCCACACAGAGACATGCAACCATGCAGCTGTTTGCTGGCACACAGACTCAGGGAGATACCAAGAGATTACACAAACACTGAGATACACAAAGAGAGACACAGAGAAAGGGAAAGAACCAGAGGGAGGGGAAAGGAAGAGCGAGGGAGACAAAGCCCATACATTCCCTCTTGGGAATGTTCCTTTGGGATATATATGCAGATCTGAGTCCCATTCTGACCTCCCCCATAGTGAGAGCTGGGTAAATTATGCCACCTCAGTTTCGTCTGCAAAAAAAGGCTAATTATCCTGACCTCAGTGAGTGAGTGTCATCTGACAATGTGAGAGGATGTTGCTGCCTGCCTCCGATCTTCCAGATATGGAGGCCTGGTGAGCCAGCTACGGTCAGGGCAGAGGTCAGGGGCCAGGTGCTGGGCAGTGAGGGGTGAAGTGAGGGGTACTCACGGATAGCAGAGGAACAGGAGGTTCAGGAAGGAGTAGGTCCTGAAGAGGTGGATGAGGGATCGGCACAGACTCCAGCCTGTTGCCGTGAGAACGGTGAAGCGAGTGAGGAACAGCAGGATGGAGCGAAAGAGGGAGACCTTCCCCCTCTGAGAGGCCTGGGTCGGGGCAAGATAGGACGGGATGGGGCCTTGGATGGAGGCCGAAGGGGCTGTGCCCAAATCCCACCCAGCATGACCTGTGATCCCACCCAGGGAGAGGTGGCACAGCAGGCTGGGCAGAACCTGGCAAGGTAAATCCTTCTCTTTGATGCCCAGTAAACTCCAAGATGGGATGTAACTAATGTTCTTCAACCAAGTCCAAAGGGAGCCCCAAGGAAATACCCTAAGGCTGAAGGGCTGGGCATGTTTCCTTGGCATCCCCAGGGGAAAAGGGGAATCCCAAAGTCCCTGGCCAGCCTCTAGGACCCAATCACCTCCTTCACGATGGACCCAATGAAGCGGCGGCCCAGAACGATGGTGGTCACCATCAGCAAGTTGAAGTCGATCAGATGGAAGTTCTGTCAGGGGGCAGAGGCCTGGGGGTCATGTGGGCCCCTTGCCCATATGCAGGCTTTTTTCATACCCACCTCCCGCTGCCCATTTCTTTCCACAGAGACTGTCCTCATTCTCTGACCTTCATCGGCCTCCAGCTGAGTCAGGCCAGGAAATTACCTACAGGAGTAGGACAGGACCCCGAGAAGGGAAGTGGGACAGTCCCTGGGGATAAGAGAGTGGTATGTGAGCCCTCTTGCTCTGCTCACACATGCCCCTGTCCCTATACTGTGTCTGCACTGAAGTCTTTCCTCCCCTTGAAGCACTCATGTATCCCTGTGGTTCATCTCCACTACTGGATTAAGACTCTCAGCTCCTGGCCGGGCGCGGTGGCTCACGCCTGTAATCCCAGCACTTTGGGAGGCTGAGGCGAGTGGATCATTTGAGGTCAGGAGTTCGAGACTAGCCTGACCAACATGGTGAAACCCTGTCTCCACTAAAAATACAAAATTAGCCGGACATGGCGGCACACACCTGTAATCCCAGCTACTCGGGAGACTGAGGCAGGAGAATCGCTTGAAACTGGAAGGCGGAGGTTGCAGTGAGCTAAGATTGCGCCATTCCACTCCAGCCTGGGCAACAACAGCGAAACTCCGTCTCAAAAAAAAAAAAAAAAAAAAAAAAAGAAGAAAAGAAAAGAAAAGGACTCTGAGCTCCTTTAGGCAAAATCTTTGTCAGATTCATCTCCCATACACTTACAGTGCCCAATGTGCTACTAAACACACTAGGAGTATTCAGTGAATCATCAGTTTCCTGTTCCTTCAGCACCTTCCATGTTCAGCATGGAGCCAAGTGCACAGTGGTGCTTAGTAGGATATGCTAAACTGAAACCAAAAGAAACACACACACACATACACACACACGCACACACACACACACACACACACACCCTTGTTGGGTACCTACCAGGGAGGTGTGGGAGGGTGGGTGGGAAGGTGGATACCACCACACTGTCTTGTAGATGTTGATGTAGTGGACGAAGAGTGCTATGAGCTGGCAGAAGAAGAGCTGCAACTCAAACAGAATGCTGGCCTGGACTGGCAGCTCGGGGATCTTGCAGTGCTGTAGAGGCACAACAGTTTGGGTGGCCAGAGGAGGGCTGGAGAGGCCTGTTCCAGAACTGCTCCTGACAGTGGGGAGGGAACAACATCAGCAGCTGACCTGAGAATCCTACCAGGAAGGGCTTCTGAGGCAAAGGATTGTGGGATAAGATCAGAAAAGCAGCTCATAGCAAGGACGGGGTCTTCCTAATCCTGCTTGTCAGACAAAGGAACCCGACAAAGCCTTTTCCTATCCCTAATCTTATTCAGGTCTTCCAACACCCCCTAGGAGAGAAAGAATTATTAGGTCCATCTTACAGATGAGGAAAAGGAGGCCCAGAGAAGGGAGGCAACTTGTCCAAGCCATCAGCAAATCTGGAGCAGAACTGTAATTAGAATCCAGGCCTTTGGATTTATTCTACCATGTCCCACTGCATCTGTCCAAGTGATCACCCTCAACTGAGCTCCCTCTGGATCTTTTCTGCTGCTTACTCCCCTCTAAGCCCCCACTGGCATCTAGGATTTCACATCTTAGAATCCAGTCAGAGAGAGCCCTGTCCACATCGTCCCTGTGAGGCCACAGTGAGGGGTGAGACAGAGAGGTGGTTTACCTGGTGCGGGAACGAACACTGGTCACCGATGCACTGGAAGTGTGGCTTCCACTAGAGCCCCCCGAGGATCCCGGCTCACAGAGCGGATTTCGACAGTAAGATGTCCTGTTGGGACCTCTTCGTCCTCCTGTGGGGCTCAACATAAAATAGAGCCTCAAGCCAGGGGGCATATATCAAGGATAACAGCAATGATACCAGCTGCCAGTCACCTAGTATCTCACTTTATCATTTAATCCTCACTGAGACCTATGATCTGGCCCCTTCTTACATCTTCAGCTTCATCCCCTATCATTCTCTACCTCACACCCACCCTCTACCACCCGCCCCATGCTCTAAACATCTTGATCTTTCTTTCCTCAGCAAGCCAAGCTCATTGCTACCTCTAGCACTTATAATATCCTATCTGGAAAGCCTTTCCCGGACTGCCATTTCTGAAGTTTTGAAGTAACTCCCCATCACTCTCTCTCCAATTTCTATTCTTTTTTTCCACCAGAATTCACTCTCTGAAATTATCTTACTCATTTGTTAATATGCTTATTGCTTGTCTGTCCTATTACAATGAAAGGTCAATGAGGTCAGTTACCTTATCTTTTTCACTGCTATATCCCCTACCTCAGTGCCCAGCAAGTATATGTTGATGAGTGAATGAACCCAGCAAGGTAGGTTTTTCACACATTAGGAAACTCAGCTTACACTATGTCACAGTATCGTGGCTGGGTCGTGTGCTCTCAACTCTGGTACACATTGGGCCCCATTCAGACATAAGTTTCTGGAGGCCTATAACTCTGGGTAACTTTGGGACAGCTTTTTCATCCAGGGCCCCATGATTCAGCTCAAAGGGCATTCTGGGATCTCATGGGCAGGACCCAGGGCCTAAATAAAGGGTCAAGGATATGGCTGGGAGAATCCTGTGGCTGTGGACTGAAAAATTGGACCTACTAGGCTGAGCAGTCTAGCCCAAGCTCCCACGCACCACTTCGCACAAAAGTTCTGCACAAAGCTCCTAAGCACCTAAAAAAGTCACAACCTGACTGGGTGTGGTGGCTCACGACTGTAATCTCAGCAATTTGTGAGGCCGAGGCGGGAGGATCGCTTGAGACCAGGAGTTGGAGACCAGCCTGGGCAACATGGCGAAACCCGGTCTCTATTAAAAAATATATATACATACATATACATATTTTTAAAAAGTTATAACCTGTTCATACCTCTTCACAGTAACACAGCAGCCTCCATTCACATACACCCCACGCCGTAGCATCTCAGCTCGGAAGCGTTTCCCACACTTCGGAGCCAATTTTGGGCTTGGATGTATGCCCAAAATTATAAACCTCCACAAGTCTCTAAAAAGTACCTGGCGAAGAGCTCTGCCCTCCATAAACCCCCAGACCAGAAGCTCTGTTCATACGCTGTTATACTTGGCTTAGAAAATCCCACACAAACACCCTTAGTCCAGTCCAGAAGCTCTGCCCACACCCACTCTCCTCTCTTTAGAAGCTCTGCACCCACATAAAGCCCCTCAGCCCAGAAGCTCCGCCTACACACAACTGTCAGCCCAGAAACCCCGCCCACAAGCCAATAAAAGCCCTCTCAGCCCAGAAGCCCCACTCCAGAATGGGCTCCCTCAGTCGGAAGTCTCCCCGCTCCACCGCCCCCAGTGTAACCCCTCCAACCCAGAAACGCCGACTGCACTAGCGCCCCCTGCCCAGAATCTCCACCCTTAGCGCTGAAGCCACGCCCACTGGTAAGTCCCGCCCCCCTTTCTAGCCCCGACGAGCTGGTCCTCACGAAAGCCCAAGCCCCCACAGGGCTTCGTCTTAGAAGCCCCGCCCACCGTCCAATGTCCCGCCCCCACAACAGAGGCCCCACCCCGCAAAACGACAGGAGGGGGCGGGATCCCGTCTGCGCTCGCATCCCCTCCCCCTCCCGTCACCGGGCTCCTGTCCGCGTGGAGCAGCAATTAGCAGCCTGGCCATCCTAACCCGTGCGCCCGCTCGTTGCCAGGCCGAGCCTGAGCCGCTCTGCTCACCCATCTCCTCCCCCCGGTGCTCTCCGCTTCGCCGCCGCAGCTCCTGCGGGCAATATGTCGGAGGCGACGGCGGCCGGGAGAGGACTAACCGCCGCAGCCCAGTCCCGGGTATCAGCCGCGCGCTCCCGCCGCGCCGCTACATTTGCATACAAGGCGGGCTGGAAGCTGGCGCGCGCTTCTTAAAGGGGCCGCCCGGACGGAGGCGGTGCCTGCGCGCTCTTTGTCTCTCGGTCCCCCACGCCCTTCCTGCAGCTGCTGGTGAAGAGACTCAAGAGGGAGGGGAACGGAACCCACCTCCTGCTCTTCCCGTGCGTGTCTTCTCTCAGCATCTCCTGGACCGGGGCGGCGGCGACCGGAGGAGGGTGCGGAGCCGCCTCTCCGCTCCCCTAGGGGTGGACCATATCCCTGACCGGTCCGCAGGCACCTCCAGCCCAGCCCCACGTTGCGCTTCATCCTTCTCTTAGGCCTCACTGCGCTTTAGTCCACCCCAGTCAAAATCCAGGAGTCATTTCCTCCCTCCCTCGGCCCCCACATCCGATCTTTGCCTTAGTCTTTGTGAGCCTAAGTCCTAAATATTTCTCACATTTGACGTTACTCACCGTTCTCATTGTCAACACCGTGGTTCAGATCCTGACTGCCATTTCCCAGCCTTGCAATCTTGTTTTTTTATGCTTTACGATGAGGCTGCTGATGGTCACCGTGTAGGTTTCGGTGAGGGTTAAATGAAATAGAGCATGCAGAACTGAGTCTGTTTTAGTATTAGCCATCACGATGTTTGGAGAAGCATTGACTAAATGAGCTACATTTATTGTCATTAGGATTCTTCCCTCACAAGACCTACAAGCAGTTTTAGTCATCTTGTAGCTCCATTGCTTAGCACAGTGCTTGGCACTTAATAGCAGTATTCAATTAATTGAATGAATTAGTAGATATTTCATTAATAGTCATAGAGCTTACAGTCAAGTGGGAGGAGATAGACATGAACAAAATTGGTAAATTCTGTAGTATGTTAGATGGGAATGGTGTGAAGGAAAAACAGGAAAGGGGGATGGGGTTGCAGTTTTAAATAGGGCAGGCAGAGCAGGCTTCAGAGTTGACTTGAGTAAACACATGAAGGAAATGAGTGAGTCAGTGGTGCAGATTTCTGGAGAAAGGGGGCATTTCAGGCAGAGGGAATAGTTAGTGCAAGGTCCCTCAGGCAGGAGGGTGTATTTATTTTATTATTTTGTTTTTTGAGGGGATGGAGTCTCTGTTGCCCAGGCTGGAGAGCAGTGGCTCGATCTCGGCTCACTGCAACCTCCACCTGCTGGGTGCAAGCGATTCTCCTGCCTCAGCCTCCCAACAAGCTGAAATTACAGGCGTGCACCACCATGCCCGGCTAATTTTTGTTTTTGTTTTGTTTTGTTTTTTTGAGACTGGAGTCTCCCTTTCTGTTGCCCAGGCTGGAGTGCAGTGGTACGATCTCGGCTCACTGCAACCTCCGCTTCCCGGGTTCAAGCGATTCTCCTGTCTCAGCCTCCCAAGTAGCTGGGATTACAGGCACCCGCCAGCATGCCCGGCTAATTTTTCCATTTTTAGGAGAGGCGGGGTTTCACCATGTTGGCCAGGCTGGTCTCAAACTCCTGACCTCAAATCATCCACCCACCTCGACCTCCCAAAATGCTGGGATTACAGGTGTGCACCACCACGCCTGGTCTAATTTTTGTTTTTTTGTTTGTTTGTTTTTTTGAGACGGAGTCTCACTCTGTCCCCAGGCTGGAGTGCAGTGGTGTGATCTCGGGTCACTGCAACCTCCACCTCCCGGTTTCAAGTGATTCTCCTGCGTCAGCCTCCCAAGTAGCTGGGACTACAGGTGTGTGCCACCACACTTTGCTAATTTTTTGTATTTTTAGTAGAGATGGGGTTTCACCATGTTAGCCAGAATGGTCTCAATCTCCTGACCTCATGATCCGCCTGCCTTGGCCTCCCAAAGTGCTGGGATTACAGGCACGTGCCACCACCACCGGCTAATTTTTGTACTTTTTAGTAGAGACGGGGTTTTACCTTGTTGGCCAAGCTGATCTTGAACTCCTGACCTCAAGTGACCTGCCAGTCTCGGTCTCCCAAAGTGCTGGGATTACAGGCGTGAGACACCACGCCCAGCCAAGAGGGTGTGTTTGAGAAATAAGGAGGCAAGTGTGACACAGGTATAGATATAAGAGTAGGACATGAGAAGGGATAGATCATGTAGGGCTGTGTGGCTTTTACTTTGAATGAGATGCAGAGCTATTATAGGGTTTGAACTTCTATTTAAAAGAACTATTCCAGCTGTATGGTGAGAATAGACTGCAGGGGCACCAAGGTGGAAGCAGGGAGACCAGGCAGGAGGCTGTGGCAATGATCTTAGCAAGAGATGTTGATCGTTTGCACCAGGTTGGGTGAGATGGTGAGACATGGTTGAATTCTGGATTTGAAGGTAAAGTCTACAGGATCTGTTGGGCTGACTATGGTGGCTGATGCCTGTAATCCCAGCACTTTGGGAGGCTGAGGTGGAAAGATTGCTTGAGCCCAGGAGTTTGAGACCAGCCTGGGCAACAAAGTGAGACCCTGTCTCTACAAAAAAAAAAATTTAAAATGAGCAAGGTGTGGTGGCATGTGCCTGTAGTCCCAGCTACTTGGGAGGCTGAGGTACGAGGATCACTTGAGCCCTGGGAAATTGAGGCTGCAGTGAGACGTGATAGTGCCACTGCACTCCAGCCTGGGAAATGTAGAAAGACCCCATCTAAAAAAAAATTAAAACAAAAACAAAACAGGACTTGTTGACAAAATGGATAGGAGTGTGTGAGGAAGAGAAGAGATAAGGATGACTCCAAGGTATGTAGCCTGCACTAATGAAAATATGGAGTCCAATTCAACAGATGTATATTTTTAAATTATGACAGTTTTTTTTTTTTTTTTTGAGACTGAGTCTCACTCTGTCGCCCAGCCTGGAGTGCAGTGGTGCGATCTCGGCTCACTGCAAGCTCCATCTCCCGGATTCACGCCATTCTCCTGCCTCAGCCTCCTGAGTAGCTGGGACTACAGGTGCCCGCCACCACGTCCGGCTAATTTTTTTGTACTTTTAGTACAGATGGGGTTTCACCGTGTTAGCCAGGATGGTCTCGATCTTCTGACCTCGTAATCCACCCGCCTCGGCCTCCCAAAGTGCTGGGATTACAGGCTTGAGCCACCTCGCCTGGCCAATTATGACAGATTTTACACCAAGTCAGTCCTTCCCTTCAAGGGGAAAAGTGGCCCAGGGATGGAAAATGACTATCCCTGGCTCAACAAGCAAAGAAGAAAGCAGGACTGGGAGTGCTTTTTTCCAGCCACAGAAATTCTTATAGAGAAAAAAAGAAAAAAAAAGAAATTCTGTTAGAGGCTGGGTGCAGTGGCTCATGCCTGTAATCTCAACACTTTCTCAACACTTTGGAAGACTGAGGTGGGAGGATCACTTGCGTCCAGGAATTTGAGACCAGCATGGGCAACACAGGGGAACCCTGTCTCTACAAAAAATTTAAAAATTAGCCGGGCATGATGGGTGCATGCCTGTAGTCCTAGCTACTCGGGAGGCTGAAGGGAGAGAAATCACTTGAGCCCAGGAGTTTGAGATGACAGTGAAATGATCACACCACTGCATTCATCCTGGGCGACAGAGTGAGACCTTGTCTCAAAAAAAGCGGGGGAGGTAAGTCCACTTGTATGGACTGCCATGAATGTGACCCACCTATTACCTGTGGCTCCAGCCCACCTTGTAGTGGTGGACTACTAAATTTGCCTGCTCAGCATCTATTCTTCCTCCTCATAAGAACACTGATTTTTCCCTTGGGGAACTACTCTTCCTCTGACTCTCTCAGTCTGTGTGGTTTGGTGGAGTTGCCTTACTTTGCAGTTCCTTTGTGGGCAGAAGACACAGGCTTGGCAAATCAAAGCATTCCAATATCCCTGCCTCCTAAGGCTAGTGACTGGTTGGGGTGGTTGGGGAGTAGGAGGGGATTAGTGACCTGTCAGCCCAAATGAGGTGCAATCCTAGGATCTTTGTTAGAACTATTGGGAAGGAAATTTTTATTCCCCTCTGGGCTGGCTGAGCAAGTAAGTTATAAACTTGGAGGTCTTGGTGGCCATCTTGCCATCTTTTGAGAATTATTTAGCTGACAATGAAGGAAACACAGAAGAGTCAAGAAATGCCTGGCTGCAGTGGGTCATGCCCATAATCCCAGTGCTTTGGGAGGTGGAGGCAGGAGGATCACTTGAGCCCAGGAATTCAAGATCCATCTCTACAAAAAATTTAAAAAATTAGCTGGGCATGGTGGTGCATGCCTGTAGTTTCAGCTATTCAGGAGGCTGAGGCTGGAAGATTCCTTGAGCCCAGGACTTTGAGGCTGCACTCTGGCCTCGACAACAGAGACCTTGTCTCAAAAGGAAAAAAAAAAAAGGTCAAGAGATCAGTAGACATTTCTTTCTTTTTTTCTTTTTTTGAGACGGAGTCTCGCTCCGTCACCCAGGCTGGAGTACAGTGGTGCGATCTTGCTTACTGCCAGCTCTGCCTCCTGGGTTCACGCCATTCTTCTGCCTCAGCCTCCCGAGTAGCTGGGACTACAGGCACCCACCACTATGCCCGGCTAATTTTTTGTGTTTTTTAGTAGAGGCGGGGTTTCACCGTGTTAGCCAGGATGGTCTTGATCTCCTGACCTCGTGATCTGCCCGCCTCGGCCTCCCAAAGTGCTGGGATTACAGGCGTGAGTCACTGTGCCTGGCCTCTTTCTTTTTCTTTTCAAGACAGGGTCTTGCTTTGTCACCCAGGCTAGAGTGCAATTGTGTGTTCATGGCTCACTGCAGCCTCTACCTTTTGGGCTCAAGTGATCTTTCTACCTCAGCCCCCAGAGTTTCTGGAACTACAGGTGCACGTGGCCACACCCGGCTATTTTTTTTTTTTTTTTTTTTTTTTTGAGATGGAGTTTCACTCTTGTTGCCCAGGCTGGAGTGCAATGGCACGATCTCGGCTCACTGAAGCCTCCGCCTCCTGGGTTCAAGCGATTCTCCTGCCTCAGCCTCCCGAGTAGCTGGGATTACAGGCATGCACCACCATGCCCGGCTAATTTTTGTATTTTTAGTAGAGACAGGGTTGCTCCATGTTCATCAGGCTGCTTTTTTTTTTTCTTTTTTTTAGACGGAGTCTCGCTCTGTTGCCCAGGCTGGAGTGCAGTGGCGCGATCTCAGCTCACTGCAGGCTCCGCCTCCCGGGTTCACGCCATTCTCCTGCCTCAGCCTCCAGAGTAGCTGGGACTACAGGCGCCCGCTACCACGCCCGGCTAATTTTTTCTATTTTTTTTTAGTAGAGACGGGGTTTCACCATGTTAGCCAGGATGGGTCAGGCTGGTTTTGAACTCCCGACCTCAGGTGATCCGCCAGCCTTGGCCCCCCAAAGTGCTGGGATTACAGGCATGAACCACCGCACCTGGCCCATACCTGGCTAATTAAAAAACATTTTTTTTAGAGAGACAGGGTCTGTGTTGCCCAAACTGATCTCAAACTCATGTGATCCTCCTGCCTTGGCCTCCCAAAATGCTGGGATTACAGGTGTGAGCAACCACGCCCAGCCAAAACACTTTTTTTTTCTTTTTTTGAGATGGAGTCTCGCTGTTGCTCTGTTGCCTAGGCTGGAGTGCAATGGCGCGATCTCAGCTCACTGCAACCTCCGTCTCCCAGCTCCAAGCAATCCTCCTGCCTCAGCCTCCTGAGTAGCTGGGATTACAGGCGTGTACCACTACACCCGGCTAATTTTTGTATTTTTAATAGAGATGGGGTATCATCATATTGGTTAGGCTGGTCTCGAACTCCCGACCTCACAATCTGCCTGCCTCAGCCTCCCAAAGTGCTGGGATTACAGGCGTAAGCCACCATGCCTGGCCCGACACTTTCTTGATGGCATCAATTGAATCCTGGATCCAACTATACCTGAAGCTTTTATGGATTTTTTTCTGTTGCAGAAAGCCAGTTTGTGCCTGTTGTTTGACAACTGCAACTGAAATAATCTAGAATCTACAATTCTATCATAGAATCTACCTGAAACACCTAGGGTTTTTGTCCTTTTCAAATCTGCCTCTTACAGTTTCCCTGGAAAAAATATTTATCTTTTCTTTTGTAAAAAATATTTTTATATCCCACATACGATCATTACCAATCTCTGGAGAAAATAGTAAGACGGCAGGATTTTGGCTAGGACCTTGTCTTCCAGACCTGTGGCCACAAGTCTCAGCTGTTTCGTAACTTTGAAACCCTCACTTCCCCTCCCTGAGCCTTCATTTCCTGATAAACTTGCTATCTATTGGCCCTTCGAGGAGTCTTAAGTTTTTGAGGAAATGCCACTGGCTCTAAGCCAGTCCTGTCACTGGGTACTGGAAGCTGAGATCTCTTCTTTGGTCATGTTATTTTGGGACTGTGGCCAAAAGCTGGCAATCTGTCCTGTTTTTTAGAGACACAGCCTCACTTTGTCACCCAGGCTAGAATGTAGTGGTGCAATCATAGCTCACTTCAGCCTCCAACTCTTGGGCTCAAGTTATCCTCCTACGTAAGCCTCCCGAGTAGTTAGGACTACAGGTGCACACCACTGTGCCTGGCTAATTAAAAAAAAAAAAAACTGGCCAGGCGCGGTGGCTCAGGCCTGTAATCCTAGCACTTTGGGAGGCCGAGGTGGGCAGATCACAAGTTCGACACCAGCCTGGCCAACATAGTGAAACCCCGTCTCTACTAAAAGTACAAAAAAAAAAAAAAATTAGCCTGGCATGGCGGTGTGCACCTGTATCCCAGCTGCTTGGGAGGCTGAGGCAGGAGAATTGCCTGAAGCTGGGAGGTGGAGGTTTCAGCGAGCTAAGATTGCACCATTGCACTCCATCCAGCCTGGGCGACAGTGCAAGACTCCATCTCAAAAGAAAAAAAATTTTTTTTTTTTTTTTTTTTTTTTTTGTAGAGACAGGGTCTCACTATGTTACCCAGGCTGGTCTTCAACTCCTGGGCCCAAATGATCCTCCTGCCTGGGCTTCCCAAATCACTGGGTTTACAAAATGGAGCCACCACACCTGGCCCAAATCTGTCCTATAAATCAGCATTTTTTTTTTTTTTTGAGATGGACTTTTGCTCTTGTTGCCCAGGCTGGAGTGCAATGGCACGATCTCGGCTCACTGCAACCTCTGCCTTCCGGGTTCAGGCGATTCTCCTGTCTCAGTCTCCTGAGTAGCTGGAATTACAGGCGCCCACCACCATGCCTAATTTCCATATTTTTAGTAGAGTTGGGGTTTCGCCATGTTGGCCAGGCTGGTCTCGAATTCCTGAACCTCAGGTGATCCGCCCGCCTCGACCTTCCAAAGTGCTGGGATTACAGGCATGAGCCACTGCGCCTGGCCTTAAATCAGCAGTTTTCAGACCAGACTATGCAGACCTCTGGTGGTACACAGAAGTGATGAATCCACAGGATAAAACACAATGCAGCTTTCTGGAATGTCAGTTTTATTCAATGGAAATATAAGGCAGAATTTTCTTTTTCTTTTTTTTTTTTTGAGATGGAGTCTCGCTCTGTCGCCCAGGCTGGAGTGCAGTGGCGCAATCTCGCCTCATTGCAAGCTCCGCCTCCTGGGTTCACGCCATTCTCCTGCCTCAGCCTCCCGAGTAGCTGGGACTACAGGTGCCTGCCACCGGGCCTGGCTAATTTTTTGTATTTTTTAGTAGAGACGGGGTTTCACCACGTTAGCCAGGATGGTCTCGATCTCCTCACCTTGTAATCTGCCCACCTCGGCCTCCCAAAGTGCTGAGATTACAGGCGTGAGCCACCGCGCCCGGCCTGTAAGGCAGAATTTTCAACATCAAATCGCAGTCATTAAGAACACGTTCTCTGGAGCCAGACTTCCTAGCCCCATCACCTACTGGCTGTATGACATTAGCAAGTTACTTAACCTTTTTGGGTCTCAGTTTCCTCAAGCCTTATGGGTTTGAGAATCTATGTAAAGTATTTAGACTAGAACCTGACATACATTCAGTGCTATTGAAGCATTAGCTATTTTTATTAAAACATGGATATACTGTAAAGTACAAAGTAAACTAATGTGGGCTGGGCATGATGGCTCACGCCTGTAATCCCAGCACTTTGGGAGGCCAAGATGGGCAGATCACCTGAGGCCAGGACTTCAAGACCAGCCTGGCCAACATGGCAAAATCCCACCTCTACTAAAAACACAAAAATTAGGCAGGTGTGGTGTTGTGCACCTGTAATCCCAGCTACTCAGGAGGCTGAGGCATGAGAATCACTTGAACCCGGGAAGTGGAGGTTACAGTGAGCTGAGATTGTGCCACTGCACTCCAGCCTGGGAAACAGAGCGAGACCCTGTGTCAAAAACAAAAACAAGCCAGGCGCGGTGGTTCACACCTGTAATCCCAGCACTTTGGGAGGCTGAGGCGGGCGGATCACCTGAGGTCGGGAGTTTGAGAACAGCCTGACCAACATGGAGAAACCCCGTCTCTACCAAAAATACAAAATTAGCCGGGCATGTTGGCACATGCCTGTAATCCCAGCTACTCAGGAGGCTGAGGCAGGAGAATCGCTTGAACCCGGGAGGCAGAGGCTGTGGTGAGCCGAGATCGTCCCATTGCACTCCAGCCTGGGCAACAAGAGCAAAACTCCATCTCAAACAAACAAAACAAACTAATGTGAATTTAAGATTGAAGGCTTTGAAAAAAATGTCACCTGCAGCCCGGTCCCAGCCCACCAGGGATTTGCTTTCACCTTCTCTTGCCAGCAAGAATACTTACATCTGATTTTCAATACCAGAGAATCCAGGTGTCTTCATGTTCTTCCAGTTTCCTGGGCCATTCTCACTCCATGTATACATTAGTCTCCCCACACAACCTCCCACCTGTCAGGCAATCCCCCTACCCCCATTCTTATCCAGACATTTGTCTTCCCACATCTTATATTACAAATATATGTAAACTATAGAAAACCCAGAAAATGTCACATTTCTTTAGTTTAAAAAGAGATAAGATTTTGGCAGGTAATGTATTTAAGGTAATTAAGATAGAGAGAACTGTAAAGTAGGCTATGTTCCAGAAGGGTGAGTCTAGTTTGGCTTGAGAATAACTGAAGATGAGGTTGGAAAAATAGGTTCAATTCAGATCACTTGATGATCCTGAATGTTACACACAGTAAAGAATTTGGACTTGATTTCAACTCTCTAAGCCTGTTTCATCTGTACAATTAGGAAAATTACTATGTTGTGAGGATTAATGGAGAGAAGCAAACACATGGGAGAGATATCCTGTGACAAATGGAGCAGATGTTATTAGGAGTTGGAGACACAGATTCTTTTCCTTAGTGTAAACTATCCCCACCTCTCAGGGTGGCCTGAAATTCAGTCTCTCATTTATCTTATTTTTCTGTAATGCACATCTTAACCACCAGAGAGAGCCTGATACAAAGGAATCTCAACTCCAAGTACAACAGAGAAATTAAGCTGGGCATAAGATGTGGAATCCTGGATACAACTGCAGCGATTCTCAATGGTAGGGTAGGGAATGGATCCCAGTGCCTCCTCTATGGGCCTTCTTAGACCCATCCCAAGGAGAGGGGGTGGGGCATGCTGCCACAACCTAGAATTTAGCAGCTAGCCAGATGTAAGGTCACCAGGAAAGAGGTGAGGTGGGTAAGGATGAGGGCCAGATCTAGTTTAGGGACCTGAATTTCTGTATCTCAAGCAAAAGAGACTCTCAACTCTGCTCATAAGCCACCAGGCCCAACTCCTTCCTGGGCTACCCCATGGCAGGCCAGGTCATCTAGCTGGCCCGGGAACTTTAGAAAATTTCTAAAGAGCAGGGGGTGCATCGTGGGGAAGGAGGAAGGGGAGAGAGTGGCATATCTAAGAGCTGTCTTTAGGGTGACATCCACATGGCATCAAGACCTCAGCCTTTAGGTCTATCAGAAAGGGCAGTGGGACCTAGCTTCTCCAATCATGATTCACTAGCCTGGCATCTTACAGCATTTTTACAAAACCTCCTTTGCTTTCTTGGATTTTTGTTACGAATGTTAAAATGAAAGCCTAGGGACATTGAACAATTTACCTGAGGTCGAAGAGCAGCAGCCAAGGGCAGAAGTGGGCCTGTAGGCAATAGGAGTGGCTCTGAGGGGCTGAGGAAAGGGAAGGCAAGCAGGTAGAGCAACAGCCTGCTTGTCAAGCTGCAAGCATTGGCTCTTGGCCAGGCCTCATACCCACTCCTCCAGGGCCAGCTCTGCTGCCAGGCCCCAGGCTGCCAGCCCTACCTCCACACTCCCACCCCAGTCCCCTGAGAGCCCATCACCTTGGCAACAGCCAGAGAAAGGCCCAGCTAAAATATTTATGGCTCAAAACAGCCTAGAGGCTTGGGAGGGGGGAAGAGGGAAAGGCTGATGTCATCCCTTCTCAGCTTACAGGGGAGGTGACTGACATACAGGGCAGCTGGGTGGGTGGGCCAAGCCCAACAAGTCAGGGCTCTCAAAGGAAGATCCCAAGGGCCATAAGTGGTAACAGGAGGAGGACGAAGACTGTGACAGGTGACAGGACTGGATAAGACCCACAAGCCTGGGAAAAAAGGAGGAAGGAAACTTAAAGGTTGAGCAGTATTGTGTCTAGACCCCATGCCAGGCATTTCAAACACATCATTTGCTTCTCAGATCCCATTCAGTACGTAGCAATTCTTTTTTTTTTTTTTTGAGATGGAGTCTTGCTCTGTGGTCCAGGCTGGAGTGCAATGGCGCGATCTCGGCTCACTGCAAGCTCCGCCTCCTGGGTTCACACCATTCTCCTGCCTCGGCCTCCTGAGTAGCTGGGACTAGGGGCGCCCACCACCACGCCCGGCTAATTTTTTGTATTTTTAGTAGAGATGCGGTTTCACCATGTTAGCCAGGATGGTCTCGATCTCCTGACCTCGTGATCTGCCCACCTCGGCCTCCCAAAGTGCTAGGATTACAGGCGTGAGCCACCGCACCTGGCCAGTAGGTAGCAATTCTTATCCTACTTTGATGGAGTAAACAGGCCCTACAGCTCTTCTTAAAGCAAAAAAAAAAAAAAAAAAAAAAAAAAAAATTAAAACAAGCTCTGGAAATATGCAAATGATGAGCTGGGATTTGAATTCAGATCTGTTTGGCTTCAGCCCTGTAAGCTTTCCTATAAAATTCTGTGGCTCCCGAGTAGAAATCCTAGCAGACTGAAGGTATAGCGATCTAGGAACCTAACACCAGCTCCTCAGTCAGTGACTCAGGTTCTGTGCCTCCATTTATATATGATGAAGATGCCATCTGATTCCCTAATTCCCCACCCCAAACTCCTCCCTTGTCAGCCCTGGACTCAGAGCATCCAATGTAAACAACAGGGTGACAAACTCATCGAGGCTGGCCTGTGACTTTTCTAGTTTTAGCACTGGATAGTCCCATATCCCAGAAACTCTCTCTTGGGTAAACCTAGATGATCTGTCATCCTAGACGAACCCCTCATGCAAACATAATGCTTTAATATTTCAAAGCACTTGTGGCTGTGAGAGGTACAAACAGGTCAAAAGAATAGGCCATGAAGTCTGATAGTATAGACCATGAAGTCTTTTTCTAACCATAGGCAAATTTTTTATCCTCCTTGAGTCTCAGTTTTTCTTATTTTCCTGGTACATACTAAGAAATCAGTAAATTATTAGCTGTTATTTACAGTAATCAACAATGATGACAGAAACAGGCTCAGAGATTAAATAGCTTGCCCAGTGTAAATCAACTGACTTTAAGGAATCCCTTTCCATTATACTTCTGTTCCTGCTAAGGATGAATCCAAGCTCACTAGAATGCCCCAGGCACAGTTAAAATGCAGATAGGCTCTATTCTCTCCCTAAACTCAGTCCTTCCCCTTGTTCCTTTGTTAGGATAAATAACCAGAAGGCATTAGGGAAGAGTACAGTATCAGAGGTCCCTAGCCTCTCAGGAAGCTGAGTATAAATCAACCTAGAAATAGGCCAGAGGAAACCAGAAGCCTATCAAAGGCTGACTTTCCAATCCTTCAAGGGAAAATGGCAGAACAAATAGCTGGCCTAGTATAGCTGGAAGGAAAGTGAGAGCTAAACAAGGGGGCTTTGGCTCTCTCCCAAAGCTGATAGAAGCTACCAGAGTGGGACCATTCATCACTTGACCAAACCTTTATTGAGGTCCTCAGGGGCAGATATTTGTTGGGGAGAAATATAGTACAGAGGTGGAACAGAAAAAGCCCTACCCTTTATGACCTTTTTGGACAAGGTAAGTAATAAACAATGAAGAGAAAAACAGGTTCAGATGTTAAATAACTTGCCCAAATTAATTGAATCTTCTCACTTGGCTTTCCTCAGCCTTTTATGGAAGGGCAGTGATCACCCTCCCTTGGGAGCCCTCTGGAAGGGTTCAAGGACTCACAGGCTGACACCCATAACACAGGTGTGGTAGTGGGGAAACAGAAAACGGTGGTAGGGTGTTTCAGCCAATTCTATGGGAGGCTAAAGGGAAGCACACATACTGGGAATGGCACAGTAGGAGTTGCCAGTTAATTCCCATCTAGGAGGCCATGCTAGGGATACCCATTAGTCCCCTTCAACTCTTTAAAGTCTTGAACAGTTTAATTGTTAGCACCACAGTCCCCTGCAGCCCTGAGGACTCCATTCTGGGCCTAAAGACTCTTAAGGGATCCTGACTGGCTTTCTGTGGGTAAATCTGACAGATCAAGTAGAGTGAAAGAAAACTGCTGATCTCCTCTCCTGGGTTTCTCTGTGTTCAGCAAATGCCCTCAGGCCAGCCTTTATACAGCAGGTAGCTCTCCAGGTTTCAGGAGTCCTCTGATAGCTGCAAAGACACAAGGTAGAAAATTAAGAAAGCTCCCTATTAGGGGGCTTCCCAGCCTCCCACCTGACCAGGATGCTTCCCTCACAATTGCCCCATCCCACAGCACAACTCTACTTGTTTCATTCAGTACACAAGTTTCTTGGGTACACAGATGGGTAGAAAACAGAAGTCCACAGCCTATGAATTCTCTTTTTACTGTCTGTCTGGTAATGAAAATGCAGTCTCACGCTCAATATCTCCTGTCCTTGGCCATATCTCAGCTGAGTGGATCCAGGGAAGAATCAACAAAACCTTTGGGGGGCCTATCCAAGCTTTGAAGCCTCTATAAACAAAGGGAAAAATGCTTTCTGCTGTCCTAGAAATGTGAAAAAGATGAACAAAAATCTTTAAAGTCTTTTGAAGAATGGAAATCAGAAAATAGGCATCTTATTATCACTATTATTGGTAACTCAATGTTAGGCTCAAGGGGCGATGGATGTTATGAAGGATTCATCCCAGCACCAAATACTCAGGGTGGACTAGAGGAGACGCATCTTAAATCTGCGGCACAGGGAAGGGGCTTGATCTCATGCTAAAACCTATAGCAATGCTCCTTCTTCTTCTTCTTCTTTTTTTTTTTTTTAAAGAAAGAGTCTTGCTTTGTCACTCAGACTGGAGTACAGTGGCAACATCATGGCTCACTTCAGCCTTGATCTCCTGGGCTAAAGTGATCCTCCAACCTCAGCCTCCATATACGATCACAGACACACACCAACATCCCTGGCTAATTTTTAAATTTTTGTCTCCATATGTTGCTCAGACTGGTCTCAAACTCCTGGGATCCTCTTAATGGCTTGCCAGAGTGCTGGGATTATAGGTGTGAGCCACCATGCCTGGCCAGTGCTTCCGATCTTTTAAATGGCGCTACCATCTCCCTTAGTTGTTCCAGTCAGTAACCTGGAGCCTTAATATGTTCATTCTATCGCCTAAAAGGTTTTGTTTTTTTTTTTTTTTTTTTCTCCTGAGACAGAGTCTCGCTCTGTCACTCAGGCTGGAGTGCAGGGGCATAATCTTAGCTCCAGTACTGCAGCCTCTGCCTTCTGGGTTCCAGTGATTCTCCTCCCTCAGGCTCCCAAGTAGCCGGGATTACAGGCACGCACCACCATGCCCAGCTAATTTTTGTATTTTTAGTAGAGATGGGGTTTCACCATGATGGCCAGGCTGGTCTCAAACTCCTGACCTCAGGTGATCCGCCCACCTCGGTCTCCCAAAGCGCTAGGATTATTACAGGCATGAGCCACTGTGCCTGACAAAAGTTCTTGAATTCATTGACTTCTCTATGTTTGCAATATTACTCTACTATAGACCTTTTTTGTTGTTGTTGAGACAGTCTCACTCTGTTACTCAGGCTGCAGTGCAGTGGCACGATCTCAATTCACTACAACCTCTGCTTCCTTGGCTCAAGCGATCCTCCTGCCTCCACCTCCCGAGCAGCTGGGATTACAGGCATGTGCTACCATGCTCGGCTAGACCTTTCTTATTTCTTGCCTAGACTAGCAAGTTTCTTAACAGGGCCCCATAACCATTCTCCACTCATCAGCAAGTTTAAAAATCAGACATTGAATAATTTCATTTTCCACACCCCCCCTCCTCCCATTCAAGTTGTCTTCAGTGGGATGTTAGGACTGCCATGTGTTAAGGGACTCTCCTCATATTCTATTCCTTTCAACCACCCTGTGAATTGGAAACCAAAACTCTATGATAAACTTTGCTTTTTTAAGGTCAGCCAGGTGCAGTGGCTCACACCTGTAATCGTAGCACTTTGGGATGCCGAGATGGGAGGATTGCTTGAGGCCAGATTGCTTGAGGCCAGAAGTTCTCCATCCTGGGCAACATAGTAATACCTTGTCTCTACAAAAAATAAAAAAATAAGCTGGGTGCAGTGGCCCATGCCTACAGTCCCAGCTACTCTGGAGGCTGAGGTGAGAGGATGTCTTGAGCCCAGGAGGTAGAAGCTGCAGTGAGCTATGATCAATGCAGTGAGACCCCATCTGTTTTTTTTTTTTTGAGACAGTTTCACTCTTATTGCCCAGTCTGGAGTACGGTGGTGCGATCTCGGCTCACTCCTACCTCCGCCTCCTGGGTTCAAGCAATCTTCCTGCCTCAGCCTCCTAAGTAGCTGGGATTACAGGCGCCCGCCACCACACTCAGCTAATTTTTTGTTTTTTTGGTACAGGTGGGGTTTCACCATGTTGGCCAGGCTGGTCTTGAACTCCTGACCTCAGGTGATCTGCCCGCCTCGGCCTCCCAAAGTGCTGGGATTACAGGTGTGAGCCACCGCACCCGGCCCCTGAGACCCCATCTCTCTCTCTCTTTTTTTTTTTTGAGATGGAGTCTCGCTCTGTCGCCCAGGCTGGAGTGCAGTGGCGCGATCTCAGCTCACTGCAAGCTCTGCCTCCCGGGTTCACGCCATTCTCCTGCCTCAGCCTCCCGAGTAGCTGGGACTACAGGCACCCGCCACCATGCCCAGCTAATTTTTTGTATTTTTAGTAGAGACGGGTTTCACTGTGTTAGCCAGGATGGTCTCGAACTCCTGACCTCGTGATCCGCCCGCCTCAGCCTCCCAAAGTGCTGGGGTTACAGGCGTTAAGCCACCACGCCCGGCTGACCTCATCTCTTTAAAAAAAAAAAAAAAAAAGAAAAGAAGAAGGTCCAGCTAGGTGTGGTGGCTAACACCCATAAATCCCAACACTTTGGGAGGTTAACATAGGAGGACCAATTTTGCCTAGGAGTTGGAAACCAGCCTGGGCAACAGATTGAGATCTTGTCTCTACAAAAAATAGAAAAAATTAGCCACCTGCCTATAGTCCCAGTTACTTGGGAGGCTGAGGTGGAGGATCACTTGAGCCTGGATCACTTGAGGGTGTAATGAGCCATCATATTGATAAGTGCTCCAGCTTGGATGACAGAACAAGACCCTGTCTCAAAAATAAAAATAAAAAAGGTCCAGATTCGTACCTCGGCTTCAACTTGCTTCAGTCCTATCCTCTGCCTATAATGTGCTGCTCTATGTCCTTTCCCCAAGCCCTCTGCCTAGCTAAGTCCTCCTTTATATGTTGGCTTAAACATCATTTCCTCAAGGAAAACCACAGTATTAGGTTGTATACCCTCATTGCACCCTGTTCTTTTCTTTGTAGAACTTAACACAATTGAAATTATGTTATTTATGAGATTATCTGTTTAGTATCTGTTTCCACAAATAGACTATAAGCTCCATGAAGCCAAGGACCATTTTATATTGTTCACCGGCCACTGGATCCCCAGTGTCTAGCACATAGTAGGTGTTCTAATGTATAATAGTGAATGTATTTTTAAAAATAATGAAAGGAGACATTTGTACTGATTTCTAGAGAGAAGCTTAGAAAGAATCACATCAGAGCATAAGATATTTCTCTTTCTCAAAGGCAGATGCAGAATTTGTTTGCTACATTCCAACCCCAGAGAGCCTGAGACCTGAGGAGCAACCATCTTATACCTAAAGCTAGGCCATGAATAGGAACCATGAAGGCTGCTGGAGTTAGAAGACCCCTGGGAATAATTAGCTCTGTATCTGAACCCAAACTCTTCTATCTCAAGTTTTCACACACATCACAGTGCCTAGAAGAAAGAGACTGGATACCCTGAGGTGGGCACCAGAGGTTGACAGGGGAACAGCCAATTCAGGCATCTTAATGCAATATTAAGATCAGAAATAGTACCCAAATTTCTGGCAAGGTGCCCTATTTAGCTGATTAATCTGGGCTGATAGACTGGCTGTGCCTCACACTCTATCTAGAAACATCTCAACTAAGCTGTCTTTTTTAAGGAGTCCCTGGACAACCCCCGCCCCCACCCCCAATTTGCCCTGAAAGTGACAAGGCCTCCTTGAAGCAAGAAGCTCCCCAAGGTCTAAGGATGGGGTTAGCTTGTGTACATGAGAACTCCTATCGGCCCATTCCCTGCCTGAGATGCAAAGACAATCACCACAGTACCGGCTAGGAATGAGAGGTACAGTCACTGGTGAGAGGCTAGTGAATCTGTGATCAAGGAATGCTAAGAAGCTAAACCTTAGCAGCACGGCTATGAAATTCACATCCCTTCCAGATACATGTCTCTCTCCTTTTAGAAGAGAGCTGTATACGAAAGCAGAAAGTACATTCGAAACAAACAAAAAAACAGAGAGTGCTACAGTTTGCAGAACACTAGATGAGACTGCATCCTCAGCTTCAGAGCCAGAATAGACAATAGAGTGGAAGACCTCCAGTCCTGGGACTGGAAAATGGATTCTAGAGGTCCGTGAACATTCTTCCCCATTACTTCCCAAAAAGGGTTGAGTCTCCTGCTTGAATGCAGCCTCCTTAGGAGCCGAGAGCAGCAATCAGGCTACAATAGGACTAGGGTGCAGTGCCCCCATAGGCTTGTGCTCCTAAGGGGCCTTGAAGAGCCAGACCTATTTTCTAGGCCAGGAAACAAAAGAACGGGTAGTTAAGGCAGTGTTGTGCACTTCCTCCTCTCCCACTAAGCAGCTGCTGTCTCAGACAGCTGTTTCCAGCCTGTCTGCTCAATGCTATTAAATATTCATCAGATGCTTGCTAGCTTTAAACATGCAACGACTATTAATCTGGGGAGCAGGAGGTACATGTGGGTCTCAAGAGAAGAGGGGAGGGCTCATAAGGATCCAACTCTTCTTTTTTTGGAGACGGAGTCTTATTCTTGTCGCCCAGGCTGGAGTGCAATGGTGCGATCATGGCTCACTGCAACCTCCGCCTCCCAGGTTCAAGCAATTCCCCTGCCTCAGCCTCCCAAGTAGCTGGGATTACAGATGCGCGCCACCACGTCCGGCTAATTTTTGTATTTTTAGTAGAGGTGGGGTTTCACCATGTTGGCCAGGCTGGTCTCAAACTCCTGACCTCATGATCCGCCCGCCTTGGCTTCCCAAAGTGCTGGGATTACCGGCGTGACCCACCGCACCCGGCCCAGGATCCAAGTTTTTAAACTTCAGGAATCTGGAAACCAAGCTAGGAGTACCAGTCCTATACACCAAAGCCAGGAACTACTTTGGTGTAAGCTGATCATGCGGCCACCCTAGGTACAGAGAAGACCAGCAGGCAGCTAAGGAGGAACATAAAGACTTCAGTCTAAACTCCATCTCTTGGACTCTGTGGTTATCCTAACTTCTAGACATACATTTCTCACTCTGTATACCATGGATAATCATTGCTTCACAGGGTTGTTTGTGAGAATTAAATGAGATACTGTATAATTCTAGGGTGTCCAATCTTTTGGCTTCCCTAGGCCACACTGGAATAACTGCCTTGGGGCACACATAAAATACACTAACGACAGCCGATGAGCTTAAAAAAAAATTGCAGAAAAATCTCATAATGTTTTAAGAAAGTTTATGAATTTGCGTTAGGCTACATTCAAAGCCGTCCCGGGCCATAGGCTGGACAAGCTTGCTGTATATGATACTCTCAGCACAGAATTAGAACATAATTAAGAGCTTAAAATGGAGGCAGGGACCTCATCCATTGAGGACTTCTAGTGGTGAGCAAAGCCTTGCTTAACAATCCGTTAAGAGCGAAGTTTCTTTTAGTGGACAGTCAAGAGTTTTGGTTTCCATTTTGCAGGGTGGGCGAAAGGAATACGACACAAGGAGATTCCCTTAACATAGGTAAGTCCAGACATCTCATCCTCAAACGACTCAAGTACCAGACAGGAGAGATGAGTCTCCTTTCTGAAAAAGGCAGGAATTAAAGGCCTTCAGGCAGGAGGGAAGGCGGGAGGACAAGAAGGGGAGAATATCCCCTTCACTCTCCCACAAAGGAGTAGTGCCACTTTATAGAAGGCTTCCTTCCCTTATTTTCCCTACCTTGCCGGTACACTGGTAAACAGATGTGATGTAAGTCACTCTCATGCTTAAGGCATTAAATAGCTCAAACTTTAGAATAAAGTCCAAACCCCTTGATTAATATGTAGCTTCCAAAATCAGCACTAACTTATTCTTCCAATCTCTATTTATAGCTAATATTTGAGTGCTTACTGTGTGTCATGTTAAATGTTTTTTTTTGAGATGCAGTTTTGCTTTTGTTGTGTGCAATGGCGCTATCTTGGCTCACTGCAACCTCCACCTCCTGGGTACAAGCGATTCTCCTGCCTCAGCCTCCCGAGTAGCCAGGATTACAGGCATGCGCCACCACGCCCAGCTAATTTTTTGTATTTTTAGTAGAGACGGGGTTTCTCCATGTTGGTCAGGCTGGTCTCGAACTCCTGACTTCAAGTGATCCGCCCACCTCGGCCTCCCAAAGT